>NC_000001.11:1291585-1997183 GCF_000001405.40 Homo sapiens
GCCCCTTGAGACTCTGGACACCTGAACCAGACCTGCCAGGGCTGTGCGATCTCTTGGCCTGGTCCTTGCAGCTGTGGCAGCAGCAGGCTCCCCAGCGGCCCAGGGTGGGCCAGACCAGCAGCCCAGGAAGCAGCACACGCGGCCGTGGGGAGGCAGGCACCGGGCATGTCGGCGCCTCTGGTCAAACCACCTACACTGCCTGGGGTGGGTCTCAAGGAGGCCCGGGGCGGAGGGGGGTTCCCGCGTGCACACGAGTGCGGCTGGACGTGCCGACACGCGGTGATGTACCCATGCTCCGTGTGTCTGTGTCTGCATGTCCACACGTCTGATGCACCTGTGTACGTGTGTCAAGCCTAGCCACCTCAGCTGCAGGGAGGCAGAAGGCAAGGCAGGCCCCACGGACACACTTGGGCTGCTCTGAAATAAAGCTGTTGACTCCACCTGGCGGCCAGTGTGTGCCTGTGTGCCCCTCCAGCCGCCCCGCGCCCGGTGAGCTGAAACCCTGACTGCACCTGGCGGGACGAGCCCCAGCCTAGCCTCGCCGGTTCGCGTCCACCCCTCTTCCCACCAGGAAACTCAGTCTAGGACAGAGAAGGGTAGAAGGGCGAGACAATGGGGACCAGGGGCATCAGGACCCAGATTTTGTCAAACGAGCCCCAGGTCCCCATCAGGCCCCTTGCGGCCTGTTGGAGTCTGACTTGAGTGAGTGCTACCCGGCTCAGGAATGCCCCTCGGGGAGGGCAAGGGACACAGACACTCCCCGGAGACAGAGCAGAGCAAGGCACGGGAGCCCAGGAGCAGGCAGTGGGCGCAAGTGCTTTATTCAAAGCGAGGGGTGGGGGGTGAGACCCGCCAGCAGGGGCCTGGGGCAAGAGGCGGGGCCAAGCTCACACAGGGAGAGGGGCAAGAATCAATTCTGTTCTTCAGGGTCACAGGCAGCAGGCAAGAGAGTTGGGGGGCCGGGTCCAGCGCCCACTGTGCCCTCAGGGAGCCTCCCCAGGGCAGCATTGCATAGTGACCAGCCGACTGGCCTTAGCCTGACCTGCGCTGAGTGGGGGAGGCCCTGCCTCCCTGCCGGGCACCTTTGGGGAAGGGGTGCGTGAAGGCATTGGCAGGCCCTGCAATATGAGCCGAAAGACCCCTGGACCCAAGGGGGAGGCTGGTCAGGGGCAGGGCTGGGGCTCAGGCGTCCTCAAGAGTCCACAGAGAAAAGACGCAAGACAAAGTCAGACGAGGCCTATAGCAAACCCACTCGGTCCGCTACAAAGAACATGAGATGAGGGCTGCAAAGTGGCAAAGTGGCTTTATGCGCAGGCTCTGGGCCGAGTACCAGGAGAAGGTGCCTCCGGAGGAGGCCGGGATGCGGCTGGGGCTGTCTGGCACGGGGACCTTCGTGGCCAGCCACGTGGCCTTGGGACGCCCGCGTCCAGCCAGGGCTGAGGACCCAGGCCAGAGCCCCTCCCGCCCAGCACCCGCGACGCCAGCCTGGATGCTGGGGTCACTAAGTGAGGTACTCGTTGGTTCCCTGGATGGGCCACCCTTTCTGCCCTGGGAGGAGGCTCTGGGGTGTGCAGGAGGGAGCCAGCTAACAGGTCAGTGTTCTGGGCAGAAGTGGGGCACGAAGTAACACAGGCCCTGAGGACACAGGGACACAGGTGACACGGGCCTTAAAAGTGGCTTGTGACATGAGCAACCCAGGCCCCTGAAAAGGGGTGACCTGAAGACAGAGGTTCCCCAGGTGGGGTGAGGGACACCCGACGATGCAGCACCCCCCCAGGGAAACGTGAGGCTTCAAGAGACTCAGTGTGGGGCCCTCGCTCTCCTCCTGGGCGAGCAGGGCCGCGGCGCCCCAGCACTGGGGCTGCCAGGTATCGACCCGCGGGTCACACGCAGGGCCGCGGCCGGGTGGGCGCCAGGGACTTCGGGGCATGCGGGGCGTCGGGCCGGGCGGGGTGGCAGCTGCCCGGCCTGCCCGGCCCTAGCTCTCTTCCAGGTGGAGGCTGATGAACTCCTGGATACACCTGCGGAACTGGAGCTCCGTGGGGCTGCCCGCCAGGGCGCCCGGGGGACCAGGGGCAGCCTCGGCCTCGCGCATTTCCTCCGCCATGCGCGCCAGACGGAGCCTACGGGGAGGCACAGCGTGAGACGCCCCTGCCCTGGAGGCCCCGCCCCTGCCCTGGAGGCCCCGCCCCTGCCCTGGAGGCCCCGCCCAGCCCCGAGGGCCCGGCCGCGCTCACAGTGTCACGATGTCAGCGTTGGCCGCCTGCACTGCGATGGCCAACGGGTCCCGCTGCTCTTGGTCCAGGGCGTGCTGGTCCGCGCCCCGCTTCAGGAACAGGCAAACCTGGCTGAGGGGCGAGGTCGGAGGGGCGTGTCGGGGCGGGGCGGGGCGGGGCGAGTGTGGTCGCGGGGGCGTGGCCGGATAGGGCATGGCGGACAGGGCGTAGCCGGGCCGGGGTAGGCGTGGTCGGGGCACAGGGCGGGGCGTGGGTTGCGCGTCTCACCCGGTGCGGCCCAGCAGCGTGGCGTGGTGCAGGGGCGCCCGGCCCCGGCTGTCTCTTTGGTTCACGTCCGCTCCGTTTTGCAGCAGGAACTCACAGACGATCAAGGAGCCCTGGGGAGCCGGGGCAACTCAGACGGAGCCACGGCACCGGCCCCTCTCCGCGCCTCTGCACCCTGACCCCGGCCTTGGGCGCCCCCAGCCGGGACCGAACGTGGTCCCCACCGCGGACAGGCGACCCTTGTGTGGGCGCCACAGAAGATGCAAACGCGACTGTGCACCTGTGTCCTGCGCGCAGCCCCCGTGGCTCGCTCACCCCTAGCACGGCCTGCACCAGCGGCGTCTTGCCCTCATCCTCCGCGTCCGCCCAGTTGACCTCGGCCCCGTGGGCCAGCGCCGCCGCCAGCGCAGGAAGGTCGCGGGCACGCGCTGCGCGGTGCGCCAAGAGCCCCGGGTGCAGCTCGCGCACGTCCGCCAGGCCCCAGGCCTCGGCCTCAGTGTCCCCGTCTGCCTCACCGCTGGACTCCTCCGACTCTGCACCCTCTGTGGGGAGGGGGCGGTCAGGGAAAGCAACCCCCGGGGCTGCCCAGGGGCTGGGCAGGGGCCTCGGGCGAGGGCAAGACGCCACCCACCCTCCTCAGTGACGCTGTCCACCACAGAGCCCGAGCCGAAAGCCAGGACGTCCGAGCTGCCATCCGAGCTGCCCCCAAGGCCACTGTCGCTACTCAGACCTGCAGGTCCGCAGGGAAGGGGGTCCTGAGGGTGGGAGGCCCAGACTCCGTCCAGAGCCCTGGGGCAAGGCTGGAACTCCACCCACCCTCCAGGGGCCACCCCTAGGGACAGGACCAGCTCCCACCCAGGGCCGGGGGGAGCCAGCTGCAGGCTAGGAGCAAAGGAGAGAAAACCAAATAACAGCTCAAAGGTGCCAGGGGTAGCCCCCTAAAGCCCAGGCCTTTTGGGAAGCCCTTCCCTCCCGCTCGCCGCCTTACCCGGCACCCCCCGCAGTGGGCCCCCCAGCCCCGTCTGTGGCTGGCCCAGGCTGAAATGTCTCCACCCAACCAACGGGCAGCATGGCTCCAGAAGGGCCCTAGGCTGAGGGCCGGCTGGCAGCGCCCTCTGCTTCCCCAGCACCCCGGGCCACCCGCTGTGTGCACACACCCAGGTGCACACAGCCCACACACACATTTGCACAGCTCACCCCTGACAGTCAGGGCCTTGGCCTCCAGCTGTGTGGCCAGGAGGCCCCCCGCCCCTTCAGATGCTGCTCCATTCCCTGGCAAGGGCCATCCACACTCAGGCACCCTTCAGGCCAGCCTCCTTGGCCCTGCCCTGCCACCTGGCTGGGCCCACCCCACACTTACTGCGAGGGCCAGCCCCTGCGGCCCCTGCGTCGAAGTAGGAGAAGAGCGAGTCCAGCTCGTCGGGACAGAAGAGGGAGTCTCGGCGGAACTTACGATCCAGGGTGCCCACTGCAGGGGCAGTGCGTGTTCAGAGTGTGGAACAGGCCCGGGGTGGGGCAGGGAACCCCAGGTCACGCCGGGAGTCTGCGGAGCCTGAGGTGCCCCCAGAGCCCTGCCACCAGCCCCTTGACGGAGTCCATCCC
This sequence comes from Homo sapiens, assembly GCF_000001405.40. NCBI lineage: Eukaryota > Metazoa > Chordata > Mammalia > Primates > Hominidae > Homo > Homo sapiens. Next base: position 1,295,689 of record NC_000001.11, read on the forward strand.
CGACCAAGGCAAGCCCCTCCCAGCCCTGCCGGGGCATGGCCTCCCACCTGAGGACAGAGCGGCCACACAGGGCAGAACGGGCTCAAGCCGGACCTTGCGGCGGGCAGTGGGAGCGCGGGGAGAGCTGTGGGGCCGCAGGCACTTCTGCACCCTCCAGCGTCTTGGGGCCTCCAGGGCTGGTGCCATGGGCGCCTTCCGCAGAAACTTCTTTTCCACGTATTTGTCCTTGATCCAGGCCTCCTTGTCCTGCCTGGACCAGGGGGGAACATGAGGCTGTGCCCCCAGGCTGGGGCTCCCTGACTGATCCAGACTGTACCCCACCTCACCGGGAGCTGCTGGCTGTGGGTTTCCTGCTGCCTGCACCCTCACACTGGGCCTCATAGATCTGATTCACAGCGCTGTTTCCAAGCTCACACATCAGCTAGCGGGAGACAGGGCGAGCAGGCATCAGTGCGAACCTGCAGACCCCAGCTCCCGCCCCCACAAACGGGGTCCCGTGGCCTCCAGGAGCCCCACACGCACCTTTAGCAGCTCAGGCTCCCACGAGTCCAGCGTCAGGGACCGCACCTTGGAGCAGTGGACACCCAGGCTCCTGGAGAGCAGAGGTAGGGATGAGTCTGGGGGAGGCAAGGCCCCCAGCTCCGGCCCAACCCCCACCCCCGGCCTGGCCCTCAGGGGCCCACCTGTGGATGCTCCAGCCCAACCCCCACCCCCAGCCTGGCCCTCAGGGGCCCACCTGTGGATGCCGGAGCACTCAATGCAGAGCAGCACGCCCAGGTTGATGCTGGCCCAGCGGGGGTCCGGCTGGCCGCAGTCGCCGCACTGGCTGTTGCCGGCCACACTCTGCACACGCTGCAGCACACTCTCGCCCTTCACGCCACGCTCCCGAGTGTCGGTGGCGGAGTCGATGCTGCTCGTGGACGGGGATGCTGTGCGGTCCAGCCTCTGGAGGATGGGGTGGAGCTGCTCGGTCCCGCAGGGGCTCCAGCATGGTTTCCCCAGCAGGCCCCCTCCTCCCCAGCCAGAAGAGCCAATGCAGGCCAGGGCCCCTCGAGCACACGCCCGCACACGCACGTACACGCGCACACCCTCACGTGGGCAGATGGCCCCCCCCTCGAGCACACGCCCGCACACGCACACACGCGCACACCCTCACGTGGACAGGTGGCGCCGAGCACACGCCCGCACACGCACGTACGTGTGCACACCCTCACGTGGGCAGATGGTGCCGAGCACACTCCCACACGCGCGTGTATACGTGCACACCCTCACATGGGCAGATGGTACCTGCACACACATGCACATCCACACTGCACAAGCCAGCATGCCAGTGCACACCAGCACACACCCAGCTTGCAGGAGCCACACACAGGCGTGTGCACGTGTGTGGGGCAGGGGCCATCCCCAGTGGCACGTAGGTGTGTGCACCGGCACGGGGCAGGGGCCATCCCCAGTGGCACGTGTGTGTGTGCACAGGCGCGGGGCAGGGGCCATCCCCAGTGGCACGTGTGTGTGTGCACAGGCGCGGGGCAGGGGCCATCCCCGGTGGCACATGTGTGCACGGGCTTGGGGCAGGGGCCATCCCCGGTGGCACGTGTGTGTGTGCACAGGCGCGGGGCAGGGGCCATCCCCGGTGGCACGTGTGTGTGTGCACGGGCTTGGGGCAGGGGCCATCCCCGGTGGCACGTGTGTGTGTGCACAGGCACGGGGCAGGGGCCATCCCCAGTGGCACGTGTGTGTGTGCACAGGCGCGGGGCAGGGGCCATCCCCGGTGGCACATGTGTGCACGGGCTTGGGGCAGGGGCCATCCCCGGTGGCACGTGTGTGTGTGCACAGGCGCGGGGCAGGGGCCATCCCCGGTGGCACGTGTGTGTGTGCACGGGCTTGGGGCAGGGGCCATCCCCGGTGGCACGTGTGTGTGTGCACAGGCACGGGGCAGGGGCCATCCCCAGTGGCACGTGTGTGTGTGCACAGGCGCGGGGCAGGGGCCATCCCCGGTGGCACGTGTGCACGGGCACGGGGCAGGGGCCATCCCCGGTGGCACGTGTGTGTGTGCACAGGCGCGGGGCAGGGGCCATCCCCGGTGGCACGTGTGTGTGCACGGGCTTGGGGCAGGGGCACCAAGGGCCACACCTCGCTATAGCAACTGTCAGGGCTCTCGCGGTAGGCGGAGGCGATGCTGGCCTGCACAGCCTGGACCCAGGCTTGCCGCAGCTTCTCGGAGTCAGCCTGCAGCATGCAGCTCCTGCAGGCAGTGGAGGGGCGGGCGTCAGCTCCGGTGGGCAGGTACGCCCCCCGCCCCACCCTGGGCTGGGCCTCCTCACTTGGTGGGTGACAGCACCTCGAAGCAGAACCTCCGCTCGATGTCCTCACACGGCTTCACAGAGCACAGGCGGAGGTCATCCACCACCACGGTGAGGGCATCCTGTGGGCGGCACCGCTGTGGCCCCTGCCCTCAGCCACCACCCGGCCCCGACCACCCACTTCCTGCTTCACCTTGGAGACCCGGAGGCCGACTGCCTGAGCCCCAAGCCCCGTGTCCAGCTCTCTGCTCCCTGACTGTTCCGGCTCCGGCGTCCACTAGTGCCCCGGCCCTGTGCTAACCCCAACTGACCAGTCTGCCCTGTGGCCCAGGTGGGGCGTCCAGCCATCAGGGCCCCAGCCCCAGGCCCAGGGCACACCTTGAGCTTCTTCTGGTAGACCAGCTGGCTGTTCTGAATGGAGAACCAGCGCCTAGGTGGGTGGGGGGATGTGGGGAGTCAGGCGGGGCCCATCCCAGGGCTGCTGTGACCCCTGCCCCCACCTGAGGACCCCACCCCCGCCTGAGGACCCCACCCCCGCCTAAGGACCCCGCCCCCACCTGAGGAAGGCCTCTCACCGGTTCCATGTCTTGAAAGCGTTGCTGGCCCTCTTGAAGAGGTAGCCCTCCATCACCACCCCACTGGGCGCGTCCACGTCAAACTCCACTTTGGACTCATCGTAGGAGAAGTCCTGGGGGGATGGAACCCGCCCCCTCAGTGCCCACCCCAGGGGCCCTGCTACCCTCCGTGCTTTCCCGGAGCACAGGTGGGGGTGAGGTCCTTGTCTGAGGCTGCCACACGGCCCACGGACCACACGCTCAGACGAGAGACCCTCTGTTCACCACAGCCACTTCTTGACCTGAGCAAGGCCCCCAGCCCTGCAACCCGTGGGGCAGACCCCTCACGTTCACAGCTGGGGGCCCGAGAGTGCCGGCCCCACCCCAGCCCTGCAGGGACCAGCAGGCTGCGATCAGGAAGGAAGCTGCGCCCCCACCCTCCGCATCCTGAGTGCCCCATTCATGTGGCCAGCTGGGCGGACAGAGCCCCATTCAGGAGGCCTGGGAGTCACTGAGGGCCCTGTGTGTCCCGCCATCTGGCAGGCCAGGGAAGCAGAGGGGAGGGGCGGCCACCTGCTCCCCAGGCCACATGGGATGGGAAGGGACAGCTGCCGCCAACCCCACGGGGAATGTGGAGGTCTGGCCGGAGCCAGCCCCTCACAGCCGCATCAGCAGCAGGAGCCGAGACTGGTGGGAGGTGTCCTTGGTGCTGAAGTGCCCTTGGGGTAGAGGAGGGAAAGGCACCGCCCCATCTGGTCTCCCCCGACCCACAGCCCGCCCAGGGCCCGTGCTCACTTACCTGCAGCAGCGTCTGGAGGGCCGGAGCAGGAGGGGGTAGGGGGAGAAAGCCAGTGAGTGACGGCTGCCAACTCCTGGTGACTGGTGGACCCGTCCCCAACTCCTGGTGACTGGTGGACCCGTCCCCAACTCCTGGGGGGCTCTCCCCTATCCCAAAATAGCCACTCCTGCCTGCAGCCAACCTCTGCCCGGGATGGTGGCCGGGGCTGCTGTCCCACAGGCAAGCAAAGGCCCCGCAAGGAGCCAGTGACTGAGGCCACAGAGGTGACCACCGCCTCAAAAGGAGATCCCAGCAGCGGCCCCACCCACACGTGCCCCTCCACTGCACACATCAAAGGGAGCAGCCTTGGTCCCCTAGAGAGGGTGTGGGCAGGGCAGGTGGGAGACAGGCAGGAGGAAGGGGCGGGGAGGGTGTGCCGGGCATGGGGTGAGGACGCAGGGGCCTCCCAGGCGCCTGGTGTGCAGGGAGCCGGCTGCGCGGCCTCACCCGCTGCTGGATGGCGGCGTGCTTTCGCTCCATCTCACGCTTTTCCACCGCAGAGTCGATCACCAGCTGGTCCAGCTGTTGGGGGTGGCATTAGGGAAGGTCACGGAGGCCTGGCCCAGCCCCACCCCTCCCAAAGGCTCACCTCGGCTGCCAGCTTCTTCATGTAGGGGTCCAGCTGGTGCAGGAGGCTGTAGCCCTGCTGGAAGAAGCTGGACTGGGCGTGCATGAAGGACAGCATCTGCGGGGGCAGCACAGGTGAGGCCCAAGCACACCCGGTCCAGCCCCCAACATGCAGCCTGTGCTCAGGGGCAGCCCCCACGCACTCACAGAGTCCAGGATCTCAAACTTCTTCTTGGCCTGCAGAACATTGATCTGCCAGAGGGGGAGCCCACAGGTGAGCCCCGGAGGCTGAGGCAGCCCCAAGCCCTGCACCTGCCATAGAGTCCACCTGAGCTGCTTGTGGTTCCCTGAGACCCCCAGGTCGTCTTCAGCTCCCAGCTCTGGGCCAGCCTCATCCTCCCATGGTCCTGGACTGCTTCCCCATGTCTGGAGTTCCCACCCATGGGCAAAGCAAGAATCGTCACTCCTGCTCAAAATCCCTCCAGTTCTGTACAAGGCCGTTGAGGCCTCCATTCGCTACAGCTGGTCCCCGCCCCCCAGCCCATTTCTGGGGCTGACCTGGAGCACATAGTCCAGTGCCAGGTGGCGGAAGCACTTCCTGGTGAGGGTGAGGGCCCCGGTGGCTTCCTCCACCTCGTGGGGCCGGTGCCTCGGGGCCTGGGCGTTCCTCACCAGGGACAGCTCCAGGTCCTCCCGCACCTTGTCAAACTGCTTCTTTGTCTCCTTGAACTTCCGCACATCCCTGGAGGCCAAGTGCCAGGTGGGGTGAGAGATCAGGGAGGGCACCTGCTGGATCCTGGAGTCTCCCACATCGTTGTTTGTGTGTTTTTTGTTTTTTGAGACGGAGTTTCGCTCTTGTCACCCAGGCTGGAGTGCAATGGTGCTGTCTCGGCTCACCGCAATCTCTGCCTCGCGAGTTCAAGTGATTCTCCTGCCTCAGCTTCCCTAGCAGCTGGGATTACAGGCATGCGCCACCAGGCCTAATTTTGTATTTTTAGTAGAGATGGGGTTTCTCCAGGTTGGTCAGGCTGGTCTTGAACTCCCGACCTCAGGTGATTCACCCACCTCGGTCTCCCAACGTGCTGGGATTACAGGCGTGAGCCACTGCGCCTGGCCTGGTTTTGTTTGTTTGAGACAGGGTCTGTCTCTGTTGCCCAGGCTGGAGGCTGGAGTGCAGTGGCACAGTTATGGCTCACTGCAGCCTCTACCTCCCAGGCTCAAGCAATTCTCCCACCTCGGCCTCCCAAGTAGCTGAGGCTACAGGTGCGTGCCACCATATAAGGCTTATTTTTGGTTCTTGGGGGTGTCTTTTTTTTTTTTTTTTTTTTTGATGGAGTCTCTCTCTGTCACCCAGGCTGGAGTGCAGTAGCACAATCATGGCTCACTGCTGCCTCCGCCTCCTGGGCTCAACTGATCCTCCCACCTCATCCTCCTGAATAGCTGGGACCATAGGCACGTGCCACCATGCCCATCTAATTTTTTTTTTTTTTTTTTTTTGTAGAGATGGAGGTCTCATTACGTTGCCCAGGCTGGTCTCAAACTCCTGGCATTCTCTGGCCTTGGCCTCCCAAACGCTGGGATTACAGGTGTGAGCCACCATGCCCAGCCCCACCCCCCTCCACTCCAGGCCCTTTCTTTGCTCCTGGGCATAGCCTCCTTCCTCACCAGCCTATCCCAGGCCTGCCCGCACCCCTGCTGACCCCGATCATCTGCTCCAGGCCTCCCCAGCCCCTCCCCACCTCACTCTCAAGATCTGTCCAGCCCAGACCCCAGCCATGCCCCAGACTCCAGACCCCCAAACCCAACGTGGACTGGACCTCTCTGCTGTGGGGGCTGGACACCCCACCCACACATGCAGGGTGTGGAACCCCCCGCACTCCACCCGGCTGTCTGCCTCTGAGCCTTCTGCCTTGTGGAGCCGCTGCACAGCCTGGAGGCCTGGGCCCAAGGTGCCTCTGCTCTGCCCCAGACCCCCTTCCCCTCCAAGGGAGGGAGCGTGGCCTCAGTGTTCTTCCCCCAGCCCTGGGGGCCACTCACTCTTTGACAAAGCTCTGGAGCTGCTGCCGCACGGACCTCTGGGCCTGGTCAAACAGGATCTGGGGGCAGAGGCGGGCAGAGATCCTTGGGGTCTGTCCCGAAAGAGCCCCAGATGGAAGGCCCCATCCTCACCAGCAGAGGGCACTGCCCCCAGGCCCAGATGCAGGGGCGGGTCCCACCCTGCAGGGCTGGCCTCAAGGGGGTCAGGGGAGCAGCCCCCAGGCCTGAGTTGGCACTCAGAGGCGATGGCTGTCACCCCTGCCCCTCTGTCCCACCTGGCCCTTGATGAGTGCAGAGGCCAAGGCTGCCTCATCACAGCCTGAGCCGGAGCCCCACTGCCTCCTGGCCCTGGGCGGCCACCCTGGGGTGCCCATCCCTGCAGCAGGGAGCACTCAGCCAGAGCCGGGAGCACCCAGGGGCTGGGCCTGGGGAGCTGGAGCCTGGGCTCTGAATCGGAACCCGAAGTAGAGAAGGACCGGGCACAACCAGGAGCAAAGGGACGGCTGAGCCATCCTGCCTTGTCTACTTCGGGACCTCCTCTGTTCAGTCTGCGGCTCAGGTTCCCAGGCTGCAGCCCCACATCTCACGGGTGCCTGTCCTGTGTGTCCATCCACGTCAGTGCCAGGGCCCCCGGGGGCCACCCAGACCCAAATGGCAGCCAGGCCAGCCTGGGACGAGAGCCCTGCCCAGTTGGGGGAACCCTGGATAAACCACCCCTCCCCCAGGGTCTAGTGTGGCCCTTGCCTGGGACACGGCAGAGCCCCCAGGGCTGTCCCCCAACCCCACACTGACTTGAAAATGTGGGATTCCCCCCCCCCCCGACTAGAGGAGCAGAAACGTGCCCCCCCCAACCCGACGCCGGCCTTCAGGTGAGCCAGCGCAGCTCGGTTCCAGGCCAGGCACAGCCCACAGGTGGCAGGGAGGCCGCGCTCACCATGTGGTAGTTCACCACCTCCTGTAGGCTGTCAGCGAACCTCTGCAGACATTCCTGGAGGAGCAGATGGGAACCCGTGCTGAGATGGCAAATCCGGGCCCAGGTCACCCAGCCACGCCCTCTGAGCCCCTGGGCGGTGCAGACACCGGCCTGCTTCTGGCCTGGACGCCCTCAAGGGGCTGCCTCCCTCGGCCTCTCCCCCAACCCCACCTTGAGGTCAGAGGTCAGTCGGCCCCTCACCGAGATGACGGTGTCGCCCTGGCACTGCTGGGACAGGTCGCGGACGCCGCTCACGAAAAGCCTGCTGGTGCTGACGTAGGCCTTACCGGCTTCCACCATGCCACTGCACAGCTTCACCAGCTGTGGGCCAGCGGGGCGTGGTGAGCACAGTGGGCACTGGCGCCTGCACTCGCCACCACACACGGCCACTCAGAGGCAGGAAGAGCTCCCAGGGTAGGTTCCACTCAGGGCGTTGGCACTCAGGACTCAGTGCCCCGGTGCAGCTTCCTCACGCCTGGGCCTGCCTGGGGCTTGGAGGCCCGTCTGGGAGGGGAGGGTGGGGCCGCCACGGCTCGGCTGGGAGGGACCAGGAGCCAGGCAGGGGACCCAGGGCCAGCAGGACCAGCAGAACCAGCCCATGTGGGGCTCATGGATAAGGCTGCCCACTCCCAGCTCCACGGCCTGTTGCCCCCTCCTCTTTCTCAGCCCATGTGGGGCTCATGGACACGGCTCCCCTCTCCACGGCCTGTTGCCCCCTCTTTCTCAGCCCATGTGGGGCTCATGGACACGGCTCCCCCCTCCACGGCCTGTTGCCCCCTCCCCTTTCTCAGCCCCAGCCCCAGCCACACCAAGGCTCAGCCCACACAGCAGCTGTCCCCGTGTCACCAGCCCAGCAGAGGGGACGGGCAGCCACCGTGGGTCGGGGACTCACCACAGCCCAGCCCCTCCCAGATGGGACGAGACTCAGGGCCAGCCACATGTGTGCATGTGACATGTGCACCCTGGAACACACATGCTAAGACACAGGGACCAGGACCTGGAGCACCACACGCATGCTCCACATATGGGGGGTGTAAGTGGCTTAGTAAGGCCTGGAGGGCGAGTCTGGCCATGTGGCCATCCCAAGCTTGGCCGGGCACAGGGCGCTCCAGGCCCGCCCTTCACCTTGTCCAGTTTGGCCTCAATCTCCACCACGTCCGTCTCCACCTCGTCAATGGTCGCCCTAAAGCAAGAACGGGGCTGGCTGGGGTCACCTGCAGCCTCAGCCCCCTCGGGGCTTCACCTCCCCCCGCACCTCCCTGAGGGGCTCCACCATGGGAAGGGGCTTTCAGGAAACAGGCTGGGAGACAGACGCCTGCCTGCTACGGGGGCAGGACTGGGACCAGGTTCAGTGCACTTCCCCCCGCCCCCCCAACCCCAGGCAGGCAGAGGCAGCCGCTGCTGTGCCCTCGGGGAAGAAGGCTGGACCAGCCTCTCCCAGGACAGCCGGCCGCTGGGAGTCCCTCAGGGACAGTGCCCACCAAGGGCTGAGCCAGCCTCACCCGCCTCTCCTCTAGGAGTTCAGAGTCAACCCTGGACCCATCTGGAGCCCCTCAACCCTGCGGCACCTCCCCTCACCCCACTGCACTACTGCAGCCCATCCAGGTCTGGCACCCATGCACTGTGGGACAGGGTGGGGGCAGTAGGGCAGCTGCTCTCGGTCCTGGCAGCACCAGGAGGACCCAGACCAGCTGGGGAGAGACGCCCCCGGCTCCCCCAACCTCACAGCTGCAAGCGGCATGGTCCGCTGGAAAGACGGGTAGGCCATCCTCCTCAGAGCCCACTCCCACCAGGACAGCCTGACAGTGGGGCTGCCTGGGGAGAGAAGAGTTAAGGCATGACATCACCAGAGAAGCCTCGGCGGGAGAATCCCCGGAAGACAGGAGGCAGATGGATCGGGCACGTGACCACCCCCTCCGGGAGCAGGCAACAGGGAAACAGGGCCAGGATCCCGGCAGCCCTCCACACAATCGGCTCACTGGCTGTCCGGGCCATCTGGCCTCCTGGGGATTGGGCACCACAGGGCCCGGGCTGGGGCCAGGACTCCAGGTCTAGGGCAGGGGTCCAGGAGCAGAGGCCATCAGGGCCTACAGTCCCTCGTACCTTGCTACCCTGACCGGTGTCCCAGGCCTCGGGGGAGGGGCCTGTGGTTTACATGGGGCGTGTCCTCAATTAGGAGCTGGAGCTGCAGGCACCAGGCTGCCCCAGCCAGGGACCTTGAAGGGTCCCAGCCACCCCAGAAGGACACTAGGTCCTCTCTGAGCAGCCCTCTCTTGTTCCCAAGGGGCTAAGAGGACTCTGAATCCCGAAGCAGGGGGCGATGGAGGGAATCTCGCTGTGGTGTCCGCTGACCGCCAGTGCCCAGCCTGCAGCCCCTGGACCCTGACCTCTACCTCAGCTGGAGGATCCCAGAACAGAGAAGGGACCATCCTCCCAGGAGAAGGCAGCAGAGAGCGCCACACCCCAGGAGTTGCAGCCACCCCTGAGCAGGGCCGGATGCAGAGACAGCTGCACCCAGAGCTGCCGCCCTCGGGTTTGGGGCGCCCGTGTCCCTGGAGAGCCAGCAAGGGGGGATGGCTGCACCCAGGAGCTCACGGACGTGCTCATGGGGACAGGGTGGGCCCTGGCAGAGGCCCCGAGAGCCGCTCCCACTGCTGGGAGCCCCTCAGCTCTCCCTTCCTCAGTCCTGGGGACCTAGGCCTCCTCTGCTGTGCTCAGCCCAGGATTTCCTCAGCAGCTTGGAGGACGGGGAGGAGGGTGAGGCTGCCCCCCAACCAAAGCCATGACTCAGCGCCTGAAGCCCCACCCAGGGGAGGGGCACACTGAACAGAGGCCAGGCGGTTCCCCTACACGGGCTCCCCTGGCCTCCGGCCCACTGCACCTGGGCTGCCACTAGGCCCTCCCCAGACCAGGAGGGTGCGGGCAGGGTCCCCCTCTCCCGGGCTGGGGCGACCAGGCTCCACGTTACAGACCACATCTTCCCGCCCACCCTGCCTGGCCCCCCAACCTGGCGGTAGGCCAGGAAACTCAAGTTACGCCCTTAGGGCCTGCCCCCAGGACAGCCTCAGGGAGCCCCTCGAACCCCAGTTAAATCACAGCCTAACCCCAAAACCCACTGGGCCAGGCCATTCTCATCTCCCCACTCCAGTCCATGCCCCACAGGGGTGAGGCACTTTCCCAGGGCAGTCACTCTACGGCACCTACTGCAGCCCCACAGCCCCCATAACTGGCTCCTGTAACAGGCTCCCATGAGAGCCGGTTACCAGAGAGAAGGCCCAGAGGTGAGTGGGTTCCAGCACCCCCACACGACTGGAAGAGGGCAGTACAGGGCCGTCTGCGTGGAGGAGGAGGTCCATTAGGCTTCTGACGGAGGGGCCAGGGAGAAGGTGGGTGCTTCAGCCAGGGTCCAGCCCCCAGCAGGGAGGCCATGCCCACACCTCCCCACAGCCCGGGTCCTCAATGCAGGATCCTAGGGTGCTCAAGTTATTCAACCCCTTTTCCCAGGTCAGCAACAGAAGATGGGAGAGCAGAGGATGGCCCCAGTTCCTCTGCCCAGGGCTGGCGGCCACTCTCCTGGCTGGCCCTGAGCCTCCCACTCCAAGGCTCCTGAGCCTCCTGGTGAGGGCTCCAGGGATACAGAGGCTCCCCGTGCCTCCACACACATGCTGACTTGCCAGCAGATCCCAAGAGACCCAGCGCGCGCGTGCACACCCACACATACACAATCAAGCACACATGTGCAAACATGTTCATGCACAAACATGCCTGCACACACTGGTACCACACATACATGTGTGTTCAAGGAGACACTGCACAGACACGCATCAACATGTGTACCTAGTGATGGAACACGCGTGTACAAGGTGATGTGTCTATTGCTGACATGGCTAACACAGTACGTGAACCCACACAGACAGGTGGTGTGTGCACACGCTTGCGTGCACTCATCGGCAGGCTACATGCAGAAGCAAGCACAGCCCCGTGGCACAGCTCATCCACACGTCCTGTGCAAGGCCTGGTGTCCGGAGGGAGGCACGCAGAGGGGCAAAGTTCACAAGAGCGCACCCCGCACGAGCTCGTGCAGAGGAGGGGGCCTCACGCAGGTGCGCACTTGGGGATGCAGAGAGGTTTCTTTGCCTCCATTGTCGTTTGCCAAATGTCCACCAAGCAAAGCCGATGCACACTTGTGCACACGTCTGTGAACATGTAGTTCACGCAGGTGTACACGCCTGCACGCCACGAATGATGGAAAACATGCAGACTCGGTGTGCACACAACCCCTACCCCCTACCTGACCTTCCCCGCCGCTCTTCTCGGCCGCCACCCCTCCAAGCCCCTGGGTCATTCAAACCACTTCACGTTTCCAAGCACCCTACCCCAGGCCTTAAACGCGGCTCCAGCTGCCTGTTCCCCACGCGCTGCTCTGGACACAGGATCAAGTCAGAGACCAGGGGCCGACGCCCCCACGGACCCAGACGACCCTGGCCAGAGCTGGACTGCAGGGCCCGGGAGGGGCTCAGCCCAGTGGAGGTGCAGACACAGAGCGGGGGCGGACGGTCCCGAGGTGCCCACGGCTGCCCACGCGCACGCCCTCCACCCGGGGCGGCCGCACAGGGCAGGAGCGTCTTTTGTTCCAACCCCCGGGGCATGGCGGGGCGGGGCCGCCGCTTTGTCCGAGGCCGGTCCTCCAGCCCCTCCCCGGCGGCCGCGGCCCGGCCCGGCGCTGACCTCCCCACCCCGCCGCCGGGCACAAAGGCGACAGCGACGCCCCCGGCCTGCGCCCACCCCGGCGGCCCCGGGCGGCGCACCTGAAGCGCGGGGAGTCCTTGACGCACTCCTCGAACTCCACGGTCATGGCTGCGGCGGCCGCGGCGCTCACTGGCACGAGGACCGCGGCGCCGAGCGGCAGCCGCGCCGGCCCGGACCGCTCGTCCCGCCCGCGCCGCCTCGGCGCCCGCCCGCCCCGGAATGAGGCCGCCGCGCCGCGCCCCGCCCCGCCTGTCACCGCCGGGGAGCGTCGCCAAAGTCAGCCGCCCGCGCGCACCGCCCGCTGTCACTGCCGGGGAGCGTCGCCAAGGTCCGCCGCCCGCGCGCGCCGCCCGCTGTCACCGCCGGGGAGCGTCGCCAAACGCCTCTCGCAGCGTCCAGGGACCACCCCGGTCCGGAAGTGAGGCGGGGCCTGCCACGGCCGTCTCCGGGGACAGTCGGTGGAAATGTGGGGCGCGGGGAGGGCGCGGGGAGGGCGCGGGCCCGCCCGCTCCAACCATCCCGGCCGTTGCGCAACTCAGGGCGTTTGCAAAAACCACGTCTGGGAGGACTTGGCCGCAACGCGGCGAACGGGCGCGCTCGGGGAGTGTGGGCGGCGGCGAATGAATGAGCGAGTGAACGAATGCACGCCCGCGAGAGCGCGGGGTGACCGCGTGGTTGGTGCGCGCCTCCCGGGGCGCCGCGATAGAGGTAGAGCGCCTGCGCTCGGCGGCGGGCCGGCACTTTGCAGCCGCTCCCTAAGCCCGGCCCCGCCTCCGCTCCCCGACTCTGGCCGCCGTGGCGCGGTGCCACCGCGCAGGCGCAAGAGCGGCCGGGGCCGGGGGGGAGGGGGGGGGGGCGTGACCAGGCCGCGTCCGCGCGCGCGCAGGATTCCTGCGCTGGAGGCCGCCTCTGACGCCACCGGCTGGGCTCCGCCATGAGTTCGGCGCCGGCCTCAGGCTCCGTGCGCGCGCGCTATCTTGTGTACTTCCAGTACGTGGGCACCGACTTTAAGTAGGTTTCCCAGGCGCAGCGGCGGGCGCCACGTGGGCCCGGGCGGAGGCGGGAAGGAGGGCGCGGGCGGGCAGGCGGATGTCTCTGGACGCGGGTTCCAAACGTTCGGGGAAGGAAGCGGCCCTGGCCTCAGACGGCGGCGGAGACCCCAGGGCAGGGCGCCCCCGGTAACCTCCGCCCGCTTCTGCCCGCAGCGGGGTCGCGGCCGTCAGGGGCACTCAGCGCGCCGTCGGGGTCCAGAACTACCTGGAGGTGCGCTCAGCCGGTCACGGGACGCCCGGTGAGGGGTAAGGGGGAGGCTCCCGCCCGCGCGTCCCCGGGGTCCGGCCTCGCTCACCCGCCCGCCCCGCGGCTCGGTCCTGCAGGAGGCCGCCGAGCGGCTGAATTCCGTGGAGCCGGTCAGGTTCACCATCTCCAGCCGCACGGACGCCGGGGTCCACGCCCTGAGCAACGCGGCGCACCTGGACGTCCAGCGCCGCTCAGGCCGGCCGCCCTTCCCGCCCGAGGTCCTGGCCGAGGCCCTCAACACACACCTGCGGCACCCGGCCATCAGGTGAGCCCGCGACCTAAGCAGCCCTGGGGCTGTGCCTTCCCGACTCCATCTGTCGCGGGCGGAGGCTGGAGATCTGGACAGACTTCCTTGTCTGGTCGGAGCTCGAGGGGGAAGGAGAGCCAATGTGACACCGCGGGCGGGCGGGGTCGTTCCTCCGGTGAGCTTTACCTGCCGCCATAGGGTCCTGCGGGCCTTCCGAGTGCCCAGCGACTTCCACGCTCGTCACGCAGCCACGTCCCGGACCTACCTGTACCGCCTGGCCACTGGCTGTCACCGGCGTGATGAGCTGCCGGTGTTTGAACGCAACCTATGCTGGACTCTCCCGGCAGAGTGAGTGTGGCCCTGACAGCGGGGAGGGGGCGGGCAGGCCGGCCCCACCCTCCTGACGGTCACCCTGGTCCCTGAAGCTGCCTGGATATGGTCGCCATGCAGGAAGCCGCCCAGCACCTCCTCGGCACACACGACTTCAGCGCCTTCCAGTCCGCTGGCAGCCCGGTGCCGAGCCCCGTGCGAACGCTGCGCCGGGTCTCCGTTTCCCCAGGCCAAGCCAGCCCCTTGGTCACCCCCGAGGAGAGCAGGTGAGGAAGGGCCCCTGGGCTGTGGCCCTGCCCTCAAGTCACGTGCTGATTTTAGCTCCAGCACCTCCCCCAGTTTTAAGGCAAGGTGAGGCGGGAGGCAGGCAGCCGGGAGTCCTCAGGACCTGGACAGCTGGAGGGGATTCGCCCGGACGCCCCCCAGCCTCCAGCTGTGCCCTCCCCCCAGGCTGGGGAGCGGAGAACAGGGAAGGCTGCTTGTCTCTGAAAAACCCCTGCCATGCCTGATGGAAGAATGTTGGCAGCTACTGGAAAGGTCTCACTGGTGCCAGTGGTTCTGGTGGGGTGGTTTCTGCTGCCCCCAGCACTGTCCCGAGGGCCACCCACCAGGTGGCAGCTTCTGACCAGAACCTCCCCTATTGGGGTGAGCCCTGAAGGGGGGAAGAACTTCTGCCAGCCCCAGACTTCTGTGGCAGAGCAGCAGGTACAGGACTGGGGGTCTCTGGCACCCGCACCAGCCACGTTCCCAGACCCTGCACCAGGACCCTAGGTGAGGGCCCAGGGCAAGCCCCTCTGGGATGGCCAGGCTACCTGCCCAGCCTCCAGGGTCCTGCTGCCTCCTTGCCCAAGCATTGTTTCTCTGGTTTTAAGCCCCTCCAATGGGCCTCACTGGGGGCAGGAGATCAGCCAGGGCCCCTGGTGGCCAAGCTAGTGGGAACCAGGCTCGTCTTTAGGCCCACCCTGTCACTCTCCCGTCCAAGGCCACATAGTAGGCTGAGGATGGCAAACACTGCCCCACAGACACCTACAGGTACGTATTTTTCCAGGAAGCTGCGGTTCTGGAACCTGGAGTTTGAGAGCCAGTCTTTCCTGTATAGACAGGTAGGCTCTGTTCTGGGGCCGTCCCCAGGGGGTGGGGCTGAGGGTGGGCAGGCCCCTGTGCAGTCTTGGCTCTGGGTCGTGGGCGGCTCTGGGTCACAGGTACGGAGGATGACGGCTGTGCTGGTGGGTCACGGGCGGCTCTGGGTCACAGGTACGGAGGATGACGGCTGTGCTGGTGGGTCACGGGCGGCTCTGGGTCACAGGTGGCTCTGGGTCACAGGTACGGAGGATGACGGCTGTGCTGGTGGCCGTGGGGCTGGGGGCTTTGGCACCTGCCCAGGTGAAGACGATTCTGGAGAGCCAAGATCCCCTGGGCAAGCACCAGACACGTGTAGCCCCAGCCCACGGCTTATTCCTCAAGTCAGTGCTGTACGGGAACCTCGGTAAGAAAAACAGGCACGAGAAGCTCCTGTCATGTGCCCAGTGACTACTGTGGCCGAGGCATGGGGTGGGGGGCCAGGGGCCACTGACGGCAGCAACTGGGGGTGAAGCAGCCCCCCGCCCAGGGCTGCAGTCCCTCAGGCCAGCCCGTAGCCCGTCCTGGGCTGGCCCACTCCCTGGTCATGGGAGTGGTCTCAGCGGTGGGGAGGGTGCTGGGCCGGTCTTGCCCCAGGCTGACGCAGGGTCTGGTCCGTCCACAGGTGCTGCCTCCTGCACCCTGCAGGGGCCACAGTTCGGGAGCCACGGATGACCCTGGACACTCAAGCCAAAGTTAGGCCACACCAGGCCCAACCCTGTGCTGGTCAAGCCAGGGCAGTCACAGCTGCTTGGGGCCCACAGCACTGCTGCCTGGTCTCCACAGTAGCCTCCCTGCCCGGGTCCCAGCACCCTGGATGCCCGTCTCTGTCCCAGGCGGGATGGGGCACAGTGCAGGACACAGCCATGTACACCAAGAAGAGAGTACCAAGTAGTCTTTTGTTCAGCTTTTACTGGAAACTGCTGTCTAGGACCACCTGCCCTAACCAGGAATAAAGGCAAGACAGCCTGGAGACCAGTTT
This sequence comes from Homo sapiens, assembly GCF_000001405.40. Lineage (NCBI taxonomy): Eukaryota > Metazoa > Chordata > Mammalia > Primates > Hominidae > Homo > Homo sapiens. Next base: position 1,311,687 of record NC_000001.11, read on the forward strand.
GTTTCTTCAGCTGCAAACAGCTGCCTGGGCAGGCAGGTGACACAAGGCCTCTGTCCCCAGGGATGGGACCTGCAGGGTCTGTTCACCCAGGGCACCCACAGTCCTGAAGTGCAGGCCCAGGGTCTGTCCAGCTGGGAGAGGGCAGAGGTGGCGGCTGGGTGAGTTGCCGGCCTCAGCTGGGGGCCTGGGGGAGGCCCTTCTTCAGCAGAGATGTGAGGAAGCTCCCCAGCTCCTCGTCCTAGGGCAGAGGCAAAAGCATTGTGGGTGGTGCAGGACAGGGAGGAATGTTGATACCTGTGTTGACCGCGGTGGGGTGGGGGTCACCCCTTACCTGGTAGGTCCAGGAGACCAGCAGCACCTTGGTGCCTGGGTCCTCAGAAGGGGCGGCGGCCTGGAGGAGGACGGACTCCACAGTCACAGAGCCGTCTGGGAGGTGCTGCACACAGTGGTCCTTCAGGACGCTGTGGGGAGGCTCGGTGAGACCCTGCCTGGCCTCCAGGGCCCAAGGGAGTGGGGGGGGGGCGGGGCCGGGCGCCCACCTCTTGAGGTGGCTGTAGACGCGCAATGCCGTCTCCTGCTCCTTGCGTGTGTCATGCAGGTGCACGCGGCAGGTGAAGCGCAGCTGGTGCTCAGCCAGACCCAGCTCTTTGAGGGCTTGCTCTGAGGACACCAGCCGGAAGTTCTGTGGGGCAGGGACAGGTCAGTGAGCGCAGCAGCGGCCCTCCCCCCTCCAGAGACCGTCCTGGCACTCACGCTGTCCTTCATGATCAGGGTGCCGTGCAGGAGCCGAGGCTTCTTGGCCTCAGGGAGCAGCCCTGCGGAGGAGGTGGCAGGAGCCATCAATGTGAGGGCCGCTCCCAGCCGCCTGCCCCGAGCACCCTGCCCTGCCCTGCCCAGCCCGCATACCCTGCGCCATCTCCCGCTTCAGCAGCCCCAGCGAGATGCCTACGGGGATGCTGGGGCTTGTGGGCAGCGTCACCGTCTCGCCATTGGCCGGCATGTAGCAGTTGACCCCTGGACCCCGGGGGAAGAGAGAGCCTCAGCCCAGGCTGCCCGTGCTGACCCGAGGTGGGCCCCACGCCGCCCGCCCGGCTGCCTACGGAGCTCCTGCTCGATCTTCTGCTTCAGGAACTCCATCTTCTTGGCCTCGCCATGCACCAGCAGCACGCTCTCCGGCTCTGCCTGGCCCACCAGCTGCATGATGCCCTTGGCGTCCGCGTGTGCGCTGAATGACATGTACTCCACCTGCATCTTGACCTCCAGCTACAGAGGCCACGGGGCGTGGACAGTGGTTACCACCAGGAGGTGCCCCTCGGCCCTGCCAGCCCAGTGCGGGGTCGAGACTCACCACCTGCCGCCCCTCCATCTCGAGCTTCCGCTGCCCGCTGAGGATCTTGTGGCCGACGGTGCCCTGCACGCAGTAGCCGGGCATGATGACCTGGGGGCAGGCACAGAGCTCACAGCCAGGGAACTCCAGCCTTGGCACCTCAAGGCCTTGCCCGGGATGCCCCCGCCTGAACCCCTGGAAGCTGTTTCCACCTGCCAGCGGCGCCCGACCAAGCCTAGCTGCAGACTCCAAAGGGCTCAGGTTTTGGCACAAGACTGTCCAGGGCTGGGCTGGGGCTGTTCTGCCCGAGGTGGACAAGCTGTGTCACAGAGACTGAGCAGCTCCAGGCGGACATCGCCCCCGTTCCCCAGCAGCAGCAGCCACGTCCCTTGGCCAGCACGAGGCCAAGCCAGTGAGAGCTCAGAGACAGCATGGGTGGAAGGACAACCCGTCGGCCTCCAGCTTCCAGATTCCCACACCTCACCATGCCCTCACCATGTTCTTTTCGTTTCCGGCCCATTTCCGGAAGATCTGCAGGGACTGCCCAGCGTGCAGCATTCCTGGCGTGGCAAACACAACCTACAGGACACACAGGGCCAGGTGGGGGGTCAGGGCAGCAGATGCCCCCACCCCCACTGCAGGCCCAAGCCCAGACACCTGCGGAAGACAGGAGACCGACGGGTGTGGATGTGCTGGCCGGCCCTGCCGCGGGCCTCACCATCGGTCCTGGGTTGTCAGCAAAAGCCCGGTCGAAGGCCTTGATGTGCTTGAACTCAAACATGTTCCTCTGCACGAAAGTCTTGCGGATCTTCTGGTTGGTCCAGGGGATGAACAGCTTGTAGTAGTGGTTGGCCTTCTCGGTCAGCCCCGTGGAGAAGTAGATGGGCACCTTCAGGTTCATGCGCTCCCTGGGGACCACCGGCCCAGTCAGCACAGTGGCCACAGGGGAGAATGCTGCAGGGCAGGACTCGGCCGGGTCACCCCCAACACCCGTGTCTGCACAGCCCACGCACGGGCCAGGTTGAGTCCAGTCGCGACCACTTGTCCCATTAAGCCCTGCAGCAGCCGGGCTCAGCGGAGAACCAGGAACCCCTACAAGAGCCGCACACGGTGGCGCTGACGGGATGTCACAGGCTTCCTGGGGTCACACAGCACACGAGCGGCCCCCCAGGACAGCAGCAAGCAGGGCCAAGATGCCACCGCTACGCTGGACAGGGCTGCCCACCAACTGGACTGTGTTCAGGCCGGGCCAGGGGCTCCTTAAAGAGCCGTCCTGGCGGCACCTACCAGAAGGTCTCCAGGAGGATGCAGAGCTCCTGGGCGCGGCCCAGCGCGAACACAGGTATCAGCACCTGAGGGGGACACAAGGCAGGAGCCCTGGGCACATGGCCCCTCGACACAGCAGGCAGCGTCCAGTGAGGGCACGGCCAGGTGCCCAAGAGCTGCGGCCTCATAGGGACCTTAGCCTCTCATCTGCTCCCAGTCCCGTCCCAGCCGCTCTCCAGAGACAGAAGGGAGCCGTATGAGAGACAGGAGGGAGCCGCATGAGAGACAGAAGGGAGCTGCATGAGAGACAGAAGGAGCCTGGCCAGGGCTTCGTCCGCACCTGAGGTAGGAGGGAAAAGGGGCTCCCTAGGAAAGGGTCTCTGAGTTTTCCTCCTCAATGTTGAGCAAATCTTCTTCCCTCCCTGCCTGAAAATGCAGTACCCCCCACCCTGAGACCCTGACCCATGCCAAGGGCAGCCAAGCCTGCCAGAAAGACCAGCCCAGCATGGCCGAGGGCCCATGTCCCCACCCCTGCTGCAGCTACCTTCCCACCACGCTCCACGGTCTCGTGGACTTTCTTCAGGAAGTCTCGCTCCCGGCAGCGCTTGGAGTCACGGATGGTCGTGGCGTACGTGGACTCTGTGATGAGCAGGTTGGGGCGGCACTTGTCAATCCAGGCAGCTCTGGAACACGGGGGTGGGGGTGTGAGCCACGATGCACTGTCCCCACGGTTGCAGGGCTGGGTGTGACAAGCTGGACCCCAGTACCACGCCCAGCCGCCTTCCTAGGTCACTCTGGCTGGAAAGAGCCAGCTGGTAAAATGCTGTGGGCAGCACACTTGGGAAGAGAGAGGAGAGACAGAGGCACCCACCCAGACACTTCGGAAGAGCGAGACAGAGGCACCCACCCAGAGACTTGGGAAGAGAGAGAAGGAGGGACAGAGGCCCCTGCCTGGACCCTGTGCCTTCGCGCATTTGGGCCCAGAACGAAGGGGGCTCTCCAGGCCGCACAGGACATGGGAGACACTGCCAGGCTGGCCACTCAAGGGCTGGCACCCTGACACCTGCAAGGGTCCTGAGCTCCAGGGGGGCCCACGGGACAAAAAGACACCTCAGCCTACTTACCCTAAGTGTCGGTCTGGGGTCATGTTATAATCACCCTGGTGAACGATCAAGGATGCCATGAGGAGGGTGCCTCCCACCCCAGCAGCCCCTCCCAAGCCTCAAGCCCTTCCACTGACCGTGTAGACCACAGACTCTGAGCCCACTTTAATCTGGAACATGGCTGCCCCCAGCACGTGGCCTGCATAGTAGGCCTTGATCTCCAGCTCATCATCTACCTGTGGAGGACAGGGCTGCGCTCAGGCTGTGTCCTCACAGCAGAGGGGCGGGGAGTGAGGGAGGCGGGGGACGGGAAGCGCGGGAGGCGGGGGTGGGGAGCGTGGGGGAAGGGGAGCGAGGGGGCGGGGGCGGGAGCGAGGGAGGTGGGGGCGGGGAGGGAGGGAGGGAGGCGGGCAGCGAGGGAGGCAGGGGCAGGGAGTGAGGGGGGCGGGGGCAGGGAGGGAGGCGGGGCGGGGAGCGAGGGCACTGCACTGAGCTTTTCAGTCCCTGTTGCTCACACACAGCATCCAGTTCACAAGGGACGGGCAACGTGGACAAAGAACGAAAGACAACGGACAAAAAACTGAAGGGACCTGAAATTGGAGTTTCCAGCGTGGACTTTGAATACATGACAGAGAAAAGACAAGGTTCAGAATGTTGGCGGCCAGGCCTAAGGTGGATCCCTTGGGGTCAGGAATTGGAGACCAGCCTGGCCAACATGGTGAAACCCCGTCTCTACTAAAAATACAAAAGTAAGCCAGGTGTGGAAGTGCGTGCCTGTAATCCCAACTGCTCAGGAGGCTGAGGCAGGAGAATCGCTTGAACCTGGGAAGTGGAGGTTGCAGTGTACTGAGATCACGCCACTGCACTCTAGCCTGGGCAATGGGGCGGGACTCCATCTCGGTAAAAACAAACAAAAAAATACTGGGCTGGGCACAGTGGCTCACACCTTTAATCCCAGCACTTGGGGAGACCAAGGTGGGCAGATCATCTGAAGTCAGGAGTTCAAGACCATCCTGGCCGACACGGTGAAACCCTGTCTCTACTAAAAATACAAAAGTTAGCTGGGCATGGTGGTGGGTGCTTGTAATCCCAGCTACTCAGTAGGCTAAGGCAGAATTACTTGAACCCGGGAGGCGGAGATTGCAGTGAGCTGAGATTGTGCCATTGCACTCCAGCCTGGGCAACAAGAGCGAGAGTGTCAAAAACAAAAATTGGCAAAAAACTAGACTTCTTTTAAATTTAATTTATTCATTTAAAACTTGCCGGGTGCGGTGGCTCATGCCTGTAATCCCAGCACTTTGGGAGGCTGAGGCGGGTGGATCACCTGAGGTTGGGAATTCAAGACCAGCCTGACCAACACGGAAAAAGCCCGTCTCTACTAAAAATACAAAATTAGCCGGATGTGGTGGTGTGCGCCTGTAATCCCAGCTACTCGGGAGGCTGAGGCAGGAGAACTGCTTGAACCCGGGAGGCGGAGGTTGCAGTAAGCCGAGATCGCGCCACTGCACTCCAGCCTGGGCGACAGAGCGAGACTGTGTCTCAAAAAAAAATAAATAAATAAAATTGAGAGACAGGGTGGGGCTGTCACCCAGGCTGCAGTGGCGCAATCATGGCTCACTCAAACTCCTGGGCTCAAGCGTCCTCCCGCCTCCACCTCCGCCTCCCAAATAGCTGGGACTATAGGCACGCACCCACCACGCCAGGCTAATTTAAAAACAAAATTTTGGCCAGGCGCAGTGGCTCACTCTTGTAATCCCAGCACTCTGGGAGACCAAGGCGGGTGGATCACCTGAGATCAGGAGTTCAAGACCAGCCTGACCAACATGGTGAAACCCCCGTCTCTACTAAAAAAAAATACAAAATTAACTGGGTGTGGTGGCACACGCCTGTAATCCCAGCTACTCGGGAGGCTGAGGCAGGAGAATCGCTTGAACCCAGAAGGCGGAGGTTCAAGGTGAGCTGAGATCGCACCACTGCACTACAGCCTGGGCAATGAGAGCGAAACTCCATCTCAAAAAAAAAAGAAAAAAAAAAAGAATTCAACAGATGAATTTAACACCATATGACACATAACCAGAAGAGAATCCATGAACTGAAAGACACCAGAGGGAATATCCATCAGGAAACAGGAAAGACAAACAGATGACGGAGTTTCAAGAGGTTGAACGTCAGGCTCTCGGGGTCCCTGGAGGAGCAGGAACGGGGCAGAAACAACACTGGAAGAAACATGATGAAGGCCTCAAGCCACAGATCCAAGAGGCCTCAAACTCTAAACAGGCTGAGGATACATGTCAGCCCATCAGAGCACAAGCACCAAAAACCAAGGCTCCTGCTCAGACCCTACGGCTGCCCATGCCCAGAGACAGAACGTTGTTTGCAAAGTGCAGAGACAAAATACTGTCAACCTAAAATCTTACACACCTAAGGGAAAAAAAGTCCTTTAAGAACGAGGATAAAGTAAATCCATTTGCAGGCAAATAAATTTTTTTTTTTTGAGCCGGAGTCTCGCGTCTCGCTCTGTCTCCCAGGCTGGAGTGCAGTGGTGGGATCTTGGCTCACTGCAAGCTCCGCCTCCCAGGTTCACGCCATTCTCCTGCCTTTCAGCCTCCCGAGTAGCTGGGACTGCAGGCGCCCGCACCACGCCCAGCTAATTTTTTTGTATTTTGTTTAGTAGAGACAGGGTTTCACCGTGTTAGCCAGGATGGTCTCGATCTCCTGACCTCGTGATCCGCCTGTCTCGGCCTCCCAAAGTGCTGGGATTACAGGCGTGAGCCACCGCGCCTGGCCAAGGCAAATAAAAATTGACAGAATTCAGCACCAGCAGACCCACACTCATATTCTTCAGGCAGAAGGCAAATTATCCCAAGTAAAAAGTAGAAAAAATGCAGGAAGCCCAACAAAAAGGATAAATATATAAATAAAACTAAGCAAATGTTGGTGTTACCAGGCATTAGAAATGATGTCTTTCTGGGTTTAAAATGTACTGAGGGAGTTGCCAGGTGTGGTGACTCATGCCTGTAATCCGAGCACTTTGAGAGGCTGAGGTGGGAGGATCCCTGGAGCCCAGCCCAGGAGTTCGAGAGCCTTAGCAACACATACCCATCTCTACAAAAAATACCAAAATAAATTAGCTGGGCGTATGGGCACATGCTTGTAGTCCCAGCTACTTGGGAGGCCGAGGTGGGAGATCACCTCAACCCGGGAGGCCGAGGCTGCAGTGAGCCAAGATCACACTCCAGCCTGGGTAACAAAGTGAGACACTGTCAAAAAAAAAAAAAAATTAAAGTTTCACAACAAAAAAGATAAACATACTTCATTTTGACAAGTTCAATCAGAAAATTAAATGTTCCAAAATACATAGGTACCTAATATAGTTTCAAGAAATATAAAAGCAATACCCAGAGATTCGAGTGAGACACAGACAAACCCATAATCTTTGTCAGAAATGGAATTTCACCTGTCACTCGCTGATTTAACCTTCACTTCTTCCCTGACCCACACCCAGAACCAGGCACCCTCCAGAGCTGGCCCATCTCCCCTCCAGCCCCTGCCTCCCTGCCCGGCAACACCCCGGGAGCTCCAGCGAGTCTCTGGCCGCTCCAAGCGCTCTGAGGGCACCAGCCTGTCCCACTCTGGCCATTTCAATGCCGCTCGGACAGAGCCTGGTGGGTTCATAAGCCGGTGCATACCCCCACCCTGCACGTGCTCTCCCGGGTCGGCGCCCAGTCTGGTCTGGGACCCGCATCCTCGCGCTGACGCCTCCTGGTGTCCCCACGGTGCTGGACGCAAGAGTGAGGTGGGGTGGGCTCACCCTGAGGCCCCAGCCTTCCAGAAACTGTGTAGAACGGGCGGAGGGCATGGTTGGTGTGGGGGTGGGCAGTGACTGTGCCAGCTGTGGCCCTGGGAACCTGACCTGGACCGTCTGGTGGAGGTGGACAGCCACCACCTTCTTCATGCAGTCTTTGATCATCTGGGAGGTGAAGAAGTTGGCCTCGCCCTTCTTGTCTACGGCGATCTTGCGGTAGTCCTCCAGCAAGATGGGGCAGATGGCCTGGGTGGGGTGAGTCATGTAGATGGGCCCGTCGTAGCCCACCATCTCGCTGAAGTAGGGGAGTGCCCCGCAGTGGTCCAGGTGGAAGTGGCTAGGGGGACGCAGCACAGGTCAGCCTGGGCCCACCCTGCCCCAGCCTTCACCCCCGCTCTGGGCTTGTGGGTCACTGGCCCCTTCATTCGCCTGCTGTGCGCCAGGCCTCATCCCGAGTACCGAAGAGTCAGTAATGAGCAAACACAAAACTGTCTCCCTGGAACTTTCAGTCTCAAAGTCTAGCAAGGCAATAAGCAAACGGGAAATTGAACACGTCGGTGACGGCGACATGCTCGCGAGACAATGCAAAGCTGCTGAGGGAACCGCGCATAGGGGAGCCGCTGGCTTTTCAGGCAGTCAGGACAGGCTGAGTGGAGCTGCAGGTGAAGGTGGCACAGACCTGAGGGCAAGGGCAGCGCCTGGCAAGCCCCAGGAAGGCACTGGGGACCCCACCGTGTCTGAGAAGAAACCACAACCACGAGGGGCTCAGGGGCAGCTGAGGACACTGCCTCCGGAGAGGAGAAGGGGCTTCTCCAGGCTTCACGGGCCTGGCTGCTGGGGAGGACAGGGCAGGGAAGGGCAGGGGGCCAGCAGGAGTGCTGTGGCCGTCCAGACGAGGCCACCCAGACCAGCGGGTCATGAGCTGCTGAACCCTAAAGGCTGGGGTCAGGGCAGACTCGGGACTCTGGAATCGCCAACAAGACAGTGGGGTTTAAAGATCCTGAGACAGTGAAGGCATCAGAGAGGGTGAAGCCTGGAGGGCCGGGTTCAGAAAGTAGGGTTCAGAGGGCAGGGCCGGAAGAACAGACAGAGACCAGGCCATGTGTGTGACCAGTAAGGCAGGCAGGGAGCAGATCCTGGGGCCTAGAAGCCCCCTGAGGATCAAGGATGGCACAGGCCCCTTGCCAAACGCTGCCGAGACCAAGCAAGGTGGCCCAAGCCCCACAGGCACAGACATGGGACCCTCAAGGCCCCCAACAGGAACCCACCTAATGATCACACAGTCCAGGAAGTCTGTTAGGCGGCCGTTCTGGGTGATGTAGGAGAAGTCAGGGAAGCGTCGCTAGGAAGGATGTGGGGGTTTCAGGTTGCACAGTGGTCTCCAGGCAGCATCTGGGGCCACCCATGCCCCAGGGAGGGGCCCCCAGGAAGGGGGGTTCTATGTGCAGACTCAGGCTGGGCACTCCCATCCCGCAGGTGGCACCAGGACCCCTGGCTGCTCACAGCATCCGGAGGGGCCGAGGTTACCCCCAACCTCACTGACAGATGTGAGCTGGAAGCTGAGCCCAGGGTCTCACGGAGTCCAGCCTACAGGACCCCGGGGCTGGGGCTCAGCGCCAGCACAGGGGGACCCCACCATGCAGGGGCTCACCTCGGCCAGGCCCACCCATCCCTGCTCCCCACAGGGTGCAGCCATCCAAGCACAACCACTGCTGCCCACCACCCCACTGTCCCGGCTCTGAGGCCCAGGGTCCAGCTGTGGATGGCCGGCTCTCCCAGCCTCTGGGCCTCCTGCCCAAGGGACTCACGTCGTCATTGAAGCCCATGTGCATTCCACAGTCCAGCATGACATTCTTGCCCGCAATGGAGACCAGGATGCAGCTTCGGCCCACGTCCTGGCCGGCCCCTACTCGAGGGAGGGCAGATGAGTCACTGCTGCGCCCCCCGCCCCCTGTGCTGCCTCCCCAAGCTCTGCAGGACCCCAGTGCACTGAGGAAACCGGACCAAGTCTGCTGTGTGGACAGACACATGGGCCAAGAAGCAGGGCCACCCCTACTCACAGGAAGGGGGACACAGGGGACCATGCCCCACACCATCATGTCCAGGGTGGAGGCTGGCAGCCCACACGCCCTCCCCCGCCAGCTTCCCCTGGCCTCTTAAGGTGGCCACGGCCTGCTGGCTAAGTAGTGGGCACTGTGCTGTGGCCCTCAGCCTCCAACAGAGACAACGGCTGGTCTGTGGGGCCAACACCTCGGTCAGAGTCACTCCTGGGCTGTGGCTGGACCCCCAGCAGAGCTGCAAACCAATGAGGCCACCTTCTCCAGGATCTTTCCCCAGGCAGGCAAGGCAGTAAGTGACTAAGTGCTGGCACTGGGTGTTCTCTGGTGGTGCGGCTGTGGAGGGGCGCCACACAGCCTCAGCCATGCCATAGCGAACACGGTGCCAGTGGTCCAGCAGTGGCCAGCGTGGCAACACGAGCCTCACACCACTGCACACCATGCAGCCCCCAACACAGACCCTCATCTGCAGCCCTCCCACACTCCTGACAGCCAAGCAGCCCTGCCCAGCTGCTCCAGCCAGAGGCCTTGGCCAGCCAAGGCACACTCAGCCCCCTCATGTGGCCTGGGGGCCCGAGAGGAAAGGGTCACGGCCCCTGCACAGACTGTGCCTGGGCAGGAGTCTGATGGCAGTGAACAGTTTTCCCCTTGAATCCCACCCACCTCCCCCTGCCAGCCACTCGAAGTGTCCAAAGCCAGCACCACACATCAGGATGACGGGGCCACAGCCGAGGGGCTGCCTGCCACAGAGAGGGGATCTCAGGTTCTCTTCCAGGCCTGTTCCTGCCCCCGCTGGGTGTGAGCTCTCTGAGAGCAGGGTCTCAGCTGTCTCCTCCCTCTGCATCTCCTACCCCAAGCCACGCCAGGCTCACAGAGGCCCTCTGGCACCTGTGGGAAGGGAGGGCCGCCCCTCTTCATGCCCAGGGACCTAAGGCCACAGAGGCACTTGTGGCACACGGCCCCGAGGCATGGGGCCCGGGCTGGTTTTCTGAATTCCAAAGCCCAGTCCTGAAGTACTGGCAGTCCCGCCTCCCGACAGGACCCACAGTGATCCCAGGAAGGAAAGTGGAAAGGTGCGGGAATAGAGCCTGGAGATACACGAGGGGACAGGGCTCAGAAGACAGGAGGAGATATCCCTGTCAGCAAGGAGACAGACGGCAGACAAACAAGACACCCAAAGCACGCCAGACGAAGGTTACTATGACAGAAAAGAGCAAGGTGAGAGAATGAGGAAGCCTCAAAACTTCCAGAACCATGACAGGAGACTGCTCCGAGAAGCCAACTTTTGAGCAGGGGAGGGGAGGGGTAGGGTGGGGGAGGGGGAGGGACGGGGTGGGGAAGGGATGGTCCAGGGGAGGAGAAGAAGCGGGGCGGGCGGAGGGAGGACAGGCAGCAGGGAGGGACAGGCAGGGGGGAGGGAAGGGACCAGCAGGGGGAGGGACGGGCAGGGTGGGTGGGGGGACCGGCGGTGGGGAGGGATGGGCAGGGTGGGTAGGGGGACCGGCGGCGGGGGGGGTAGCCACACACAGGCCAAGGCGTGGGAGTGACCCCAAGGACACAGCAGTGGTCCAGTGAGCGCGGACACGGAGCCCGAGGCAGTCCCTGGTGCAGGGAAGCGGTGAAACAGGACTTCGGCTTTGATGATACCTTGGCTGAGGTGACCTTGAGAATATACCCAGGTACAGATTGCGGGTAATTGAAGCCACATGAAAGATCAGAAAGATCAGATGTCCAGAGAGTGGGCAGAACAGGCAGCCAAGAGGCCAAATGGGAAAGGGGCAGGCTGGGAGGACCCCACGGAGGACCCAGAGAGCAGGGGAGGGCAGTGGGGCCCATGCAAACAGCTGCAAAATGCCATGGGGTGTGCACAGGCCAGGGGTGTTCACAGCACAGTGTCCACACCGGGGCGGGGGGCACCCTCCGAGGAAGCGCTCACGCCATGGGGGAGGACATGGAATCCCGTCCTGGTGTCTGTGCTGGAAGGTGCCCTCGACCCCCTGCCCGGTGGAAGGACCAGGTTCCAGGACAGCACAGGGCAGGCACCTGTGGAAAACGCTAAGGACATCAGGATGACTGGCCACCAACACCATGTCCCTCCAGCTGTTTCTGAGACCCTGGATTTTGACTAATTTTTTCCTTCTTCACATCGTTCTATACTGTTACGACTTTGACTTTCTTTTGAGACATGGTTTTGCTGTCACCCAGGCTGGAGTGCAGTGGCACAATCATGGCTCACTGCAGCCTCAACCTCCTGGGCTCAAGCAATCCTCACAACTCAGCCTCCCAAGTAGCTTGAACCACAGGCACACACCACCACGCCCTGCCAATTTTAGCATTTTTTTTTTTTGGAGTGATGGGGTCTTGCCATGTTGGCTAGGTTGGTCTTGAACTCCTGGGCTCAAGCGATCCTCCCACCTCTGCCTTCCAAAGTGCTGTGATTGCAGGCGTGAGCCACAGTGCCCAGACTGTCAGGACTTTTAGGAGTACATATTTGCGTTTTTTGCTATTTTTTTCAGTGTTGCAGAAATCAGGTAGAACAAGAGCTAAAGTGAGAGTTGATTGTAACTCGGGCGTGAGCACACAGAGTGGTGGACAGAAAGCAAGACGTGAGGAGGCAGAAGCGGGGCTGGGGGGCTGAGGGGCTTGCGGGGTTAAGGGGCTTGGGGGCTGGGGGACTGGGGGGCTGAGGGGCTGGGGGGCTGAGGGTCTGGGGGTCTGCTGGGCTGAGGGGCTGGGGGACTGAGGGGCTGGGGGACTGAGGGTCTGCTGGGCTGAGGGTCTGGGGGACTGGAGCGCTGGGGGGCTGGGGGGCTGAGGGACTGAGGGGCTGAGGGGCTGGGAGGCTGAGAGGCTGGGGAGCTGGGGGGCTGAGGGTCTGCGGGGCTGAGGGGCTGGGGGGCTGGGGGGCTGAGGGGCTGGGGGGCTGAGGGGCTGGGAGGCTGAGAGGCTGGGGAGCTGGGGGGCTGAGGGTCTGCGGGGCTGAGGGGCTAAGGGACTGAAGGGCTGGTAGGGCTGGAGGCGGCAGCGCGCGGCACGGGGAGGTCAAGGCACCGACGAAAGCGCACAGCGAGCGCGAAGGCCCCGCGGCCCCATCTGCGACGTCCCCTCACGGCCGCCTGAACCTCGGGGCTCGCGTTCTCGCGTCACTGCCGGAGGCCCGGGGTGCAGGGACTAGGCCGCCTCTCGGCTCCCACCAGGGCCCGCGCGGGGAGGAGACCGGAGGACGCCCGCGGCGCGCACCTGGCTCCACGAGAAACGGGAGGGAGCGGGGCGCCCAGCCCGCCCGGAGCCGCATACGGAGCCCACCCCACAGCCCTCCCGGCGGCTCCCACTCACCCAAGGGCGTGACTCTGATCTCAGGCATCGTCTCCGCCGCGCTCCCGGACCCGCGAGGCCCGCCTGCGGTGATGCACTGCGCAGGCGCAACCACCTCGCTGCAACTTCCGGTGCGCTAGCCGGAAACGCGGGTCGGGGCGCCGGGCCTCCTGATTGGGCAGCATCCAACCAATCAGGGCGGCGGGCGAGGGCGGGGCGAGGGCGGGGCGGTGGGCGGGGACGGGGCCCGCACGGCGGCTACGGCCTAGGTGAGCGGCTCGGACTCGGCGGCCGCACCTGCCCAACCCAACCCGCACGGTCCGGAAGTCGCCGAGGGGCCGGGAGCGGGAGGGGACGTCGTCCTAGAGGGCCGGAGCGGGCGGGCGGCCGAGGACCCGGCTCCCGCGCAGGACGGAGCCGTGGCTCAGGTCGGCCCCTCCCCAACACCACCCCGGGCCTCCGCCCCTTCCTGGGCCTCTCGGTGGAGCAGGGACCCGAACCGGTGCCCATCCAGTCCGGTGCCATCTGAAGCCCCCTTCCCAGGTGAGACTCGTAGCGCTCGCTCGACAGGGTCTGGTCCCACCCACAAGGCCTGGGGCGCCGTGGGGCCCCGTCTCCTGCTGGCCCCCCAGCCTGCTGTCAGCCCCCGTGCTCTGTGCTCAGGCCGCCCTCGCGCCCGGCCCTGACCTTGGGCCGTTGGGCTGCCCTGGGAAAGGCCTGGAGGTGTCCTGGGTCACCTTCCTGGGCTGGCAAGCTGCCTGCCTCCTGCACAGCCACTGCCCTTCCTGTTGTTACCGAGCCACCAGCCACAGCTCTGAGAAGCTCCTGGCAGCTTCTGTTTGCCACTGGCTCGAATCTGGGCAGGAAGGCAAGGCCCGCAGAATATCTGGTGACCAAGAAGGAAACCCCAGAGCCTCAGAGACCATCTTCTCAGTGGACAAAATTAAGGCCCGAGGAGGGGAGGGGCGTGCTGGAAGTCTATGGGACTGCATCTTTCTGAGGCCCAGGAGCAGCCATCCCCCACACCTGAAGCCCGGTGAGCTCACATCTGGGGCCTCCGCCTGGTGCCAAGCATGCAACCCAACCTGTGGGGCCTGCAACGCCAGGCTTCAGCACCCTGCAGGCACCAGTGCTCCAGCAGCCTGGGCCACGGGCTGGGCAGGGCTTGCAGCCCATGATCCCTAGTGATGAAGGGCCCAGTCCTAGGGTGCTGAGCAACCTGCCCACCTGCTCCTGGCCAGGAGCTCTCACCACGGCTGGGTGCCCTTCCCCCTCCCCCACCGATGGAGTCCCTGCAGCCAGGGAGGCCAGGACAGGGCTCCCAGCACCAACCGGCCTAGGAACCCCCAGGCCCTCTTCCTGGTCGAGGTGGAATGCAGCTGACTCTCAGGTTCCCCAGAGCAGGTGCGGGCCCGTGGGGCACCCGGGGAGACAGGGCAAGGGTGCTTGGCAACACTCACACAAAGCATGGGTGCCTGGATGTCTGTGGATCTGTGGAGTGACTATGTGAATGCCAGCAGAATCCAAAGCAGGGCCTGGGCCACTCGTGGAAGGCTCCCTAGGGCTAGTACAAGAGCCTCGTGGCAATCTTCTGAGTGGTAAAACCCATCTGTGTGGGACATGGAGTTTCAGCAACAGGAGTGAAAACACGTGTCCATCCATCCAGCAAGTGCCAGCCCTACAGCCTCTTTTCTGCTTTTGGGGATGTAGCAGTGAGGAAGATGGGGCAGCCTGCCCGGCAGCATCCCCCCACCCCCGGCCCCACCTGTCTCTGCTTTCTGCTGTGTCTGTTTTCTTGTCTAGGACTTCAGAACTTCCTGTCTTTGTTGTCATCTGACCCCACCCCAGATGGCTGCTCGCACTCCCCATGCACCCAGATAGATGGCTAGGATGGTGCTTGGCTCTCGGCAGGGGCTTAGTATTTCTCCAGCTGGTAAAAGCAGATACAGCATCTAGAGAGAGAAACAAAAACAAGAAAGCACCAGCAGAGACACCTGCTGCAGACAGCGGGGCCTAGTGGTCTGATAAAGCCAGAGGGGGCCACTCTCGGGGTCAGGGACTGACACGGAGTCAGTGGCCTGATCCACAGGAGGGGCTGTGCCAAGGTCCCTGAATGCGCAATCCTGATGAAGGGTGGGTCAGGGTGGTGTGCCTGAGAGCCTGCGGCTTGGCTGGGAGCAGAGCCAGGCAGCTCCTGGGAGGAAGCTCCATGAGGGGCATGAGTGTTCAGTGAGCGGCAATGGGATCGCAGCTATTTTGTTCCCCTCCACACACAGAAAATGAGCCACAGAGCAAGCTGACCCCAGCGACACAGCCCCCCAGCCCTACTGTATTTCCGTTCCTATCAAAAAATGGATGACTCGGAGACAGGTTTCAATCTGAAAGTCGTCCTGGTCAGTTTCAAGCAGTGTCTCGATGAGAAGGAAGAGGTCTTGCTGGACCCCTACATTGCCAGCTGGAAGGGCCTGGTCAGGTGCGTGTGCCAGGGCTGCCTCCTGAGGTGGGCGCTCCCCTGGCCCGAGTCCCATATGTGGCATCTGCCTCCCGACTGCCTGTCCCCACCAGCTTTGCTGCCCGTTTCCAGATGGGTGTGAGCCCCCGCAGGCTGGGCAGCGTCCCCTGCACCCCAGGCGGGCTGCCCCAGGCCTGGGCGAGGACTCGAGCCCCGCTCCCTTCCACAGGTTTCTGAACAGCCTGGGCACCATCTTCTCATTCATCTCCAAGGACGTGGTCTCCAAGCTGCGGATCATGGAGCGCCTCAGGGGCGGCCCGCAGAGCGAGCACTACCGCAGCCTGCAGGCCATGGTGGCCCACGAGCTGAGCAACCGGCTGGTGGACCTGGAGCGCCGCTCCCACCACCCGGAGTCTGGCTGCCGGACGGTGCTGCGCCTGCACCGCGCCCTGCACTGGCTGCAGCTGTTCCTGGAGGGCCTGCGTACCAGCCCCGAGGACGCACGCACCTCCGCGCTCTGCGCCGACTCCTACAACGCCTCGCTGGCCGCCTACCACCCCTGGGTCGTGCGCCGCGCCGTCACCGTGGCCTTCTGCACGCTGCCCACACGCGAGGTCTTCCTGGAGGCCATGAACGTGGGGCCCCCGGAGCAGGCCGTGCAGATGCTAGGCGAGGCCCTCCCCTTCATCCAGCGTGTCTACAACGTCTCCCAGAAGCTCTACGCCGAGCACTCCCTGCTGGACCTGCCCTAGGGGCGGGAAGCCAGGGCCGCACCGGCTTTCCTGCTGCAGATCTGGGCTGCGGTGGCCAGGGCCGTGAGTCCCGTGGCAGAGCCTTCTGGGCGCTGCGGGAACAGGAGATCCTCTGTCGCCCCTGTGAGCTGAGCTGGTTAGGAACCACAGACTGTGACAGAGAAGGTGGCGACCAGCCCAGAAGAGGCCCACCCTCTCGGTCCGGAACAAGACGCCTCGGCCACGGCTCCCCCTCGGCCTATTACACGCGTGCGCAGCCAGGCCTCGCCAGGGTGCGGTGCAGAGCAGAGCAGGCAGGGGTGGGGGCCGGGCCTGCAAGAGCCCGAAAGGTCGCCACCCCCTAGCCTGTGGGGTGCATCTGCGAACCAGGGTGAAGTCACAGGTCCCGGGGTGTGGAGGCTCCATCCTTTCTCCTTTCTGCCAGCCGATGTGTCCTCATCTCAGGCCCGTGCCTGGGACCCCGTGTCTGCCCAGGTGGGCAGCCTTGAGCCCAGGGGACTCAGTGCCCTCCATGCCCTGGCTGGCAGAAACCCTCAACAGCAGTCTGGGCACTGTGGGGCTCTCCCCGCCTCTCCTGCCTTGTTTGCCCCTCAGCGTGCCAGGCAGACTGGGGGCAGGACAGCCGGAAGCTGAGACCAAGGCTCCTCACAGAAGGGCCCAGGAAGTCCCCGCCCTTGGGACAGCCTCCTCCGTAGCCCCTGCACGGCACCAGTTCCCCGAGGGACGCAGCAGGCCGCCTCCCGCAGCGGCCGTGGGTCTGCACAGCCCAGCCCAGCCCAAGGCCCCCAGGAGCTGGGACTCTGCTACACCCAGTGAAATGCTGTGTCCCTTCTCCCCCGTGCCCCTTGATGCCCCCTCCCCACAGTGCTCAGGAGACCCGTGGGGCACGGAACAGGAGGGTCTGGACCCTGTGGCCCAGCCAAAGGCTACCAGACAGCCACAACCAGCCCAGCCACCATCCAGTGCCTGGGGCCTGGCCACTGGCTCTTCACAGTGGACCCCAGCACCTCGGGGTGGCAGAGGGACGGCCCCCACGGCCCAGCAGACATGCGAGCTTCCAGAGTGCAATCTATGTGATGTCTTCCAACGTTAATAAATCACACAGCCTCCCAGGAGGGAGACGCTGGGGTGCACTGGGTGCCTGATTTCCTGCAGGGGGACACAGGGGCACCCAGTGAGGGTGGGGAGGGCCCTCACCCCAGGGACACAGCTGAGGTGGGTGCACCTAACTCCAAGGGAGCTGAGGCCCCACTGCCAGGCTCAGGGGGCTGTGTTAGCCCCAGGGCTCAACAAACACCCTGAGAAAAGGCCAGCCTTGGAGGCAGGGCTGCTGTGTGCCCATTCTCCCAGAGAGGTCCCATCACTATGCCTGTTGTACAGGTGAGACAAGAGAGAGACAGAGTCACCCAGAACCAAGAGGCTGGGTTGGGAGGACGGTTGGGAGGGCAGACATCCGCCTCTCCATGCAAAAGAGGAGAGGCCTGCGTGGGATGTGTGCGTGGAGGTGGGGGCCACTCCCAGCCACAACAGTGGCCTGGACAGAAAGGGGATGCAATTCAGCAGAGTCTTCCTGGATGTCACCCCCACCTCAGGGTCTGTGGGAGCTGCATATGGTGCCGGCAAAGGCTGCCGACTGCAGTATGGGCCGGGAGAACTGCCTGGGTCTGCGTGGGCCCCAGGGCAGGGCTCCCTCCGGGTGTTGCCTTCTGTACAAGTGCCATGCTTGTGCCGTTTGCGTGTCCCAAGTGCGAGTGTGCTATTTGCGTGTGCCGCACGTGTGCCGTTTGCATGTGCTGTTTGCATGTACCATGTGCATGTGTGCCATCTGTGCAATGTGCAGGTGCCAGTTGCATGTGCCATGCGTGTTGGCCGTGAGCGTGTGCTGTTTTCGTGTATGTGCCATGCACGTATGTGCTGCGTGTTGGCCGTGCACGTGTGCCACGTGCATGTGTGCCATTTGTGTATGCCGTGTGTGCTGTGAGCGTATGCTGTGCGCATGTGCGTGCCATGTGCTTTGCGTGTACCATGTGTGTGCTGTTTGCATGTGCCATTTGTGTCATGCACGTGCCATTTGCGTGCGATGCGCGTGTGCCACACGTCGTTTGCTTGCGTGCCATGCATGTGTGGCATTTGTGTATGTGCCGTTTCCGTGTGTATTGTGTGTGCCGTGTGTGTGCCATTTGCATGTGCCGTTTTGTGTGTGCCATGCGCGTGTGCCATGCACTTGCCGTGCGTGTGCCATTTGTGTGTACCATGCGCATGTGCCATTCGTGTGCACCGTACACGTGTGCCATTTGCATGTATGCTGTGCACGTGTGGCATGCATGTGTGCCGTTTGCATGCCATGCATGTGTTCCTTGCGTGTGCCGTGCGTGTCCCATGCACGTGTGCCGTGCATGTGCCATTCGCGTGTACCATGCGCATGTGCCGTTTGTGTGTGTGCCGCATTCCTGTGCTCGTGTGCCAGGTTCGCATGTGCGCCATATTCACGTGTGCTCAGCATGTGCCATATGCATGTGCGGTGGTAGTGTGTGTCCCTCACAGGTCCTCCTCACAACACCATGGGGAAGAAGCACCAGCCAGGGCACACCTCCTGGTATCTGCTAGGTCTGCCAGGCCCTAGCTGAAGCTGAGTGCCCCCCAGTTCCCCTGGGAGGGCCTGCGCCTGGAGTCTGCTGTGTCCCCGAGGGCACCCCCAAAGCAACACAGAGGCAGAGGAGTCCCGGCCCTGCACACCTGGTGCTGCTCCAGCTGCCGCTCATTTGCCTGTGGCCCTTCCTCCCTTGTTTGCGTGCCCCCCTGGCAAACAAACTCTACCCCCAGCAGGAGCCACCTGTGTGCCTGCCACGCAGGAGTGGCCCAGACGGGGGTCAGCAGTGTGAGTACAGCTGGCCATGCGGTTCCTACAGCTTCCAGGCGTCAGACTCTGGCAGAAGGGCTGAGACCCTCAAGGAACTCTGCTCCCAAGCAGACTGGGAGGGCAGCACCACCACCCCAGGGCCCTCCCCAGCTGCAGGGTGGAGGCCTGGCTGGCCGGCTGCCCACTGGCCTGACTGGTCTGCAGGCCTAGGGGGCCCATCCCTGCTGCCCCCGGCTCCGGCCAGCACAGCCTTGAGTGGGAGCCAGAAGCTCCCGGGGCTGGGTAGGAGGCATTTCTGTGCTTATGAAAAGCCCCAGGGCTGGGTGTCTCTGCATCCCTCCCACGCAGCTGAGACCTCAGAGCCCTGGAGGCCCCTTTGCCCCCTCTCCTCTCCACAGCCTGCTGGGCAACTCCAGGAATCGGGGGGTGGCAAGGGGCTCAGCCACAGGCAGGGAACAAGGCCACGGCCAGCAACTGAGCAGAGCCTGCCTGCCGGTCAACGCTGGCCATAGAGCCTGGCAGTGGCCTCAGGCAGAGTCTGACGCGCACAAACTTTCAGGCCCAGGAAGCGAGGACACCACTGGGGCCCCAGGGTGTGGCAAGTGAGGATGGCAAGGGTTTTGCTAAACAAATCCTCTGCCCGCTCCCCGCCCCGGGCTCACTCCATGTGAGGCCCCAGTCGGGGCAGCCACCTGCCGTGCCTGTTGGAAGTTGCCTCTGCCATGCTGGGCCCTGCTGTCCTGGGCCTCAGCCTCTGGGCTCTCCTGCACCCTGGGACGGGGGCCCCATTGTGCCTGTCACAGCAACTTAGGATGAAGGGGGACTACGTGCTGGGGGGGCTGTTCCCCCTGGGCGAGGCCGAGGAGGCTGGCCTCCGCAGCCGGACACGGCCCAGCAGCCCTGTGTGCACCAGGTACAGAGGTGGGACGGCCTGGGTCGGGGTCAGGGTGACCAGGTCTGGGGTGCTCCTGAGCTGGGGCCGAGGTGGCCATCTGCGGTTCTGTGTGGCCCCAGGTTCTCCTCAAACGGCCTGCTCTGGGCACTGGCCATGAAAATGGCCGTGGAGGAGATCAACAACAAGTCGGATCTGCTGCCCGGGCTGCGCCTGGGCTACGACCTCTTTGATACGTGCTCGGAGCCTGTGGTGGCCATGAAGCCCAGCCTCATGTTCCTGGCCAAGGCAGGCAGCCGCGACATCGCCGCCTACTGCAACTACACGCAGTACCAGCCCCGTGTGCTGGCTGTCATCGGGCCCCACTCGTCAGAGCTCGCCATGGTCACCGGCAAGTTCTTCAGCTTCTTCCTCATGCCCCAGGTGGGCGCCCCCCACCATCACCCACCCCCACCCAGCCCTGCCCGTGGGAGCCCCTGTGTCAGGAGATGCCTCTTGGCCCTTGCAGGTCAGCTACGGTGCTAGCATGGAGCTGCTGAGCGCCCGGGAGACCTTCCCCTCCTTCTTCCGCACCGTGCCCAGCGACCGTGTGCAGCTGACGGCCGCCGCGGAGCTGCTGCAGGAGTTCGGCTGGAACTGGGTGGCCGCCCTGGGCAGCGACGACGAGTACGGCCGGCAGGGCCTGAGCATCTTCTCGGCCCTGGCCGCGGCACGCGGCATCTGCATCGCGCACGAGGGCCTGGTGCCGCTGCCCCGTGCCGATGACTCGCGGCTGGGGAAGGTGCAGGACGTCCTGCACCAGGTGAACCAGAGCAGCGTGCAGGTGGTGCTGCTGTTCGCCTCCGTGCACGCCGCCCACGCCCTCTTCAACTACAGCATCAGCAGCAGGCTCTCGCCCAAGGTGTGGGTGGCCAGCGAGGCCTGGCTGACCTCTGACCTGGTCATGGGGCTGCCCGGCATGGCCCAGATGGGCACGGTGCTTGGCTTCCTCCAGAGGGGTGCCCAGCTGCACGAGTTCCCCCAGTACGTGAAGACGCACCTGGCCCTGGCCACCGACCCGGCCTTCTGCTCTGCCCTGGGCGAGAGGGAGCAGGGTCTGGAGGAGGACGTGGTGGGCCAGCGCTGCCCGCAGTGTGACTGCATCACGCTGCAGAACGTGAGCGCAGGGCTAAATCACCACCAGACGTTCTCTGTCTACGCAGCTGTGTATAGCGTGGCCCAGGCCCTGCACAACACTCTTCAGTGCAACGCCTCAGGCTGCCCCGCGCAGGACCCCGTGAAGCCCTGGCAGGTGAGCCCGGGAGATGGGGGTGTGCTGTCCTCTGCATGTGCCCAGGCCACCAGGCACGGCCACCACGCCTGAGCTGGAGGTGGCTGGCGGCTCAGCCCCGTCCCCCGCCCGCAGCTCCTGGAGAACATGTACAACCTGACCTTCCACGTGGGCGGGCTGCCGCTGCGGTTCGACAGCAGCGGAAACGTGGACATGGAGTACGACCTGAAGCTGTGGGTGTGGCAGGGCTCAGTGCCCAGGCTCCACGACGTGGGCAGGTTCAACGGCAGCCTCAGGACAGAGCGCCTGAAGATCCGCTGGCACACGTCTGACAACCAGGTGAGGTGAGGGTGGGTGTGCCAGGCGTGCCCGTGGTAGCCCCCGCGGCAGGGCGCAGCCTGGGGGTGGGGGCCGTTCCAGTCTCCCGTGGGCATGCCCAGCCGAGCAGAGCCAGACCCCAGGCCTGTGCGCAGAAGCCCGTGTCCCGGTGCTCGCGGCAGTGCCAGGAGGGCCAGGTGCGCCGGGTCAAGGGGTTCCACTCCTGCTGCTACGACTGTGTGGACTGCGAGGCGGGCAGCTACCGGCAAAACCCAGGTGAGCCGCCTTCCCGGCAGGCGGGGGTGGGAACGCAGCAGGGGAGGGTCCTGCCAAGTCCTGACTCTGAGACCAGAGCCCACAGGGTACAAGACGAACACCCAGCGCCCTTCTCCTCTCTCACAGACGACATCGCCTGCACCTTTTGTGGCCAGGATGAGTGGTCCCCGGAGCGAAGCACACGCTGCTTCCGCCGCAGGTCTCGGTTCCTGGCATGGGGCGAGCCGGCTGTGCTGCTGCTGCTCCTGCTGCTGAGCCTGGCGCTGGGCCTTGTGCTGGCTGCTTTGGGGCTGTTCGTTCACCATCGGGACAGCCCACTGGTTCAGGCCTCGGGGGGGCCCCTGGCCTGCTTTGGCCTGGTGTGCCTGGGCCTGGTCTGCCTCAGCGTCCTCCTGTTCCCTGGCCAGCCCAGCCCTGCCCGATGCCTGGCCCAGCAGCCCTTGTCCCACCTCCCGCTCACGGGCTGCCTGAGCACACTCTTCCTGCAGGCGGCCGAGATCTTCGTGGAGTCAGAACTGCCTCTGAGCTGGGCAGACCGGCTGAGTGGCTGCCTGCGGGGGCCCTGGGCCTGGCTGGTGGTGCTGCTGGCCATGCTGGTGGAGGTCGCACTGTGCACCTGGTACCTGGTGGCCTTCCCGCCGGAGGTGGTGACGGACTGGCACATGCTGCCCACGGAGGCGCTGGTGCACTGCCGCACACGCTCCTGGGTCAGCTTCGGCCTAGCGCACGCCACCAATGCCACGCTGGCCTTTCTCTGCTTCCTGGGCACTTTCCTGGTGCGGAGCCAGCCGGGCTGCTACAACCGTGCCCGTGGCCTCACCTTTGCCATGCTGGCCTACTTCATCACCTGGGTCTCCTTTGTGCCCCTCCTGGCCAATGTGCAGGTGGTCCTCAGGCCCGCCGTGCAGATGGGCGCCCTCCTGCTCTGTGTCCTGGGCATCCTGGCTGCCTTCCACCTGCCCAGGTGTTACCTGCTCATGCGGCAGCCAGGGCTCAACACCCCCGAGTTCTTCCTGGGAGGGGGCCCTGGGGATGCCCAAGGCCAGAATGACGGGAACACAGGAAATCAGGGGAAACATGAGTGACCCAACCCTGTGATCTCAGCCCCGGTGAACCCAGACTTAGCTGCGATCCCCCCCAAGCCAGCAATGACCCGTGTCTCGCTACAGAGACCCTCCCGCTCTAGGTTCTGACCCCAGGTTGTCTCCTGACCCTGACCCCACAGTGAGCCCTAGGCCTGGAGCACGTGGACACCCCTGTGACCATCTGGGCCCCAGAGCCAAGCTGTGTCCCTGTCCCTCTGTGCCCAGACCAGGCCTGCCCAGGTAACCCAGACCCACTGTTCTGGAAAGAGGCCCGGAGGGCTCCCAGGGTACCCGCAACCCACACCGTGAGCTCAGGAAAAGGACGCAGGGAGGCCCCGGCCAGATGGCTGGAAGCCCAAATCAGGCCCTGCCGACCTGACCATGTCCCACCAGGGCCCCCATCCTGCACCCTGCCAGGCACCACAGCAGTGGGAGGCCAGGTGGGGGCACACAGGCATATGCCCAGGGCAGAGCCCGCCGAGGTAGGGGTGGCACCCAGCTTCCTACTCTGCCCTTTGCCCAGTGGGTAGACAGCATCATGACTGTCACCAGTACCAGGGACAGAGCCCAGGTGGGGTGGGGGCGGGGTCCAGCACCACGGCCAGCACCGACCACCAGGACCCCGGAGCCAGCACCATGGACAGAAAACTGCCCACCAGGATCTGACGCCAGCACGCCGCCAGGCCCACACAGGGTCTCCGGTCAGAGTCCCAGGGTCAGCTCCCAGCAGGGCCTAGGGGAGGCTGGACCAGCTCCCTGTGCCTCATTCCAAGGCAGCCCAGCCGGAGAGAAGGGGCACAGGCCACACATCTGTCCCATAAAATTAAACGCTTTTTAGTGTTTAAAATAAGCAGCATTTACACAGAAGCAGCTCTATGTTAACCATCTAAACGCTGGGACTTTGATACAGTATCTACAGCACAGACACGTGGGGGCCAGAGAAGCCAGGAAGGCCGCGATGTGTGCGCGCAGTGTGTGCACTCACCAAGGACGGGCCACCTGACTGCCCATCTCCCCAAGACCTCCCTCCCTGTGGCAGCTGTGCACATCGGGGCCCCTTGACCCTGCGGGCCATGGTCCCTCCCTGCCCTGGCTGGGACACGGTGGGCAGGATGTCCAGCCCTCTCTCGTCTTCCGGTCCCGTCCTCCACGTACTTTCAGACTGTTGCCGGATGGGAGGAGAGAAGGTGCAGGCTGCTCCAAGGGGCAGCAGCAGGTGGGACAGATGACAGGGTCGCCTCCTCCCCCGAGTCACCGGCCAGGCAATAAATAAATAAATTAGATCCCTACTCCAGACAGGGGGCCTGTGCACCGCAGGGGGTTGCCCCGCATGGACCACCCTGGGGGCCTGGGCACAGCTGTGCAGGAGGTGGGGGTCAGCCGAGAGCCCGAGGGGGTCTTCCTCATCCCAGGAGGGATCCCCACCAGACACAAGGGGTTGGGAGGTCCGAGGCTCTCGCTGAGGGGCAGAGAGGGAGCGCCCCCAACACGGCTGCTCAGACACAGGTGCTGTCAGGAGCTGGAGCAGCCAGGCTGCCAGGGCAGATGGTGGTGGTCCAGCCTGCCCCCCACCCTGCCTCCCGTCCTGGCCCCCACGAAGGCAAGCCCACGCGAGCTCTGCATGCGGCAGGACCGCCAGCTCCCCACCTCAGGCAGGGCTGGGGCATGCGCCACGAGTCACATGATGTCCACGAAGAACTCGCAGGGGTTCCCCATAGCCTTCTGGAAGGACTGGCGGCTGCCTGTCAATTCCGGGGGGACGGCAGCCAGCTCCCGGACAGGGGGTCCCCCGGGTGGCCCCCCCACCACTGTATAGGCCTTGGTCGTGGGGTGGGGCGGGGGGAGCCCCGGGGCGGTAGCCGAGGCCTGACTGCGTGGGCTGCTGCCACGGCTGAGCTGGCCGGCCGGACGCTCTCGCCAGCTGCTCCCCACCCCACTCGGTGCCGTGTGATCCGATTCACTGCCACTGCCCCCAGCTCCCGCCGCCCGACGCTCCTTCTCACGGCCCGGGGCCCGGCGGCTGCTCCGGGTGGACCCACTGCTTTTGCTCCCTGGGAGTGAGAACAGGATGGGGAAGGAGCCTGTCAGCACCAGGCCCGGCCACGTCCAGAACAACCGCCCCCGCCAGGTGACCGGGCAGGAACGGTGGCCCGTGCAGGACGGGTGGGTGGGGCAGCCATGCAGGCGCGAGGACAGGGCCGGCACCCCCAGGGTCGCAGGGGCAGCTGCGGCAGGCATGGGCTGGTGGGGGCAGTGGGAGGCAGGCAGGGTCCTGGGGCAAGCTGGGCGCCCCCACACCTCACCCCGATGCTTGAGCTGAGGGCCTGGTCTTGCGGCTGAAAGACTGAGGTGCCAGCGAGGGCCCCTCATGCCCGGTGCCCCCGTGGCCATCCTGGATTCCCCACCCAAGGCCCCACTGTCCCCCCGGCCCAGGACCCTGGCCGACGGATGACTCAGCTCAGCCCTGTCCTGGGCTCCCAAGACGCAGTGGGAGCTGGAGGGCGTGGCTGGCTGGGGACATGCTGAGGGACCCCGGGCGGGACCCTGGCTTACCGGCCCAAGGTCCGCTCCGCTAGTCCTTCAGTCTAAGGCTTGTTTAGCACAAGACAAGGGATAGCACGAGTTACACGCCCGGCTGCCTGGCACCTGCCCAGCACCCACCCGCCACCAGTGGGGACTGACCGCGGGCTGGGCGGGGCTGAAGTGGGCGCAAGCGCCGGTCGAGGGTCAGTAGACACCCAGCGTGGCTTCTCTGCGGTCCCACACCCTCTGGCCGCCTCTCCTCTCTCGCCCTCCTTCCTGGGCCCTCCACGAAGCCACCTGCACCCCTCCCTGGCCTGCAGACGCCCCTGCTGGCCTCACCAACCCCACCCACTGGGGCCTCTGCTCCACCAGGCAACACCTCAGGAACACTCTGGATCCCCGGCCCCTAAACACACCCCAGCCAGGGGCACAAGGCTAGGATGCACGGCACCATCCACGTCAGGCTCCCTACCCGGGCTGCAGCTGCCACCCTCCTGTGTCCTGGGGCCTAGAAAGTGACCCTGTCAGACTCCTTGGCCACCCCTGCCCTGTCCTTGTCACATGGCCCATGGCCACATGGTCTCAGGGCCTCCTGCCTCTACCATAGGAGAACCACCAGCCGCCACCCCTACCAGGCACAGCCGCCCAGGCCGCCAGGCTCCTGGAGGCCCCTCATCCCAATCCCACCCAGATGAGGTGGGGTCCAGGCTGCCCCTGTGTGAGACGCTTCCCTGTCCTCCCCATTCACACTGGCTCCTGGATCCCCCTGGCACTTGCCTTTTCCAGAAGGAGCCCACCCAGGGCCCAAGTACACAGCAGGAGCATGGGATTGGGGTCAGCAGAGAAGCAGGGCGGAGCAGCAGCGGGGTGGGGTGGAGCTGGGGGTGGAGCAGCAGCGGGGTGGGGTGGAACTGGGGGCGGAGCAGCAGTGGAGTGGGGCGGAGCTGGGGGCGGAGCCGGGGAAGGGCAGGTAGGGGCGGCGTTCTCACCTTCACTCTGCTGACTCCCGGTGCTGCCGCTGCCATAGCTAAAGCCCGGGTCCTGGTAGGCAGGCGGGAAGCAGGGTGGGGGTCCCGGGTACTGGTAGGGGTAGCCCTGACCCAGAGGCCAGGGGGCAGCCGGGTGGGGCAGCGGGGCCAGCGTGTCCTGATCCGAAGTCCCACTGGAGCCACTGTTGAGGTTCAGGGTGGCGAGATCTGGCGGGGGAGGGTAGGTGAGGGCCGCGGAGGGGCCTCCGGCGTTCCCCTCCCCCCCGCCCTGAAGCCCGAAGCCCCCACTCACTGCTGCAGAGATCCCCGAAGACGTAGTAGCACTGCTCGGAGAAGGTGATCTTGTTGACCGTGTGCCGCAGGAAGCCGTGCTTCAGCAAGCTGCTGGCGTACTTCCGGGCCTCCCGCCGCTCCTTGAAGCCCTCCACGTGTGTGTACAGCCAGTCCACCACGTCCGCCCCTGGCCGGCACCAGCGGTCAGCCCGCAGCCTCGAGGCAAGCAGCCCTGCCCCTGGCACTATCCGCCCGCGGGGACGGCCACTCACCGATGACGGCATTGGCGATGGTGATCTTGAGCCACATGCGGTCGCGGATCTCCAGTCCCGAGTCTGGCAGCTGCATGACCCGGACGACGGCGCTCATGTCACTCTTCACCGTCAGCGGCGCCTCTTCCAGCTCTGCAAAGCACAGACAGCCCCGCTTCAGCCCCAGCATCTGAAGGCGGGGGACTCAGGGCCCTGCACCCCCAGGGGAGCCTCTGGGCAGAGCCTGCGCCAGGGCGCAAGCTGGACGGTGCGTGACAGCAGGGCCCCGGCCCACTGCAGGATGCACCCCCGTGAGGCTGGGGCGTGAGCAGGGGGGTTGGACATTTAGTCTCCCACTTCTACAGACACTTTTCATCAGGATCCTAGGCACAAACTGGGCTGACACCCCACCCTGCAGACCAGGAAGTAATGAGAACAGGGCAGGCCCCTTCCCCTCCCCGCATGCCCCACCCGAGAGCGCAGGCTGTTAGTCGTGTTAATGGCAGGAAGCAGAATGGAGACCTGGCCCCTGCCTCTGACGCCGTGGGTGCTCCCCGCATAGGGGCCCTACGTACATCCCCTGTTCCCAACACACAGACCATGAGCAGGATGGGCTGCACAAGGTGGGCACGGGTGCCTGTGCACACGTCTGTGCAGGGAGTTGGGGACAGGCAACACACACGTGTCACAGCCCCATGACGGCCACAGGCGGCCATGCTGGAGGCTGGCAGAGACGCCCCCTCCAAGCCTCGGTTTCTGCTGGGGCCCTCAGGAGCTGCCACTTACGTGGAGCACCAGGCACGGAGCTGGTTAGTGAGGAGGAGCTGGTGCGCGTGACGGCGCTGGAGCAGGGACTCGTACCGTAGCGGGGCAGGGCTCCTGTCAGTGCCGCCGTGTGGGACAGCCAGGCGGCGGGGTCGATGGGCCGCACCGGGTCAGCTGGGTGGCCGCCACGTGGCGATGACAGGCGGACAGATGGACAGGGTGGGAGGGCAGGGTGCAGGGCACAGAGGAGAGAGGCCTTCAGGCTAGGTAGGCGCCCCCTCCCCATCCCGCCCCGTGTGCCCCGAGGGCCACTCACCCCGTGGGACGGTGAAGTAGCTTCGGGGCGTTGGGTCCCAGCACTTGGCCACAGTGAGGCTGATGGGCCTGCAGGAACGGTGGTCACACAGCAAGGCCCCCATGGTCCCACCTCCCTGCCTGGCCCCTCCCGCTCCAGCGCCCCCAGCCCTCACCCCGTCTGGGAAACGATCTCCCGCAGCACCCGCACGGCATCGTCATTGCTCATGTTCTCAAAGTTCACGTCATTCACCTGCAGGGGTGGGGATTAGGGTGGTGCAGGCAGGATGTGCAGCTCAGTCCACCGCCCCCGCAGACCCACCCACAGCCGCATGTCCCCCAGCAGCCCCCGCAGACCCACCCGCAGCCGCATGTCCCCCAGCAGCCCCTACAGACCCACCCGCAGCCGCACGTCACCCCAAAGTCCCCACGGACCCACCCGCAGCTACATGTCACCCCGCAGCCCCCACAGACACACCTGCAGCAACATGTCGCCGGGCTCGATGCGGCCGTCAGCGGCCACAGCCCCGCCCTTCATGATGGAGCCAATGTAGATGCCGCCGTCTCCACGGTCGTTGCTCTGCCCCACGATGCTGATGCCCAGAAAGTGATGTCTTTCTGCAGGAAGAGCCATGAGCCGCGGCCAAGCCCCTGCCCCTGCCCCCAACCCTCGCCCCGAGGCCTCACCCATGTTGAGCGTGACAGTGACGATGTTGAGGGACATGGTGGAGTCGGTTATGCTGCTGAAGGAGGAGGCCTATGGAGGAGAGGGGGCGTGTGTAAAAGGCACGGGGCTGCCCGACACTGACTTCGCCTCCCCAGCCCCGCCCTGCTCCACCCGGCTGCCTACCCGGTCCGCCTGCCGAAGGCGCTGCTTCCTCCGCCGGCGTTTGTGCTTCCGGATGAGTCTGGATGAGGTGCTCTGCTCCGTGGAGCTGCTGAGCCTGGGAACAGACTGTCAGAGCTCAGAGGAGCTGGAGACATGGGTAGGGGGGTGGGAACCCGCTCCCCCAATACTGAGTGGGAATCGGGGGTCTAGGCCAGGCTTGTTCCAAAGCAGGCTCAGTGCCTGACGTCCACGCCCCAGGCCCTGCACACGTGATATGCATATGAGCACACACGAAAATCCCAGAGACAGGCAAACTGGGCACAGACACATGTAGCCAGATCCACTACTGACACACCTGCACACATGCACACCTGCACACACATGCACACCTGCACACACGCACCCCTGCACAAGGCACACATGCACACACCTGCACACACACCTGCACACACGCAACCCTGCACACATGCACCCCTGCGCACAGGCACACATGCACACCCCTGCACACGCACGCATGAACACACGCACACCTGCACACGCATGCACACCTGCACACACGCACCCCTGCACACTACACACCTGCACAGGCACACATGCACACCTGCATACTCACCTGCACACGCACCCCTGCACAATGCACCCCTGCACACACGCACCCCTGCACACACATGCACACCTGCACACACGCACCCCTGCACACAGGCACACCTGCACACACCTGCACACGCACGCCTGCACATGCACACCTGCACGCACACCTTCACATACACCTGTACAAGCACACCTGCACACACGCACATCTGCACACGCACACCTGCACACACGCACACGCAC
Source organism: Homo sapiens (assembly GCF_000001405.40). Lineage (NCBI taxonomy): Eukaryota > Metazoa > Chordata > Mammalia > Primates > Hominidae > Homo > Homo sapiens. The sequence continues at coordinate 1,341,223 of NC_000001.11, forward strand.
ACATGCACACACCTGCGCACACGCGTGCATTGTGAAAACGCTCACGTGCACACTGTGAAAACGCACCTCACACACACATACATGCACACACAGACATGCGCATCATGTACATAAACGTTTGCACACAGGTACATGCACAGACACATCCGCAATGTGAAAACGCCTCACACAGACACACATGCACAAGCAGACACGTGCATCATGTACACGTTTGCACGCGGGCACACACACAGGCGCGCACACACGTGCACAGTGAAAACACCTCATGTGGAACACGTGCACAAGCACACGTGCATCATGTACACAGACATTTGCAGGCACACACATGCACACACACGCACACACGTGCAATGTGAAAACACCTCATGCAGACACATGCACATCATGTACAGACATTTGCAAGTGGGCACACAGGCATACACGCCCACAGACACTCCCACACACCTGCTCGTGCTGCCATCCTCGTCCGAGTCCACAAAGCTGCTGGACTCAAGCTCGCTGCTGAGGGCGGTGGACGCGCTGTCTGGGGGCAGCCCCACATCCCGCCGTCGGTCTCCCCTTGGGTGCCCATTGGTCCGGGCGGCTGTGGGGGCAGCAGGTTGGGAACTGACTGCAGGGTCTCCCAGAGGTCATGGGTTTGGGGCTGCCTGGGCAGTGCTGCATGCCTGTGGGTCTGGGAGCTGGCAGCTCAACTGTAGGCTCGCTGGGCCTGTGCCTCCACCCAAGCACCGCCACTGGCTGGGGGACAGGAACTGCTGTAGTAGGAACATGGCTCATGGGGGTCCCAGGGAGGCTGGGGGTCCACAGCTGGGCAGACATGACCACTGTACCCTCCTCGCGGTTCCGGCGTCGGGCACGCTCCCGCCGGTGACTGACCATGGACTCCGTGCCTGTCTCGTTGTCCATCCCGTCACGGCTGCTGGCCACATTTGGGCTGTGCAACAAGAGCAGGGTGGGTGGGGAGGCCGTGGCCCCAGCCCCTCAGATGCCGCCCAGCCCAGCCTCCCCTCGCCTGTGGGACCCCAGCCCCAGCAGGTGCCACGCCCGCCTACTGGCCCAGGCAGGCCTCCCTCCCCTGTTGGCCAGCAACCCCCATGACAGGCTTGGGGTAGCAGGGCCCAGCGCCCACGGTGTCCTTACTGGAAGGAGGGGGGCCGGGAGTCCCCGATGCCGCCTGTCCGCTCAAGAGGCGGGGGCAGGTCTGTGTGGCTGTCCGTGCCCTGGGACCCCGCATCCGAGTGAGCACCCTCAGCCAGGACCAGCTGTGGAGGGAGCAGGCATGCTCAGGGGAGCCCACCCGCCTTCAGGACGCCTCCTCAGGGCACCCAGGGAACAGGGGGCCAGCAAGCTGCCCTATCCGCACCCAGCCTGCCAGGGCCTCCCCACACCCACCGCCTCCCCCAGGAAGAGCCCCACCCTGGAATGCTCCCCAGGCGAGCCTTCGGGGCCAAGACACAGGGGCTCACCCAGGAGACCACGCGGCCGTTGAAGCAGGGAAGCTTGGCATTGTCATCAAAGATCTCCTCCTTCACCACCCTGTGGGCATATGCTGCCGTGAGGCCCCACCTGGGGGGCCCAACCCTGCGGTTCTAGAGGTGAGGCCTGGAGAGCAGGCGCTCCTCCTGCCCACACAATGTCACTCTGTGGACACCCCTGCTAGCGCATTCTCCTCTTGGGAACCGTCCTTCCTCTCCGTCACATCCTGGGCCCCCACCCCCCCAGCATGGGGCCAGTCACTCTGCGGACACCCCTGCTAACGCACTCTCCTCTCGGGAACCGTCCTTCCTCTCCGTCACATCCTGGGCCCCCACCCCCCCAGCATGGGGACAGTGGCTGTGGACATCCTCACAGGGGCAGCTCAGCCAAAGGCTCTCAGTCCCCTGCAGCGTTGGTCCCCAGCCCCCAGGTAGGAGGACAGCTAGGGTGAGGCCTCCTTGGGAAAGCCCCCGTGCCCAGCTGCCCTCGGTTCATGTATGTGGTGGCCCCAGACGCTGTCTCCAACCACCCCCACCTCATCTGTTCCTGGGGCTTGGAGCCCCCCCCCCCCAGGGCTTCCCCCACACTGGGACTCCTCAGGGCCAGGCCCCAGCCTCCTCAGCAGCAGCAGCTGCACCTACCGGGCCCCAAGGCTCCCCAGGCTATTCCCTGTCCCTTGCCCCAGACCTCAGGTCCACCGCTCCACCTCCCAGCCAGCTCCAGACCAGCCGCCCACCCCTCAACAGCCAGGGCATCAGGCCACCTGCACCCACCCCTGCACTCAGACCTGTCATTCCCAACCAGGAGCCCAAATCCCCCAGCAGCCTCCTCTCCATCATGCCAGCCATGCCCTATGGCCCTACTCCACCCTCCTGGCGTCTCAGGAGCAGCCTCAGGTCCCAGGCCCTGTGCCTGCCTGCCCAGGGTCAGGCTCTGTGAGGGCAGGGCTTTGCCTGACCCCTGCCCTGCACCCCTAGTCAGGCTCACAGTCCACCTACAAGGACTCTCAGACCCGACGGACGGACGTAGGTGGGCTGGGAGGGCCCACAGGTCCCCAGAGGCCGCCCACCACCCTCCTGTCCTGTCCACCTAGCCAGGGAGACAAAGACCTCCACTCACCAAACCTCCCTGCACCTCAGGACCTAGAGGGGCAGCAGGGGATGCGGAGCCGGCAGGGCCCCCAGGAGAGCAAGCTGGCCAGGTGCCTCACCAGTCCACCCCCAGGTCAGATAGGCTTGGGAACGGGGCAGAGGGCACCCAGGCAGGCCGCAGAGGGTCAGGGGACACGAACCAGGAGGAGGCCGGGTGACCCGAGCTCAGAGTTCAGAGGGCAGGGTGGCAACCCACACGGCACAGAGGGGATGGCTGGGCAGGGGCAGGTCCCCAGGCCAAGGAGCAAGGCAGGCAGGGCTGTGGTCGACACTCACACTGTGACCTCTGAGGGCCCAGGCAGCAGGCTGGGTAGGATCTGGACGCCGCCTCGTGGCACCCTGCCCTGCCCAGCAGCATTTTCCACGCCCGGGACTTGGGCCCAGTGGAGAAATAGGAGCCCGGAGACGGGGCTTGGCCTGGCCGCACACCTGGCAGGAAGCGGCCTTGTGGCTGCTAGTCCCACTGCGAGCTACAGAGCCACCCCGACTGGCCGCTCCAGGTCCCCTGACCCCGGGGCACCTTGACTCAGCCAGACTCCGAAGCAGTAGGTAGCAGGAGGCCCCCGGCAAAGTGGCAAACCCACACTCTCACCCAAGCCCTGGCCCACCCACTTGCTGGGAAGAGGCCCCAAGCCTCAGGGCAGAGTGGACAGCAGGCAGGGCCAGCCCAGGTGGGAGCAGGGACCCCTACCTAGCCCTCTGGGGTCCTGCAGCTGCCTCCCCAGGCCACCCAGGGCCAGGCCATGAGGTAGACGCCCCCAAAGAGCAGAGAAGGTCACTTCTCAGACCCCTCCACGTCTGCTGCCCCCACACAGGAGCCTTCCCAGGTAAGACCATGACCCCATGCCAGGCTGAGGCCGCCACAGTGAGAGGCTGTCACACCTGAAAGGCTGGAGCAACCCAGGGTGAGGCGGGCCCCACGGACACCGAGGCCACCACTAGCTGCCGCCAGGGGGCCAGGGCCCACAGTGAGCCCTTGTCTCTAATGGACCTGACCACAGCAGAGCCCCTGGCAGGGTCCCCACCTCAGTCCCTGACACACGGCCCCAGGTGGCCTGGCCGGCAGCTTCTCCCCTGCCACACCCAACCCCAGCACCCTCTGACTCACCTGAGGGAGACACTCAGTCACCCAGCACCCTCTGACTCACCGGAGGGAGACTCGGCCACCCAGCACCCTCTGACTCACTGGAGGGAGACTCGGCCACCCAGCACCCCAGTACAGCACCCGCCTGGCTCCACCGGAAGAGGGCCCTGCCCCCTCCCACCATCCAGAGTGGCCCAAGCCCGCATGGCCCACCCAGCCAGGGCCTCACGAAGACCCCAGGCTGCCTGGGATGTCCCTGCCCCCTGCCCCCTCACAGATGTCCAGCCAGGACCCAGAGGCCCTACTCACTCCGCCCTCTTCAGCCCAACAGGGTGTAACAAGTCCTCCCCTGCCCCCAGTGGCAGGGTGCAGACCCAAGCCTGGCTGGGCCAGGAGAAAGGGAGCAGGACCCAAACAGCACAGAGGGAAGGGTGGGGTCTGCCTGGGGCTCCAGGGATCAGCTACCCAGGTCCCAGGCAGAGCCCTGCCGTCCCCACCCCAGCCAGATGGGGGAGGGTGCTGGAGGCTGGCCAGGCATTGGGGGCGTACCCACAACCCGGGGTCCCCGCGCCTCTGTAGCAGCCTCCGCTGAAACTCACGGCAGCTGCCAGGGGCGCCCCTGCCGGCACTGTGCCCCCACCTTGGGATTCCCTGTGAGGCCTGGCTAACCTGTGTGCTGCCCCCACAGACCCGCCCCGGGGAGGAATCCACTCAGAGGCAGCGCCCTGGGAGCCAGCATGGCCACACAGGATGCAGAGAACCCTCCAGACTCCCAGAGGCCACAGCCAGCTGCCCTAGACGTGGCGTGGTCCCGAATGCACCCCATTCTCCCAAGGCGGAGCAGGAAGCTGGCAGGGGTAGCTGGCCCAGGACAGGCGGTGCAGAGCCATCCTGTGCCCTCAGAGCCCCCTGTGCACGCCCCAGGTCAGGGCCCTCAGCCTTGGGGGTCTGTGGCCTCCCAACCCCTGACCCCAGAGCCAGGGGCTCTCCACCAGCCTGTCCCCTGGGTGGTGCCGAGTCCTGGGATCTCTCTGTGCCCCTCCCCCGGTTCAGGACACACAGGCTCAAGTGTCCCTGCTAGGCCATGGCTATGAGTGCAGTAGGTGAACTGCCTGGACCCTCCCAAAACCAGGGAGGCACTCAGGGCACAGAGAGGCTGAGTCACAGACCCCAAGTGGCACAGCCAGGGAGGGCGGAGTGGGAACTCCCCCCACAGCCCAGGCCAGGCAGAGCCTCCCCAACTCCATAGCTCCCCACAGCACCACCCAGGACACAAGGAGCTGTCACAACACCGAGGCCCATGGCAGGCGGCCCTGGGGACCAGGGCTTTGGGCCCACAGCCTTGCCTCCACCCATCCCCCAGTCCCAGGCCTGGGTCACCCCCACCTCGGAGATGAACTGTGGGAGCTGTGCCCAACAGACAGCCTCGGTGCCAAGTCCAGCAGGCCCAGCATCCGCCACGCACCCAGCAGTGGGGACCCGGAGCCAAACACCCTCCCTCCTCTGCCTCGGCCCAAGGCTGGGCGAGACCCCCTGCCAACCACCAAACCCAGCACCAGGCAGAGACCCTCCCCAATTCTGCCCTCCTCCCAGCCCTGGGGATCTTGGGTCAGAATAGCTGTGACCAGGGCATGAAAAGTGGAGGACAGGCGGGGGACCTTCACCCACTGGGCCAAAGCCGTGCGTGGGGAGTGGGGTCCAGACCAGGGCACGTGGTTGTGGCCATGACACAGGCTCCCTGCACTGCAAGGTGGTCAGTCATGCTCTGGAGCAGAGGCTGGGGAACCAGGGCTGGGCTGAGAATGCAGCGGGGGCTGGCGCAGGAACCCCCGACTCACCAGGGCCTCCTCAGCGTCCCCAGCCTGAAGCTCCCTCTCTTATGAAGGCCACCCCAGACCAGCGAGGACCTGCCTTCTCTTCCCCCCATCTCCAACTACATTCGCTTGGCATCCAGGGTCAGTGTCTAGTTCAGCAGTCGCTTAAGCTAAAGTATTACTGACCAACCAGCCCCTCCCACGGGGGTTCTATTCCACAGAACAGACAGTGCTGAGAGGTCTGCGGGTAGAACTCAGGGGAAGGGATGAAGGAAGTAATTGATGAGGGTCCTCCGTAGGCTCCTGAGGCCACCAGCCAGAGGACCAGGGAGGACACAGAGCAAGGCCCCCATCCCAGCCAGAGGACCTGGGAGGCTACAGAGCAAGGCCCTCGTCTTGGACCTCCAGCATCACCCCAGTCCATTCTTTCCAACCCCCACAGCCCAGCCCAGCCCAGCCCTGACCTCTGCAGCCCCACTGACTCCCAGCCCCCTGTAAGTCTGCAGCCTCCAAAGCTGTACACTGAAGCTCCCCTGTCTCTTTCCTGGCCGCATCCCCAAGCCTGCCTCGACACCCAGACCTGCCCACCCTGTTCCCAGGCCCGGGCACCCACGCGTCCTCCAAATGTGCCCAGCAGGTGCAGCCACTGCTAGAAGTGCACTAGGGCAACAGTCAGGCTGTCTCTGCCCTGGGCAGCCCCCGGTGGGTGTCAGGAGCAGAAGGCGGACTCCCCCAGGGCTTCATCCCAGAGCATGGTCCAGGAGCAGAACCTGGGGGCTGGGCACCTCCTCACTACGCATTTCCTGGTGGCACACATTTGCAACAAACAGCATTAGTAACTTTGGTAACTTTCGTTAGAATAATAAACTAAGTCAAAAACAAAAGTACCTGACACATGCCCCATGCTCAAGGCCAAAGCAGCCCAGGCCCAGAGAAGCAGGGACTGCAAGGTGCCCCAGCTGGGGAGGAGCCCGGACCAGACTCAGAAAACAAACCGCCCCCTCCTGCCCAACCTGACCGGAGCGGGCAGGAGGGCCGCTGAGCCGAGTGGGGAGCGCCCAGCCTTCAAAGGCTGCCAAGGACGCACCCTGCCCTCTCTGCTTTGCCTGGTCGTGGGGGTGGGGAAGGAAAGTACAGCTGTCTAGATGTCCCTTGGGCCCCCCTGAGAGCTCCAGAGCGGACCCAGCCTGACTGGACCTGGGGCTGCCTGAGGACCCTGCAACCACAGAATCCAAGAAACAACCTTAATGTCACAATCCCAAGAAGCGGCCACACACAAGGACACCGCTTGCCGGAGGCTCACCTCCTGGGGCCACGAGGCCTGAGCCCGCCCCCAGCACTGTTGAGCTGGGACTAGGGACTCAGGTTACTGGTGGCTGGGCCGGGCCAGGCCAGGCCTCAAGCAGACCGCCAGGCTCCTGCTCCCTGTCCCAGAGGGCCCAGCTCAGCACAGCAGGGGTCTCCTCGCCTGGGACACCACCACCGAGGCCCAGCAGGGAGACGCTGACCCAGGCTGCCCCGAAACAGCAGATGGTCTGGGCTGCTCCGGGAACGCAAGTGCTTTGTGGCTCAGTGGGGACGGGGCCCACAGGAAGCTCAGGACACGGGTAGGCGAATAAAGTTTCATGGTCACCAGTGGCCCTTGACCTCCACCCTGTCACAAGGACCCTGCAGAAGGGGGCCAGGAGAACCTGTCTTGACCCTCGGGAAGCTTCTGCAAACCCTAGCAGACAGGTTGGTGAACCTGTACCCCCATGTCTCCCCATCCCAGCTAGGGAACCCCACCCTGCTTCCTTCCCACTGACACGCCCCTGACCCCAGCCCGCACCAACGGCAGGCGCTCCCGGCCAGCCCCGGTGGAAGCGATGCGGCCGACCGAGTCTGACACGGGCCAAGGCAGGACTCGGGGCCGGGAAGCTGGGGCCAGGGACGCCGGGAACCCCGCCTGCCATCGCCCCGCTCCACGGACAGGTGGGCGCGCGCCGCACACGGGCCGAGGCCGCCACCCGCGCCGCATCTAGCGGAGGCGCGTCGCGGTCGCAGGTCCCCGGGGGCGCGAACGGCTCAGGACCCCCGCCCCGTCCCCGCGCGGGCAGGTGCGACCCCCGAGCCCGCGCCAGGCTCGCGCAGGCCTCGCGGCCGACTGACCCGAAGTCCTGGTCCATGGACTTAAAGAAGAATTTGTAGGCGTGCACGGGCCGGTTGCTGAGCACGTTCTTGAAGTCGGCCAGCGTGACGCGCTCGGGGGCCACGGGCAGCTTGACCAGGTACGGCGTCTCCTCCTCGTCCATGTGGTAGATAATCTTGGTCTCCGCCATGGCGCGGCGGCGGCGCGGAGCCCGCGCGCTCAGGGCCCGGCCCGGGGCTCGGACGCGGGGCGCTACCCGCCCGCCCGCCTGCGCCCCGCCCGGCCCGCACCGCTCTCGGCCCCGACGCTCCGAGGCCCCCGGGCGCCCCCGCCCGACCGCCCAGGCCCCGGCCGCCGCCCCCGGCTCCCGCGCGCGTCCCGACTGCTGCCCCGCGGCCCGCGGCCGCCCATCCGCCCCCGGCCCGGGAGCGGCGCGAGGGACGCAGCACGGAGGGCGCGCTCAGCCCCGCCGCCCTCCCGCCTGCGCCCCTCGGGCCGCGCCGTTAAAGGGACCGCCCGGCCCGGGGTCCTGAGCGTGGCCGCGGGGGGGCGCCCGAGCGCGCGGCGTTGACGTCACGGGGGCGCACGGCGGGGGCGGGGCGAGGATGCGCAGACGCAGGCGATCATCGCTCGCCCCGCCCCGCCCCGGCCCCGCCCCCGCGCGCGGGCCCGCGCTCCATTATGATCCGGCGCATGCGACGCGCGCCGCTGGCTGTGGGCCCGTGGGCGCCGGGGCGCTCGGGTCGGGCGGAGGGACCCCGGGGACGCCGGGTGCGCGGCGCTGAGGTGGCGCCCGGTCGCTCTGCGCCACCGCGAAGGCTCCCGACTCGCGTGCCCTCTGCCGGGTCCCACGGGGTCCAGGCAGCAGGCCGAGCGGATGCGGGGCGCGCGGGGGCGCGGGCGTGCACGGAGGCGTCGGAGCGCCCGGCGGCGGGAGGGATTTAGTCCTGGGGTTCTCCGCAGGGCAGGGGAGACTTCCGAGGCGTCCCTTGAGGCCGCGGGGCGTCCGCGCTTACTGTTCCGGGGCTCGCGGGGCTGGAGGCCTTCCCGACCCGACCCCAGCAGGAAGCGCGGAGGCCACTAGAGGGCGGCCCAGGATGGGAGGAGTGAGGAGGGGGCCTGGACGGGGCAGGAGCGACGGGGGGAGTGAGGAGGGGGCCTGGACGGGGCAGGAGCGACGGGGGGAGTGAGGAGGGGGCCTGGACGGGGCAGGAGCGACGGGGGGAGTGAGGAGGGGGCCTGGACGGGGCAGGAGCGACGGGGGGAGTGAGGAGGGGGCCTGGACGGGGCAGGAGCGACGGGGGGAGTGAGGAGGGGGCCTGGACGGGGCAGGAGCGACGGGGGGAGTGAGGAGGGGGCCTGGACGGGGCAGGAGCGACGGGGGGAGTGAGGAGGGGGCCTGGACGGGGCAGGAGCGACGGGGGGAGTGAGGAGGGGGCCTGGACGGGGCAGGAGCGACGGGGGGAGTGAGGAGGGGGCCTGGACGGGGCTGGAGCGACGGGGGGAGTGAGGAGGGGGCCTGGACCGGGCAGGAGCGACGGGGGGAGTGAGGAGGGGGCCTGGACCGGGCAGGAGCGACGGGGGGAGTGAGGAGGGGGCCTGGACGGGGCAGGAGCGACGGGGGGAGTGAGGAGGGGGCCTGGACGGGGCAGGAGCGACGGGGGGAGTGAGGAGGGGGCCTGGACGGGGCAGGAGCGACGGGGGGAGTGAGGAGGGGGCCTGGACGGGGCAGGAGCGACGGGGGGAGTGAGGAGGGGGCCTGGACGGGGCAGGAGCGACGGGGGGAGTGAGGAGGGGGCCTGGACGGGGCAGGAGCGACGGGGGGAGTGAGGAGGGGGCCTGGACGGGGCAGGAGCGACGGGGGGAGTGAGGAGGGGGCCTGGACGGGGCAGGAGCGACGGGGGGAGTGAGGAGGGGGCCTGGACCGGGCAGGAGCGACGGGGGGAGTGAGGAGGGGGCCTGGACGGGGCAGGAGCGACGGGGGGAGTGAGGAGGGGGCCTGGACGGGGCAGGAGCGACGGGGGGAGTGAGGAGGGGGCCTGGACGGGGCAGGAGCGACGGGGGGAGTGAGGAGGGGGCCTGGACGGGGCAGGAGCGACGGGGGGAGTGAGGAGGGGGCCTGGACCGGGCAGGAGCGACGGGGGGAGTGAGGAGGGGGCCTGGACCGGGCAGGAGCGACGGGGGGAGTGAGGAGGGGGCCTGGACGGGGCAGGAGCGACGGGGGGAGTGAGGAGGGGGCCTGGACGGGGCAGGAGCGACGGGGGGAGTGAGGAGGGGGCCTGGACGGGGCTGGAGCGACGGGGGGAGTGAGGAGGGGGCCTGGACGGGGCAGGAGCGACGGGGGGAGTGAGGAGGGGGCCTGGACGGGGCAGGAGCGACGGGGGGAGTGAGGAGGGGGCCTGGACCGGGCAGGAGCGACGGGGGGAGTGAGGAGGGGGCCTGGACGGGGCAGGAGCGACGGGGGGAGTGAGGAGGGGGCCTGGACGGGGCAGGAGCGACGGGGGGAGTGAGGAGGGGGCCTGGACGGGGCAGGAGCGACGGGGGGAGTGAGGAGGGGGCCTGGACGGGGCTGGAGCGATGGGGAAGAGAGTGCGGTGGGGTCCCTTGGTTCCCGTCCCCAGGAAGCCGGCGAGATGGAACTGGCATCTATCGGGCCCTGACCGTGCTGGGGGCTGCACCGGCTCGGAAAGAAACCGATCAGTGCAGGCACCAGTGCTTGACGGTCAGCTTGGGCCTGGGATCCTGACCCTGCACCCGGGCTCTGAGAGGGAGAACTGTGGCGTTTGCTCAGCCAAGCCCGGACAGCTTAGCCGCCAGCCCCCTCCACCTTCCCGCAGCCCTTCTCTTCCCCAGAGGTCAGAAGCCAGGCAGGAAGACCTAAGAGGGGCTATCTGTTGAGGCCCCAGGGAGGGAGGAAGCCTGTCCCTGCCCTGAGGGCCTGACCCCAGGCTAGGTCTCAAGAGAGGCTGGAAGCCAGAGGCCTGAGGCCAGTCCCGTTGCTGACGCGGATGTGGTCCAGCTGGGGCCCTGACAGGTGTGGCCACTGGTGAGGCCAGAGGTAACCGGGCTGGGAGGGGGGTGCATCTTCAAGCCACACCTCCCCAGACCAGCCTCCCTCCCTCCCCATCCATGCTTGTGTGGGGTCCTTGTGGGCAACTGTCACCCTTTCCCACCCCCACTGTCCTGGGAGGACTGGAGGATGGGGTTGGGTGGTGACGCCAGCTTCAAGAAGCAGCAGTTAGTCGCTGGTCTGTGCTGCCAGGACCCCGGGCCACGGGCCTTCCTGCTCCCGCCACTCCTCCCACCGCCTGAACTTGTGCTGAGATCCTGCACCCAACCAGCTGATGCCTGAGCGGGAAAGGATTCTAGGGCCAGATCCGTGCTGGCCTGGCCAAGACTCTTGGAACCACCCTGCTGTCCCGGGCTGTCTCTGCTGGAGCCTCTTTGCTCCCGCCCCCTTTGCAAGTGTCTGACCCGCATCCCACTACTCCCGCTCCTCGTCCCTCTGCCTCTCCAAGAGCTGTGCTCCCACGGCCTTCCCTCTGGCCTCACAGCCACCACCACGTCCCCCCTCCTCACGTCCAGGTCAGCCCTCAAGGGAATCTGAACTCCTCCACGACCAGAAGCCACACAGAACTAGCTCAAAGGTCCCCTTCCCAGGACACCGACTCCCAGAGGACCCAGACCCAGACCTTTCAGCCCAAGGAATGGGATGATGTCAGGGGTTCCAGGTGGAGACGAGGACTCCCAGGCCCAGACTCATGCCTTGCCCAGCCCCAGGAGACGGAGTTTCAGAAGCATACCTGGGACAAGTCTAAAAATCAGATGGGGACTTTATTGTGATGGTGGCAGGTCCACCAGCAGATGCAAATGTGGGGTGCTGAGAGTGGCAACACAGGCCACCCCAAACCAACTTCACTCCCTCCCCTGTCCTCAGCCAGTACAGAAGCCAAATGTAGCCCCAGCCCTAGACTCCAGCCCAGGCAGAGTCCAAGGGAGGGGTGTCAGGGTCAGAAGTCACAGGGAGCCCAGTGACTATCAAGGTGGCTGAGAGCAAGGCTAGGGTAGGGATGGGGCAGAGAAAGGGCAAGGGGTGCAGCCCCAGGTGGCCCAAAGCAACACAGAGGAGCAAGGGCTGGCATTCAAGTCAGCAGGTCCCTGGGGAGAACAGATGGTGCCTGGAGTCCCACATGGTGGTACAGGTGGGGGAGCTCTCGGTGGCAGGCAGCACCCCAGGAGGAGTGGGACTCCTGCCGAGGCTGACCCCAACTTCAAGGCTGCCAAGTTCTGATGGGAGTGTCCTCCTCCAGGAACATCTCCCAGCCCCCGACGAGCAGAGCCCTGGAGGAGTGGGACTCCTGCCCTGAGGCTGACCCCAGTTTTGGGGCTGCCAGGTTCTGATGGGAGTGTCCTCCAGGAATGTCTTCAGGCCCCCAGCGGGCAGAGCCCAGAAGGGTCTGAGGGCATGATGGGCATCAGTGGGATTTTGGTTGTGCCAGGGGTGGGCAGGGCCACCCGTGAGCAAAGGCCGCAGGGGTGGGGGCTATGCTGCCACCAAGCCCCTGGGAGAGGGGTGTGGAGGCGGCCTCTGCATACGCCCAGGCCAAATTCCAGGAAAGCGGGACCAGCCGCTGGAAGGGGGGTGAGCCCCGGAGCATCAGGAGATGCCCCGAGGAGCACAGACAGGAGAGGTGCAGCTGCTGGCCCAGCCAGGAGCCCAGGGCCTCCCTATTTGCAGTTCTCCTTCCGGAACCCTGGAAGCCAAGGGCGCCAACGGGTTGGCGGCTGTCCTCCACCCTCATCACAGTGGGAGACACAGGGCAGACCCCCCCGCAGGACTCCCCAGGGATTTCTGAGCCTGAGGTGGCAGGGGCCCCGGGCCTGGCTGGTGCCTGCCATCGTTGGTCCCAGGTGAGGTGGAATGGGGACAGGCAGGGCTCTGAGATGGGCTGAGGTCGCCCCCGCCGCTCACCTTTGTCTAGGTCGATGTACTTGGCAGGCAGGGGGCTGTGGGCCAGCTCCGCCCTCTCCTTCAGGATGTTGTTTTTGTAATCTGTGGGAGGAGAGGAGGCTGAGGTCCCCGCTCCCAGGATGCACTTCCCAGCCCGGGACTGGGAGCCGCGCCTGTGCCCTCGTGTCCCAGCACTGCCTCACCTAGCTGGATGTCCTCACTCCTGTAAAGCATCTGGTCCCCTGCAGCCACAGCGAACTCCGCCAAGTTAACATCCTTCCTGGATGGCGAGGGTGGGAGGAGGTTACAGCTGGGTGGGGTGAAGGGGGCCCTGGTCCCCAGGAGGGCCGGGAGGGGGGCACTCACCCCTTTGACTTTCCCGACTTCTGGTCCGAGTATTCGTAGCCTGGGAAGGAGACTCACATTGGGGGCAGTGCCGCCCCTTCCGCAGGTCCCCCAGCCCAGAGGACCACCCTCCCGCCCACCTCAGTCTCCTGGGGCCGCTGGCTTTGCCGGGGCAGCCTCACCTCCGCGGCGCCTGCGGGCGGCCAGGAGGACAGTGACCAGTAGCAGGATGAAGAGCAGCAGCGTGGCCAGCACGTAGCCCAGCTGCTGGAAGAAGTGGGCTCGGCTCTCGGGGACGATGACATTGATGACGTTGTGGCCGCGCGCCAGTGTGGGGTCTGCGGGGAACGCGGGGTCGGGGCGGCGTCAGGTACCAGCAAGACCTGCGCCCCGACCCGGGCCACGGCCCCCGCTGGGATCCGCGGGCCTCGGGCAAGGGACAGCGGGCGCAGAGCAACCCCCGGTGGGGTGGGCTCCCGCCTTCCCGGGTCCCAGGGAGGCCTCCTTCACCTGGGCCTGGGGCGCCGCTGTGGCTGGAGCCGTTGCCCGGAGAGCCCCGGGGGGGCGGCTCCGCGTGGGGTTCGGCGACCGTCAGGTGGAAGACGCGGCGTTCGTGCAGGCCACAGTAATGGTGGTGCAGGTGGCAGGAGTAGGTGCCCTCGTCGGCGACCTCCAGCGGCTCGATACGCAGTGAGAAGTCACCGCGCTCAAAGGCATCCGCGCCCACAGCCACGCGGTCGCGCAGAAAAAGGGGCCCGTAGGCGCGGCGCTCGCCCGACGCGTAGAGGTCCAGCAGGCGGTCCGCGCGGTCGTGCGGGACCCCGGGCGGCTGCCGGTCCCAGTGCACCACCTGTTGAGCCTCCTCCACGTGCCGGTCGGTCCACACGTGCCCGCGGTTCACGCAGGTCAGAAGCGCGGGTGCGCCGCGCGCCACCGCCAGCACCTCCTTCTCGCCGTCCCAGTAGGCGGGGGTGGCCGGGGCTGCGGAGGGGGCGCGGTCAGCGGCGCGCGGGCCGGGGCGGCGGTCGAGGGTCGAGGGGCGGGAGCTGGGGGGCGGGGGGGAAGCACTCACGGCCGTCGGTGACCTCCAGGCGGACGGCCAGGCTCTCGTAGAGGTGGCAGTAGTGATGGTGCAGGTTGCAGGTGTACAGCCCCGCGTCCGTCTCCTCCACCGCTGCGCACCCAGGAGGAAGCCGCGCGTGAGCCTTGCGGTGCCCCCGACCCCGCGGCCCCGGACCCCTGCCCCGACCCCGCGGCCCCGGTCCCCGGTCCCCGCACCGCGGATGAGCAGCGAGAAGTTGCCGTCGTCGAAGGCCGAGGCCGAGAGCTCCAGGCGGCCGCGGTCCCGCGCCTCGTACACGCGCTGCTCGCCCGCCGAGTACAAGTCCAGCAGGCGCCGCGCGGGGCCACCCCCGGGGCCGCGCAGGTCCCAGTGGAGCACGCGCTGGCGGTCGTGCAGCCGGTCCTGGGTCCACACCATGCGCGGGCTCTGGCAGCGCAGCACCGCCCGGGCGCCCGCCTCCCAGCTCACCGCGGACTCGGACACCACGGAGCTGCCAGCAGCGGCGGGTACCGAGGACCCTGGTGGGGGAGGGGAGTCGGTGGGGGAAGGGGTGGGCCCCCTAGGGCCCTGGTTGGGGGAGTCAGTGGGGGAGGGGCAGGGCCCTGGTGGGGGAGGGATGTCTGTAAGGGACGGGCAGGACCAGAGGGCCCTGGTGGTGGAGGGGAAGTCCGTGGGGTGGGGCAGACCCCCGAGGGCCTGGATAGGGGAGGGGGAGTCACTGGGGGAGGGGCGGACCCTGATGGTCCTGATGGGGGAGGGTGAATCAGTGGGGGAGGGGCGGGCTCTGAGGACCCTGGTGGAGGAGGAGGAGTAACTGGGGGAGGGGTGTGCCCCAAGGACTCTGGCGGGGTTGGGGGCATCTTTGGGGGGGTGTGGGCCCCTGAGGCCCCTCGTGGTGGGGGAGATTCCATGGGGGAGGGGCATGCCCCCTAGGGCCCATGTGGGGGAAGGGGAATCATTGGGGGAGTGGTGGACCCCCGAGGGCCCTGGCAGGGGAGGGGGAGTCCATGGGGGAGGGCAAGTCAGTCGGGGAGACATGGGGCCCAAGGACCCTAGTGGGGGATGGGGAGTCCATGGGGGAGTGGTGGGCCCCGAGGGCCCTGGTGGGGAAGGGGACTCAGTAGGGGAGGGGCAGACCCCGAAGGCCCTGGTTGGGGAAGGGGAGTCAGTGGGGGCATCTGTGGGGGAGGGGTGGGCCCCCGAGGGCCCTGGTGGGTGTGCGGGAGTCTGTGGGGGAGGGCCAGGCCCCCAAGGGCCCTGGTAGGGGAAGAGGAGTCATTGGGGGAGGGGGAGTTATTGGCAAGGGGAGGTGCCCAAGGGTCCTGATGAGCAAGGGGGAATCAGTGGGGGAGGGGCAGGGCCTGAGGACCCCCGGGGGCTGGGCCTGGCAAGATAGGAGGGGCTGAGGGGGAGTGGGGGTGGGCAGCTGGGGCTGGGGTCACTAACCTGAGTGCAGGAGAACAGCAGAGCCTGGAAGGAGAGGAGTGAGCTGGAGAGGCCACCCACAGCCCCACCCAGCCCCGAGACCCCCCACTTGGCCCCCAGAGTCCCTCCTGTAGTCCCAAAGTGGATGCTGTGACACCCACTTCAGTGCAGGGAGGACGCCTCTCACACAGACCTACATAGCCCTCCCTGCCACCGTGCTGGGCTTTGGATGGCACCTGCCCTTGAGTGGGGAAGCCAGGGCATGGGCGTGGGCCAGGGCCAGGCTCCAAGCCAGCCGGTTCTGGGGTGTGTGCTTGTCACCGGGGCCACTCCACCTGGCTGCACCCAAGTCACCCAGAGCACCAAGGAGGCTGGATCTGTGGGTTCCCCCACGCTCCCTCCAGGGCTGTGCCCCAGCCCCCGAGGGTCCTTGGACCCTCAGACGCTGGGGACCCCACACCACACCTAAGGCTCAGCGCAGCCCCTGAGGTGCTTCCGCAGGGCAGAGGCCTGAAGGCTGAATGTGGGTCGTGACCCCGGCTGCCGCCCCACAGGCCCGCGTTGCTGCTTGAGGGACTCTCATTGTCGTAGGCCGCCTCGGCATCCACTCTGAATCTAGGCTGGACTTTCTCTGACCGGAAGCGGGGCTGCCACCCGGGACAGTTTCCAATTCACATCCCCCGTCCTCGAGCTGATCCACCCAGACGCCCGCCCTACGCACTGTCCCCTGGTGACCACCCCCTGTGTCCCCACAGACCCCACGCCCCACATGGACTGTGCAGCTGCACCACGGAGTCCCCCCACAGTCAGCGTGGCCCCACGGGGCTCGTGCCGCTTGCCTTAAACCCACCAGTTAAAACTCCCCCACCAGGCATGGTGGCTCACGCCTGTAATCCCAGCACTTTGGGAGGCCAAGGCAGGTGGATCACCTGAGGTCAGGAATTCAAGACCAGCCTGGCCAATATGAAAAACCCCATCTGTACTAAAAATACAAAAAATTAGCCGGACGGGGTGGTAGTGGGCGCCTATAGTCCCAGCTACTTGGGAGGCCGAGGCAAGAAAATGACTTGAACCCGGGAGGTGGAGGTTGCAGTGAGCCGAGATCACGCCACTGCACTGCAGCCTCCTTGGCGAGAGAGAAACTGCCTCCAAAAAAATTCCCTGAGGGAAACCTGTATGCAGAACGCCCTGATCCCAATAAAGGGTTGGCCTGGGGGTCCCTGTCTCTCTCCACTTTCCCTGGCCTCCCAGCAGTCTGTGCACCCCAGGGCCCGTGGGTGATAAAAGCTGTTTCTATCCTGTGTCTCTAGATCACTGGGGGCTGCTCTCCCTCACATAGATCCTATGTGAAAACTGCCCCAGAGATGTGGCCGAGAGCCTGGGAGCTTCCCAGAGGAATGTGCCCGGTCAGCAGCCAGCCCAGGCCTGGGAGCGGGGGCTGGAACAGACCCCACAGTTCTCAGGTCCCCTTCAATCACTGACCCACTCCCTAAACAGAGCCCCAGCAAGAGGGGCTGCAGGAGGGGCCCCGAGGGAGACGCCGCCGTGCCTGGGCCCCCAGCCCTTCTTGGCCCTCTGGGCTTCAACTCCCTAGGAGGGGAGGCTGGCCAAAGTCTAACTGAAGACGTCACAGCCTCTGGCAAGCGGCTCTCCCGAGCGCCCCCAGACCCGTCCTCTTCCCTGGTGGGACCTTCCCACTCCTCCTGGCCCAAGCTCAGATGGGCGGTTTTGTCCGAAACGGACTCGCACAGCCCCACGTGCCACCCCCCACCCGCCTCCCAGGGCCCCACACTCACTCTGCAGAAGCACAAGTTTCCAAAGCAGGATTCGGGATGGCAGCGCCATGGCCCCCGCCCAGCCCCAGGCTTTGTCCCACTCGGCTCTAAGTCTCTCTCCAGAAAAACAGCCCTACCCCCTCCCCCTCCTTAGCACCCGCGGTGACATCACGGAGGCCTGGGCCTGTCTACGGTCTGGGGACCGCCCCCTCTGGCTCCTGCCGGGCCCCTTGGCCTCCCCCATCGTTGCTGGCCTGCTGGGGAGGGGCAGTGTGGGAGCAGAGGCCCAGCCCCTCACCGGTCAGGCCTGGGGAGGGGTGGTGACCGCACCCTTGGAGGGACAAGAAGGTCCGAGGACATGGGCCCCTGATACCACGTGATCGTGTCTCACGTCTAGGAGCCTCCCGGGCCTGTGGTGAAGGGTTGGGACTGTTGGGTGAGTGGCCCCTCCGCCCCACCTCTGGCCTCCCCCCACGTGAGCCACCTCAGGGCAGGGTCCTCCCCTCAGTCTGCTCCAGGCCCCAGAAAGGCCTCCCAGCGCTGAGACCGCCCCCACCCACGGTGCACGCTGGTGCTCTCCTTCAGACCAGATGGCCCTTCCAGCTCCAACCCTTGGCCCTGCATGACCTTGGTACCCGTCTCCTCTGGGGGCCACGGTGGGCTCCCTTGGGCCAGGATGATGGACGCTGCCAGTCACTAGTCCCCTTTACAACCTGGAGAGTCAGCCAGGGACAGGGGACCCTGAGCACTGGGAGGCCTGGGGGTGCTGGGGTGAGCAGACCTCTCCCTGCTGGCCCCGTCCCCTGGGGCTGCCCGCCTTTAGGGTGCAGCCTGGTGTCCCTGAAACCAGGTGCTGGATTACAAGCCTCCTGGAGAAAGGGGAGAGTGGGACCCCTGCCATGGAAGGCACAAATTTGAAACTGTGGGAAAACTTACAAAGTCACATAAACAAATGCGAAATAACAGCCTGCACTGTGTAGCAAACCCAACTCCTTCTAATCAAGCAAACCTCAAGAAAAAACAATCTGAACAACCACAACCACTAGAAACCCTCAGTGCATAGTTCCGCCCGCCCACTTGGAGTGAGCTCTCCTTACAGGCCCCGAGGGCCCCAGCTGGGTGGGGGGCTCACCCCTGAACCCTGCTCTGGTGCCCAAGTCCTCAGACAGTGGGAAGCCCAGTGCAGATCAGAGTGGTGGTCTCAGGGCGAGGGGAGGGGAACCTGCGGCTGCTCCAGTGAGAGGAACGGGCAGGACACGGACCGGCGTAAGGACAGAAGACCCCACCCCACCCCAGCCCGGTCAGACCCATTTCCTCAGCAGGGTCCTGGCCCGGGCGGCGACCTTTCCAAACTGGCTTCAGGGCTGAACACATCCCGCCACCCCCACTCCCTCCCTGGGCCTTTCATTCTGGAAAAACAAGCCCCACCTGGCTGGCCTCGAGGCCTCTGCTGGCCTCTCCTCCTGTTTTTCCAACTGGTTTGTATTAGTGCTGGCAGCTGCCCGCCCGCCCATGTCTGTCTCCGTCGCACACTCTGGGGCCTTGGCCTCTGCAGTCTCTGTCTCCTTCCGTCACTCTCCCTGTTCCCTCTCTCCCCATGGAGGGAGGACGGACAGCAGTTTGGTGGGGGGACAGGGTTGGCCCTCGGGTCTGGGAGGGCCCGGCTCTGGGTGCAGGGCTGAGAGGGGCGCCTGGTCCGCACGACAGCCTCAGGCCAGGGCTCGCCTCACTCTGCAGGGCCGTCCCTCTCCGGGCAGTGGCCTCCAGCCACACTTTCGGGGACCCAGCCAGCGGAGATGCAGGCCAGAGGCTGTCGTCTGAGAGGGCCCTGACCTCTGAGAGGGCCACCTGGGGGCAGCTGACCCCCATGGGGCCCTGGGCAAGGAACAAAAGGCTGATGAGGCCATCAGGCCCCTTCCCTGACCCTCCCTGTCCGGCCCTCAGTGGGAAACAGCCACAGAGAAGAGCAGGCCTGGTAGTGACCAGGTCACCTGCTCCTCCCAGGGCCAGTGACCTGTGCCTCTTCTGCACCTTCCTGGGCTGGGACTGTGGAGCCTCTGCTCGCTGGGGGGTGGTCTGCAGAGCTGTGGGTGTGTGACTTAATTCCCAGCCTGGCCTGGCATTTTTCTCCCTCTGGGAAGAGGACAAACCAGGACAAAGCCACTGGCATCACTGTGCTCTGGCTAAGCCCCCAGCCAAACCAGCGCCCTGGACCGTCCTCCTAGCCCCACCTCTGGGGGTTGGGGTGGAGCAAGAGGGGTCAGCTGGCCCCACGGCCCGCACTGAGGATCTGATCTTGGCTGCCATTCCTGGTGACTCGGACATTCCAGGCAGCCCGTCTCATTGGGAAGAAAAACCACAGGCACTCAGAGCCACAAGCAGCACAGCCAAGCCCATATTCACTCCCATGAGTGTGCACAGACACATGCACACACACACAAAGACACACATGGAGACACACAGAGATACACACGCATGCACACGAAGACACATGGAGACACAGACACGCATGCACATGAAGACACGGAGACACACAGAGATACACGGAAACACAGACACATGCACACACGCGAAGACACAGACACATACACATGCATGCACATGAAGACACGGAGACACAGATACATGGAAACACGAACACAGACATGCGCACACACGACACACATGGAGACACGCATGCATGCACATGAAGACACACGGACACACAGAGAAGATACACGGAAACACAAACACACAGACACAGGTCCACACACAGAAACAGAGACACACACAGACACACATGGAAAGACACACACAGAGACACGGACCTGTGGCCGCACAGCGGATCATCGATGGCTGAAGAGTCCCACTTCCTGTCGTTCAGAAGCGTTTGCTGACCACCTCCTGGGTGCCAGGCTTGCTGGGCACTGGGGACTCAGCACTAAGCCGGGTGCCAGCCATGGCCCTCTTGGACCCCAGCCTCCTGGACTGTGCTGCATGTGGTGGAGGGAATGAGACAGGGGTCGGGGGGCGCCCAGGCTGGAGGGGCGAGGACGGACGGACCCAAGGAAGCAACCTCTGTGACAGCAAATGCCAGGCGAGGCCTGAGGACGCGGCTTCCAGGCGCAGCCAGTGGCGGGGCTGCCAGGAGTGGTCTTGGGACGCCAGGGACCCTGTGTGTGTGGTAGGGGGGCCACTGCTGACACCAACACAGACAGGGTTAGGCTCGAGGACAAACCGTATTCGCCGCCGCCGCACCTGCCACGCACATCGGAAGCGTTAGCACAGTTTTCCCTGCGTGGGGCTGGGTCTCCTACCCAGGCTGAGTTTCTCCCCTCTAAGAGGAAACACCGCCAGCCTTCTTTCTCCTACGGCCTTTGGATTCTGAAAACTCGCTGTGGGGAGGGACGTGAGGCTTCGGCACCAGGAACCCCTGCGGGCTAAGACGGTGTTGGCCAATCACATCCAGTCACTCTCCTGGGAAAGTCACTTTTATGGAGACAGCCCCCCAAGGGGGTCTCAAGATATATTGAAGTTTTGGTTAGTTATGTATGCTGACTAAATTTACAAGTAAACTTGTTTATCAAAAACAAAAGAAAATGTGTTAATCCGTTATAGCCGCTTGTGGCGACTGTTCCCGGCCATGTCCCTGGCTGACTGTTTTCCTGCTGATCCTGACCAGCGTCCCCGGCAGCCATGGCCTGCATTCGTGTTGGTCCCTCCTCCTGCAGCCCCGAGGAGGCAGGGCTGTCTGTGGATCCCAGATCGGTTGTCGGAAGGCCCGGAAGAGGAGAGCTGCCCTCCACCACCACTGTCTCCTCCTCCTGGACAACAGAGTCAGGACACTGCTGAGATGGGGTGAAGCATAATTGTTGCACTGAGACTCAAAACTACAGGCAAGAAGGTTTGAAAATACAGAAACATTTCACAAATCATCTGCCTCCTCTCGAGTAGTATCTGGCTTGTTCTAAACATGCAAATGCAGTGAGACGGGCTGCCTGGTACACACACATCGCCCCGGAATCATGACCTTAGGCCCCAGGGCCACCTTCTGTAATTTTTTTTTTTTAAGCCACAAAGTCTCGGCCAGGCAAGATGGTTCACGCCTGTAATCCCAGCACTTTGGGAGGCCAAGGTGGGCAGATCACCTGAGGTCAGGAGTTCAAGACCATCCTGGCCAACATGGTGAAACCCTGTCTCTACTAAAAATACAAAAAATTAGCCAGGCGTGGTGGCAGGTGCCTGTAGTCCCAGCTACTTGGGAGGCTGAGGCAAGAGAATTACTTGAACCCGGGAGGTGGAGGTTGCAGTGAGCCGAGATCGTGCCGTTGCATTCCAGCCTGGGAAACAGAGTGAGACTCCATCTCAAAAAAAAAAAAAAAAAAAAGGGTTGGGCGCGGTGGCTCACATCGGTAATCCCAGCACCTTGGGAGGCCGAGGTGGGTGGATCACAAGGTCAAGAGATGGAGACCATCCTGGCCAACATGGTGAAACCCCGTCTCTACTAAAAATACAAAAAATTAGCCAGGCGTGGTGGCAGGTGCCTGTAGTTCCAGCTACTTGGGAGGCTGAGGCAGGAGAATCACTTGAACCTGGGGGATGGAGGTTGCAGTCAGCCGAGATTGCACCACTGCACTCCAGCCTGGTGATAGGGCGAGACTCCGTCTCAAAAAAAAAAAAAGAAAGGAGTGAAACCCCATCTCTACTAAAAATACAAAAATTATCCGGGTGTGGTGGTGTGCACCTGTAGTCCGAGCTACTCCAAGGGCTGAGGCAGAAGAACTGCTTGAACCTGGGAGGCAAAGGTTGCAGTGAGCCGAGATTGTGCCATTGCACTCCAGCCTGGGCGACAGAGTGAGACTCGGTCTCAAAAACAAAACAAAAGGACAGGGTCTCACTGTGTCACCCAGGCTGAAGGGCAGTGGTGCAAACATCTTGGCCCACTGCAGCCTCAAATTCCTGGCCTCAAGCGATCCTCGGCCTCTCAAAGCAATGGGATTACAGGCGAGATCCATCAGTTTTTTCTTTTTTTTTTTTTGAGACAGAGTTTTGTTCTTTTGCTCAGGATGGAGAGCAGTGGTGCAATCTCAGAATCACCGCAACCTCTGCCTTCCAGTTTCAAGCTATTCTCCTGCCTCAGCCTCCCGAGTAGCTGGGATTACAGGTGCCCGCCACCACGCCTGGCTAATTTTTTTTTTTTTTTTTGAGATGGAGTCTCGATCTGTTGCCCAGGCTGGAGAGCAGTGGCGCAATCTCTGCTCACTGCAAGCTCCACCTTCTGGGTTCATGCCATTCTCCTGCCTCAGCCTCCCGAGTAGCTGGGACTACAGGCGCCCGCCACCACATCTGGCTAATTTTTTGTATTTTTTTTAGTAGAGACGGGGTTTCGCCGTGTTAGCCACGACGGTCTTGATCTCCTGACCTCATGATCCACCCGCCTCAGCCTCCCAAAGTGCTGGGATTACAAGCGTGAGCCACTGCACCCGGCTTTTTTTCTCTTTTTTTGAGATGAAGTCTCGTTCTGTCGCCCAGGCTGGAGTGCAGTGGCGCAATCTCGACTCACTGCAACCTCCGCCTCCCGGGTTCAAGCAGTTCTCCTGCCTCGGCCTCTGGAGTAGCTGGGATTACAGGTGTGCACCACCACACCCAGCTAATTTTTGTATTTTTAGTAGAGACAGGGTTTCACCATGTTGGTCAGGCTGGTCTCAAACTCCTGACCTTGTGATCCACCTGCCTCAGCCTCCCAAAGTGCTGGGATTACAGGCATGAGCCACCACGCCCGGCGAATTTTTGTATTTTTAGTACAGACGGGGTTTCAATGTGTTGGCCAGGCTAGTCTCGAACTGCTGACCTCGTGAGCCACCCACCTCGGCCTCCCAAAGTTCTGGGATTAGAGGTGTGAGACACCATGCCTGATCAATTTTAAAATCGGGAACAAAGAACACTGAGTGCTGCCAGTTACCTGCGGTGGCTCCACCTGCAGGGTCAGACTCCACCTCTGGGACTCTGCATCCGCCTCCCTTCCCGGCTGGGCACGTCTTAGGGCAGCTGTCACACCAGCCTCAGGCGAGGGCCAGGCCACGGCTGCCACATGGAATGCACATCCTGGATCCTCCGTGGTGGCTTCTCCCTCCTCACCAAGGGAGGTCGGCTGTTACATGTAACATTTCTACCTTGGTTATAATTACAAATTTGATGTACGCAATTATGATAGAAAAATCGGCTGGGTGCGGTGGCTCACTCCTATAATCCCAGCACTTTGGGAGGTGGAGGCAGGAGGTTTAAGCCCAGGATTATGGAGACCAGGCGGGACAATATAGCAAGACCCAGTCAAAAATAAAAAAATAAGGCCAGGCTCACCCCTATAATCCCAGCATTTTGGGAGGCCAAGGCAGGCAAATCACCTGAGGTCAGGAGTTCGAGACCAGTCTGGCCAACATGGTGAAACCCCCATCTCTACTAAAAATACAAAAATTAGCTGGGGATGGTGGCATATGCCTGTAATCCCACCTATTCAAGAGACTGAGGCAGGATAATCTCTTGAACCTAGGAGGCAGAGGTTGCAGTGAGCCAAGATCACACCACTGCACTCTAGCCTGGGTGACAGAGTGAGACTCTATATTAAAAAAAAAAAAGCCAGGCGTGGTGGCTCACCCCTGTAATCCCAGCACTTTGGGACACTGAGTGGGGGCGGATTACCTGAGGTCGAGAGTTCAAGACCAGCCTGGCCAACATGGAGAAATCCCATCTAAAAATACAAAAATTAGCCGGGTATGGTGGTGCACGCCTGTAATCCCAGCTACTCGGGAGGCTGAGGCAGGAGAATCGCTTGAACCTGGGAGATGGAGGTTGAGGTGAGCCAAGATTGCAGCATTGCACTCCAGCCTGGGGAACAAGAGTGAAACTCTGTCTCAAAAACAAAATAAAAAACAAAAATAAGGCTGGGCATGGTGGCTCATGCCTGTAATCCTACCACTTTGGGAGGCTGAGGTGGGCAGATGACCTGAGGTCGGGAGTTCAAGACCAGCCTGACCAACATGGAGAAACCCCAGCTCTACTAAAAATACAAAATTAGCCGGGCATGGTGGTGGGCACCTGAACTCCCAGCTACTCTGGAGGCTGAGGCAGGAGAATCACTTGAACCCAGGGGGCGGAGGTTGCGATGAGCTGAGATCGTGCCATTGTATTCAGCCTGGGCAACAAGAGCAAAACTCCCTCTCAAAAATAAATAAATAAATAAAAATAAAAATAAAAAAATTAGCTGGGCATGATGGTGCACGCCTGAAGTCCCAGCTACTCTGGAGGCTGAGGCAGGAGAATCGCCTGAACCCAGGAGGCAGAGGTTGCAGTGAGCTGAGATTGCACCATTGCACTCCAGCCTGGGTGACAAAGCAAGACTTTGTCTCAAAAAAAATAAATAAAAATAAAAATTAGGCCAGGTGTAGTGGTGCACACTTGTGATCCCAGCTAGGAAAGGCTGTGACAGGATGGCCTGAGCCTGGGAGGGGAGGACGAGTATGAGCGTGAGAATGATTGTGAAAGGATGACTATAAATTGAGTGTGAATTAGTGAATTGGTGAGTGTGAAGTAGTGCAGATGGGTGTGAATTCGTGAGACTGTGTGTGAATGAGTGTGGATGGGTGTGAACTGGTGATTGTGCATTTGTGAATTGGTGTGAATTGTGTGGTGTGGATGAGTGTAAACGGGTGTGTAAATTAGTGAATTGGTGAGTGTGAAGTGGTGTGGATGAGTGGATGGATGTGAATGGGTGAGAGAATGAATGAGTGGATGAGTGTGAACTGATGAGTGTGAATGGGCGAGTGTGAATGTGTGAATGGGCGAGTGTGAATGTAAATGAGTGTGAATGGATTGGTGTGCGTGAATGAGTGTGAACGAATGTGGATTGGTGTGTGTAAATGGGTGTGTGAATGTGTGAATGGGTGTGAATGAGTGGATTGGTGTGAATGGGTGAATGACTGGATTGGTGACTGTGAATGTGAATAAATGTGAATGAGTGTGATTGAATGAGTGTGAATTAGGGTGAATGGGCGAGTGTGAATGTGTGAATGAGTGGATTAGTGTGGATGGGTGTGAAAGGGTGAGTGAGTGAATTGATTAGTGAGGATTGGTGAGTGTGAATGTGGGTGAGTGTGGATGGGTGTGAAGGAATATGAATTAGTGTGAGAACGAGTGTGAAATGAGTGTAAATGAGTGGGAATTAGTGAATTGGTGTGAAGTGTGGATGAGTGTGGATGGGTGTTAATTGGTGAGTGTGAATGTGTGGATGGGTGAATTAAATTGGTGAGTGTAAATTGGTGTGTGTAGTGTGAATAAGCGTGTGGATGAGAGTAAACAGGTGACTGAGTGAATTGGTGTGAAGTAGTGTGGATGAGTGTTAATTGGTGACTGTGTTAAAGCGTGGGTGTGAATTGGTGTCTGAATGGATTGGTGAGTGTGAATTGGTGAGTTGGTGTGAATTGGTGAGTGTGAATTGGTGAGTGAATTGGTGAGTTGGTGTGAATTGAATTGTGTGAATGAGTGGATTGGTGAGTGAATTGGTGAGTTGAATTGGTGTGTGTAGTGGATGAGTGTGGATGAATGTGAATTGGCGAGTATGGATGTGTGAATTGGTGAGTGTGAATGTGTGGATTGGTGAGTGAATTGGTGAGTTGAATTGGTGTGTGTAGTGTGGATGAGTGTGAATTGGCGAGTGTGGATGAGTGTGAATTGGTGAGTGTGTGAATGTGGATTGGTGAGTGAACTGGTGAGTTGAATTGGTGTGTGTAGTGTGGATGAGTGTGGATGTGTGGATGAGTGTGAATTGGTGACTGTTGAGTGTGGATGTGTGAATTGGTGAGAGTGAATGTGTGAATTGGTGAGTGTGAATGTGTGGATTGGTGTGTGTAGTGCGAATGAGTGGATGAGTGAATTGGTGACTGTGTGGATGAGTGTGAATTGGTTGTGGATGTGTGAATTGAGTGAATTGGTGAGTTGAATTGTGTGTAGTGTGAATGAGTGGATGAGTGTGAATTGGTGACTGTTAGAGCGTGGATGAGTGTGACTTGGTGTATGAATGAGTGTGGATTGGCGAGTGTGAATGAGTGTGGATTGGTGAGTGAATTGGTGAGTTGAACTGGTGTGTGTAGTGTGGATGAGTGTGAATTGGTGAATGTCGATAGGTGTGAATTGTTGAGTGAGTGTATGAATGAGTGTGGATGGGTGTGGATTGGCACGTATGAATTGGTGAATGTGAACTGGTGAGTGTGAATTAGTGTAAATTCAGTTCAGTGGATCAGGAGCAACTTATTTTTTATTTATTTTTTGAGACGGGGTCTCACTCTGTCCCCCAGGCTGGAGTGCAGTGGCACCATCTCGGCTCACTGCAAGCTCCGCCTCCTGGGTTCACACCATTCTCCTGCCTCAGCCTCCCGAGTAGCTGGGACTACAGGCGCCTGCGACCACGCCTGGCTAATTTTTTGTATTTTTGGTAGAGATGGGGTTTCACCGTGTTAGGCAGGATGGTCTCGATCTCCTGACCTCATGATCCGCCCACCTCTGTGCCCCAAAGTACTAGGATTACCGGCGTGAGCCACCACGCCCGGTCTTTTTCATTTTTATTTTTGAGACAGTCTCACTCTGTTGCCCAGGCTGGAGTGCAGTGGTGCGATCTTGGCTCACTGCAGGTCAACCTCCCAGGCTCAAGTGATCCTCCTACCTCAGCCTTCTGAGTAGCTGGGACCATAGGTGGGCACAACCACACCTGGCTTTTTTTTTTTTTTTTTTTTTTTTTTTTTTTTTGTAGAGATGGGGTCTTGCTCCATTGCCTAGGCTGGCTTTGACCTACCAGGCTCAAGTAATGCACCTGTTTCAGCCTCCTGAAGTGCGGGATTACAGGCAGGAAGGTGCAGCAAGACTAGAATAGGCAATATCTCAGTTTATTGTACTTATGAGAGATACTATTCTGTACAACTTTCAATGGTGGGTGTGTTCATCAGATAGCGGTGTAAAAAGATATTTCTTATTTTGTATCTTGATCAAAAAAGTCTGAAAGTAGGCTGGGTGTGGTATCTCACACCTATAATCCCAACACTTTGGGAGGCCAAGGCAGGAGGATCATTTGAGGCCAGGAGTTTGAGACCAGGCTGGGCAACTTAGTGAGACTCCATCTCTGCTGGAAAAAAACATTAGCTGGGCCTGGTGGTGTATGCCTGTAGCCCCAGCTACTTGGGAGGCTGGCTTGAGCCCAGGAGTTACAGGCTGCAGTGAGCTATAATGGCACCACTGCACTGCAGCCTGGGCGACAGAGGGAGACCCTGCCTCTTAAAAAATAAAAATAGGTCTGGCTGGGCGTGGTGGCTCACGCCTGTAATCCCAGCACTTTGGGAGGCCGAGGCGGGCAGATCACCTGAGGTCAGGCATTTGAGACCAGCCTGGCCAACATGGTGAAACCCTGTCTCTAATAAAAACACAAAAATTAGCCGGGCGTGGTGGTGCATGCCTGTAGTCCCAGCTAGCAGGGAGGCTGAGGCAGGAGAATTGCTTGAACCTGGGAGGTGGAGGTTGCAGTGAGCTGAAATCGCGCCACCGCACTCCAGTCTCGGGACAGAGTGAGATACTGTCTCAAAAAAAAAAAAAAAAAGGTCTGAAAGTCACCAACTTTAAAACATGGTACTACCGCAAGAATCATTTAAAAGGACTAAAATTGCCTCTGGGAAAGGTGGTGTGGGGATGGGGGAAGAGATACTGTTTTCCTTTATTTTTGAGATGGAGTCTCACTCTATCCCTCAGGCTGGACTGCAGTGGTGCGATCTCGGCTCACTGCAAGCACCACCTCCCGGGTTCACGCCATTCTCATGCCTCAGCCTCCCGAGTAGCTGGGACTACAGCCGCCCATCACACCTGGCTAGTTTTTTGTATTTTTAGTAGAGATGGGGTTTCACCATGTTGTCCAGGATGGTCTCGATCTCCTGACCTCAGGTGATCCACCCACCTCGGCCTCCCAAAGTGCTGGGATTACAGGCGTGAGCCACCGCACCCAGCCAACTGTTTTTCTTAAAGGAATCTTTTTTCTTTTTGGAGACAGGGTCTCGCTCTGTCACCCAGGCTGGAGGGCACTAGCACAACGGCAGCTCACCGCAGCCTCGAACTCCTGGGTTCATGCATCCTGTCACCTCGGCCTCTGGAGTAGCTGGGACTACAGGTACACACCACCATGCCCAGCTGATTTTTTATTTTGTAAAGACAGGGTTTCACTATGTTGCCCAGGCTGCTCTTGGAGTCCTGGCTTCATGCGATGCTCCCAGCTCCCAAAGTGCTGGGATGACAGGCGTGAGCCACTGCGCCTGCTGGTGACTTCTTAAACAATTAAACTAGCCACGTACAAGCATAACTTTTTTTTTTTTTGAGACGAAGTCTTGCTCTGTCGCCCAGGCTGGAGTGCAGTGGCATGATCTCAGCTCACTGCAAGCTCCACCTCCAGGTTCACGCCATTCTCCTGCCTCAGCCTCCCGAGTAGCTGGGACTACAGGCGCCTGCGACCATGCCTGGCTAATTTTTTGTATTTTTAGTAGAGACGGGGTTTCACCATGTTAGCCAGGATGGTCTCGATGTCCTGACCTCGTGATCCGCCCGCCTCCGCCTCCCAAAGTTCTGGGATTACAGGCGACAGCCACCGCGCCTGGCCCACAAGCATAACTTTTATAAAAATAATTTACTTTTACAATTAAGCTTAGGAATCACACAGACTCAGGGCTGGCTCATGGCTTCCCGGCAAGTTAAACTCTGTACTTAGGCTCGGCGCGTATGAAATGGCTAATTCTAATCAGTGGTGCAATGAAGTAACTCCTCTAAAGAACTTATCGGGCCGGGCGCAGCGGCTCACGCCTGTAATCCCAGCACTGTGGGAGACCGAGGCGGGCAGATCACGAGGTCAGGAGTTCGAGACCAGCCTAACCAACATGGTGAAACTCCATCTCTACTAAAAATACAAACATTAGCTGGGCACAGTGGCACACACTTGTAGTCCAAGCTGCTCAGGAGGCTGAGGCAGGAGAATCGCTTGAGCCTGGGAGGTGGAGACTGCAGTGAGCCGAGATTGCACCACTGCACTTCAGCCTGGCGACAGAGAAAGACTCCATCTCAAAAAAAAAAAAAAAAAAGTAGTAACCTAAGAATGAGAGAAACATGGCATTCAGAAACAGGACCCAGACTCCTCCAGCCTGAAATAGGAATGTTCTTTCCC
Source organism: Homo sapiens (assembly GCF_000001405.40). Classification (NCBI taxonomy): domain Eukaryota; kingdom Metazoa; phylum Chordata; class Mammalia; order Primates; family Hominidae; genus Homo; species Homo sapiens. The sequence continues at coordinate 1,370,655 of NC_000001.11, forward strand.
CCCTCCCAGTGCCCTTCCCGGGAGGCTCGGGGGGTCCAGCCCAGGGAAGCCAGCTTTCCTCCCAGACTCCACTCCACGCCGAGGGTCTCTGTTGCCACCGCCAACCTGCGTGCTTCTCAGACGGCGTGTTCAGTGAGTGCTCAGCTCGGCTCCCTGGAGGTTCTGGGCTTGGCACACACGTGTGCTGCCTCCCTGCCCCCCAACACACACACATCTGAAGCAGGCAGGGCCCTGGGTGGGCACCGGGGGTGGGAGCTGAGGGCCTTGCCCATGGTCCATGAAAGCTCTGAAGCCATAGCTCTGCGGCTGGTCAGGCCCCAGGCCCCAGGCTCGGCCCCCGCGGAAGGCGCAGAAGACACCAGCTTGCCAGGGACGCAGCAGCCAGAGGAAGAGGCGTGGGGCTGAGTTCACCAACGTGCCCCATTATGGAGGCCACTGATGAATGCCACCACTGGGCGTGAGGTTGGGGCACCATCCCCACTGACCAGGACCATCCCCAGCAGAGCCAAGTCCTGGTTGGAACTGGAGCTCTGAACACCACCAGGACACGCTGTGGTGAGGGGCAGGTCGCTGGCAGCTCCACAGGCCCCCAGCCCAGCCCACCCCACCTCTGGCCCCTCACCCAGGTGATGCCCAGGGCCAGAACAGGGGAGAGGCAACAGAGAGAGGGGGGTGCATGTCTCACAGGCAGGGGCAGGGTGGAGGCCCCACAGAGAAGAGGGGAGGGACGGCCTCTTGTGGCCTGGGAGCAACCGCAGAGATAAAAATAAAACCCCAAAATTGCTTCCCAAGGTTGTGGTTGGGCAACAAAGGCTTCCAAGCCAAGGCAGGGTGAGCTCTGCAGGCTGGGCAGGATGTGGGTCTGCAGGAGGGGCCTGGGTTGCGGGAGCTGGAGTGGACAGCTGAGGCACCGCCTCGCCGGGATGGTGACGTCTGGAGCAGGGGTACCCACCGCTGCTGACGTGAGCTGATGGGTTCGTCGTGGGGATGTCCTCATGGTGCAGGGTGTGTGGCAGCATCCCTGGCCTCCACCCACCCATGCCAGTAGCACCTCCCACTGACAACCACAGATGTCTCCAGATGCGGCTCAAAGCCATGGTTGACCTGCCTCCCAGGAGCACCCCAAGCCGGCCCCCACGCAGGGGTGGAGGAGGCCGGGGCCAAGGGGGGTCCCAGGGCTGTGCCTGAGCTGGGTAGGGCTGCTCCCCACCACGGGCTGCCCAGCTGAGCTCTGCAGGCTAGGACTCTGGACAGGTCCACTCAGCTTCCCACATCTCCTCCCTCATACAGGGAAGGGGGAGGTGAGCCCGGGATGGAAGGAAACGCGGGGGGGCAGCAGCACTACAGAGGGTGCCAGTGGTGGCCAAGAGCACCGGGAGGCTGGGGCAGGGCCAGGCTTGGCACTGAGCGGGCTCCACTTCACCTGGGAGAGTTTCGGCCCTGGGAGCCCTGCCCCACTCACAGCTGGGAAAACAGACCCAGGAATGATGCCTGTGACCCCAGCTGGGGCCCCACAAGACGCTTCCTGCCACCTGTCCTGGTCCCCAGCCCTGGACCCAGGAGCCCGGCTGCTGCCCCCCTGTGGTGGTCTGGGGAAGCGCACTTCCACCCGCTACAGCCTCCAGACCCCTCCGTGCACTCAGGGACCCACAGCCAAGGCCTACTGACCTCGCTGGCTGGCACGTCCAGGGCCCAACTCCCAGGACAATGTGTGACCCACAAGTTCGTCCTGTTCTAGAGAAACTGCTGGGAATAGCGCTCAAGTCCTCCCCAAGGTCTGATGGGCAAGGAACTCAAGCTTGAGTCTCAGACACATTTCTGTGACAAAAGACAAGAGGCCCCCACGTCTCTGGTGAGAGGCAGCCCAGCCTTCAGCCTTCACACACGGTGGGGGAGAGGCTGCGGCTCCAGAGCCTCCACTCAACCGCCTGGGGCGGACGCAAAGGCCCCTCTCCTGTCGCTGAGCTGTTGGGGGCAGCAGCTTCCCAGTGCCCACCCATGCCCTGCTACCCAAGTCCAAGGGCCCCTGCACATCCCTGCTCTTAGGAATACCATGTTCCAGCCAGGCGCAGGGGCTCACGCCTGTAATCCCAGCACTTTGGGAGGCTGAGGCGGGCAGATCACTTGAGGTCAGGAAATCGAGACCATCCTGGCCAACATGGTGAAACCCTGTCTCTAACAAAAATACAAAAATTAGCCGGGCTTGGTGGCGGGCACCTGTAATCCCAGCTATTCAGGAGGCTGAGGCAGGAGAGTCACTGGAACCTGGGAGGGAGAGGCTGCAGTGAGCTGAGATCGCACCACTGCACTCCAGCCTGGGTGATGGAATGAGACTCTTCCTCAAAAAAAAAGGGGGGGGGAATAATGCGTTCCTCCTCTTCACCCAGAGGAACGTGGAGACACCAGGGGCCTCTGGCTCAACCTAAGCCTCAGGGATTCTTCGGCCCTGTAAACGAGACCCTTTCCTCAGCCACCCCCCAGCCCCGAACCCCTTCTGGGACAACTCTTCCTGCTTAGTCCCCACGTCCACTCAGGGCCCCAGGAGATGGCAGACATGCCTGGGAAGGCCAACACCCTGGCCCTGTAGCCGGAAAGCTTGGAGGGCCACTGGAGGATCACGTCCACGGAGCCTGGCGGGCACCATCCACCACTGCCAGTGGTACCAGAACCTTTCCTGCCTTCCCAATGAGGCCCTCCCCGACCCTCCACTCATGAAATACACCTGAATCACCCCGTGCATTCCGGGTGCTCCCTAAACCCCAGTCCTGTCCCCCTGTACTTCTGCCATCCGGGTCGGCCTCCCCAGGGAATGTGGTGCTCAGGGAGGGGCTGTGGGATCTGTTCACAGTGATCCCACAGCACCTAGCCTGAACTGCACACAGCACACATTTGCTCACAGCGAGGCTGGGGCTCCTACAGGCCCAGCACCCTCTGGACGGCGGCCAAGAGCCAGCTAGAGAGAGGGACGGCCAATCTGCCACCCTGCTGCCCGGGTCTTCTGCAACACCTGGGACTGGCAGCAGCCTCAATCCTGAGAGACCTCACACCCGGCAAATGGAGCTCCAGACCCGCAGGAAAGGCTGAGTCCTCTGAGAATTTATTACTACGGATCACAGCAGCAACGGGCGGGAAGGGCGGCGCCAGACTCATTTGCCCCGCAGGTAGATCTTGGGGGTCTGCCAGCCTTCGGGGGCTTCCTTTAGCCCCGCCTTCAGCCAGATGCGCCTCAGGTCTTTCTCGAACTTGATCTGCAAGACGCAGAGAGAGGGACCGCCAAGTAATTCGTGGCAAAGAAACGTGTTCTCAGCACTTTGCCCTCCCAGGGCCAAGCAGGGGGCCACTCACCTGCTTGCGTCTCAGGCGTCCCTCCTGGACCTTCCTCCGCAGGAACCGCGTCTTCTTCACCAGCTTCCGGTACTTGTGGTGGTTCATCTTCCGCCGGCGGATCTTCAGCACGTTTTTGCACTGAATTTGAGGCGCATCCGCGACGCCTTCATCCCCCTGCTCGGCCCCTTCCCCTATCTGGCTGGGCGGACACTGGTAGGATTGCGGTGGAGCCACAGTCCCTGCGGTCCCGGTATCCAGTCTGGGCAGGAAGCAGCGGGCCGTGAGCCAGCTCTCCAGGGGGCTGACGGACATCTTCCTGGGGACCAGCATCTCCTCCAGCTCCAGCTGGGCCCCCTTGCGAGGGAGAGAGGCCGCCCTACCTGGGCCGGCCGGCGATGTGCTGTAAAGGGGCCCGCAGACCCGGCTGCCCAGCACTCCAGAGACGGGCCAAGGCGGGCGGCCGCCTGCAGAAAACCAGACGCCACGGTCACCGCTCGCGAGACCACACAGGCCCGTCGGGTTGAGGAGCAGCAGGTTCGTCCCAGCGAGGATCCCCCGCACCTCATTCCTGGCCTGAACCCCTGAGGTTCCCTCTGTGAGCATCGGAAGCTTAGAGGGGAAAGAGTGTGTGTGTGGCCACCGGCCCTGCCCCAGCGGAGCTGCTGAGACCCGCACTCCTAACCAGGTGTGCATCCTCCCATCCGCCCCCGCGCGGCTTCCTACCTGCCCAAGGAACGGCCCTCAACAGCTGGGAAGTCAGGCGCCCCAGGAGCATGGTCTGTGGGCGGCGGCCACAGGTCCCAGGGGAGCTGGAACACAAGTGCCCGTTCAGGTCAGGCGGCAGCGCCTTCAGTAGTCGCGGGCGGGCCGGGACTGGGGCGTCTGGTCCCGCCGCGACCCTCGCTTCCCTTCTCCCTCCGCCACCCCAACCCACAAGGAGGACTTTGCTTCCAACACAGCTCGCGCCCCGAGGCTCCCAAGCCCCCGACGCGGGCGGTGTCGCGCTCGGACGCACCGAAAGGTCCCAGAACGGGGAGGCCGGCCCCCTCCCCGGGTTCACCCCCGCGCGAATCGCGTTGCCTGGCGCCCGGACCCTCTCGGCTGGACCCCGGGCCCGCCTGCCGCAGCGCCCGGCGCCCTCAGGCCTCCCGCTGACCCTTCCCAAGCCCGACCTCGACGCGGCTCAAATTGACCGTTCTGCGGCCGCCCTCGGGCACTTCCGGTCCGTCCCCAAGTCGGCCCCGATCGGCAGCGGCCACCCGGCGGTTCCTACGCACAGCGCCCGCTGGCGTCCTCGCGGCCCCCGATTCTGCATTGGCTCAGGCCCCGCCGGGCCCGAAAGGCGACGGTTTCCGGTTAGTGGAATCACGGTCCCAGTCCTCGCGCGGTTCCTCAGCTCCGCCTGGTCCCTTACGGAGGCAAAAAACTACATTTCCCACAATCCCAGGGGGTGCGGGCCCTGGATATACCCGCAGGTCCAGAATCGTTTCCGGACCACCCAGGGGCCGGATTCCCAACGGGCCGACGGAAGTGCGGGCTCAAGACTACGGAAGTGACGTATCTGGCAACGGAAGTGGAGTTACGTGGAAGGCGGAAGCGTCTAGAGCTATTTCCCCCGTTTTTGCTAGAGACCAAGGACCCGGAATAAGCACTGAGCCTGCGGTACCGGGCCTCCCCGACTCCTCATTCCTGGGGTTAAAAAAAAAAAAATAAGACGCAGGCTGGGCGCGGTGGCTCAGGCCTGTAATCCCAGCACTTTGGGAGGCCGAGGCTGGTGGATCACCTGAGGTCAGGAGTTCGAGACCAGCATGGCCAACATGGTGAAACCCCGTCTCTACTAAAACTACAAAAATTAGCCTAGCGTGGTGGCAGGCGCCTGTAATCCCAGCTACTCGGGAGGCTGAGGCAAGAGAATCGCTTGCGCCCAGGAGGCAGAGGTTGCGGTGAGCCGAGATCGCACCACTGCACTCCAGTCTGGGTGACATAGATCCTGTCTCAAAAAAATAAATAAATAAATAAAATAAAAATCAGACTCACACTTTTTGTCTGAGAACTAAAAGCAGCCTCTCTGGTGGATTGGGTTTGGCTGAGCCCCTAATGATGCTCCCCAGAGTAGGCGCTGCCAACGTGTAGCTTCACCTTTCTACTCCAGACAGGCCCCTTTGACCTCCGTGAGGTTGGCTAATATAGAGACCCCAGCATGGACTTGCAGGGGCGCCTGGTGGGAGAGGGGTGTGGAGCAGAGCCTGCTGGGCCTGCTCGGAGACTTGCCTTGCAGGAGGGTCTTCCAGGGACGCTTAGCAGGAAGTGGAAAGGCCAGGTCATCTGCCGGGCCCAGCCTGGCTAAGCAGTGAGTGACAGGTAGGATAGGCCAGTGTGAGGACATAAAGTTCAGGCTCCAGGCCCACCTCTACAACTGAGGTCCCCAGATGACTCTACGTTACCCCTCAGAGGGGCTACTTGGGACTCCAAGCAGGAAGGTTTACGAACGTTATTTGCGGGCCCGCCCTTCACCCCTGCTGCACAGCTTCCCCTAGTGGATTTGGCCGTAAATGAGCAGACTGGTGCCTCCAGAGCAGCCCTCACCTTGGTGCCCCTGTGTTTGTCTTCACCCGGCTGGGGTCCAGGGAGATGCAAAGAATCCATCAGAGAACAGGTGAGCATGTTGAGAAGAACCAGAGAACCAGAAATAACCTGGGCTGGCAACCTTGGCCTTCAGGCTTCTGAGGCATTGACGTGCAGATATAAGTACCTCCCCTGAGTTAGGGACTGGTAGAAGAAACGGGATGTGGACATTTCAGTCTGAGAAAGTCTTGAGGAGCAGGATGAACCAGGGTGTCCTTCCCCCTCTCAGGAAGTAATTTCAGGGAGGTGAAGTGAGGAAGACCACTCTGTTGGGGTCCCTGTACCCAATAGGCTCCAGGCCAAAAGGGAAAGGTCCCAGCTAGAGCAGGACCCAGCTGCTACAAGGCTGGGGAATTATCATTCAGCTACAGGAGCTGCATGGAGCCGGCCCGGGAGGCTTGCAGACAGTGGCCACCCCGATGAATGCCCGGGCCAGACCTGACTGGCTGCCGCCCACAGGAGTGGCAGGAACACTTGTTGGAAGCGCCAGATGCTTGTGTGAGCAGAGCTGCCAAGCTAGATGAGCTGGAACTAGACTAGGAAGATCAATCCTTTACAAACATCTGAGGAAGAAAAAATGCAGTGGAAGAATCGGGGAGGGTGCATGGGTTATGATTCCTAATTTTTAAACAAAGGAACTCTAGTCTCTCAAGGGAAGTACACAGTTGCTGCACATACCTGTTTTCCCCAAAATACCCATTTGTCTTCAGGAAAGTTTTTCTTTAGAAACTTCAGAATTTTGGTCGGGCAGAGTGGTTCACACCTGCCTGTAATCCCAGCACTCTGAGAGGTCGAGGCGGGCATACTGTCTGAAGTCAGGAGTTCGAGACCAGCCTGGCCAACATGGCGAAACCCCATCTCTACCAAAAATACCAAAAAAAAAAAAAAAATTAGTTGGGTGTGGTGGTGCACACCTGTAGTCCCAGCTACTCCGGAAGCTGAGGCAGGAGAATCTTTTGAACCTGTGAGGTGGAGGTTGCAGTGAGCCGAGATCGTGCCAATGCACTCCAGCCTGAGTGATAGAGCGAGACTCTGACTCAAAAAAAAGGTGGGCATGGTGGCACAGACCTGTAGTCCCAGCTCCTCAGGACTGGGTCGAGGGCAGAGTGGCCAGACGCGACAGCGTATACTGGGGGAAAGACATATTGGCGACCCAGCGCACATCTGCCTATAATACTTAAATAATCTTAAGATCGTGGATAATAGTGATCTTATTAAAATATGAAACTATGGGTTTTCAGTATTTCCTTTTATTAGCATAATTTAACCATAAATGTATCTGATTTATAAATAATGGCTGTGTAGCAGTTGGTGTACAAAACTCCTGAAAGCTTAACAGCTAGCGGTCCCGCTGCACCCTGGCCCACACTGGCTCCCACAAGCTACTGCCAGGCTCTGACAAGGCATCAGGGCCCTGCCTGTCTGCAGCTTTTGCCCCAAGACTTTGGGGCTCCTCAGCTCAGGGCAGAGCCTGAGCTCCAGCCTGGGTCCACCCTCGGCCACGCCGCCTTTAATGCTCCTCCAACCTCCGGGCCACAGATACAACATTCCTAAAAATTCTGAAGTTTCTATTTCTTTTTTTTTTTTTAAACAGACAGAGTCGTCTTGCTCTGTCACCCAGCCTGGAGTGCCGTGATCTCGGCTCACTGTAACTTCTGCAACTTCTGCCTCCCGGGTTCTAGCAATTCTCCTTCCTCAGCCTCCAGAGTAGCTAGGAATACAGGCGCACGCCGCCACACCCGGCTAATTTTTTGTATTTTAGTAGAGACGGTTTCACTGTGTTGCCCAGGCTGGTCTCGAGCTCTTGAGTTCAGGCAATCCACCTGCCTCGGCCTTTCCAAGTGCTAGGATTACAGGCATGAGCCACCACGCCCGACATTTTTTTTTTTTTTTTTTTTTTGAGAGGGAGTCTCGCTCTGTCACCCAGGCTGGAGTGCAATGGCGCGATCTCAGCTCACTGCAACCTCCACTTCCCAGTCTCAAGCGATTCTCCTGCCTCTGGAGAATGATCTTAAGATGACTGAACATCATAGGCAGGTGTGTGCTGGGTCGCCGAGATGTCGCTCCCCAAGTATATACTCCGTCGCACCTGGCCTCTGCCCTCGGCCCTCAGCGCAGCCAAACAGGACATATCTCCAGAAACCCGGAGGGCACAAGCCCAGCTGTTGGCCATTCAGAGCGCAGCCTAAATGGGAGCACCTGCTTCAGTACGACGTCCCTAACCGCCAAGGGCTCATCAAGATCCTGCCTTGATTCATCGGATCTGTGCAAGATTAGCAAATGTCTACCCTAATTTTAGACCCACTCCTAAAAACTCACTCTTGGGAGCTATGTTTGGAATGGGGACCCTCTTCCTCTGGTATTATGTTTTCAAAAAACTTATCCAAGAAGGAAAATTGGATCAAACGTTTAACATCTCATATTAAATCTGGCAATGACAACTGCATGTATTCTTGCTTAAATAAACGGTCTATCAATTTTTTTTTTGTTGTTGTTGTTGTTTTTTAAGGATTGTGGGCCGGGTACAGTGACTCACGCCTGTAATCCCGGCACTTTGGGAGGCCAAGGCAGGCAGATCACTTGAGGTCAGTTCGAGACCAGCCTGGCCAACATGGCGAAACCCCGTCTCTACGCAAAATACAAAAATTAGCCGGGCGTGGTGGCGCATGCCTGTAATCCCAGCTGCTCAGGAGGCTGAGACAGGAGGATCACTTAAACACAGGAGGCAGAGTGAGCCAAGGCCATGCCACGGTGAGTGATGAAGGAAAAGCTGTATAATGGCTACTGCATGGAATGAAGTTGTTGGTACTTGAAATTGGCCATATCCAGCCTGGGCAACATGGCGAGACCGTCTCTTCAAAAAACACAAAAATTAGCCGGGCGTGGTGACTCACACCTGTAGTCCCAGCTACTCAGGAGACTGAGGTGGGAGGATCACTTGAGCCCAGGAGTTGAAGACCAGCCTGCAACATAGTGAGGCCCCATCTCTACAAAAAATTAAGAAGGCCGGGCGCGGTGGCTCACGCCTATAATCCCAGTACTTTGGGAGGCAGAGGCGGGTAGATCACGAGGTCAGGAGATCGAGACCATCCTGACTAACACGGTGAAACCCCGTCTCTACTAAAAATACACAAAAAAATTAGCCGGGCGTGGTGGCGGGCGCCTGTAGTCCCAGCTACTCGGGAGGCTGAGGCAGGAGAATGGCGTGAACCCAGGAGACGGAGCTTGCAGTGAGCCGAGATTGTGCCACTGCACTCCAGCCTGGGCGACAGAGCGAGACTCCGTCTCAAAAAAAAAAAAAGAAAAAAATTTTAAAAACAAATTAGCCAGGCATGGAGGCGTGAGCTTGTGGTCTCGGCTACTTGGGAGGCTGAGGTGAGAGGATCGCTTGAGCACATGAGATCACACCACTGCACTCCAGCCTGGGTGACAGAGACAACAAAATATAATTGGCTGGGCTGGGTGGAGTGGCTCACGCCTGTAATCCCAGCACTCTGGGAGGCCAAGGCGGGCAGATCACCTGAGATCAGGAGTTCGAGACCAGCCTGGCCAACATGGTGAAACCCCACCTCTAATAAAAATACAAAAATTAGCCGGGCGCCTGTAATCGCAGCTACTTGGGAGGCTGAGGCAGGAGAACTGCTTGAACTTGGGAGGTGGAGGTTGCAGTGAGCCAAAATCGCACCACTGCAGTCCAGCCTGGGCAACAGAGCGAGACTCTGTCTCAGATAAATTGGCCATCAAGGAAGTATTTACACCCCAAAAGTTGAAATACGAAGGCCTACCCTTTTTTCAGAGGTGCTAATTAAAATGCTCACCAGTGCTCCAGGCACAGGGCTTCCCAGGAGACAGGCACCCTCACATAAGGCTAAGGGAACAGGAGCAGTGCATCTGGCTCTAGATGCCCGGGCACGGGCACCACTGTGAGCTGTCCCAGGTGGTAGGGCCTGCACCCCCTGCTGATGGCAAAATGGCCTCTCTGCCAGGTGTGTCCTCTCAGGGTCAGGGTGCCCTGGGCTGTGACACTCCAGTCAGGCTACCACCAGCGAAGCCAGCCCAGCAGCTCCATGACACAGCAGCTGCTCTGTGTGGGTGCCCTGCCCTGCGAGGAACTTGGGGTGCACCCCATGCAGGGCCCCAGCCCTGCCTGTGCCCAGTCCCCCTGTTCATGCAGCTGCCTGTGGAGCCGTGAAGGTGCCGGCAGGATGGAAGCAGCCCCCAGGGGCTGGGCCTGAGGAGGTGGAGCGGGGCGTACGCGGGATGACAGTGGCACGTGCTCCTCCTTCCTTTGGTCCCCGCAGAGGGCAAATCTCAAGGAGGCGGGGACGGTGGCCTCGTGGATGCTGGGCAGCACCCCACTGCCTGCCTCCCCTGGGAAGACGAGATATGGGGCAAGACCTGCAGTCGCCCCAAGTGCCAGGGCGACCTTGGGGGCTGCCAGGGAGATACCCACCCACCGCACCAGACGCCTCCCCATGTGGATTCCTCCTGCAGGTACTCCTGGGGCTGGAGTCACCCCTGGGCCTGGCCTTGCTGCAGGCAGGGGAGAGCCATGGCTTCTGTGGCACGGGGGAGCCCCTGGTCTGGTGGGCAAGGACCCCTACCCTCAGGTCAATGCTCTTGGATCGAGGCCGGGACCTGAGCCACTTCGGAGCAGAGGCCGAACCCACCCCCACCTTGTGGCTGGCGACCCTCACTTTCCGGATGCTGAACCAGGCTCCAGTTGCCAGAGCTCCAGGGCACCCATGCCAGGAGCTGGCGCCATGCCCCTTGCTGTGTCCCTAGGCAGAAATGAGCCTGTGGGGCCCTGCAGCTAGCGTGGACCCTCAAAGGACCTGGGGCAGACCCTCACTTTGGCCCCCCATCTGGTTTTCTGCAGAATGGGCTCTGGAAAGCCTCAGGCAGTAGAGGCGCCCTGTGTGGAAGCTGGACACTGCCAGAGTGGTGGGACTGGAGGCTCTGGGGACAATGGGCCCTGTCTGTGTCCTCTGGGGCGTGTCCCACACACATTTCTCCACCTTGGCACAGCTGACGCCTGGGAACTGTTCTGGGCACTCAGCGTGCTAAGCAGTGTCCTGAGCTCTCAGACCCCCGCCACGTTCCCCCTAGCCTGAGCCCCCTGAGCTCCCATCAGTTTCCTCCAGATGGTGGCCCAGAAGCTGAGACACAGGCAGCATGGAGTCCCAGGGATGGGCTACCCTGATGCCTGCACTTCCTCTCTTGGCAGCCTTGCAGGGCCAGTCATCTCGTGGATGGGCAGGAATGACCCTTCACACAGGGCAGGGCAGGTCAGTGCTTTGGACGTCTCTGCAGCGGTGACTGCAAGTAGATGCCCACCATGCTGGGGCTCCTGGGGAACCACTGGAGGCAGCCACCACGTGCCCTCTCCTAAGCCAGCCAGTCTCCAGCTGGGGACCACCAGGATACCCTGGTCCCATCGGCACACTGCAGCAGGGAGATGAGAGACCTGCAGGACAGTCTTCCTGGTCCAGACAGAATGAAGCAAAGAAACCAGAAGGAAGGGGCAGATGGCCAGGAAGGTGATCCCTGGGGGACCTCATTGCGCACTGGTGTAAGCCGTCCCCCCGTGCCTTGACAGTTTAGAGAGTCCACGGCAACGACCGAGAGGTCACCACCCCTTCCCACAATCCACTAACAATCCAGAGGCCACCACCCCTTCCCAACAATCCAGTAACAATCCAGAGGTCACCACCCTTCCCAACAATCCACTAACAATCCAGAGGCCACCACCCCTTCCCAACAATCCACTAACAATCCAGAGGTCACCACCCCTTCCCAACAATCCAGTAACAATCCAGAGGTCACCACCCTTCCCAACAATCCAGTAACAATCCAGAGGCCACCACCCCTTCCCAACAATCCACTAACAATCCAGAGGTCACCACCCTTCCCAACAATCCACTAACAATCCAGAGGTCACCACCCTTCCCAACAATCCAGTAACAATCCAGAGGTCACCACCCTTCCCAACAATCCAGTAACAATCCAGAGGTCACCACCCTTTCCAACAATCCACTAACAATCCAGAGGTCACCACCCCTTCCCAACAATCCAGTAACAATCCAGAGGTCACCACCCCTTCCCAACAATCCAGTAACAATCCAGAGGTCACCACCCCTTCCCAACAATCCAGTAACAATCCAGAGGTCACCACCCCTTTCCAAACAATCTGGTAACAATCCAGAGGTCACCACACTTTTCCAACAATCCAGTAACAATCCAGACGTTACCACCCCTTTCAAAACAATCCAGTAACAATCCAGACGTTACCACCTCTTTCGCAGAAAGTCCTGTAACTCACCCCTTAATTTAATGTAAGTAAATGTGCATATAAATACAGTTGTCAACAGCCCTCAAGTGCAGCTCTGGGCCCCCTGTCTAGGCATTATCCTTGCCCCATGAGAACCAGCTCCAGTTCAATAAAAGGAATGCTGAGGGCCAGGTGCAGTTGCTCACGCCTGTAATCCCAGCACAGGCCAAAGTGGGCGGATCACCTGAGGTCAGGAATTCAAGATCAGCCTGGCCAACATGGTGAAACCCCATCTCTACTAAAAATACCAAAATTAGCCAGGCATGGTGGCAGACGCCTGTAATCCCAGCTACTCGGGAGGCTGAGGCAGGAGAATCTCTTGAACCCAGGAGGAGGAAGTTGCAATCAGCTGAGATTGCAGCACTGCACTCCAGCCCAGGCGACAGAGCAAGACTGTTGGATTGCTGTGGGCCAGGTGCAGTAGTGGACACCCACAATGTCCACCAGCAAGAGGGAGGGTGAGGAGGGAGGACTGTTTGAGCCTGGGAGACAGAGGTTGCAGTGAACTGTGATTGTGCCACTGCACTCCAGCCTGTGTAACAAAGTGAGACTCCATCTCCGATTAAAAAAAAGAAAAAAAAAAAGATTGCTGTCTACTACCACCTGCATTCTTCCCTGGGTGAAGACAAGAACCCTCATGGGCTAAGCCCTAATTTGGGGGCTTGCTGGCCACGGATCATCTGGTGGTCATGAAAGGACAAAGATAGCAAGGAGGCCGGGCGCAGTGGCTGACGCCTGTAATCCCAGCACTTTGGGAGGCTGAGGCGGGAGGATCGCGAGGTCAGGAGATGGAGACCATCCTGGCTAACACAGCGAAACCCTGTCTCTACTGAAAATACAAAAAATTAGCTGGGTGTGGTAGCAGGTGCCTGTAGTCCCAGCTACTCGGGAGTGCCATTGCACTCCAGCCTGGATGATAAGAGTGAGACTGTCTCAGAAATAAAGTAAAATGGCTGACAAAAATAAATTGGGGTTAGAGGAGAATCAACCAAGAGAAGGGGAGAAGGATGTGGTTCTGTCCAGGGTGGCCAAGCAATGGGGTATCCAAATCCACTGCTTGGCTGCCGTGAGGGAACAGGCCCTTGGACTTGGGACCTGGCCGGAGCACAGATCTCACAGGAGGTGGCGGTGCTGTGGCCGTCGCCCACTGCTCGGCTCCACCACAGGCCAGAAAAGAGGATGGTTCTGAAAAGAGCCTCTGGTTCGTGTGGCAGCGTTGATCGCCCACCGCGGCACGTCTTGCTGTCTCATGTTGCCTCCACTGCCAGTCGCCTCCATTCTCCCATCTCCCTGCCTCTTGCTCACTCCCTTGTTTTTTTTTTTTTTTTTTTTTGAGACGGAGTCTCGCTCCGTTGCCCAGGCTGGAGTGCAGTGGCGCAATCTCGTCTCACTGCAAGCTCTGCCTTCTGGGTTCAAGCGATTCTCCTGCCTCAGCCTCCTGAGTTGCTGAGACTACAGGCATGTGCCACCACACCCGGCTAATTTTTGTATTTTAAGTAGAGACGGGGTTTCACCGCATTGGCCAGGATGGTCTCGATCTCCTGACCTCATGATCTACCCACCTTGGCCTCCCACAGTGTTGGGATTACAGGCGTCAGTGTGCCACTGCACCCAGCCCTTTTTTTTTTTTTTTTGGCATCTTTAGTAGAGATGGGGTTTCACTATTTTGCCCAGACTGGTCTCAAACTCCTGAGCTCAAGCAATCCACCCACCTCAGCCTCCCACAGTGCTGGGATTACAGGTGTGAGCCACCGTGCCCAGCCCATTTTATTTTCTGTCCTGAAATGTATGCTTCATTCATGGTTTTTGCTCTTACTCCCCAGTAACTGCATTAGGGCAACTGTTTAAGGCAGGACACTTGGCCGTGAGAGGTCCTGTTGTGTTGACCCTGAGATGCCAGAGTCACGTTCTGTGGCCCCAGCTTGGCCTTTGGGGTACACTGTTGGCTGCCTTCCACCTGCTCTGGGGTTTCTGGCATTTGTTGTGTGCACCCTCATTGGCCAACACTTGGGAACCCCAGGGTTTTGGCATTTGGTGCTATTGGTCACCCTCTGGATGGCCCACGGTTTTGGCACTGACATTTCTTCTAAGATTGTAGGTTGGAGGCCCACCCTAGCGGACTCTTGGTCTTGCCTTTTCTTGCTTACTGCCCTAAAACCTAAAATTATAGCTTTTGGTAACAGCTTTTTCTTTTTTTGAGATGGAGTCTTGCTCTGTCGCCAGACTGGAGTGCAATGGCGCCAACTCAACTCATTGCAATCTCTGCCTCCCGGGTTCAAGTGATTCTCCTGCCTCAGCCTCCTGAGTAGCTGGGATTACAGGGACGCAGCACCACACCCAGCTAATTTTTGTATTTTTAGTAGAGACAGTGTTTCACCATGTTGGCCAGGATGGTTTCAATCTCCTGACTTCGTGATCCGCCTGCCTCAGCCTCCCACAGTGCTGGGATTACAGGCGTAAGCCACAGCACCCGGTCTCCCAACAGCACTGGGATTACAGGCATGAGCCACCGCGCCCGGCCTCCCACAGCGCTGGGATTACAGGCGTGAGCCACCTCGCCCGGCCTCCCACAGCGCTGGGATTACAGGCGTGAGCCACCGCGCCCGGCCTCCCACGGCGCTGGGATTACAGGCCTGAGCCACCGCGCCCGGCCTCCCACGGCGCTGGGATTACAGGCCTGAGCCACCGCGCCCGGCCTCCCACCACGCGGCCAAAACTCATTTTCTACTGCAACACCATTTGGGCGCAATGCAAATTAGGAGAACATAAAATCTGGCCTTAAATGGTTCTTTATGTCATAATAATATTTTACAATTATTTAGTAAAAAAAGAAAGCAAATGGAGAGCGGTCTCTTGGGTACAGGTGTGTATGGCCCTTTACTGGTTCTCTTACTTCCAGGCACAGGAAGCTAGGGGGCCCCTCATAGCTGCTCTCCCTGGAAGGACACCCTCCCTGGAGTCTCCTCAGTTCCCCAATTCTGAGGGGGGGTCCCACCAGCTATCTAATGCAGGATTCCATCAAAAAAGTCATCAGGCGTAACTCCCCGTTATCCCACTAGCCCCGGCCTATATGTCCCACTGCCCTAGTAAGTCCAAACGGTACCACCAGGAGTGGGGCCCCCTAGTCCCCAAAACCAAAACTGTGTCCACGGTAAGAGGCAGCTGATGACAGTGGGGGGCACTCAGAGTGCAGGTGCCACCCCCGTGGGGTGACCCTCCAAGTGTCCTGCTCCCAGCTGCCTCTCTCGCCCACAGATGTCATGGGTTACAAACCAGTCCCCCTCAGGAACGAGAGCACCTTGGAATCATTCTGTGTTTCCAAAACTTCCCTCCTATGGCCCTGCAGGAAGGAGCCTGTCATCCTGATGGGCAGAGGACTCAGGCCCCTCACAAGCCTTCGGCAGAAGGGCAGGCACACAGGATTGGATGCAAAATCCAAAACTTCAGTACAGCAGGGAGCAAGGAGCCCGGAAGTGGGCGCACTGGCTGTGCACACGCCTGGACACTTTCACAAGCACACAGAACGACCACCTACCACGTCCATAACGCTCCGGATGTCCTGAGTGGAGAGAGTTGTGTTTATTCACCATGTCATACGCGCATATAGGGAACCTCTATTTAGGAGCTGGTGGCCTGCACTCAGCACCGCACAGATAAAAATATACGACTTTCAACACAGATCCAAATACCCTCACATTTTAAAAGTCAGGATTCCCTACACAAGTTTTAAGCTGACGGGATTCAAGTTCTGAGTTTTCATACATAGCTTTAACTTGTATTAAACACATGTTTATTTACAACGTGGAGAGAGAATAAGGGGCAGTTAAGGCCACTTTCTCCTGTGAAACACTGCAAAATATGTACATAAGTACAACCTAATATAGGCAAAGGTTCTAAAAATCATCTTTCTTGGCTTCACGTAATTGAGTATCAGTCGGGGAGTGGAGAGCGGCTGCCGATAGCACCAGGCCATGCCAGGCCACGCCAACAAGGGCGTGTGCATTCACTTTTTCATTGAGCTGCCCTCAGAGCTGCTGCCGAGCTGAGCCCTGCACGGGCCCAGGTGTGCGCCGCACCCCAGACCGGTCTGAAGCACGTGTCACCGGTCCCTCAGTTCCATTTCCAAATCCACCAAGGTCCAGTCGACAGACATTTCCAAAAAGAATCCTGTTCTAGGACCACTTGCGCTGAGAGCACACCCGGGGGTCAAAGGGCAGCCACCGGGGGTCAAAGGGCAGCCATCAGGTACTCCCCAGGGAAGGGCTTGCGGCCACCAGTCACTGCAACCCCGCCTCACCTCCGATGCCTGCTGTGCCCAGGGTGGTCCCGCTCATAGCGACGGCCTGTGCGTTCATACGACCTCGAGCGCTCTCGTCGCTGATCTCTGTAGTAATGACTTTTCTTCTTGTATTTTCCCGGATTATCCGCCCGCTCCCGTGACCTGCTTCGAGAACGGGAAGAACTCCGGCTCCGAGACTTGTGTGGCTTCTGGGGGTACTTGCAGTCCTTGGACTTCCGGGAGCCCCGAATCTCAGAGCCTTTGTAGGGAGCGCTGCGGGGGGCCTGTCTCGGTGGGGAGTCACTCCTGCTCCGGGAGCGGCTCTGCGACTTGGACCCACCAGATGTGGAGCCGCTGTCACTTTTCCTGGGAGGAAGAACAGCACCACCACACGTGTGACCATCTGGCCCGGCCAGGCCCCACACACCCACAGGAGCTCAGACAAGACACACAAGCTCCAGGTTTAGAGAAACAAGAAACCACCTCAGGGTGAGAATGATTACCCCGAGGGACAGCCCCACCCCGGTATCGGCCTCCTGGGTGCGCCCTGAGGCACACACCTCCTCTTAGGAGACGCTGATCGGGATGGGGACCTCGAGTAGCTCTGCTCACGGCTCCGGCTCCGACTCCGACTCTCTCGCCCCTTTGGCAAGCTGTGAACAGGACAGGAGCCAGTTACAAAGCAGAAGTCCCTCCAGCCAACCCTGACAGCCACCTGGGCAGCCCTGGGGTCCTACCCGTTCACGGGGCTGTCCGCCTTGGCTTTCTTGGCGCCCTCCAGCCTCCTCTTGGTGTTCTTCACAGACAGTGGGGAAGGCTTGCTCCCTTTACCTTCTTTGGGGGATTCCACTAGAATCAGAACAAGAGGTTAAAAGCCAACCACAAAACACTCTCCCAATAAGAAACAAGTTCGTAGAGCGAGATAAGGCCCCTCTACAGGTCAAACAGCGACGCAAGCAGACTGTAACTTCCGGCTCCCAGCTGGGACCCAGAACTTACACAGACATCACAGAAATGCAGATGGGGCTGGACGCGGGGGCTCACGCCTGTGAGCCCAGCACTTCGGGAGGCCGAGGAGGGCGGATCACAAAGTCAATACATTGAGACCATCCTGCCCAACATGGTGAAACCCCATCTCTACTAAAACTACAAAAATTAGCTGGGCTTGGTGGCACGCGCCTGTAGTCCCAGCTACTCCAGAGGCTGAAGCAGAAGAATCGCTTGGACCCAGGAGGCGGAGGTTACAGTGAGCCGAGATCACGCCACAGTACTCACCTGGCAACACAGCGAGACTCTGTCTCAAGAAAAACAAAACAAAACAAAAAAACCCCAAAACATGTGAGTGTGTGTCTCTCTCTCTCTCTCTCTATATATATATATACATAGACACACACTCACACACAAATTACCTGAGCGTGGTGGTGGGCGCCTGCAATCCCAGCTACTTGGGAGGCTGAGGCACAAGAATCACCAGAATCTGGTAGGCGGAGCTTGCAGTGATCCCAGATAGCGCCACTGCACTCCAGGCTGGGCAACAGAGTAAGACTCCGTCTCAGAAAAAAAAAAAAAAAAAAAAAAGCTGGGTATAGTGGCTCCCACCTGTAATCCCAGCACTTTGGGAGGCCAAGGCGGGCAGATCAACTGAGATCAGGAGTTCAAGACCAGTCTGACCAAAATGGAGAAACCCCATCTCTACTAAAAATACAAAATTAGCTCAGTGTGGTGGCGGGTACCTGCAATCCCAGCTACTTGGGAGGCTGAGGCAGGAGAATCGCTTGAACCCGGGAGGCAGAGGTTACAGTGAGCTGAGACAGCGCCATTGCACTCCAGCCTGGGTAACAAGACAGAAACTCTGTCTCAAAAAAAGAAATGCAGGCCGGGTGCAGTGGCTCATGCCTGTAATCCCAGCACTTTGGGAGGCCGAGGCGGGTGGATCACGAAGCCAGATTGAGACCATCCTGGCTAACACGGTGAAACACCATATCTACTAAAAATACAAAAAATTAGCCAGGCGTGGTGGCGGCCACCTGTAGTCCCAGCTACTCAGGAGGCTGAGGCAGGAGAATGGCATGAACCCGGGAGGTGGAGCTTGCAATGAGCTGAGATCGCACCACTGCACTCCAGCCTGGACGACAGAGCGAGACTCCATCTCAAAAAAAAGAACTGCAGACAGGCCCTTTGCATCACACTGAACTCTAGGTCTGATGACGTGTATCATCTATGGCCCCACACTATAACACCTTCATCAGATGACAAGCTACCTGGGCAGCAGGATAAACAAAAGCATTTCAGACAACCTGTCATACTCCCTGCTAATCAACAGAAAGGCCAGGTGCCTATGCTCCTAGCACTCTGGGACGCTGAGGCAGGACAATCACTTGAGGCCAGGAAATTCAAGAGCAGCCCGGCCAACATAGCAAGACCCAGACTCAACTAAAAAGATAAAGAATTAGCTAAGCACAGCTGGGCACGGTGGCTCACGCCTGTAATCCCAGCACTTTGGGAGGCTGAGGTGGGCAGATCACGAGGTCAGGAGATCGAGACCATCCTGGCTAACCTGGTGAAACCCCGTCTCTACTAAAAATTCAAAAAATTAGCCAGGCGTGGTGGCGGCCACCTGCAGTCCCAGCTACTCAGGAGGCTGAGGCAGGAGAATGGTGTGAACTCAGGAGGCGGAGCTTGCAGTGAGAGGAAATTGCGCCACTGCACTCCAGCCTGGGCTGGAGCAAGACTCTGTCTCAAACAAAAAGAATTAGCCAAGCATGGTGGCATGTGCCTGTAGTCCTAGCTATGCAGAAAGCTGAGGTGGGAGGATCACTTGAATCCAGGAGTTGGAAGCTGCAGTGAGCTGCGATCACACCACCATACTCCAGCCTGGGTGACAGAGACCCTGTCTCAAAAAAAAAAAAAAAAAAAATGTCTGGAAGGAGCACATACCCCAGAATGGAGGCGGGGGAGAGTCACCAGTCTTTGCCTTTGTGGGGAGTGGATTCCTGCACTCTAACAGACTCACCCAGCTTGGGGGCAGGAGAGAACCCCGAGGTACCATCCAGCACCTGTGTGCCCCCAGGCAACAGGCCCCGGGCTTGGGCCTTTGCCTCTTCGATAGCGTGCTTTCTTTTTTCCACTTCACCCTCCAGGTGTGTGAGATCAACCTGCAAAAGCCAGAAGGTGTCCGTTCAGAACCAGGTGTTTCTGGCCAAACACAAACGCATACGTTACATGAAAAAATGCCGAAGAACCTTTTTCCGAGCATAAAGCTGCAAGATCTTTAAGCAGATTTCCTGAATTTCTTCTTCAGTTGCTCCAAACAAAAGAAACCAATGGGGACGATTGGGCAAAGGGATCTGTAAAAACAAACACTATCATCATTACACTTTCCTCAACTTCACGGCCAGCAAGACTCAGGACAATTAAAAAACAGCCTGTTGGTCACGAAAATGCTTTGGCCCAGATTAGAGTAATTTGAAGAATAACACAGTAAAGTTTACTGGAGGCTGGAGAAAAAAAAATCAGACTAGAATCTCTCCATAGTAGCAACACACTGACCTCCAGCGTCCGGGCAGCAAGATAAATGCAGGCACAGGCGATGCTCTCTGGCTGGAACCGCACGAAGACGTCGGTGCGAAGGCTGTCGTTCATGTAATTCCTGGAAGCCAAACACAGGAAGAACTGCAATGCCCCACCCGGGAACCCAGGTCTTCCGCCTGCATTATCTAGAGAAAATCTAGATAAACGTACTACTCCTCTAAGGAGTCTATTGCTAGGACTCAGAGCTAGACAGTCCTGTGAATCTCAAGAGTTAATGGAGAAATATTCTAGCTGCTTTTTCTAAATACAGTAAATACAGGACAGAAAGGCACAGAAATTATTAGAAAAAAAAAAAGCTGGCTGAATGTCAGACAATACGTGTTGCTATGAAAGAGAACCGACTTTAACTTTACTTTTCCCCTCAACCTTGGCCTGCTCTCATGCAAAGCACGATGCCTCAGAAAGAAAATGTCTACTGGAGTCACTAAAACGCTTTTGATTAAAGAAATCTAAATGCTCAAAATCCATAGTGCAGAGAAACATGCAAACTCAAATGAACTGGCTGAGCACAAAGCCGGTGTGGCTGCTGGGAGACAAGCCATCCTCTTGGGTTCCTCTTCCTCTTCCTCCAGGGCGCTGGCGGCAGGCCCCTTCTCTGCTGACCGAGCTGCAGCTTCCTTGAAGGAGTCCACTTGGAAGAGGGAAAAGCCCCTTGGGTGCAAGTTGGACGCGTGGGAGCATCGTGCGGAGGGAGACTCCGCACCCAAGGGCAGGCCTCTTCTCGGGCTCATCAGAGCCGCTGCCAACTGTCCCATTTCAACAAGGGGTCTTAAAATGAACATTCATAGAATCAGAAGCAACACAATACTGAGAAGCAACATGATACTGAGAAGCAACATAATACTGAACATTTCATCACAGTACATTCTTTAACTTTCATATTTAGAAGCTATAAACATACAAAAATTTACATTTTTTAAAAGTTAAAGCATTTAAAACCTGGCTACATTTTGAGCATTTCCTTTAGATCTCTAAGATTTAATAGACTAAAACCAGACCTTACACTAGCTTTATGAATACTGCAAAAACAGAAAGGGTGATTCCATGAGGACAGTTGAACTGGTTTTATATTTACTGCTCCTCACATACCCCAATAACGGGGAGCCTTGGAGTGGGGCTGCACCCGCAGACGAGGTGGGTTGTGAGGGAATCTGACCCATGACCTTCCAGCAATATCTCTGTCCTAAATAAACCTTGGAGAAGGTAACATACAAACCCACTCAAGAGATTTCTAAATGGGAAGTCCTACAGGTGCCTCTTGGAGACACCCGGCTCTGGAAGCAGCTCCAGGCATCACGGGGGAATCTGTGTGGCGGCCGTGTGGCCCCAGCCCCTGATGCAAGCGTGCCAGTGCACAGCTCTAACACAGATACATTCAACAATCAGTAACCTTTCGGTGTCTAATCAACAACTGTCAGTATTCAAGTAGTGATATTAATCCACGAACTTAAAATTCTTAAAAACAAATGAAATCTTGAGAACATATAAACTTATTGCTGTATTTGAAGTGATACAATATTTTTCAAAGTATCCATGAAATAATTTAAAGATGCACACCTTTTACCAGAGCGTGTCATGCAAAGCTGCTCAAAAGAGCAACTTCAGGGCTTCTAGAAATCATGACATAACCCCACACTGACACAGCCAATTTGTCTCTTCAATTCTCACAGCTTTCCATAGCATTTTTTTTTAAGAGAAAGGTACTGCATCTTTATCATACAGGTACAGCAGTTTTAAAGGGACAAAATTCAAGTCAAGACAGTTACCAACTCTAATCAATACGATTACCAAAGCACGACAGAGGATTAACAAGAAGCACAATCGTCAGAGAACCACAGCAGGAGTCGGCCATGGCTATGCTATGTGCGTACCACCAGTCTAGAGCCAGCCTTCGGTGGAGAGCCTGCACTGGATTGGCTGAAGATGCCGCTGTCCCTGCACCAAAGCGCTTGGACAGCAGAGGAGAAGTCTTAGTCACTTACCCTCAGAGGCTACCCTTTGATTGAAAGAGTACAGAAAAGAAAAGTCAAAATAGGTTCTCTATTAAACATGTCATAGCACCAGACAATTCAGTCAGCAAAAATATGACCCTTACAGACTTAACTCCATGGGAAAAAATTCACCAGAATCCCCAGAATCCCCCAAATACTACATTGCACTTTAGGGTTCCTTTCTAGCACATGCATTGCTAAAATCGGCCCCAGAACCTTCTCTGCCCCTCTCCCATGGGATGCAATGTCAGTGGAGAAACAGACCAAGTCTGCACTAGCCTGTCCCTCCACCCTCCCCAGGAAAAGGTCCCCCTGCGCCAAGTCAACAGCTCCCAGAGGAAGCCCACTGACTGCTCTCTTCAGGGTGGGGGACACAGGAAGTCCAGGCTTGCAGGGAGGGGACGGGCCACCTACCGTGACTGCCAGTGCCCATTTTGGGAGTCTGATTGGAATTTATACAGCAGGAGCACTGGGCACTCGGACAACTCCAGCCCACAACCAAGTCACTGGGCTGCCTACCCACTGCCCAAGTGCCTCAAGTCAACACATTCCTGCACTGCCCTTGCTGGTCTCATAAAACAAGGAAGCTCAACTCACCATGAGGTCTGGACCAGGTGTTGGTTACGCTCACACTCTAACACCTGAAGGTACATAACGATTATCTGGAAGATACGGGTCAGGCAGTTATTACCAAGAACCTTAAGAGCCCAGAATTCAGATCTTGTGGGTGTCCATGCAGCAAACAAGAGCCTCAAGCTAGATCCCAGGAGTGGCTCCTGGCCACACGTCTGGCGGACGGCTCAGCTGGAGGGAGCTTTGCGATTGCACCTGCTGTCTGCCTTGGCAGCCAGGCAGGACGCATGCCCGTGAGCCCAGCCACACAACCCACGGCACAGGCCTCGTTCTTCATGGGGCTGGTTTCATTCTAGTCTTCAATGCCTTTCCACCAGTGAGGTTGGCCTGTCCTACACGTCTCTGTATCCCAGTTAACAACTCACCAAAACACAATATGAACATACTTTCAGCAAACAGAGAAGAACACTTCAGGCCAGGCACACTGGCTCATGCCTATAATCCCAGCACTTTGGGAGGCTGAGGCGGGCAGATCACCTGAGGTCAGGAGTTCGAGAACAGCCTGACCAATATGGAGAAACCCAGTCTCTACTAAAAATACAAAATTAGTCAGGCATGGTGGTGCACGCCTGTAATCCCAGGTACTCAGGAGGCTGAGGCAGGAGAATCGCTTGAAACCAGGAGGCGGAGGCTGCATGAGCTGAGGTTGCGCCATTGCACTCCAGCCTGGACAACAGAGCGAGATTCCGTCTCCAAAAAAAAAAAAAAAGCACTTCAATCTGTGGTGGGCAATTTGTGGATAATTTGAACAGATGGCAGAAAGCCGAACAAGCAGATGAGGAAACCCACCAATAAAAAGGAGATGGAACCAAAGATGGAAACAATTTTTTGGGAAAACAAGTGCTTTGTTTCCATGTGACACAGAAGGCACCCACAACGCTGGGAGTGAGGGACCGTGTCACGGCCATGGTCCTCAGTCAGTACATGCCGCAAAACTCGCCAGTCATTTCAGACTAAAGGGGCCAGAATTCCCCTAATTTCTCCATAAGAGAAAGTAAAGCTATCACTAAAGCAAATGTAGAAAATTAACTGTTGAGGCTGGGTGCAGTGGCTCACACTTGTAATCCCAGAACTTTGGGAGGCCGAGGCAGGTGCATCACCTGAGATCAGGAGTTTGAGACCAGCCCGGCCAACATGACGAAACCCCATCTCTACTAAAGATACAAAAATTACCCAGGTGTGGTGGCGCATGCCTGTAATCCCAGCTACTTGGGAGGCTGAGGCACAAGAATCACTTGAACCTGGGAGGCAGAGGTTGCAGTGAGCCAAGATTGCACCACTGCACTCCAGCCTGCATGACAGAGTAAGACTCCGTCTCAAGAAAAAAAAAAAAAAAAAAAAAAAAGGCCAGGCACAGTGGCTTATGCCTGTAATCCCAGCACTTTGGGAGGCCAAGGTGGGAGGATCACGAGGGCAAGAGATGAAGACCATTCTGGCCAACATGGTGAAACCCCGTCTCTACTAAAAATACAAAAATCAGCTCGGCGTGGTGGCACGTGCCTGTAGTGCCAGCTACTCAGGAGGCTGAGGCAGGAGAATGGCTTGAAGCCGGGAGGTGGAGGTTGTGCCTCCACTGCCACTGCCACCATGCCACTGCACTCCAGCCTGGCGATAGAGCGAAACTCCATCTCAAAAAAAAAGAAAACAAAAAAAAATTAACTGTAGAGAAAGGAAAACATAAACTAAAATTCAACATTTATAAACTCACCACTATTTTTGAAAGCCCAAACTTAAATAATACCATTTCCAAAACACTTAAAAATGTGTTACTAAAATAAACAGCTGACACTAGAAGACGAATACGTCAGGAACTATTCTTGAGATTATAAATAGAAACTGGAAAGCCAAGTCAGGGATGCACTCAGTCCTCTTCAGAGCCTTCAACTGCACTGAGGTGGAGAGAGGCGGCCAGGCAGGAGCAGCGGCCTAGGCGGGCTCGCAGGGCAGGAGCCGCACACCCACCTTATGAGGATGCTTCACATGGACGCAGAAACCCAACTCTTTGAGAACTCGTCTTTCCGCCTTTATAATTTGGTTCTTTAAATTAACATAATCTTGATCCAGTAGTAGAGGCACGGGCTTCCTGCCAGAGAGAGAGCACAGGGTCTGCACCACAGTCAAGCAGAGCAAGGCTTCTGAGATCCCGTCGTTACCTCCAACTATGAGCACCTAACACAAACCCCACAACACAACATCGCTATGAAGTCCACATCCTCTGATGAACAAAACTGCACACCGCTCCCCACAGCCCAGTGCCAACCTCCTCATCCCTTCCCAACGATCCCTCCCTGCTTTTCCTTATAGATCAACAGCTTCTGGTGCACAAGCATAGACCGAACATAGCAAGTTTTAGGATCTCGTGGCACAAATGCTAAAGCACTTTATGTGACTCACGATAGGAAGGTACATATTCACAGTTCAATAACCACAGAACCAATGAAAGCACAATTATTTAAATACAGATGGGCCAGGTGCAGTGGCTCTGCCTGTAATCCCAGCACTTTGGGAGGCGAGGCAGGCAGACTGCCTGAGCTCAGGAGTTCAAGACCAGTCTGACCAACATGGTGAAACCCTGTCTCTACTAAAAAAATGCAAAAATTAGCCGGGCGTGGTGGCGGGTGCTTGTAATCCCAGCTACTCAGGAGGCTGAGGCAGGAGATTCACTTGAACCCAGGAGGCGGAGGTTTCAGTGAGCCGAGATCGCATCACTGCACTCCAGCCTGGGTGACACGGTGAGACACAGTGAGAGTCCGTCTCAGAAAAAAAAAAAAAAAAAAAGGGCTGGGTGCAGTGGCTCACACCTGTAACCCCAGCACTTTGGGAGGCCGATGAGGCCATGTTTTTTCTTTTTTTGAGATGGAGTCTCACTCTGTTGCCCAGGCTGGAGTGCAGTGGCGCGCTCTTGGCTCACTATAACCTCCACCTCCCAGGTTCAAGCAATTCTCCTGCCTCAGCCTCCCAAGTAGCTGGTATTACAGGCATGCACCACCACGACCAGCTAATTTTATATTTGTAGTAGAGATGGGGTTTCTACATGTTGGTCAGGCTGGTCTCGAACTCCCGACCTCAGATGATCCACCCGCCTTGGCCTCCCAAAGTGCTGGGACTATAGGCGTGAGCCACTGCGCTCGGCAAGGCTGTTTTTTTTTTTTTTTTTTTTTTTTTTGAGACAGAGTTTCACTTTTGTTGCCCAGGCTGGAGTGCAATGGCACAATCTCAGCTCACTGCACCTCTAACTCCCCGGTTCCAGCGATTCTCCTGCCTCACCCTCCCGAATAGCTGGGATTACAGGCACCCGCAACCACACCCGGCTAATTTTTTTTTTATTTTTTTTTGAGACGGAGTCTTGCTCTGTCGCCCAGGCTGGAGTGCAGTGGCCCGATCTCAGCTCACTGCAAGCTCCACCTCCCGGGTTCACGCCATTCTCCTGCCTCAGCCTCCCAAGTAGCTGGGACCACAGGCACCCGCCACCACGCCTGGCTAACTTTTTTGTATTTTTAGTAGACGGGGTTTCACCGTGTTAGCCAGGATGGTCTCGATCTCCTGACCTCGTGATCCACCCGCCTCGGCCTCCCAAAGTGCTGGGATTACAGGCGTGAGCCACTGCACCTGGCCAATTTTTGTGTTCTTAATAGGGACAGGGTTTCACCATATTGGTTAGGCTGGTCTCGAACTCCTGACCTTAGGTGATCCACCTGCCTAGGCCTCCCAACGTGCTGGGATTACAGGCCAGCCCGGCCAGAGGCTGTGTTTTCTAAAGGACTTCAATTAACTTCAGGTGCATAAACCCTGGGCTAAGGTCAGAGGCAGCGGTTCTCTGCTGGAGAAATTTTACTATTCCAGGGCCATGAAGCAACATCAACAGACTTTCGTTTTTTTTGGAAACAGGGCCTCACCCTGTTGTCCAGGCTGGAGTGCAGTGGTGACATCACAGCTCACTGCAGCCTCAATCTCCTGGCCTCAAGCAAACCTCCTTTTTCAGTCTCCCAAGTGCTGAGATGACAGGTGTGAGCTCCCACATCTGGTATGAGAGAATTTCTGGCTGTCACATCTAAGGTGGGGTACTCCTGTCATCCAGTGAGTCGAGACCAGGGATGTTGCTGAATCCTGCAGCACACAGGAGAATCCCCTACAACTAAAGATTACCCAGCCAGATGCGGTGGCTGAAATCTGTAATCCCAGTGCTTTGGGAGGCTAAGGCCAGCAAATCCTTGGAGCCCAGGAATTTGAGACCAGCCTGGGCAACACAGCATGACCCCATCTTTACCAAATAAAAAATAAAAATTAGCTGGCATGGTTGGCGTGCTCCTATAGTCCCAGCTACTCAGGAGGCTGAGGCAGGAGAAACTCTTGAGCCTAGGAGGTTGAGGCTGTAGTGAGCCATGATCATACCACCGCACTCTGCCCTGGACAACAGGAAACCTGTCTCAGGAGGAAAAAAAAGATTATCCAGCCTGAATGTCAATAGTGCTGAGATTAAGATTCCCTGCTCCAGAGCACTCAGAAACTTGTGGGACAGAAGCAGCAGCAGGGCCGTGCACTGACATGGGTAAAGCAGGAAGCCAGCCCCAGCGCGACCCGCCACAGCGCACTGTCCTCACTGGAGCCCCTGCCCTTACTAAACCGCATCTACTGATGCCTCTGAGCAGGCTCTGTTGGTGGAGCTTGAGACTGCGCTCATGAATATCCCACAGGTTTAGAGCCTCAGGCCTGTATTGTGTTATACAAGCCTTACTGTAACTTAATCAGAAATAAAGAAAATAGGCATCTATGATAGACTAGACAGCTCTGACTGACTCACTTTTTGTCTCTCAGCTGTCGAAGGCGGTGAAACACATTGATGACGTCCCGTATGCGTCTTGGGGCCTCTTCTATCTTGGAAGCCAGGTGGACACAGGCCATTGACACATGCTGAAGCGGAAGCATTGCAACACGCCCATGTTTGTCCCCAGCCACGGCGTCCTGACGGCCGCCAAAGGCTTGAGGGCTATTCAGACCAAAAGGGAGGTGCACCCAGGGGAAAAAAAAAGTCAAGAAACAGAACCCTCCGGCACAGAGCTCAGACTGGGGGGCAAGTACTCACTCCCTTAGTAACCGGGCAAAGTAACAAACCGTTTTACCCTCAACATACTTCGCTGGGAATGAAGTGCAGGAGGAAGCCTTACCTCCATGGAGTGCTTCACGAAGGACTTGGTATAAAAGAACCGCTGGAACAACACCTGCCCGGTAGCCATGGCCACCTAGAGTAGAAGAAAGTTTCCGTATTTTCAAACGCACCATTCAAAGCCTTCGCGGCCGAAAGTCATCGAGTAACGTGGGACTCCCCACGCAGAACCAAACACTGAAACGCTTCCCACGTCCACAAAGGCTCTTCGCGTCCCGCCGTCTCGGGATCCAGCGCACTGGCGGGCGGGGAGGCCCCGGGTCAGGGGCATGGGCTGGCTAGGGAATGGCGCCGAGGCTGGGGTCGGGGCAGGGGCTGGGGTCGGGGTCTAGGCGGGGGCGGTGCGGGCCCGACTCGCCGCCAACAAAGGCGGCTGCCGCCCCAGCGGTTACCTGGGCCGGAGGCTCGCGGCCGCGCCCTCACCTGCGGCAGGCGGAGCAGGATACCGGCCGCCTGGATGAGCTCGCAGCCCACCACGCGGAGGTCGGTCTCTGTGTCGGTGTCGAGGCCGCTCGACATGGACGGCGTGAAACGGAGCTTGTCGTCAGGCAGGAGGCAGTTCTCCAAGGTGATGAGCACCCCGGAGTACAGCCTGTCCCCGATCAGCACCCCCTGCGACCCTGAGGGTGCGCCCCCAGATCCCGGGGCGCCGGCCGCTGCCGCGGGAGCTGCCGACCCTGCAGCACCAGCCGCCGCCGCCGCCGCCGCCATTTTGTGCCGCCGACTCCCCTTCGGCTTCTTCCCTCAGGGCGGCTCCTCGCGAAGCTCCACGGCCGCCACCGCCCCGCCCCGTCGCGTGCCATTGGTTCGGCCCGCGACCAGCGCGACGCCGCCTAGCCGCAATTGGCTACATAACCTGCCCGTCAGCAACGCGCCTAACGCCGACGCCGGAACCTGGCGCGGGTGGGGCGGGCTCGTTACCCAGGGGACTCCGCGGTGCCGGCCGACCCGGAAGCATGTCTGTCCCTAGCGGAGGCGCGGGTGCCGTGCTGAGAGCGCCTGCCTGTGCGCCCCGAGCGGGGCTGGGACTCTTCCAAGATGCCCACGTTCGCACAGAGACCCCGGATCGCGGAAGCTCGCGTCTCGAAAGGCCTGTGGGTCAAGGGGGGCCATCTCGGTGGGATCTGGGGCGGGACGACCCCCACTGCTGAACCCTGGGCGCGGGGCAGGGTCAGAGGCTCCGCTCGGCCTCCCCCTGGATGAGACGCGCATGCCCGGTGTCCCCCGGCCGCCGTCGGCGTCGTGTCTTCAGTCCTTATCGACTCCAGACTTTGGGGATGCGTATTAACGCCAGACTCCTGCAAAGTCTTGCCTTCAACACTCAGCCCCTGGGGAGAGACGGGTGGAGGGATGACTGGAAACGTGGCCTCGACGTCCCTACAGAGCCCCTCCAGCGTGGGGAGGCCTAAGTACCTCAAGGTTCAGGCCCACGGAAGGAGTCGGGGGAGCGAGGCCCGGTGATCTACGTGTGAAGGAGCTTGGACAGGACCTCACAAACGCCAGGGAGACGGCGAGGGGGTTCGTGCGTTTGTAACGTCTTGACATCGCTGATCCTCCCGCAGGCGGTCTCACGCCCTGCCCGTCCTGGGTTCACGGTTTTTCATCACCTGCGGCTGTCCTGCGATCGACCACAGCTGTGCAGGAGGGGCAGGAGGTATCTGTTGCTGCAGTTACCGGAACCTTTGCCAGGACTAGTACAGGACCACGGGTGAGGATGGTGGGGAAGCCTGCGTGGGGCAGGGAACGGTGAGGCAGGAAGAGGGAAGGGCAGCAGAGGCCTGAGTGGTTGCAGGTTCACACACTGAGCTGCCAGTAACTGCCCAGCTCAGACGGGCTCAAATTCAGAAGCCACCATTGCTCCTCACCCCCACCCCCAGGTCAGCTGTCCACTAGCTCTGCCATGACTTGATACTGCAGCTCAAACAGTGCCAACCAAAACCCACTCTCCTCACCGCCTGTTATGGGTAACACGGTATGGTTACAGCTTTACTCATGTCCTCTTTCCCCAGGCTGGTAGCTCAGGGATGTCTCGTCTGTGAGTTACAGCTGCACGCTCTCCAGGAAAGAAGGAATTTCCTCTTCTCTGGAAACCCCACCACACAGCTGGTTTCTCATTGGTGCTGCTTGCCCATTCCCTGAGCTGTGACTGCCAGAGGAGTGGGAGGTTGGTGGTGCCTCCAGCCCATCAGGGGCAGGCCCTGGGACCGCCTGGGAACAGGAGGACTATGGCACAAACCGAGTGAGTGATGGGAGCAACCCGCAGGGCTCTGCCACATCCCTGTCTTCCTTCACTGACATGAAACGCAGAAAAGGCAGCTTTGCCACAACACAGGAGCACGCACCGAATGTGGCCGCCCAGGGCTCTGTCCTTGACCCTGTTGTCCAGGACTGTTTACCAAGGGCTGACAGGCACTGAGTGCCCCGTGCACCTGGCCAGACACTGCACTCATGCAGCGGAAAGGACAGTGAACGAGACTTTGTCCCTGGCCTCCAAAGGCTTAGGGCGTAGTGGCTGTCATGAGGCACAGTGACAAGGGCCAGGAGGGGGACCTCTTAGGGGGCCATGCAGTGATGGAAGCCAGAAGGAATGAAGGCCTGCAGTGAGGATGGAGTGGTCGGCCTGAAGCCATCTCTAGCAAGTGGTCAGGACGCTGATTGTTCTGCGCAGGTTGGAGGTAGGTGGTGAGTCTGAGAAAGGGGCCGGAAAGACTCCCCAGCAACTGCTGGCAAAGGGTGAAGGGCACGTTCCCACAGGATTCAAGCCAGCTGCCTTTGGAGGGGAGACGGGCACTCAGTTTAGGCGCTCCTACAGCAGGGTCAGCAAGAC
The DNA here is from genome assembly GCF_000001405.40 of Homo sapiens. NCBI lineage: Eukaryota > Metazoa > Chordata > Mammalia > Primates > Hominidae > Homo > Homo sapiens. Next base: position 1,401,423 of record NC_000001.11, read on the forward strand.
AAGCAGGTTGCGGCAAGGGTCTGCGCACTGCTGTGTAAATGTAGGGGCATCGGGGGGCAGAAAGACCAGGGGAGAAGTGTGCATCACCCTTGGGGTTAAGGGACAGTTGTCTGCTAGGTGTTGCTTCCTGGAGATGGCTGAAAAGCCAGTCCAGTCTGCAGGGACCAGGCCACCACCCACCTGATGTGGGAGCATTTCCCCCAATCCCTGCTGGGCTGCTGAATCTGGGGGACATAGGGAAGCTGAGGCTGGTGTTCTGAGTAGTGGCAGAGCTGAGCCACAGGGCATGTCTGAGGTCAGCCCCGAGCAAAATGGAATAGGGACTCAGGGTGGGTCAGGTAACTGGAAAGCGGGCACTGTGCACGCAGCCCTTGAGGGGAGCCAGGGTGGGTGGGGATCCCCCACTGTGTGCAGAAGGCAGCAGCCTTGGAAGCAGGGTGTGCTCCTCGGTGTGGTCGCTCGATACCAGAAAATGACTCTAAAAACTGAAGAGTGTTTGAGTTTCATTCACACAAAACATGGACATCATCTGTGAGGCTCTGTCCCAGAGAGACAGGGCCATCCCTCATGTCTGTTATTGGGTTGTAGATAAACAAAAGTATAAATCAAACAAACTGCAAATTACTCTGTCTCTTTTCCTAATCAATACAGCAACAGTCCTCAGTGGTACTGCACCACTCTGGAAAAAATGCCTTCAGGTTCCTTCCCATCCCCCAAGGCAGCAGCAAATCCTTCGTGTCGCCTCCTACTGGCCAAGGCAGCCAAAGATTTGAAAGTCTTTGGCTCGTAGATGGCCAGATCCGCTAGGACTTTCCTGTTGAGCTCCACCTGGCACTGAAAAAAGAATGAATCAGAACCTGCTGTCAGTGTGAGACACACACTCCGGCTCCGCGTGGTTGCGGCGCTGGCTCAGGAAGAACCCAGCTGCACACTCGCCTGGGGGGAGGGAAGGCCTAGGAGAATCCTATCTGGGTGGCACAGCAGAGGACTTCCAGGCAGGATGCTGAAGGATAAATGTGGACACGGGTGAGGGAAGCACCTGTGGAATCTGCAGGGAGGCTGGACTCCAGTCCTGATGTCGGCCCGGGGAACCAAACACCTTGTTCAGGGTCCTTGGTCACCACCCTGACTGAGCTGACTGCTGGCCTAGGGTAACCCTTTAAGCCAACCTGGAAGTGCCTGCAAGAACCACAGAGGATTTCAGAAGCTAGTGAACAATGCCAGAGTTTAAGGAGTAGAAAAGGGGGGCCGTCTCTTTGAGCATTAAATTCAGCTACCAAGGCAGGGCACGGTGTCTCGCCTGTAATCCCAGCACTTTGGGAGGCCAAGGCAGGCAGGTCACCTGAGGTCGGAAGTTCGAGACTAGTCTGACCAACATGGAGAAACCCTGTCTGTACTAAAAAATACAAGAAAAAAAACCACAAGGCCAGGCGCGGTGGCTCATGCCTGTAATCTGAGCACTTTGGGAGGCTGAGGCAGGCGGATCACCAGGTCAGGAGATCAAGACCATCCTGGCTAACACGGTGAAACCCTGTCTCTACCAAAAATACAAAAAAATGAGCTGGGCATGGTGGTAGTCACCTGTAGTCTCAGCTACTCAGGAGGCTGAGGCAGGAGAATGGTGTGAACCCGGGAATTGGAGCTTTCAGTGAGCCAAGATCGCGCCACTTCACTCCAGCCTGAGCAACAGAGTGAGATTGTATCCAAAAAAAAAAAGGAACAAAAACACAAAATTCGGCTACCGAGGACAAAGTGGCCTACTACCTGTGACCTAACTGTACTACCTGTGACCTGTATGCTTTGTGCAAAGTCTGTCTCCTTTCTTTCTTTCTTTTTTTTGAAACAGAGTCTCACTGTGTCGCCCAAGCTGGAGTGCAGTGGTGCGATCTCAGCTCATTGCAAGCTCCACCTCCCAGGTTCATGCCATTCTCCTGCCTCAGCCTCACAAGTAGCTGGGACTACAGGTGCCCGCCACCGCACCTGGCTACTTTTTGTATTTTTAGTAGAGATGGTGTTTCACCATGTTAGCCAGGATGGTCTCGATCTCCTGACCTCGTGATCCACCCGCCTCAGCCTCACAAAGTGCTGGGATTACAGGCGTGAGCCACCGTGCCCGGCCAAGTATGTCTCCTTTCTTAACTACAGTTCCCTGAGTAAAATGGGAAAGTCAAACCTCCTAAGCCTACCCTGAAGATCTTTGTAAAGCACCAAAGAGTGCCTTCTGCAAAATACCCACCCCCTCAACCTTTTAGGAAAAACTTAATGTACACAAGCAGAGGGACTAGCATAATGACCAGATTCAGTAATCACCAAGATTTTGCTACACTTGCATAAACCATCCGTTCGCTCCAAAACATTCCCCTTCCTTTCTGTAAGTTCCTATTTCACCTGCTATGTCATCAGAAATCACTCATTATTAAAACTTTTTGTTGTTGTTGAGACACAGTCACACACTGTCGCCCACGCTGGAGTACACTGGTGTGATCTCAGCCCACTGCAACTTCTGCCTTCTGGATTCAAGCCAATCTCCTGCCTCAGCCTCCCGAGTAGCATACAGGCGCATGCCAGCACCACGCCTGGCTCATTTTGTATTTTGAATAGAGACAGAGTTTTACCACATTGCCCAGGCTGCTGTCGAACTCCTGATGTCAGGTGATCAGCCCGCCTCTGCCTCTGCCTCTCAACATACTGGGATTACAAGTGTAAGCCACCGCACCCAGCCTCATTGTTTTAACTTTTTTTTTTTTTTGAGATGGAGTCTCGCTCTGTCGACCAGCCTGGAGTGCAGTGGCGCGATCTCAGCTCACTGCAATCTCCGTCTCCCGGGTTCACGCCATTCTCCTGCCTCAGCCTCCCGAGTAGCTGGGACTACAGATGCCCGCCACCACGCCTGGCTAATTTTTTTGTATTTTTAGTAGAGTCGGGGTTTCACCATGTTAGCCAGGATGGTCTCGATCTCCTGACCTTGTGATCCACCTGCCTCAGCCTCCCAAAGTGCTGGGATTACAGGTGTGAGCCACCGCGCCTGGCCTGTTTAAACTTTCAAATTAAACTTTGAAGTTAAAGTCAAGTTTTTCTACACTTTTTTTTTTTTTTGAGACAGAGTCTCACTCTGTTGCCCAGGCTGCAGTGCAGTGGCGTGAACTCGGCTCACTGCAGCCTCTGCCTCCCAAGTTCAAGCGATTCTCCAGCCTCAGCCTCCTGAGTAGCTGGGACTACAGGTGCCGGCCACCATGCCCAGCTAATTTTTCGTATTTTTAGTAGAGACCGGGTTTCACCTGTTAGCCAGGATGGTCTCAATATCCTGACCTCATGATCTGTCCGCCTCAGCCTTCCAAAGTGTTGGGATGCCTGGCCTTTTTTCTTAATGGGGAAACATCAGGACTTACATCCCAGAAAGACGTGCCCTGTTTCCAATTCTGCTCTGCTGCCAACCAGTGCGGTAAGCTCCCAGACCTGCCAGAACCCCACACCAAGACAGAGTGCAGCTACGGTGCAGCTGGAGTGGCACTCCTCGCCTCTGCCACATGGACTGCTAACAGGCTGCGCCAGGTCTGATGGGAGGGTTTGATTTATTTACTTTTAGAGATGGAGTCTTGCTCTGTTGCCCAGGCTGGAGTGCAGTGGCATGATCTCGGCTCACTGCAGCCTCCGCCTCCCAAATTCAAGCAATTCTCCTGCCTCAGCCTCCAGAGTAGCTGGAATTCTAGGTGCCCGCCACCACACCTGGCTAATTTTTGTATTTTTAGTAGAGACAGGGTTTCACCACGTTGGCCAGGCTAGTCTCCATCTCCTGCCCACCTCAGCCTCCCAAAGTGCTGGGATCACAGGCCTGAGCCACCCTGCCCAGCCATGGCTTTCTTTATTCTGTCAGACGGGGTCCTGCTCTCACCTAGGCTAGAGTGCAGTGGTACCATCATAGCTCACTGCAGCTTCAAACTCCTGGGGGCTCAAAGTGATCCCCCTGCTTCAGACTCCTCAGTAGCTGACATTACATGTCTCTGTACCACCACACCCAGCAAATTTTATTTTTTTGTAGAGAGTGGTCTCACTATGTTGCCCAGGCTGTTGCTGGCACTATTCCTAGGCACAATCTCATCACTCATCAACATGGGAATTGTGACCTGCTCCGTTTCCAGCCTGGGCTGGTTCACCCCTCCTTAGGCAACGTGGTGGTCCCTTGCTCCCAAGAGGTCACCATATTGATACCACACTTAACATGGACACCCCATCAGCATAGCAAACTACAGCCCAGAAGTCAGTCTCCAGGGATCCTCTGGCCTCAGCCTCCTGATTAGCTGGGACTACAGGAAGCACCACCACGCCCCGCATGATGGTTTCTGCAGATGTCCAGAATTTCAGTGGGACCCACATACTCACCCATACCTTAACTAAATTCCCAATGAGCGCTGGATACTTCAGTCCATGTTCCTGGCTAGCAGCTGTAATTCGATTAATCCAGAGCTGAAATAAGAAAACATGAAGATACTTAAAAATGACTTCTGGATGTTATGTCCCAGCAAAGCCTCTAATTGATCTAAAGAATATTTTTCTAAAAGTAAATAGCAAAATCAGTGAGCTATGATGGTGCCATCACTCTGGCCTAAGCGAAATCAAGACCCTGTTTCAAAATTAAAAACAGCAAAAACCCAGCTGGGCACGGTGTCTCACGCCTGTAATCCCAGCACTTTGGGAGGGCAAGGCAGGCAGATCATTTCAGATCTGGAGTTCGAGACCAGCCTGACCAACATGGCGGAACCCGGTCTCTACTAAAAATACAAAAAATAGCTTGGTGGCGCACACCTGCAGTCACAGTTACTCGGGAGACTGGGGCGGGAAAATCGCTTGAACCCGGGAGACGAGGTTGCATTAAGCCTAGATCGCGCCATTGCACTCCAGCCTGGGTGACAGCGCGAGACTCCGTCTCGGGGTAAGAAAAAAAAACCGGGGTACGTTAGATGCTAGGTTCATGAGGCTGAGACGGGAGTGGTGAGGCGCAGTAATGAGGCGGCACGTGGACAGAGTGGAGGCGCCAGCCTCCCAGAAATGCGGGGGGTTCCGGGTGGGCAGAGCTTGGCAGCAGGCGTGGTCTCTTCGAGGAGCACCACGGCAGCAGATAGTAGCCCTGGAGGGTTGGCAAGGGGCTGGGTTGACTTCAGCTGCCAAAGGGAAGGGAAGCCACCGGAGGGATGAGAGCAGCAGCGACTAGGGCGGTGGCTGGCGACGCAGGGAGAGTGTCAAGGCGGCTCTGCAGTGGCCCGGGCGAGGGGCTGGAGCAGGGGGTGACAGTGGGGGTGGCGGCGGGGCGGGAGAACGGATGTCCCACAGTTTGCCTGCGGGGCGACATAATTTGTCGGAGTTTCGAAGCAAGGTATGAAAGGAAGGGGCTGAGGGTGGCCGGGCGGCTGCACACTAGCTGGGTCGCGGCGCAGAAACGCAGGGGCCGCGAGTGCGCTGGCCGGCGGGTGTCCCGGGTCCACGCTTACGGTCCTCATGTTCTTTTTCTTCAGGTATCGGGCTTTGGTGCATTTCACAAAGGCTCGAATCACGGTTCTGACCGCCAACCTGTAGCAGCGATTTTTCCTTCCCCGGAAGTGCTGGGACAGAAAACGAGAAACCAGGGTTGTCAGCGGGGCCCGCGCCGGCCGCCCCTTGGCCCGCGGGATACCCCGGGCGCCCAGTGCCCAGGCCGGGCAGGCGGCACTCACCCTGGCGTGCTTCAGCACCTCCTGGATCCGAAAGTAGCGGTCGGTGACGCGATTCCGCAGCCAGAGCTGCGCGGTGAGGAAGACCATGGCGCCTGCAGGCCGGCGTCCCGAACACTCAACAACGCACGCGCAGCGCCGCTGCCATCTTGCCCGGGTCGGAAATGGTGGTCACGAGCGCTTCCGGGTCAGCCCCTGCGATACTTCCGGGGCGAAGGTCGTCTCCCGTCAGCCCGCGGGTGCCCAGTTGTGCTCCTGAACTCGCGGTGGTGGTGCGTGTTGGGGAGCGGATGTGGGGCCGCGGCGGGGACTGAAAGGAGAACGGGGCCGCAGCGCCCGTGGCTATTCGCGGACGATGGATAAACAGCAGCGCACGCGGACCGTCCCGGAGCACGGCCCCGGCCGCAGCTGTGGCTCCGAGGGCACCGTGAGGGCAGCGGACCCGGGTCGGGGGCCCCGCGGCCGGGGAGCTCGGGTGCGGCGCGGGCGGGGAGGGGCAGGCCGCCCCCTGGGGCCACGAGGATGTTCAGGAACCGAGGTGGAGATGGTCGCATCGGTGTGAAAGTGCCCGTTGCCTCTGAACCTTGCACTTTGTTTACTTACTCATTTTGAGACGGGGTCTCGCCCGGTCGCCCTGGCTGGGGTGCAGCGGCCCGACCTCGGCTCGCCGCGGCCTCTGCCTTCCTAGTAGCTGGGACGTCAGGCGCGCGCCGCCACGCCCGGCTAATTTTTTGTGTTTTTTGTAGAGGGGGCGTCTTCCCGCGTTGGCCAGGCTGTTCTCGGACTGCTGGCTTCTGCTGGGATTACAGGCCTGAGCCACCGCGCCATGCCTGGAAATTCTCAGCTTCGAAATGGTAAATGTGATCGCTGTGGTGCTGATGCCTGTAATCCCAGCACTTTCGGAGGCCGAGGGGGGAGGAACACTTGAGTCCAGGAGTTCAATACCAGCCTGGGCAACATAGTGAGACCCCATCTCTACAAAAAATCAAAAAGAAATTAGCCGGGAGCGGTGGTGGCGCGCGCCTGAGGTCCCAGCTACTCAGGAGGCTGAGACGGGAGGCTCGCCTGAGCTCTGGAGGTGGAGGCTGCAGTGAGCTCAGATTGCACCACCGCACAACAGCCTGGGCAGCGGAGCCAGAGTCTGTCCCAAAAAAATAAGAAGTTTTATATTATGTGTAATTTTATATTTCTGCTATATTATCGAAAAATTGGGGGTGTGCAGTTTCTTTATAACAGTTTATTATACTTGGATATTTTTTAAATCATAGAAGAGTTGGAATACAAGTACAAGGAAAACTCCCCAGTGTTCACTACCAAAATGTGCCAGCTGTTTTCATTTGTTCCATTTGTTTAATACTCTCGAACCAAATTCACCTACTATTTACGTTTTGCTCCATTTTTGAATCATTCTCTCTGTAAATATAAACATAATGGATTTTTTTCCTAAACCATTTGAGACGCTGGAGACACCTAAACACTTTGCTGTGTATTTACTCTTAGGAACCACACCGTAGAATGGTCAAAATCCGGACCCAGCCCACACTCCAGATTTAACTCGCTTCAAATGTCTTTTATACCTTTTTTTCCCTGTTGAGGATTCAGTCTAGGATGACGCACTGCATTTGTTGTTGTGTTTCTTGTTTTGTTTTGTTTTTTTCTGTTTTTGAGACGGAGTTTTGCTCCGTCGCCCAGTCTGGAGTACAAAGGTGCGATCTCGGCTGACCGCAACCTCTGCCTACCCGGTTCAAGTGATTCTCCTGCCTCAGCCTCCCGAGTATCTGGGATTACAGGCGCACACCGCCACTCCCAGCTAATTTTTGTATTTTTAGTAGAGACGGGATTTCACAATGTTGGCCAGGCTGGTCTCGAACTCCCGACCTTAAATGACCAGGCTGACCAACATGGTCAGCTACTCAGGAGGCTGAGGCAGGAGAATCGCTTGAACCCGGGAGGCAGAGTTTGCGGTGAGCCGAGATCCCGCCATTCATTGCACTCCAGCCTCGGAAACTAGCAAAACTCCATCTTAAAAAAAAAGAGGAGGCCGGGTGCAGTGGCTCTGCACAACACTTTGGGAGGCCGAGGCAGGTGGATCACCTGAGGTCAGAAATCCGAGACCAGCCTGGCCAACATGGTGGAACCCCATCTCTACTAAAAATGCAAAAAGTAGCCGGGCGTGGTAGCGGGCCCCAGTAATCCCAGCTGAGGTGGGAGAATTGCTTGAACCCGGGAGGCCAAGGCTGCAGTGAGCCAAGATCGCACCACTGCACTCTAGCGTGGGTGACAGATCAAGACCTTGTCTCAAAAAACAAGAAGAAGAAAAACTACTTTTTTTTTTTCAGATGGGGTCTCACTCTCACCCAGTCTGGAGTGCAGTGGCGCCATCTCAGCTCATTGCAGCCTCTGCCTCCTGGGCTTGAGTGATCTTCCCACCTCGACCTCCTGAGTAGCTGAACCACAAGTGCATGCCTGGCCAATTTTTGTATTTTTGGTAGAAATGGAGTTTCACCATGTTGCCCAGGCTGGTCTCAAAACTGGCCTCCCAAAGTGCTGGGATTACAGACACAACTGGCCTACCTGCAGGATTTTCAGTTTATGGACATGACTGACTGGAGACATGGAGAAGCTGTTGTTATTGGAGATTTTTATTACTCGCATTTCCTGAGCGATGGGGACACTCACTGTGGGGAAAAGCAAGAGAGATCAGATTGTTACTGTGTCTGTGTAGAAAGAAGTAGACATAGGAGACTCCATTTTGTTCTGTACTAAGAAAAATTCTTCTGCCTTGGGATCCTGTTGATCTGTGACCTTACCCCCAACCCCGTGCTCTCTGAAACATGTGCTACGTCCACTCAGGGTTAAATGGATTAAGGGCGGTGCAAGATGTGCTTTGTTAAACAGATGCTTGAAGGCAGCACGCTCCTTAAGAGTCATCACCACTCCCTAATCTCAAGTACCCAGGGACACAGAAACTGCGGAAGGCCGCAGGGTCCTCTGCCTAGGAAAGCCAGGTATTGTCCAAGGTTTCTCCCCATGTGATAGTCTGAAATATGGCCTCGTGGGAAGGGAAAGACCTGACCGTCCCCCAGCCCGACACCCGTAAAGGGTCTGTGCTGAGGAGGATTAGTATAAGAGGAAGGAATGCCTCTTGCAGTTGAGACAAGAGGAAGGCATCTGTCTCCTGCCTGTCCCTGGGCAATGGAATGTCTCAGTATAAAACCCGATTGTATGTTCCATCTACTGAGATGGGGAAAAACCGCCTTAGGGCTGGAGGTGGGACCCGCGGGCAGCAATACTGCTTTGTAAAGCATTGAGATGTTTATGTGTATGCATATCTAAAGCACAGCACTTAATCCTTTACATTGTCTATGATGCAAAGACCTTTGTTCACGTGTTTGTCTGCTGACCCTCTCCCCACAATTGTCTTGTGACCGTGACACATCCCCCTCTTTGAGAAACACCCACAAATGATCAATAAATACTAAGGGAACGCAGAGGCTGGCGGGATCCTCCATGTGCTGAACGCTGGTTCCCCGGGTCCCCTTATTTCTTTCTCTATACTTTGTCTCTGTGTCTTTTTCTTTCCTAAGTCTCTCGTTCCACCTTACGAGAAACACCCACAGGTGTGGAGGGGCAACCCACCCCTACACTCACACTATGCAGGGCGACATGAGAAGCCCCGGTGTTTTGTCAGGAGGCAGAGAGAGGGGAGAAAGCTAAGGCCAGAGCCTTGGCTGGGGATTCTGTGGGAAAGGCAGGGAGGGCGGGGTGAGCAGCTCAGAATGGGCCAGCTTGAAAAATGCCATCTTGGCCGGGCGCAGTGGCTCACGCCTGTAATCCCAGCACTTTGGGAGGCCAAGGCAGGCGGATCACCTGAGGTTAGGAGTTCAAGACCACCCTGGCCAACATGGTGAAACCCCATCTCTACTAAAAAACAAAAAATTAACTAGGTGTGGTGGCAGGCGCCTGTAATCCCAGCTACTCCGAAGGCTGAGGCAGGAGAATTGCTTGAACCCAGGAGGCAGAGGTTGCCAGTGATCCGAGATTGCGCCATTGCACTCCAGCCTGGGCAATGAGAGCGAAACTCCATTTAAAAAAGAAAAGAAAGGCCGGGCTCAGTGGCTCATGCCTGTAATCCCAGCACTTTGGGAGGCCAAGGTGGGCAGATTATGAAATCAGGAGATTGAGACCATCTTGGATAACACGGTGAAACCCTGTCTCTACTAAAAATACAAAAAATTAGCTGGGCGGGGTGGCGGGCGCCTGTAGTCCCAGCTACTTCGGAGGCTGAGGCAGGAGAATGATGTGAACCCAGGAGGTGGAGCTTGCAGTGAGCCGAGATGGCGCCACTGCACTCCAGCCTGGGGGACAGAGTGAGACTCTGCCTCAAAAAAAAAGGATAAGAAAAGAAAAATGCCATCTGGCCTTGGTGCATGGGGGCTGTCCTGGTCACCTGTTCCTGGCCCTGGGCGACTCAGGGCAGGGGATGTATCAGCTTGTGCAGGTGTTAGATGAGGAGGTGGGTCAGGGTACCGGCTCTGGATGGAAGTGGGGAGGAGAACAGCCGTGGCCATAAGTTTGGCCATGTAATTCATGGTTGTCAAAGTGACATATACAAATCTAAGAAAACACAGTTGGAACACCGCGGCCTACAGAGAGCAACTGAAAAGAGCGCCCCGGCGGTGTGCACACAGAGGGAAGGAAGGGAAGACAGAGGTGCCGTCCAGGTCCCAGGTCCCAGGTCCGTCCAGGTTCCCAGGTCCATCTGTCCCAGGTCCGTCTAGGTCCCGGTCCCAGGTCCGTCGAGGTCCCAGGTCTGTCTAGGTCCCAGGTCCCAGGTCCATCTAGGTCCCAGGTCCATCTAGGTCCCAGGTCCCAGGTCCATCTAGGTCCCAGGTCCATCTAGGTCCCAGGTCCATCTAGGTCCCAGGTCCCAGGTCCGTCTAGGTCCCAGGTCCGTCTAGGTCCCAGGTCCCAGGTCCGTCTAGGTCCCAGGTCCCAGGTCCGTCGAGGTCCCAGGTCTGTCCAGGTCCCAGGTCCGTCTGTCCCAGGTCCGTCCAGGTCCCAGGTCCGTCTGTCCCAGGTCTGTGCCTCCATCCATCATCAGGTTTAAGTCACATCAGTTGCTGTAGCAGGATGAGCCGCAGACAAAATCTCTCAAGACACCGAGTTGTAGAAGGAAGGGCTTTATTCAGCTGGGAGCATCAGCAAACTACTGCCTTAAAATCTGAGCTCCCCGAGTGCACGATTTCTGTCCCTTTTAAGGGCTCACAACACTAAACATTTCACATGAAAGGGTCGTGATTGATTTGAGCAAGCAGGCGGTACGTGACAGGCTGCATGCACTGGCAGTCAGAGAGAAACAACACGGCAGGGAGTTTCACAAATGTTCTTCTATACAATGTCTGGAATCTATGAATAACATCTGTTTCTAAGTTATGAGTTGATTTTTCACTACTGAGTTTAGGCCAGGCAGGCGCAGGCCTGGTTTCGGGCCTAGCGCCGGGCTGCCTGTCCTTGGTTTTACCTCCTTGTTGTTTTTTCTTAAAATAGGTACTGAGTATAAAACAATATGAGACGGTCTCTCTCTTCCCTCATTCCCCCCTTTGAGACTCTCACTTTTTATTAGTGGGAGTTCTCACTCATTTTTGCTACTTATGTCTTTTTGTGCAATAGATTGATAGTGATTTATATAGTATGCTTGTGCTGAAGCATTTTGGTGAACTAAGGTAGTGATGAAGTTTTTTATCATTTGGAGAAATACAGGTATCAGACAAGGGAGCAGTAAGCAGGTTCCTATTACTATTGTTACTCTTGTTATAAGAGTTTTAAATCCTCCTATTGCTGGGAACTAATTTCTAAACATGGCTCCTGGATTGAGTCCATGCCACACGTGCACGGGTACGTGTGCCAGTTTTGTTATATCTTTAACTATATTCTCAGCTACTTGCCCCTGATCATCTATGTGTAGACAACGATTAGTAAGGCTAAATTTTTCACAAACTCCTCCTTCAGCTGCTAGCAAGTAGTCAAGAGCTGGTCTATTTTGAGAGCTAGCATTTCTCATCAAAGTCTCTTGCCGGGCAAGAACAGTCAAGGCTTGACCAGGTTTATAGTAATAATTTCTAAAACAGCTTGTAACCGTATGATTCGGTTGAGCACGTAGATGGGGGTTCGATATCCCCATGAGCCATCTTCTGCCCAAGTGGCGGGTCCGTAGTATTGTATGATTTTTTCAGGGGGCCATTCATCATCTTTCCAATCACTTATGGCTATGCTTCGTTTTTCGCGGGAAGCATAGACTGGGAAGCCCAGACGTTCACCTGTTTTTATGGGCAGTAAGAAGAAAGATGGCTTCATGGTGCCAATTACACAGCTACCTGTCCATTGATCAGGCAGCTTAGCATAAGCTCTGGGTCCACATATCCAGTATAACCCGGTGGGGGCCGTCCAGTCCCGGTGGAGTTCTGGGTAGGCCCAAACAGTCTGCAACTTTGGAAATTTACTGAATGGATTTCTTTCTGTGTAATTGGAACTCCACCATGTAACTGTTTTTGTGGTACCGTTATACAGCTTTTGCCCAAGACAACCAAGCCGCCCTACAGGATGAGTGAATCCTTTTCCTTCTCAAGCTATGCAATACTGTCCAATAATTGAGACTTTTAGAACTCAAAAATTGTCAGGGTGGTTCTTTTGGGCTGGGAATTCATCAGGAACTGGGTCTGTAGGAACTAATTCTCGGGCTTCCCATGGCCGCTGATCTCCTGTTACGGTTCCTCCGCAAACACAGCTAGAGGTGACTTGTAGAGACTGGGCTCCATGTTCGGCTAATTGCAAAAACAAAGTTTTAGTTTTTGCTGGAATCTCAGGTACTGACACATTTAGTTCATCATAGAAAGTCTGCAATATGGTTGTGGAGAGCGTTATTGAACCTCTCCTTCTATTAGGATGCTTACGCTAGGATCTAAGCCTTTTCTGTCAATGCCTAATGTTAACACTTTTTTTTATTCCACTTTGGGTCTGAAGGGTTTGTGATTATCAATTCTAAAAGGTTGTAGCTCCCACTCGTGCAGGAGGGGCTGACTTTTCCTTTTTGGAGCCAAACAGGATCTTTTTTATCTTCTTTCCAAGTAGCCCAAATGACACAAGACCAGTATTGACACATCTCACATAAATGTGATTCTTGACAGATATACTTATTTTTTTTTTACTGTGTAACTTTTTTTCCAATTTAGAGAACTGCATCCTATTCCATGCTGCTAACTATTAATAGCGGCACCAGCCTCAAATTTTAAGGTTACATTTTTGGGGACCCCTCTTTCTTCTGTTCTAGCTATTAACTTACTTGTGTCACCTAGAAAAGGACCAGTCCTGTGATCATGGGAGGCTTAAAATGGGTCATAACACGCATCAGTTTGGTTATTTCCTGGGCTGCATACCTTGGATAGAATAGCATCATACAAACAAGTTTCTTTTAGAATCCTGGTACACTTACAATAACCATAAAATAATAGGACTGTAGCAATCTTTTGTCTTACCTCAGTGACTTGATGTATATACTGGAAACAGTTCTCAGTCTGAGGAAGGTCAGTTGAAGTCCTTACTGTACAAGTCCAAATTTTAAGGAAAATGAGTCCCGCGATGAGTTTCCTCATGCTTCGGCTGTACGTGGACCAGTCAGCTTCCGGGTGTGACTGGAGCAGGGCTTGTCGTCTTCTTCAGAGTCACTTTGCAGGGGTTGGCGAAGCTGCTCCCGTCCACGTACAGCTCGAGTCTACTGATGTTTAAAGATGGTCTCGGTGGTTGGGCCCCCTAGAATAAACTGAGTCCAACACTTCTACACAGTTAAGTTTCACTGAGCTCTCTGATACTGGGAGCAAGGTGGCAGGGTTTAGGGTTTTGCAAACTTCAGTGGTTATGTGGGGATTTTCACAGAGCAAGCTTTGGTATCTAGTTAGTCTAGAATTCATTAGCTAATGATGTCCTTTGGTATTTATTAAAGTCACCACAGCATGGGGGGACTTTAGGTTTTGCCTAAGAGTTAGCTTATCTGCTTCTTGTGCTAACAGGGCCGTTGCTGCCAGGGCCCTTGGACAGGGGGGCAGCCTTTGGAAACCCCGTCTAGTTGTTTTGAGAGATAGGCCACTGGCCTTGGCCAGGGCTCTACGGTCTGGGTTAAAACTCCAACTGCTATTTTTTCTCTTTCTGACACATAGAGTGTAAAGAGTTTTGTCAGGTCAGGTAGCCTCGGGGCTGGGGCTGACATGAGTTTTTCTTTTTGACTCATGAAAAGCTCGTTGCTGTTGGTTGGAATGGATGTAGTTTATCTAATCTACATTTTTATTGACTGTCATCTACCAAAATATTGACTTAAATCCTGTAACTATTTGATTTCAAGCTTTAAATTGATCTGGTGTCCCTTGTGGGGCTCCAATTGCGTCTAAATAGATGTGAGAGTTGAAAGACCCATAAGGGGCTTCTCTCGCTTTACGATGTCTTTTTTTTTTTTTCTCCTCTGGTTGATGAAATGCCAGGGTGAAAGGGATAGCCAAACGGACTAAAGCACAAGTGCCACTCTAGTTATTCGGCAGAGTGCCCAGTACAGGTCCACCACAATACCACCACACATCCGCTCACATCCGCTCAGGGATGAACAAGGGCTGACTGATTGATAAGCTCTCGAAAATTCTTAAGCTCACTGCATCCCTTCCAGTCTCCAAGGACTGCTAAGTCTCCTCCCTGCCGTGAGAGACACGAAGGGAACTTAGTTTTGGGAGACGGAAGCTGGATGGCCCTCGGGGGCTGACCCGCAGGGACTGCAGAATGTAGCGGGGAGAGCTTGGCATGACTTGCTGCTCCAGGCTGTAGAATCCTGGAAAAGAGCTACCGTGCAGCCCACGCCTGGTCGACTGAAGGACCACCTTAGTGGAAGGGGGACAATCAGAGCCTTTGGCCTGCCATGTGCACGAGCATCACAATTGCTTTTGTTTAACATCAGATGGAATATCTGATCCATTTCAACCAGGCATTTTGCATCTTGGTATGCTGTCTTAATTGCCAAAGTTTGTTTTAAGTCTTAAACTTCCATGATCCTCTAGTAAAATGAATGTTTCCTTTAGCACCTATTTTTATTAGTTTTTAGACCAAAGAAAGCTAAACACCATTTTATATTTAATAATGCTTCTTGTATGATTTTTATACCAGATAAGCTAAATTTTACCTTTATATTAGTGTGTTATTAATGTTAAACTTAATTTTAATAAAACCTTGTAGACATATTTATCCAATTTTTCATGTTTGACCATAAGGTAAGATTTTATAGACTCTTTTTAACCTTTTATAACTTTTGTTAAAGAGCAGGTTGATGCTTTAAGAAAAACCTGTTGCATTTTTACTTTAATGTCCAGTTCACAGAAAAACTGGACGATACCTTTTTAACTTTAGTTAACATGTTTACACACAGAATTTTCTTTACAATTTACATTTTAAAACTTGCTTAAACTCTTAAAAACAATAATTTTTTTAACCTTTTAATGTAGGTAAAAATCCATATTTTTATGCCCCTTTATAATTTTTTTTACCAAAGGTATATTTTACTTTTCTTGTACACCTTGCACATAAACTTTTTTTTTTAATAGTACTCAGGGGCCAGGCGCGGTGGCTCACGCCTGTAATCCCAGCACTTTGGGGGGCCGAGGCGGGCGGATCACGCGGTCAGGAGATCGAGACCATCTTGGCTAACACGGTGAAACCCCGTCTCTACTAAAAATACAAAAAATTAGCCAGGCGTGGTGGCGGGCGCCTGTAGTCCCAGCTACTCGGGAGGCTGAGGCAGGAGAATGGCGTGAACCCGGGAGGCGGAGCTTGCAGTGAGCCGAGATCACGCCACTGCACTCCAGCCTGGGCAACAGAGTGAGACTCCGTCTCAAAAAAAAAAAAAAAAAAAATAGTACTCAGGAGGCCTTATTACTTTTAAATTATACAACATTTTTTGCATAAATTTTTTATAACATTTTGTTTTACAACTTTCGCCGACAATTCTTCAACATATCTCAACTTTCTGCCTTATTACAAACTTTTAAACAACCAGTTAATATATTTCAGGACAAGAATTTACCGTATAACATGCTTTTCACATAAATTCAGCCTCCCCTTTTTTTTTCTTTTTTAAAGCGAACTTTTTTTATGTCTTTGGACTAGACTGTCTGAGGCCACAAGATTAAAAGTTACCATTAACATGTTACACTGTTAACTTTTAGCAAACTTCGCTTTTGTTGAAAACCTTGGAAGTTTGGGATTTCAATTATCCTTTGCTATTAATAAGACCTTGTTTAGTCTAAATTAACTTAGAATTGGTATAGATGGCCTCTTTTTCTCTCTGCTGGTCTTTCCTTGCCTCTGCCAGCCGCTTATGCTGCTGTTCTCTTAACTACCGTAGGGGGGAGGGGGTCTAAAACCTGCTCTAACTGTCCATGTACGGAAACTGGCCTGGGTGCCTTGGCTTACACGTTACCTTGTGTCATACCTTTGAAACAAGGGACCTGTCCAGGCTTCCTTCTGATGGCCAACCCACCTCTAATGCTGACAAGTCTATTTCACACAAAGTTGTAAGTTTTCCTGGTGTCAGAGTAACACCGTAATCTCCCTTAAATTCTTTCTTGAAAAATTTTTTTTAACATAGTTCCTAGTGGGGTGGGCTTATCTGTGCCTGACCCACGCTTCTTCAAGACAAAACACCACGCTCACACCACAAAACAAAAAACAGGTAAAAAGGGCACACACACACTTTTGCAGTTTACACCAAACCAAAATCAAAACCAAAATCAGAGTATCCAGAAATCCAAGCCAGGTCAAAACCAAAACCAAAGTATCACATGATCTCAGTCAAGTCAAAACCAGAACAAAGGTGCTAATGCAGGCACGCCGTGGGCGATCAGGCCACGCGTCTACTCAGGTGGAGTGGGGCAAGTTCCAAAGACTAGTCTTACCAGGTTTCAGATGTCCGGACTCCAAGTGCCAGTTCCTTCCCGGTGTTCAGCCACTGTGTTAATCCACCATGGGGGCCCGTTATGGGCTGCTCTGGCGAGGTGTTCCACCGAGGCAATTTCCTACCCGGGAGCGCTCTTTAGCTCACGTCACTCAGGCTGGCCGGAGTCCCCCGCAGGGATGCTCCACGGGGCAGGCCTAAGCCGCCTAAGGGGCTGCCTCGGTCGTCTGTCAGTTACCTCGTTTCCCAGTCAGGGAACCAAGAAATGTAGCAGGACGAGCCGCAGACAAAACCTCTCAGACACCCAGTTGTAGAAGGAAGGGCTTTATTCAGCTGGGAGCATCGGCAAGCTACTGCCTTAAAATCCGAGCTCCCCAAGTGCACAATTTCTGTCCCTTTTAAGGGCTCACAACACCGAAGATTTCACATGAAAGGGTCGTCATTGATTTGAGCAAGCAGGCGGTACGTGACAGGGGCTGCATGCACCGGCGGTCAGAGAGAAACAGAACACGGCAGGGAGTTTCACAAATGTTCTTCTATACAATGTCTGGAATCTATGAATAACATCGGTTTCTAAGTTATGAATTGATTTTCAACTACTGGGTTTAGGCCAGGCAGGCGCAGGCCTGGTTTCGGGCCTAGCGCCAGGCTGCCTGCCTGTCTTTGGTTTTACTTCCTTGTTGTTTTTTCTTAAAACAGGTACTGAGTATAAAACACTATGAGAGGGTCTCTCTTCCCTCATTGCCACAACTCATTCTTTGTTGAAGTATGGAGAAGGCTGGAGCTGCAGGGTCAGTGGGCCCTCCTGGGAGCTGGGGGCCATCCCTGGTCCAGCCAAGGCCTGTGACTGCAGCTCAAGCCACATCCCCTACTTTCTCCCATCCCCTCCTCCGGAAGCCTCTTCCCTGATGTCCCCTCCAGGCAGGCAGCCTCAGCCAGAGAGCCTGGAAATCACTGGGGCGGTGGAGCCTGGAGCCTGCTGTCTGGCTCAGCCCGTGGACTCTATGCCCTCACACTCCTTCTCCCCCCCTCCAAGTTCAGGCAGCGCCTGGGGCAGGTCCCCCTCAGGCATCTGGGCCACCTCGGCCCACTGCGTCCGCAGAGTGGGGCTGGCCCCTCGGCTCAGCAGAAGCCCCACGGTAGGCCCATGCCCTCGCTCTGCAGCCAGGTGTAGGGGGGTCTTTCGGAGCCAGCCGGTAGCATCCACCTGGGCACCCCTGTCCAGCAGGCAGCCGGCAACCTCCACGTGGCCTTCCCGAGAGGCGTGATGCAGGGGTGTGAGGCCCAGGGTGTCCCGCGCATCCACCTCGGCCCCCTGGGTGACCAGCAACTGGACGGCAAGCAGGTGTCCTCGGGCGGCAGCCCTGTGCAGCGCAGAGCGGCCATGCCTGTCCCTGATGCCTGGGTCTGCCCCGTGGCCCAGCAGCACCTCAATGTCCTAGAAGAGGAGAGAAAAGCAGGGGCCGGCCTCAGCCCGGTAGGCGAGGGGCAGAGCCACCAGGCGTTTGCCCAGCCCAGGCCTCTTCTGTCCCCGCAGCGGCCTGTCTCTCCTGACACCACTTCCTCATGTTGTGAGGCCGAACCCAAGGCTGGCCTGCTTGGAAACGTCCACTTTTCCCCCTAAGAGTCCTTAGAGCAAATCCAAGGATCTGCAGCCAACACCCTGCCCGCTGCCCAGGAACGGGGGTCTCAGGCACAGGCCCGGCGCTGGCGGAGAGTCTGTTGCTGCCACCAGCATGAAGCCGAGCCCCGGGCCTCGGATCCCGCCCTGGTCTCCACGGGACGGGGCTACACCGGAGGGGCACAGCCGGGGGCGCGCTCAGGGCCTTCGTGCCTGGACACCGTCCCCCAGCCTGGCTCCAGCTGCCCCGGTGGCACGTCTCTGGGGATCCTGGCCCTGCGCCCCCTCCCATCACTGCCGGGCGGAGGGCGGGACGTACCTGGGAGCGGCCTAGGGCGGCCGCCAGACCCAGCGCTGTGGCCCCCGCGCCATCCCGGGCGTCCACCCGCGCCCCGCGCGCCAGGAGGAAGCGCAGCGCCGCCCCGCGCCCCGCAGCGGCAGCCACGAGCAGGGCGCCGTCCAGGCCCGCGCCGCCGGCCGCCAGCAGCTCCAGCACCGCCAGCCGCCCGCCCGCGGCCGCCCAGTGCGCCGCCGTCCAGCCGCGCGCGTCCTCCGCCTCCGCTGCCGCGGGTCCCGGGCCCGGAGCCTCCAGCAGGCGCGCGGCCAGCAGCGTGTGGCCCAGGGCAGCGGCCCAGTGCAGCGGCGTGAGGCCCGTCCCGGAGCGAGCCGCCGCCGAGGCCCCGCGCTGCAGCAGCAGCTCGGCCACCCGCGAGTGTCCGTGCCAGGCGGCCTCGTGCAGCGCGGTGCGCCCCGCCCGGTCCACCGCGCCCACCGGGGCCCCTCGCTGCAGCAGGAGACGCACCAGGGGCGCGTGGCCCCGCAGCACGGCCAGGTGGAGCGGGGTCCGGCCTGCGTGGTCCCTGAGGAGGGGGCAAGGGCGTCGGCGCGGGGGTGGACCACTGACCAGAACCCCGCCCTGCCCCACCCCGTCCTGCCGCCCACCCAGCGCTGGGACCCCCGTCCTACCCCATCCAGAGAAGGGACTCCTCCACCCACCCAGTGCTGGGACCCCCATCCTGCCCCACCCAGAGAAGGGACCCCTTCACCCCCCAGCGCAGGTGCACCTCTCCTCCACGCTGGCACCTTGCCGCAGCAGCTGCGTCACCAGGCCTGCAGGGCCCCTCCACACGGCCTGGAGCAGGTGCCCCCAGCCCTGGACAACACTAGGCCCCTCTGTCCTGGTTCCCAGGGCCTCTTCGGAGTCCAGCTCCATCCACCGCAGTTCCTGTTCCTCCTCCTCCTCCTCTCTGGGCTCAGGCCTCTGGGAGTCCATCTGGGGGGGAGCAGGGATCCTACATCCACTGTGGAGGCCTCTGGCCTGCCCCCAGCCGTGTCCCAGGCCAACTGGAGCCCCCCATTCCAGTTACCACTTAGCCTTCAGAGGGGCTTGGCTCTGTTACCCAAGGGAGCTGGCTCAGGAGCTTTCTGCTCTGGCTGAGGGTCCTCTGTAGACGGGTTCTGGCCGAGGCTCAGCCTGGTGACCCTCTTCACAAAATCCCTTCTGCAGGCTTTGGGGTGGAGTGTCTGCTGCTGAAAAGCTGAATGGTGGCAGCTTCAGCCTTGCAGGGGGTGGGAGAACACAGCTGGTCCCCTGGGCCAGGCTGAGGCCACCTGACGCTGTTTACTCAGCCACTTAGGAAGGCCCTGCCTTCGGGCACAGCCCCCTGTCCAACATACTCCCTCCCCTGCTGGCTGCCAGGGCCCCAGTTCGGCTGCCCTCCTGGGGAACAAAGGCCAGGCGGTTGGGGAGGACAAGCAGGAACATGCTTGTGGACGAAAGTTGCTCAGACGCCACCTCCCCCAGGAAGCGCAGCCTTGGATGTACCCCGATGTGCCCCTGGAAGGCCTCACAGGGCTCTCCATGGGGCCCACCCTCGGGCAGCCCCCTCACCCACTCCTGTCCCAGCTGGCTAAGCCCACCCAGGGGTGGGTGCCGGCCCCTCCTCCCGATTCCAGGCTGGGGAGGAGGGCAGGGTGAGGTTCTGGCCTTCCTTTCTGTAAATGCTGGACAGGACAAAAGATTCACCAAGGACTCCAGGCAGGTGGCCTGGAAAAGAGGGTGGCGCTGGCATGGGAGGGACGAAAACCCTTTGGGGACTGGCTGGGGCAAGTCTGGAGCCAGGGAAGGGACAGATGCCTGGGCAGGTGGGGGCGGGGGTCGGGGGGCAGGCGGGAGAGTGGGGAGAATCCCTGCTAGGGTGCGTCTGCATCTGGAAAAGCAGCTCTGCCCCAGCAAGGCCTGGGGCAGCGGGATCCTGGGGGCCTGGGGCAGGATGGGTGGGGCTGGTGCTGAGGGCATCTTCCTGTCTCCCAGTACCTGGGGCCAGGCAGGAGAAGGGAGCATGGCTCTTTGGGGTGGCTGCAGCAGCCTGGCCCCTCCAGCGGCTGCACGGGAAAGGTAATGAGGGCTACCCATTCCCACCCCAGCCCCCTTCAGCCTCCCAGGTCCCCAAGGACAGGGTCTCCTGAGGGCCCTGGTCTGGCCTCCCCCACTCCCTAGAGGACTGCCTCTCCAAGGGCCCAAGGGACCAGGGGCCCCATCCCACCACCCCCCAAGCCACACAGACCCTGCCCTACAAACCTCATCAGGCTACTCATCCGTCACCTTCCCAGATCCTGACCACAGGTGGATCTGAGGCAACGTGCGACTCTAACCCTGTTTTAGTTTGTTCTTAGCATTTATCACTACAGGAAAGTATCTATGTGTTTATTTAAATGTCTGCCTTCCTCTTCTAGAAGGAAAGCTCCGTAAGGCTGACCGGGAAAGAAGCGAGGAGCTCTGGGGGCTGGGTGGAAAGTCCCGTACTCATCAGGGCCAGGGAGGCCACAGAAACTACCTCACGCCAGCTTCCCAGGGGTACAGCGGCTAGAATGGACCTCGAGGAGGCCCCTCCCAAGACTCCCGTCTCCCGGGTTCCACCGCAGTGGGGGCAGCCACAGCTGCCTCTGCAATGCTTGTAGGACCCACACACAGTGGGGCACGGAGGGGCAGAGGCCGCAGCCCCTTTGCCATGAATCCAAAGAACCTGGAGTGATTCTGCAGAGACGTTCGAACCAGAGCGACTCCATCTTGAACAGGGGCTGGGTAAAATGAGGCCGAGACCGGCTGGGCCGCATTCCCTGGAGGTCAGGCATTCTTAGTCACAGGATGAGATCAGCACAAGATACAGATCACAAAGACCCCGCTGATAAAACAGGATGCCGTGAAGAAGCCGGCCCCAAACCACCAAAACCAAGACAGCCAGTCCTCACTGCTCATTATGTGCTGATTATAATACATTAGCATGAGACACGCCCACCAGCACCAGGACCATTTACAGTTGCCATGGCAATGCCGGGAAGTTACCCTAGATGGTCTAAAAGGGGGAAGAACCCTCACTTCCGGGAATTGCCTGCCCCTTTCCCGGAAAAGTCCGGAATAATCCACACCATGTTTAGTACATATCAAGAAACAACAATAAGTGTTCTCGTCGGAGTAGCCCAGGCCGCTGCTCAGCCTATGGGGCAGCCCTTCTCTTATTCCTTTACTTTCCTATTAAACTTGCTTTCAGTTTACTCCGTGGACTCCCCCGAATTCTTCCTTGTGTGGGGTCCAAGAACCCTCTCTCGGGGTCTGGATCGGGACCTCCTTTTCCGATGACAGTCCCTGGGACTTAGTAGCAGTTCAGCAGTGTTTGTTGAATGAATAAGCGAGAGACCTGGTTGGGGGGCACTTAGAAAGCAGAGGTTTTGCAACTTTTTAAAACTTTTTATTTGTATTTTTGAGACGGAGTCTCACTCTGTCACTCAGGCTGGAGTGCAGTGGTGTGATCTCAGCTCACTTGGAACCACCATCTGCCAGTTTCAAGTGATTCTCCTGCCTCAGCCTCCCAAGTAGCTGGGATTATAGGCACCCACCGCCATGACCGGCTAATTTTTGTATTTTTAGTAAAGACAGGGTTTCACCATGTTGGCCAGGCTGGTCTCCTGACCTCAAGTGATCCGCCTTCCACAGGTTCCCAAAATGCTGGGATTACAGGCGCCCACCACCATGCCTGGCTAACTTTTTTTTTTTTTTTTTTTTTTTTGAGATGGATTCTCGCTCTGTTGCCCAGGCTGGAGTGCAATGGTTTGATCTCGGCTCACTGCAACCTCCTCCTCCCGGGTTCAAACAATTCTCCTGTCTCAGCTTCCCGAGTAGCAGGTACTACAGGCACGTGTCAACAGGCCCAGCTAAGTTTTGTATTTTTTTTTTTTTTAAGACAGGAGGTTTCACCATACTGGTCAGGCTGGTCTCGAACTCCTGACATCAGGTGATACACCCGCCTCAGCCTCCCAAAGTGCGGGATTACAGGCATGAGACACCGTGCCCGGCCTGATTTTTGTATTTGTAGCAGAGACGGGGTTTCACCAAATTGGCCAGGCTGGTCTCAAGCTCCTGACCTCAAGTGATCCACCCGCCTCAGCCTCCCAAAATGCTGGGATTACAGGTGTGAGCCACCGTGCCCAGCGCTGTAGGGACACTGCAGGGAGGCCTCTGCTGCCCTGCTAGATGTCACACGCCACATGGTACCACTCTCCTTCTTGTTCACAAGTCTGAAGGAAGTAGGTGAGCTGGAGAGGCCTGGAAGGTGTTGGAAGGGATGGAGCCCACTAGAAGGCCTCACAGGGAACGGCTCAGCTCACAGACACCTACTCCTGTCAATTAATTATGAACACGGAGCTGGAGGCTGGGCATAGTGGCTCACGTCTGTAATCCCAGCACTTTGGGAGGCCGAGGCGGGCAGATCACCTGAGGTTAGGAGTTTGAGACCATCCTGGCTAACACGGTGAAACCCCACCTCTACTAAAAATACAAAAATTAGCCGGGCGTGGTAGTGTGCGCCTGTAATCCCAGCTACTCGGGAGGCTGAGGCAGGAGGATTGCCTGAACCTGGAAAATGGAGGTTGCAGTGAGCCGAGATCGTGCCATTGCACTCCAGCCTGGGAAACAAGAGCAAAAAATTCCTCCTCGACAAAAAAAAAAGAAAGAAAAGAAAATGGAGCTGGAACTGCTGACGTGCAATAAAGCCCTGGGAGACGGACAGACGTCAGGGACTGTGCTGGGCGCGGGGGCTGATGCCTGTCATCCCAGCACTGTGGGAGGCCCAGGCAGGCAGATCACTTGACACCAGGAGTTCCAGACCAGTGTGGGCAACGTGACAAGATCCCATCTCTACAAAAAATACCAAAACTAGCCGGGCGCGGTGGTTAGGTGCCTGTAGTCCCAGCTATTTAGGAGGCTGAAGTGGGAGGACTGATCGAGTCCAGGAGGTCAAGGCTGCCGTAGCCGTGATTGAACCACTGTACTGCGGCCTGCGTGACAGAGTGAGACCCTGTCTCAAAAAAAAGTCAGAGTCGGGAGTAACGTTCAGAGAAAATGCTTGGGGTTTTGGATGGGAAAAGTTTTGCCCCTGACTAGAAATGATGGGCTGGGCGCCGTGGCTCACGCCTGCAATCCCAGCACTTTGGGAGGCCAAGGTGGGCGGATCACAAGGTCAAGAGATCGAGACCATCCTGGCTAACACAGTGAAACCCCGTCTCTACTTAAAAAAAAATACAAAAATTTGCTGGTCGCGGTGGTGAGCGCCTGTAGTCCTAGCTACTAGGGAAGTTGAGGCAGGACAATCACTTGAACCAGGTATGCAGAGGTTGCAGTGAGCCGAGATCGTGCCACTGCACTCCAGCCCTGGTGACAGAGTGAGACTGTCTCCAAAAAAAAAAAAAAAATGATGGAACACAGGTTCTTGTCCTGGAAAATCTGCCTTTCCTCTGCTCGGGATGGCTGGGTTCAGACGCGAGGGTGCCTGTGGTCCCTGGCAGCCTGCTGAGTGCCTGCCGTGTACGGGCCCCACACCCTGCGGCTCACGCGCATCCCAGGTCCCCTCTCATCCACTCTGAGACGCAGGCGGAGGACACCGACAAGGTGTTCAGATGAGGGAGCAGCGGGGCTGGGGCTGGGACAGGGGGTGGGGGGCTGGCCTCCAGGTGGCAGCTACTGATGGGGCAGCTACCGGAGTCAAGCCCTTTGAAATGAGGTCTTTGTGTGGGGGAGCTGCAGCCCCGCCCGGCACAGGGAGGGAGGCGGCCCCGGTGGGAAGGGCCCTGCAAGGCCTGCCCAGAGCACCAGGAGCTGGCTGGGGCTGGAGACTGGCGCTGCTGGAGCTGCAGCTGCCTGGCAGAGGGGAAACTGAGGTGGGGGTGTGGCTCTGGGACAGACATCAGGGCAGGACCTCCCTAGCCAGGGTCCACGGTCTGGCTGGGGGATGTGGACTGGCTGCAACGTGGGGCGGGGTTAAAGGTCTTCCAGGGCAGCCCTGGAGAGCACCACTCTGCATTGAGCACCGCCCGGGCCACAGGCCTGCAGTGGCAGGAGCATGAGTGAGCAGGGGAGGGAGACGGAGGAGGAGGAGGGGGGAGGTGGTGCTTCCGACACAGCGCCCATGCTGCCCCGGGGACCTCCCGACCACCAGGCCTCAGCCCTGACGTGCCCAGGGTGGTCGGGGCCCCCGCTGCTGCCCGGCCGGCTGCTGGCCGGGCTCCTGCTGCACCTCCTGCTGCCCGCCGCAGCCTTCCTGCTGGTGCTCCTGCCCGCGGCCGCCGTCGTCTACCTGGGATTCCTGTGCCACTCGAGGGTGAGCCTGTGCCCCGTGGGCGGGGGACTAGCTGGGGTCCTGGGGAGTGGGCGTGCCCTGGGTCTGAAGGCACTGTGCCCCCTTCCAGAATTGCCCCTTGTCCTCAGAGACACGTGTGCCCCTCCCTGGCAGCCCCTTCTCCCAAGCACCCCCACCAGCCACAGCCAAAGAAGAGCTTTTGTTTTTCACCCAAGGGACAGCTCTGTCCCTTCCCTGAGGCCTCCCAGCCTTGTACCAGGGGCCACCAGGGCCTGGACAGCTGGGTGGGGGTGGGGAGAGAACGGGGTTCCAGGAAAAGAAGATGAAAATGTCGTTGAAGTTTCACTAACCCACAGCCCCCAGCCCCTCCCCAAACACACAAGGCCCCTCCCAGGCCCTCCTGCCAGCGTGGGGCTTCCCCACCTGCAGAGTGGGCTGTGGCCTGCTCTGGGCCCCGGGCCCCTTTCTGCTGGCACGGGGGCTGGCGCCAGCTGGTGATGAGAGGGCGCAGGAGGGCAGAAGCGGGCAGAACGCGGCAGTGGGCGCTTTTTCTGAGCCTCCCCTCAAGGGACCCTGCTCAGCCCTTTACCTGCTGCGTCCCGGATCTCCTGTTCACCCCTCAGCACTGCCTGGCCCACAGCGGCCCGCCCCCTCCCCTCTCCCCGCCCTGCCTCTCCTTCGCCCAGGCCCTAATCCTTCATCCCTCCATCTCCCCCCTCCCTCTTCCCGCCCTGCTCAGCCCGCCACGGCCCCTCTACCGCCCCGCCCCGCTCTTTCATCTCTATCGCCCACTCCTCTCTCCCGCCCTGCACCCCTCCGTCTCCCTTTGCCGTGGCCCTGCATCCTTTCCTCCACCCCGCTCTCTCTCCCCTCCCCGCTCCACCCTGCTCCCGCCCATCCATCCCTCACCGTCCGGCCCTCACCGCCCCTTCATCACCCTGACCCACCCACACCCTCTCCTCCGCGCCTCCCCTTCCCCTCCATCACCCTGCCCTGCCCCTTCCCCTCCATCACCCTGCCCTGCTCCCCTCTTCTCCCCCTTCCCTCCATCATCCCGCCCGCTCCCCTCTCCACCCCTCCCCTTCCCCTCCATCACCCTGCCCAGCCCCCTCCCCTCCATCACCCTGCCCTGCCCCCAGCCCTCCATTACCCCGCCCCGCCCCCCACTGACGGCCCGCCCGGCCCCCAGGTCCACCCCGCTCCGGGTCCCCGGTGCCGCGCGCTGTTCTCAGACCGCGGCTCCGCGGCGCTCATCGTGTTCGGGCTTCTCTCGCTGCCGCCGCTGCTGGTGCTCGCCTCGGCCGTCCGCGCCCGCCTAGCCCGGCGCCTCCGCCCGCTGCTGCCTCCGCCCGCTGGGACCCCCGGACCCCGCCGCCCCCCGGGGCGCCCCGACGAGGACGAGCAACTCTGCGCCTGGGTGTGACCCGGCGGCCGCTGCGAAACCCCGGGAGGCCTCCGAGCTCGCGCGCGACCCCATCGCGTGGCCCGGCCCGGAAAACTGAGGGTCGCCCCCGCTGCCCCTTCCTGGCTGGGCGCGCAGCGCTCCCGGCTTACGACCCCGGCCTCCCCCGCCCGCAGCCCCGCCCCCGCCACGGAGGGCAGGGGAGGGGAAGAGAGGGGAGGGGAGGGGAAGAGAGGGGAGGGGAGGGGGAGAGAGGGGAGGGGAGGGGAGGGGAAGAGGGGAGGGGAGGGGAAGAGAGGGGAGGGGAGGGGAAGAGAGGGGAGGGGAGGGGAAGAGAGGGGAGGGGAGGGGAAGAGGGGAGGGGAGGGGAGGGGAGGCAAAGAGAGGGGAGGTGAGGGAAAGAGAGGAGAGGGGAGGGGAAGAGAGGGGAGGGAAGGGCAGGGCAGGGCAGAGCCCGGCAGGCAGCCCTCAGAGGAGGGGCGCAGGCCCCAGCCCAAGGCCTCCCGCGCCTGCCCAGGTCCCGGCCTCCATCGTCCAGGGCTCTGGGGCTCCCAGGGGAGACACCCACGCTCGGCCAAGCCCAGGGTTCCAGAAGCCCAGGGGTGGCGGCAGCCGGGCTCAGCCTATGGCCAGGCTCGCATTCAGACATGCGCCAGCCTCGGTCGGCTCTCTCCGGGAGACACTAAGATCTCCTCACTGACTTTGGTGTTCCTTGGTCTCACCAGCGCGTCCTAGCTGTGCCGAGCTCACACCCACCCTGTTTGGTGTAAGCCACAGGTCCACAACGTTCATCAGCTCTGGAAATCCCTCAACAATTGTGTCCAGTTTCACCACGAATTCCTTCTCCATATCCTCACCATTTTCTTTTACCCCCTCATCAAATTACTCCCTTCCGTCTAATCTGCTGATTAACTCATTCATTTTATCTTAAATTATTATGTTAACATATCCAGGCCAGGCACGGTGGCTCACGCCTGTAATCCCAGCACTTTGGGAAGCCGAGGAGGGCGGATCACCAGCTCAGGAGATCCAGATCATCCTGGCTAACACGGTGAAACCCCGTCTCTACTAAAAAATACAGAAATTAGCTGGGCTTGGTGGCGGGCACCTGTAGTACCAGCTACTCGGGAGGCTGAGGCAGGAGAATGGCGTGAACCTGGGAGGCAAAGCTTGCAGTGAGCCAAGATCACGCCACTGCACTCTAGCTTGGGCGAAAGAGCGAGGCTCCGTCTCAAAAAAAAAAAAAAAAAAAATTAGCTGGGCGTGGTGGTGGGCACCTATAACCTCAGCTACTTGGGAGGCTGAGGCAGGAGGATCGCTTGAACCCAGGAGGCAGAGATTGCAGTGAGCCGAAATCATGCCATTGCACTCCAGCCTGGACAACAAGAGCAAGACTCCATCTTAAAAACAAACAAAAAAACAACAAAAAAAATTAGCTGGCCATGGTGGTGCACACCTGTAGTCCCAGCTACTCAGGAGGCTGAGGCACAAGAATCATTTGAACACTGGAGGCAGAGGTTGGAGTGAGCTGAGAGGGTGCCACTGCACTCCAGCCTGGGTGACAAAGTGAAACTCCATCTCAAAAAAAAAAAAAGGTTAGCATATCTAAAAGTTACATCTGATTGTGTTTTAGATTTGTCTGATTTTTTTTATGGTCTCTTGATACATGCTTGCTTTTTAGATTACAGTTTCCACTTCTTAAACATATTTCATATATAGTTATTTTATATTCTGTACTAAATAATTCCAGTGTCCTAGTCTTTGGGGGTCTAAATCTGTGACTGGTGTTTCTGCCGATTCTCATCAGTAGCATGGTGTTTCTCTGAACGTTTGGTTGTTTAATTGTCAGCTGTTATCGGAGACAATTCTGAGGTCCAACTTGGGGATGCTTCCCTCCAGAGACTATTCCCCTTTTCCAGGCGAGACCACCCTCGGCCCCCTCAGTGACCCTTGAGACCCCTGGTTTAAGCAGCCCCTAGGCAGAGAAACATACTTGTTCCCTGGCCGCAGGCTGGCTCTCTGTCCCTGTGTGTGTCCAGGGAGTTATCTGCTTTCCCAACCACTTCCCTTCATCATCCAGGCCTCCACACTACTCTGTCTGTTTGTTTACTTAGAGACAGAGTCTTGCTCTGCCGCCCAGTCTGAGTGCAGTGGTGAGCTCCTAGCTCTCTGCAGCCTCGCCCTCCCAGGCTCAAGTGATCCTCCTGCCTCAGCCTCCCAAGTAGCTGTGACTAGAGTGCACCACCACACCCAGCTAATTTTAAATTTTTTTGTAGAGACGGGGTCTCATCATGTTGCCCAGGCTGGTCTCGAACTCCTAGGCACAAGCAATCCTCTCGCCTCAGCCTCCTAAAGTGTTGGGATTACAGGCATGAGCCACCCCACCTGGCCTTATTTATTTTTGCTGTTTAATTTTGGGGGAGACTCGGAGATATTTACTTTCTTGGAAACACAACAGTCTATTAAAAATGTACGCTCATAGTAATTCATCCAGAAGTTGGTTGTTGCTGGAAGGCCTTTTAAGGGATCTAGTACATCATATTGCCAGCAGGGCTCAGCCTGTGACCAGCAAGGTCTGGGCTCCGTCTGGGGCCAGGGTCAAGGCTCATTCCGTGGCCTTGAGCACAGCCTGGTGTGTGGCTGGGTCGAGTCCAGCAGAAGTCTCGGGGTTTTCCAGCCTCCATCCGAGTCCGGCTTTGATGCCTTTCCTGGTCAGACAGGAGCCGGGCCAGTGGCCAAGCTGCCAGGATGGCTTCCCCGGGGCCGCGGCCGCCTTCCTTCCCCTCCTGCCCGGGCTGGCTCTGGTCGCCACTAGGGGTTGAAGATGAGGGCTCTCCTGGGAAGCTCTTGGCTGAGGATCCGCCTGGTCCCGGAGCCGTGAAAACAACAGCTGGGCCTGGTGGGGGTGGGGAGGCTGAGCGGAGAGGCCAGCTCCCTTGGCTGCTGGGCAGGGTCTTCTGTCCACAGCTGCCTCAGGCGGCTGTTTCCAAAGGTGTTTCCAGCTTCCCAGGCCCACCCTGAGGCCCCGCACCGCCAGGGAGGTGGAAGGCACGGAGCAGCGAAGCCCGGCCCCGGCCCCGGCCGCCCGACCAGCTCACAGAGGAACACCTGTGGGGGGGCCTGTGGGCGGTTCACAGAGGGATGTAGGAACGTGCCTGTGGGAGGCCGTAGCCCCGGAGAGCAGAGGCCTGGCCGGCGGAAGAGAAGCAAGGAAGGGGCGATTCAGGAAGGCCAGAGCCCGAGTGCCGGGGCAGGGGCCCCACCCCCTCACCCCCTCACCCCCTCACCCCCTAGGACAGAAGAGGCCCTCCGTTGGAAGGCAGGGGCCCCACCCCCAGGACAGAAGAGGCCCCACGTTGGAAGGCAGGGGCCCCACCCCCTAGGACAGAACGGGCCCTGCGTTGAGGCCCCTGGGTTCTTCCCCCGGGTTCTTGCCTGGCCCCTTCCATGGATCCTAAGCAGCTCCCTTATCGGCCACCATCTGGGAAGCCAGGAGGGGGGCATGAAATGAGGGGGAGGTGGGGCCCCCAGCCAGGGTTCCCCTCCTCAAGGCCCCAGGTATACAGTTGGCCTTTGCCCAGCCCTTCTAGCCCCTGCAGGGGCAGGACCCCACCTGGACCCCATGAATCTCTCCCAACTTTTGCCCAGCATGGTGTCCCTGACCGAAACCCCTCCACTTCAGGACCCTGGGTCCCCAGGCCCGCCCCCACCCTGAGGGTGCCTCTACACCCCTTCCCCCAGAGCCCCTTCCCCCAGCCTGAGGGCCAGGAGCAGCCTCCCTCTTCCTGCAGTCTCTACCACAGCTCTCCACTGGCCCAGGGGCCTGAACTCCTTGGGTGCAGCCGAGCTGCAGGGTGGCTGTGGGGACCTCTGCTTGGCGTTCTTTCCCGGTGGCTGAGGCCCCTGCCCTGCCCAAATGGGAGCCCGGAGTGTGTGTGTGTGGCTGTGTGTGTCCCATCTGCGTCCCTGTCACACGTCATGCCGGAGCAGGGGAGGCAGTAAGGGGCCCCACCCCACTGGATGCAGTGGGCTTCCCACCTTGCCCGGTGTCATTTCCTGATTTGCAAAATATTTCCTGGGAGCAGAGTTGTTGGCAAGCACAGCCTCAGACGGTGTGAGCAGCTGGGGGACCCCTCAGATGTGGCTCCCTCTGTCCCTCCGGCCTGTGCTGGCCTGCCCCTGCCCCCAGGCCTGTAAGCTGGGCAGGCTGTGGGGCAGGAACTCCCCAGGGTGAGTGGGCTGGTCTGAGGGCTAAGGCCCCTGCTCCCAGCTCCGCCCCACCCGCCTCTGGGAGTCCCTTGTGGTGTGTGGACATAGGTCAGTCCCTCCCTGCTGCCTCCTCCCTATCCCAGTCCAGGCCCCTGGGAGTTTTGCGTCTGCCCAGGGCTGTGGCCTGGGCCTGTCTGGACTGTGTCTGGGGAAGGGGCAGCATGTGGTCCTCCTCTCCCTTTCAGGGAAGGATGTCCCAGCAGAGAGGCAAAGTGAGGGGACCCACACAAGGAAGGGGCCCTGCTATTAGGAAACCCTGGGTCATTCAGGCCTGCTGCTCTCCGGCTCCCACCGGGCCGGGCTCTGTCCTCGCTGTGACGAACCTCCTGCCCCTGTCGAGGCCGGCAACACCCTCCACCCGGCCACCCCTCCCGAAGGCCCCCAGCCTGCTCTGCCCCTGCAGTCCTGGCGCAGGCCCCTCCTGCCCACCCCACCCTGCTCTCAGCACTCGCGGTTCCTTCTCTCTGCCTGGAAGGCTCTTCCTCGGGTACCCCTTGCGTGCGAGTCCCCAGTGACCCCCTGTTCTCACAGGGAAAACAAGTAGACCGTATCTTTCCTAGCTGTTCACCGCCCACCCTCCTAGCCTGGCAGTGCTGGCCCGGCGCCTGTGTGTCCCCAGCACTGAGGCTGGGGCGCGGCTGTGCCCAGCACACAGACGAGGGATGGATGGACAGACGCAGATGGTGCAGCTCCCACCCCTACCCAGGCTGCTACCCGCCAGGTGTCTACCCGCCACCCCAGCTGCTGCTGGCACGGGGGACTGAGGGGGGTCAGCTCTGGGGCCAGAGGGGCAGGCCTGGGCTCCTGGGAAGTGAAAAGTGACCCCCGAGGCCCCCAAGACCTGTCCTTGACCCCAGTGAGCAGGTTGAGTCTAGGAGCTGCGTGGGCCCTGCTCTCTTGGTGACCCCTGCTCTGCCCCACTTACTGTTGTGGGGTGGGCTCAGGCACACCCCAGAGCAGTGCCTCAGGCCCGCACCGCTGCCCCTCACCGCCGCTGCCCCTCACCGCCGCTGCCCCTCACCACTGCTGCCCCTCACCGCCCCGTCCATCTGCTCCTGTGTGTGCTTGAGTACGTTTGTGAGATACGTGAAAACAGCAACAAAAGGCGCCGGGTGCGGGCCTGGGCGTCCTGCCCTCAGCTCGGGTCAGGGGTGGGGTCAGAGGCCTCAGGAGTTGCCCTTTTACCCAGGGTCAAACATGACCACAGCCAGCTGGGGACAAAAGGCCCTTCATCTTCTGCAGAAGCCTGGATTGTGCGGAGGAGGGAGCATTCCCAAAGGCGGGTGGGGGCAGGGGCGGTGCCCGGGTGACAGCAGCCTCCCCAGCTTCCTGGAACTCTCTCCACCTGCCTGCAGACAGACCGGCAGGGCAGGCTGGCTCCGGGAAGTGAGGCACAGGGACTCCCACAGCCCAGGCCCAGACCGTGGGGGCGGGGTGGCCGCAGCCAAACCAGGCTGCTCCCCACCCCATGGGGCCCCAGGCCACCAGGATCAGACAGGGGCTGTGCCTGCAGGAGGCAGAGGGCTCGGGGCCAGCACCCACTGTGATCTGGCCTGACCCGTCCTTGCCTCTGCCTCTTACCCCGGGCCCTTCTCCCTGGAGAGTGGAGGGTTCCGGCTGTTATATTTGTGCTTCCTCCGGTGTCTGCCTCAAGTCCGGCCCGGGCCCTGACACTGCACCTCTGGCTGACCCCATGCTCTCTGGGACCCTCTGTCCACGTCCCTCCTCCGGGGTGGAGACAGCGGGGGGAGGGCAGGACACAAGAATGAGTCCTGAAGACTGAGGGGCACGGGGAGAGCTGATGGGGAGGGTCTCCTAGCTGGAGGGACTCCAGGCAGAGCCGGGAGCAAGGCAGGTGGCTGAGCTCGGCCCAGGCTGGGTGGAGGCCAGGCCTCCTGTGCCTTCTCCCGCTGATGGCGAGCTGAAGGGAGGAGGGCGGCCGCTTCCTTGAGGGCCTGAGTCACAGCCAAGAAGACCCGCTCACTTTTTCCAGAAGTGAGGGAAACTTCCCCGTCAGCCCTGCAAGGCTGGCTGAGGTGTGACTGTGGCCCGCCTGCTGGGCGAGGGTGGGGGACAAGCGGGCCACTGGCTGTGAGCCTCCCCAGGGTGGGGGACCCTCGGCCCAGCTCCCTGCCTGACTACCTGGACGTGCCTCCGCAGGGTCTGCAGCCAGCTTCCGGTCAGACCCCAGGTCCTCCAGCGGCTGCGGCCTTCAGCGTCATCTCCACGGCAGCCCCTGTGTACTGGGGGCTGGGGGGCCTGGCGAGGCCCCTCGAAGTGGTACAGCTTGCACTCTGGGGACCCAAAGTCCCCCCACCGGGCCCAGGCGGAAGCACCAGGCATTTCTGGTCCCAGCCGAGGTCTGAGGTCTGTGGAGCGCAGCCAGCACCTCCACTGCCAAGATCCCCGGCAGGGGGGGTGGGGGGCGCCGGCGGGGACACAGCTCTCCCTTGTTCCTGCCGCCAGCTCCTCAGCCTCAGCCTGCTGCTTCCTTTTTTAGGCAAAGTCGAGTGCTGGCCGTCCGCACGGCCCCGCGGTGTCTCACCTGCCTGAAAGGGAGGAAGGAAGCCTGTGGAGCCCCATCCGTTCTCCCGCGGCGCATCCTCCAGGAGAGGGTGGGGAAGGAGGAGACATCCTGGCAGACACCCCCCCACGTCCCCCACCTCCCAGCTCTGAGCTGAGGAGGCCCTGGAAGAGGGCCATGGCTACTCCGAGGGAGGGCCGGGGTAGGGTTCTCCTGTCCAGGGGACACTGCTGGCCCAGCCCCACCCAAGCAGGGGAAATCTGCCCTGGGAGCCACTGTCCCTCAGGACGCCCCCTGCAACCAGCCACCTCTCGTCTGGGCCTCACCAAGACCCCAAGACTCAAGAGCTCCTGTCTCACCAGTGGGACCCTCCAGTCCTGCTGGGGGTGTGTCCTGGGTCCTGGAGTCTGGGCCCCTCACTGGGTAGGGTATATGGGTAACAGGCCCAGTGTGGTCCCACTGGACAGGGCCTCAACCAACCATCTCCCACTCCCATGCCTCTTCCTCCAAGAAGCCCAGGTGGCGTGGGTGCTTCGAGTCTCTCTCGAATTCCTGTCTTCTGTCCCCTTTCAAGCCACTGTGTCCTTGTAAGTTCCACCCCATGGTCCTTCCCATCCCTGCTGGTCAGTCCCTGGGATACATGTCCTGTTACTCCAGACACCTATCCGCCTCCAGCGCGGAGGCCAAGGCGAAACCACGGTCTGGACGTGTTTTTTTGGTGCCACCGCCAGCCCCTGGGGTTCTCTTGGGCCTGGCTGCTGGGACCCCAGCACCCAGAGTCACGGCAGTGGTGGGCATGGGGAGGGCCTAGCCTGGTACCTCCCTGCTCGGCTCCCGCGGCTGGGGGTCGGAGAGGGGTGGAGAGCGTGGGCCGCACAGCCTCGGCCGGGAGAGGGAGACTGGAGTGTGTGTGTGTGCGTGCCTGCGCGTGCGTGCCTCGGTCGTATCTCGGCTGGTGCTGCGTGTCCCTGCGTGTCGGGGTCCGCTCGTGCGCGCCTCTCCGGGGTCTGTGCGCGTGGCCCTCCGCTCGCGCCGGAGGGCGTGGGCGTGGCCTCGGCGTGGGTGTGGCCGCTCGGGGAGGGGCCTCCCGGGGGCGGGGCCGGCCTGGTCCGCGCGGTGACGCGCCCTGCAGCCCCGAGCGAGCGAGCGAGCGAGCGAGTTGCCGAGCGCGCCCCGTCCCTCGCGCGCGATGCTCCCCTGGACGGCGCTCGGCCTGGCCCTGAGCTTGCGGCTGGCGCTGGCGCGGAGCGGCGCGGAGCGCGGTGAGTGCGGCGGGCGGCCGGGCCGGGGCTGGGGCTTCTGGTGACCGCTCTGCGCCGCTGCCCGCGCAAGGCCGTCGCTGTCCCCTGCTCCGGACGGGCGGGCGGGCTGGGAGGCTGCGGGAGCCGGGCGGGGGCGCGGGCGGAGCGTCCTGCTCACCTGAGGCTGGCGGCCCAGGTGCTCCAGGCGACACCGTCCGTGAGCGCCGGGGCATAGGGGCCGTCCCGGCCCGCATCTCTGCGGGATCGCGGGCCTGGACAGGAAGAGGGAGATGTCTGTCAAGGGGGCACCCCTGCCTCAGTTTCCCTACCCTTGCGAGGGCCCTTAGTGGAGGGATGGTAGGGAAGTTGGAGTCGCCCCACCGCACTGGGGAAAACCGCAAGGCCGGGACTAGAATTGAGGCACGCTGGTGCCCTGGCTTGGTGGGGAGGGGCGGTGTAGGGGGCATCAGCCTCCACCCCGGAGGTGCCCGGAGGAAGGGGGAAGCCTGCGAGGGGCTGTTCCGGCTTTCAGGCTGCTGGGGGTTATATCTTGTTGTGTGAGTCCAGGTGGGCTGGAGGATGGAGGCCAGGGGAGGGGCCACCATCTAGTAAGCGGGGTCTGGGCTCCAGCCAGGCCATCCGGCGTGGTCATTGCTGTGCCTCCGACACCTTCCCCTGCTGCTGTGTGCATGCCCAGGGTGCCTCACCTGCAGGCTGAGCTGCGTGGCTGAACTCCAGCCTCAGGCTGCTCCTCTGAAAGCCATGCCTGGAGGGAACAGCCCCACGGCTCAGGCCTGTCCTGGGGGCCTAGGCCAGGACTCTTGGCTCCACCTGCTTGCAGGGTCTGTGAGGAATGGGAAGGTGTGGGGGCTTGGAGCGGAGAGTCGCCCTCTCACAGATGGGATAACACAAGCCCAGAGAGAGCCCTAGATCCCATGGCCAGTGTGCAGTGAAACCCCCAAAAGTACAGGCCTCTTGCTTAGAGTTCCTCTTTCCCCCAACCTAGGACCTTTGGGAGAAGGCAAGCATCCACTTAAGGAAAGCTGGGGCCCTGGGGGACCCTGCCTTGCTGTGGGGCTGTCTGGGGGGCCCACACCTGAGGCTGAGCATTCCTCCTTTCCCCCAGGTCCACCAGCATCAGCCCCCCGAGGGGACCTGATGTTCCTGCTGGACAGCTCAGCCAGCGTCTCTCACTACGAGTTCTCCCGGGTTCGGGAGTTTGTGGGGCAGCTGGTGGCTCCACTGCCCCTGGGCACCGGGGCCCTGCGTGCCAGTCTGGTGCACGTGGGCAGTCGGCCATACACCGAGTTCCCCTTCGGCCAGCACAGCTCGGGTGAGGCTGCCCAGGATGCGGTGCGTGCTTCTGCCCAGCGCATGGGTGACACCCACACTGGCCTGGCGCTGGTCTATGCCAAGGAACAGCTGTTTGCTGAAGCATCAGGTGCCCGGCCAGGGGTGCCCAAAGTGCTGGTGTGGGTGACAGATGGCGGCTCCAGCGACCCTGTGGGCCCCCCCATGCAGGAGCTCAAGGACCTGGGCGTCACCGTGTTCATTGTCAGCACCGGCCGAGGCAACTTCCTGGAGCTGTCAGCCGCTGCCTCAGCCCCTGCCGAGAAGCACCTGCACTTTGTGGACGTGGATGACCTGCACATCATTGTCCAAGAGCTGAGGGGCTCCATTCTCGGTATGCGGGAGGAGGCAGGGCCCAGGGAGCCCTAGCTGGGAGCCGCAGAAGGAGAGGCTGGGTTGAGACTTTGGGAAGATCTCATGTCCCCAGAGCAGCGGCCAGGGCCTCCGGGGCTGTGGTACCCCTAGGGTGCAGGGCTGAGTGATGCAGCTTGTCTATGCACACTCTTCACTGGGCGACCCGTGTACCCTGCTGAGACGGGGGCAGGCTTGAGTAGCCACCTCCAGGTGTAGCTCCCTGCTGATGTGTCCAGCCCAGACCTCGAGGCCCCAGGGAGTGCAGAGCCCGGGTGTAGGCCCAGGAAGAAGCTTCCAAGTCTGGGGACTCTGCAGATGGGCAGCATGTGCTCCTGAGCATGCCCACCATACCTGGAGAGGGGTGAGCCAGAAAGGTCAGGGACTGCCCCCCCAGAGAGCACAGGGCACCTCTCCTGGGTGGGGACAGCCGCCGAGGGCTTTGAACTAGTTCGGACTGCAGGCCCACTGTGAGGGTTTCCTGAGAGGCCGGACCAGGGAAGGCCTGAGGCAGGAGCTGAGCAGCTCCCATTGGCTTTTTTTCTGGACCTCCCTGCCCCAGCCAAGCCCTGAAGGAGCTGGGGCTGGAGATGAGGAACCGGCCACTGGCTCAGCCTGCTGCAGCCACTGAAAAATGCCAACCCTGGGGATCTCACCAAGTCTCCGTCTGTGGGTTAATCATCCACCCAGAGCCGGAAGGGGTTGGACTGTGGGTTGGAGAGGGGTGGACGGCCCTCCCCAAGGTTTCCCCAGGGACGTCTGGCCCCTAGTGGCCCCAGGTCACCCAGTGCAGCTGCGCCTGGAGGGGACCAGGAGGAAAGGCTGCCTTAAGCAGCCAAAGGAAAAGCCTGAGGCTGCAGTGCCGAGGGGCCAGGCAGCAGGGTGGGGGCTCCTGGGAAAGAGGCCGGGTCTGAGGGTGGGGGATGGGAAGAAAGTGGCCCAGGCACCCAGCACTGCAGGAGGAAGATCCTGATAGCTTTAACCCAGCGCAGACATTTATGAGCCTCGCCACAGCAGGGTCACTCAGAGGGCTATGTGGGGCTTGGTGTCACAGGTCCAGGAGTCCCCCTCTGGAGAACCCCACCCCACACTCTCCTGGGGACCCAGGGCAGGCAGCGCCTCCAGAACCCCAGGGCCTGCCCCTGTGGTCTCCCATCTCCTAGCTGCAGCTCAGAGAGCCGGGCTGACCTCAGACCCCGGCCTGGCCACTCAGGCTGGGGCTGGTCCTCTGCTCTCAGGCACCACCGTGGACTCTGCCGTCTTTGAGGACCTTTGTCCTGGTCACTGATCTGGCCACTGCACCTCTCCACAAAGGACTGGGTTTGGGGCTAAGGGAGGCAGGGGCGCTTCTGACAGGGCCTGAGGGGGCTGCACCCTTTCCTCCGTCCTCCCCCAGCCAAGGCACGTTCTGAGAATCCCCAGCATCTGCGGGGCATGGCTCCAGCAGCTCCTTGGCCGCGGGGCCCCGTCTTTCCTAGTGGGGCCTCCAATCTCCAGATCTTCCCCATCAGCCAGGGCCGCCCTCCAGCAGCGGAGGAGGAACTGACCGCTGTTCCCTGACCCCCTGCACCACCCACAGACGCGATGCGGCCGCAGCAGCTCCATGCCACGGAGATCACGTCCAGCGGCTTCCGCCTGGCCTGGCCACCCCTGCTGACCGCAGACTCGGGCTACTATGTGCTGGAGCTGGTGCCCAGCGCCCAGCCGGGGGCTGCAAGACGCCAGCAGCTGCCAGGGAACGCCACGGACTGGATCTGGGCCGGCCTCGACCCGGACACGGACTACGACGTGGCGCTAGTGCCTGAGTCCAACGTGCGCCTCCTGAGGCCCCAGATCCTGCGGGTGCGCACGCGGCCCGGTGAGGCAGGGCCGGGGGCTTCGGGCCCGGAGTCGGGGGCTGGGCCGGCCCCCACGCAGCTCGCCGCCCTCCCCGCCCCAGAGGAGGCCGGGCCAGAGCGCATCGTCATCTCCCACGCCCGGCCGCGCAGCCTCCGCGTGAGTTGGGCCCCAGCGCTGGGCTCAGCCGCGGCGCTCGGCTACCACGTGCAGTTCGGGCCGCTGCGGGGCGGGGAGGCGCAGCGGGTGGAGGTGCCCGCGGGCCGCAACTGCACCACGCTGCAGGGCCTGGCGCCGGGCACCGCCTACCTGGTGACCGTGACCGCCGCCTTCCGCTCGGGCCGCGAGAGCGCGCTGTCCGCCAAGGCCTGCACGCCCGACGGCCCGCGCCCGCGCCCACGCCCCGTGCCCCGCGCCCCGACCCCGGGGACCGCCAGCCGTGAGCCGTAAGCCGGCGTCCCCGCCCAGCCGAGAGGGCCGGCGCCTACCTGAGGGCCCCTGTGTCCCGAACCCGGAGCGGAGGCGCCCAACCCGGCAGACGGGTGCAGGCCCGGCCTTTCCCCACGCGGACTCCGCGCGACCCCGGCCCTCTCCCTGCGGCCGCAGGGCTTCCCCGCCTGGCGCCTGCCCTCCAGGGCTGGGGCCTCGCCTGGCGGGACCCCGCAGCAGCCCCGGCCCCATCCCCGCCCAGAGCCGGGCGTCGTGTGGGTCCGTGGGTGATAATTGAGAGCGTCAGACCCAGGACTGTTCAGGGAGGAGCCCCGGTCAGACTCCCACGTGTGAAGACCGGGCCCCAAGTGGCAAGGGCTGGCCTGGGGCGGGCAGCTTGGGTCCTGGACGTTGATAGGAAGCGGAAGGGGAATCGCGGGAAGCTGGCCCAGGTCAGGTCCGCAAAGGCTTCTGAAGAAGAGGAAGGGCGAGTAGGGGCACCTGGACGCTGATGGTGGCCAGGATGCTCAGCTGGCCAGGAGGGCAGCACCTGCTGGGGACGGTGGCCCTGCCTTCATGCCCAGGACACCAGCTGGGTCCAGCTAGCAGCCACTGGGAATCAGAGGAATGGGGCAGAGCTGGGCATTCAGGACCTTGAGGACACGTGACCCCACCCGCCCACCGCCACTATCAGGCCCCGGGACCGCACTGACAGGAAACCTTCCGTCGTGAGGGAGCACTTCCCAGGGGCCGCAGGGACGACACTCTCCAGGGAGGCCCCAGCAACCACACCATCTTCTTGCTGTGAGAGGTCTCACCCCGGGCTACCTCCTGTCACTACTCACTGCCCTGGGGTCCGTGGGCAAGTTGCCCAGGGTGGGGGTGCCTAGCCAGGTGCAGTCCCCGCCCCGCCTAGTCCTCGGCGTCACGCAATGCTCACCTCGCCTCTTCCCCACTAACATCCCAGACTTTAAAATTCAGTAAATCAGATGTACACCGAGCCTGCAGTCTCGCTAGGATGCTTTACTCCTCCACAAACAGCAGCCGCCGACAGGACAGCTTGTGAACGTCTCCGCCTTTTGGGGTGTCCGGGGAGAGGAGGTGGAGCTGTCCCCTCCCAGTGTCAGGCCTCCTTGGTCCTCATGTGCACCTTTTATTCAGAGAGCTTGGGCCCCCTTCCTTTGGAGCTGGGCCCAGGGCAGGTGGCTGGAATGCAGAGGACAAGGGGGCTGGGGCCTCTGCAGGGCCATTCCCACCGCAGTCTCTGCCACGGCCCGGAGCCCTGGGCCCAGGGCCACGCGGGCTCCCTCTGCTGGCAAAGCCACACCCTGCACCGCATGGGGTCCACTGCCCCTTTCCCCACGTGGACTCTGCGTGACCCCAGGAACTGCAGCATTGAGGTGGTCTCAGTCCCTCCCTCAGGTCTGGTGGGCATTGTGCCAGGGGCCACCTTCGGGACAGCTGGCCTTGGCACCGTCTCCCAAGAACCCAGCTCTGTGCATCCCGTGGCCCCACCAGAAACCCAAGGCCACACCGCCCACCAGCTGGGTGTGGTCACCATTCATGGAGGGCCGGCTGGGGCCAGGCTCACCACGCAGAGTTTGCCCTCCGGTGTGATGATGCATGAGACACAGTAGGCCCCCCTGCCTGTGTGTGCAGGGGGTGTCTGTGGGGGGGCCCTGCTGGCTGGACTTTGGGTTTCTCCTGAGCTCCCCTTAGCCCCCAAGTCAGGCCACGGAGGCCTGAGTAGGACCCATGGGCTGTGTGTGTCACTGCAGGTGGCGTGCTCACAACTGCACTGCTGGTCGGCAGGTGGCCAGGGTTGCAGGCCCGGGCCTCGGGCCCCACCTCCTCTGGAGGGGTAGGATCTCCTTCGTGCAGCCCCTGCCCCCTACCCTGTTCTCCGGAGTGTTGGCAGATCTGAGCCCACGGTCACGTGAGAGGAGATGCCTCTTGCACACTGAGCCCAGGCCCAGCTCACGGAGCACCCTGCAGGTGGCAGCGGGGCACCAGGGGCTCATTCCTGGTGGCCTCAGTGGCTTCTGTGGACGACTCAGACTCACATGAGAAGCTGGGAGGAGCTCCAGCTCTGCAATCCCGAGAGGGCAGAGCGGGGGCCCTGGCCACAACCCTGCTCCCCACATACCCGTCTGGCAGAGGCTCTGCCTCCCCTCTGCCCATCTCTGCACACCAAGGCTGAGCACAGCACAAGGCCTCACGGAGAGGGTGAAAAGGCACTGCCGTCTCCATCTCAGTGCCAAGGAATGCCCCTTTCAGAAGCCCTCGTCTGAGAAGTGCTGCCCCTTATGTAGCCCCAGGCATTTTAAAATCTTTGAATCTGCACCAAGTCTCAGAACAGCTCTGGCCCCGGAGTGCTCCGTCCAGGCCGCTGTGAACCGGCTGTCCCCGCGTCTCCTCCACCTCCCCTGACACAATCCTGGCCCCGACTCAGTCCACCCAGGGTGCAGTGCAGAGGCTGATACCCGCCAGGACTTCCTTGCCAAGGGCCCGGCCACGTCACAAGGCCACTGCACGCTTTTCGACATGCACCTGGAAATCGGGAAGGGCCATGCTGCAGTTGCTTCTAGTTGAGACGAGAAGAGCGACAAGGTTGTGATCCACGTGGCAGGTGTTCAGAAGGCTGGGGGCGGGCAGCGCTGGGGAGAGCCCTGGGTACTTCGAGGAGACCCCGAAGGGAGGCTGCTCCCACACCTGCGCCAGTTTCCACCCTCTCTGTGAGCAGGGCTGCGGTCACCTCCCACATCTGAAGAGAACCAACCTGAGGATTTCACGCTGGCTGCGTGCCAGACCAGTCCCTGACAGGTTGTGCGAGGCCCTTCGCTGGACAGCCCATTGCTGGCCACTGGACGGAGAGGCAGAGGGGGCTGAAATTCGGGCCCATGCCTCTGTGAGCGATGACGGAGCAACAGCTCTCCAGCACGTGAAGCTCTCCAGACAGCTGTTCGTGAGAAGCCAGACAGAGGCCTGGGGTCTCAGTCCAGATTTCTGGGGAGTGGGGTGTCCAAGCGTGGGCCACGCTGCTGGGAGCCACCTAGGGAAGCAGGTCGCCTGTTTCTATAGTGACGGTAATAAACCAAGTCAATTTTCTATAGTGACGGTGATAAACCAAGTCAATTTTCTATAGTGACGGTGATAAACCAAGTCAATTTTCTTTTCTTTTCTTTTCTTTTTTTGAGATGGAGTCTGGCTTTGTTGCCCAGGCTGGAGTGCAGTGGCACGATCTCGGCTCACTGCAAGCTCCGCCTCCTGGGTTGACGCCATTCTCCTGCCTCAGCCTCCCGAGTAGCTGGGACTAACAGGCGCCTGCCACCACGCCCGGCTAATTTCTTCTATTTTTAGTAGAGATGGGGTTTCACCGTGTTAGCCAGGATGGTCTCGATCTCCTGACCTGGTGATCCGCCCGCCTCGGCCTCCCAAAGTGCTGGGATTACAGGGGTGAGCCACCGCGCCCGGCCAAACCAAGTCAATTTTCTATAGTGACAGTAATAAACCAAGTCCAGTCCCCGAAGCACAGCCCACATGACAGCCTCCCGCCAGAGAGAGGACAGTTTAGGACTGTCAGCTCCCGGGCAGTAGCTGTGTGTTTCCTGCTTTTTTGGGGGGTGGGGGGAGACAAAGTCTTGTTCTGTCACCCAGGCTGGAGTGCAGCGGCGCAAT
This sequence comes from Homo sapiens, assembly GCF_000001405.40. NCBI lineage: Eukaryota > Metazoa > Chordata > Mammalia > Primates > Hominidae > Homo > Homo sapiens. The sequence continues at coordinate 1,443,445 of NC_000001.11, forward strand.
CTCAGCTCACTGTAATCTCTGTCTCCCAGATTCAAGCGATTCTCCTGCCTCAGCCTCCTGAGTAGCTGGGATTACAGGTGCCACCATGCCCGGCTAATTTTTGTATTTTTAATAGAGACGGTTTCACCACGTTGGCCGGGCTGGTCTCGAACTCCTGACCTCAGGTGATCCAACCGCCTCAGCTTCCCAAAGTGCATGGATTACAGGTGTGAGCACCCTGCCTGGTCCCTTTTTTTTTTTTTTTTTTTTTTTTTTTTTTTTTTTTTTTTTTTTTTTTTTTTTTGAGACAGGATCTCACTCCTAGGCTGGAGTGCAGTAATGTACTCATAGCTCACTGCAGCCTGCATCTCCCAGGCTCAAACGATCCACCTCAGCCCTCCGAGCAGCTGGGACTACAGGCGCACCCCGCCACGCCCAGCTAATTTTTGTATTTTTAGTAGAGATGGGATTTTGCCGTGTTGCCCATGTTTGTCTTGAACTCCTGGGCACGAGTGATCCACACACCTCAGCCTCCCAAAGTGCTGGGATTACAGGTGTAAGTCACCACTCCTGGCAACATTTTTTTTTTTAGGGATAAGGGTCTTCCTGTTACCCAGGCTGTTCTCAAACTCCTGACCACAAAGGATTCTCTTGCCTTGGCCTCCCTCAGTGCTGGGACTGCAGACAGGAGCCACCGCGCCTGGCCTGGCACTGCTGCTTTCGTTTGCCTCTCGAGAATCAGTGCACTTTGAGGAGTGCTGGCAGGGGCTGATGGCTTTCAGGGAGCCCTATGGAGAACTGGGAGCCCTGCTTTTGGTGGGTGGTTGGGGCGGACCAGTAGCCCAGGGCCATACACTGGGGGCCGTGGCTCAGGAGGGTCCAGTTGGGCAGCTCTTCTTTTGGTTGTGCGAGGACCTGCCCATTGGGGAAGGAGCAGGGGGCCCATGCTGGCCCAGGCTGAGACCAGAACGAGTGGGGAAGGAGCAGGGGGCCCATGCTGGCCCAGGTTGAGACCAGAACTACTGGGTCATTTTGGAAGCTGGAGAGAAGGAATAGGAATGGGACCTGCCCCTCCCTCCTGAAGGCCGGGCCCCCGAGAAGAATGAGGCTGCAGAGTGATGTGGGGGCCAGCGGTGACTTCATGACCACACTGCGCCCAGGTGTAAGAGGGCACGCTTCTGCCCAGGCATCGTCCATGGAAGACACGCAGTCGGCCACTGCAGCCTCGGTCCTGGGTGCCCTGGGGCTGGGTCACTGGGGGCCACAGGCCACACTGAGAGACCACAGTCCTGGCATGCCATGCAGCTCCCTGTCCCCAGAGGTCTGCTCAGATGCAGAGAGCTCAGGAACCACACTCGCTGCCTGAATTCTGGGAGCAGAGCGTGGTACCCACTGCCTGGCTGGGGCCTACTCTGGGACTGCAGCCCCTGTCCCCGCTGGCCCAGGCTTCCGGAGGCAGCTGCGTCCCTGTCTTGGCTCAAGGTCAGGCCGGAGGCCAGGCTGTCCACCTGCATCTGGAACCTGCACAGTCACTCCTCCAGGTCCTCGCTGCTGGAGGACTCTCAGACAGGAAACCTTTGCTTTGGGGGCAGGGTGGGGTGCAGGGGTGGTCGGGGGAATCACAGCAACGAGACAGCACAGTGCCATGGCGCAGAGCCTCATATTGGTCGATGAAACAATGCTTTCTGAACTTTGTGTCCTTAGGAAGGGTGTAGGCTGTTGGTTGAAGTAGGAAACAGAAGAGGAGCCTGGGCACGCAACGGTCCCATCGGAGAGCAGACCCCTCGGCCTGGGCACGCAACGGGCCCATCGGAGAACGAGACCCCTCGGCCTGGGCATGCAACGGGCCCATCGGAGAGCAGACCCCTCGGAGCTGCAGTGCTTGGAGGGAGGCTGTCTACCTCTGCGCGCTCTCTCCATTTCTCTCTTTTTCCTTTTAGAGATGGGTTCTTACTCTGAGCCCAGGCTGGAGTGCAGTGGTGTGATTATAGCTCACTGCAGCCTCGACCTCCCAGGCTCAAGTGATCCTCCTGCCTCAGCCTGTCCAGTAGCCATACCCTACTAGGCCCTAATTAGCCCCAGAGGCGTGCACCACCACGCCCGCTAATGCTAAAAATTTGTTGTAGAGACCGAGTCTTGCTATAATGCCCAGGCTGGTCTCCAACTCTTGGCCTCAGGAGATCCTCCCGCCTCTACAGGATGAGCCACCAAGCCTGGCCTCAATTCCTCTTTAAAGGAATTGCCTAAATCTTAAACCAGCAATCAATACTTTGTATTTAAAATTAAGCCAGGTTAGACTGGGCTAGGTGGCTCACGCCTGTAATCCCAGCACTTTGGGAGGCTGAGGCAGGTGAATCACAAGGTCAAGAGTTGGAGATCAACCTGGCTAACATGGCAAAACCCCGTCTCTACTAAAAATACAAAAAAATTAGCCGGCATGGTGGTGGGTGCCTGTAATCCCAGCTACTCGGGAGGCTGAGGCAGGAGATTCGCTTGAACCCAGGAGGCGGAGGTCACAGTGAGCCGAGATGGAGCCACTGCACTCCGGCCTGGGCAATGGAACTGTTTAAAAAAAAAAAGAAAAAAAAACCTTGATGGAGCCCAGCACGGTGGCTCACGCCTGGAATCCTACCACTTTTGGAGGCCTGGGCAGGTGGATCTCCTGAGCTCATGAGTTTGAGAACAGCATGGCCAACATGGTGAAACCCCATCTCTACAAAAAATACAAAAGAAAAATCCAGGTGCCGTGGCTCACTCCTGTAATCCCAGCACTTTGGGAGGCTGAGGCGGGTGGATCACCTGAGGTCAGGAGTTCGAGACCAGCCCGGCCAATGTGGTGAAACCCTGTCTCTATTAAAAATACAAAAATTAGCTGGGGCGTGGTTGCAGGTGCCTGTAATCCTAGGTACTCGGAGGCCGAGGCAGGAGAATCACTTGAACCCAGGAGGCAGAGGTAGCAGTGAGCCAAGACCCCGCCATTGCACTCCAGCCTGGGCAGCAAGAGTGAAACTCCGTCTCAAATATAAAATAAAAATTAGCGGTGCCTGGTGGCATGTGCCTGTGGTCCCAGCTTGTTGGCTTAGCTAGGAGGATCGCCTGAGCATGGGAGGCAGAGGTGACAGCCGAGATCACACCACTGCACTCCAGCCTGGGTGACAGAGTGAGACCCTGTCTCAAAATAAATTAAAGAATAAAAATAAAACCAAACCCTTGATGATGGCCATGGCGAGGGGTGGGGATGGGGTCGGTGGGTGGGGGTACAGCTGGGGAACTCATTGGGTTTTTCTCCTCTCCTATTTTTTGGTACAGACGGGGTCTCTCTTTGTTGCCCAGGCTGGTCTCCAACTCCGGGGCTCAAGCGATCCTCCTGCCTCGGCCTCCCAAAGTGTTGGGGTTACAGGCCTGAGGCACCGCGCCCGGCCTGTTTGTTGTTTTCAGACGGAGTCTCACTCCGTCGCCCAGGCTGGAGTGCAGTGGTGAGATCTCGGCGGCTCACTGTGTTTTATGTAAATTTTCGGTGTCGCAAAAGAAGTAGCACTCGAATGTTAATTTTTCTCAGCTGCGAAATTTACTTCTATAGAAGGGGGCGTCTCATAGCTGGAGCAATGGCGAGCGCCTGGACAAGGGAGGGGAAGGGGTTCTTATTACTGACGCGGGTAGCCCCTACTGCTGTGTGGTTCCCCTATTTTTTTTTTTTTCTTTTTGAGACGGAGTCTCGCTCTGTCACCCAGGCTGGAGTGCAGTGGCACAATCTCGGCTCACTGCAAGCTCCACCTCCTGGGTTCACGCCATTCTCCTGCCTCAGCCTCCTGAGTAGCTGGGACCACAGGTGCCCGCCACCATGCCCAGCTAATTTTTTGTATTTTTAGTAGAGACAGGGTTTCACCGTGTTAGCCAGGATGGTCTCCTGACCTCGTGATCTGCCCATCTCGGCTTCCCAAAATGCTGGGATTACAGGCGTGAGCCACCGCGCTCAGCCTTTTTTTTTATTTTTTATTTTTGAGACGGAGTCTTGCTCTGTCACCGAGGCTGGAGTCCAGTGGCACGATCTTGTCTCACTGCAACCTCCGCCTCCTGGGTTCAAGTGATTCTCCTGCCTCAGTCTCCCGAGTAGCTGGGACTATAGGCACAGGCTGACACACCCGGCTAATTTTGTGTATTTTAGTAGAGACGGGGTTTCACCATGTTGCCAAGGCTGATTGCAAACTCCTGAGCTCAGGCAATCCACCCGCCTCGGCCTCCCAAAGTGCTGGGATTACAGGCATGAGCCACTGCACCTGGCCTACGATGATAACTTATAGCAAACTTTACTTTTGCTGAAAACCTTGCGAGTTTGGGATTTTAATTATCCTTTGCTATTAATAAGACTTCATTCAGTCTAATATATATATTTTTTAATGTATAAGCCACTTCAGGCCGGGCGCAGTGGCTCATGCCTGTAATCCCAGCACTTTGGGAGGCCGAGGCGAGTGGATCACGAGGTCAGGAGATCGAGACCATCCTGGCTAACATGGTGAAACCCTGTCTCTACTAAAAATACAAAAAATTAGCCAGGTGTGGTGGCAGGCACCTGTAGTCCCAGCTATTCGGGAGGCTGAGACAGGAGAATGGCGTGAACCCGGGAGGCGGAGCTTGCAGTGAGCCGAGATAGCGCCACTGCACTCCAGCCTGGGCGACAGAGTGAGACTCTGTCTCAAAAAAAAAAAAAAAAAAAAGCCCAGTTAAAAGGCATACTTAGAATTGGTATAGATGGTTCCTTCCTGGTTCTGTAAGTACTTTGAGGCTTGGCTGAGTGCAAACAGCTCTCATGCTTGAGCAGACCAGTTATTAGGAAACTTTCTTAACTCTATTTTTTTATTTTTTATTTTTTGACACGGAGGTCTTACTCTGTCACCCAGGCTGGAGTACAATGGCGTGATCTCGGCTCATTGCAGCCTCCACCTCCTGAGTTTAAGCGATTCTCCTGCCTCAGCATGCTGAGTAGTTGGGATTACAGGTGCTTGCCACTACGGCCAGCTAATTTTTGTATTTTTAGTAGAGATGGGGTTTCACCATGTTGGCCAGGCTGCTGTCGAACTCCTGACCTCAGGTGATCCTGACCTCAGGTGATCCACTCGCCTCAGCCTCCCAGAGTGCAGGGATTACAGGTGTGAGCCACAGAGCCCGGCCTCTTAACTCTATTTCCACAAGAGTTTTTCCTGTTAGTTACTGATTACCCATTGTGTCTTTTTCCTCGAATCACCTGGGAGGAACTATCTTTAAATAAGTGTCGTCCTGTAATGCACTACGGCCGTCTGTGGGTTACCACATTAAGGATAGTTGTCAGTGGCCTCCATGCCTTTCGGTAAGTTGTTTTTTTTTTTTTTTTTGAGACAGAGTCTCATTCGTCGTCGAGGCTGGAGTGCAGTGGCACTGTGTCGGCTCACTGCAACCTCTGTCTTTCCTGGGTTCAAGCAATTCTCCTGCCTCAGCCTCCTGCATAGCTGGGATTGCAGGCATCCACCACCGCACCCGGCTAATTTTTTGTATTTTTAGTAGAGACAGGGTTTCACCATGTTAACCAGGATGATCTCCTGACCTCCTGAACTGCCCGCCTCGGCCTCCCAAAGTGCTGGGATTACAGGCGTGGTGAGCTGCCACGCCGGGCGTACTCTGGCTTTTAAAAGAATGGGGCACATTGCTTTTTCTTGACTACTTCTATCTCTCCTTTTCTCTCTCTCTCTAACTCTGTCTCTCTCTCTCTCTGGCTCTCTCTGTCTCTTTGACTCTGTCTCTCTCTGTCTGTCTCTGTCTCACTCTCTAACTCTGTCTCTCTCTCTGACTCTGTCTCTGCCTGTCTCTCTCTCTCTTTGACTCTCTCTCTCTCTCTGACTTCCTCTGTTCCCTCTGTCAGTCTTTCTCTCTCTTTGACTCTGTCTCTCTGACTCTGTCTCTCTCTCTCTCTGACTCTCTCTCTCTCTCTGACTTTCTCTGTTCCTTCTGTCAGTCTTTCTCTTTCCTCTAAGATTTTTTTCCCTTTCTCTTAGAATCTCTTCTACAGGCTTATTTTTCTAGTTCTTTCTTTTGTAATTTGTGGTTAATATCTGGCCAACTGTTAGTGACAAATTCCTTGCCCAAGAGGATCCTCGACACCTCGACCAGCATATTTTCTCATTTGTTCTTTTAATCTGTCTAAAAATTATGTCGCAGGCCCTTTATCTTTTCCTTGCTGTATGTTAAATATTCGGGTAAGATTCTGGGTTCCGGGCATGGATTCTTTAATCCCCTTCATGATTAACTCCCCAAGGTCCTGCATATTTTCTCAATGGGCCACCGCGCCCGGCCAGAAGATTTTTATGGTAAAATTTTGTGATGGGAAAACTCATCCCGGAAAATGTTGAGACCTGATGCTGAGTCCTCAGCAGCTCAGAGAATACGTACTTCTGTCCCAGGTCACCCAAACATTGACCTGTGTCGGTTCCCCACTAGGAACAAAATGTAACTGAGGACGTTGTCAGATGCTTGTCCTCGTCACCCTGAGCTTGTTGGCTGCTATCTAATTCTTATTCTTTCATTTTCTTGCCCGCACGTTCTTGATAGCAGATCACTGACAACAGCCATTGGAAGCTTAGGAAAAGGGTATGTGCCGGGCGCGGTGGCTCACACCTGTAATCCCAGCACTTTGGGAGGCTGAGGTGGGCGGATCACGAGGTCAGGAGATCGAGACCATCCTGGCTAACACGGTGAAACCGTCTCTACTAAAACTACAAAAATTAGCCGGGTGTGGTGGCGGTCGCCTGTAGTCCCAGCTACTCGGGAGGCTGAGGCAGGAGAGTGACGTGAACCCGAGAGGTAGAGCTTGCAGTAAGCAGAGATCATGCCACTGCACTCCAGCCTGGGCCAGAATGAGACTCCGTCTCAAAAAAAAAAAAAAAAAAAGCATGTGTAACGTGAAAAAATGGACACTTTAGCCATCGCCTGACTTTCTGTTGAATTGGGAAAGAGCCTCCTCCCGTCCACATGGGATGGCCTTCCTGATGTGGCTCTCCAAGACCATCCCTGGAGGGCATAAAACCTCACAAATGCATCAGGCCGTGTGCTGGGGATGGGGCATCGTCACGCCAGGTCTGACTAGGAAGGAGGATGGGGAGGCAGGGCTGGGGGCTTTGAGGTCGAGGCGTGGCCGTGGATTCCAGAAAGCCCCTTGGCTGGTGTGCGTGCCTGCCCAGCGGCATCCGTGTATCCTAACACCTGCCCTCCGTGTCCCTGCATCTGCAGGCCATGTCAAAGGACGCCCTGAATCTGGCGCAGATGCAGGAGCAGACGCTGCAGTTGGAGCAACAGTCCAAGCTCAAAGTGAGTGGGGCCGGTGTGGGCGGGGAGGCCGGGGCACACATGGGGTTCGGGCGTGGAGATTGGTAGGGCTACTGCCGGTGGGTAGGGCCGGGGGTGTGTACATGGGCAGCAGTGGGGCCCAGGGCCAAGCTTGGGCGCCTCATTTCACAGAAGGAAACAAGGGGAGGTGAGAGACGCTGCCGCAGAGCCGCCCGAGAGGGAGGGCCGGTGTTGGTGAGGGCGTCTGGTCGTCCTGAGGGCCTGGATCTTCTTGACATTCTCACCTCATTTCTTTGACTCAGCAGGATTTTTTTTTTTTTTGAGATGGTGTCTTGCTCTGTCGCCCAGGCTGGAGTGCAGTGGTGCGACCTTGGCTCACTGCAAGCTCCACCTCCCGGGTTCACACCATTCTCCTGCCTCAGCCTCCTGAGGAGCTGGGACTACAGGCACCTGCCACCACGCCCAGCTAATTTTTTTTGTATATTTAGTAGAGATGGGGTTTCAGCGTGTCAGCCAGGATGGTGTCGATTTCCTGATCTCCGCCTGCCTCAGCCTCCCAAAGTGCTGGGATTACAGGCGTGAGCCACCGCGTCCAGCTCAGCAAGATTTTTTAATTTTATTTATTTTGAAACGGAGTCTCACTCTGTTGCCCAGGCTGGAGTGCAATGGTGCGATCTCAGCTCACCGCAACCTCTGCCTCCTGGGTTCAAGCCATTCTCCTGCCTCAGCCTCCCAAGTCGCTGGGATTACAGGCACCCACCACCATACTCGGCTAATTTTTGTATTTTTATTAGAGACAGGGTTTCACCATGCTGGCCAGGCTAGTTTTGAACTCCTGACCTCAAGTGATCACCTGCGTCGGCCTCCCAAAGTGCTGGGATTACAGGTGTGAGCCACGGTGCCCGGCCGGTCACCTTCAGTCCTGAGCTCACAGGCGGGGTTCACGTGTTGCCTGTTGTGGGCATTGTAGCTTTAACGTTTAATTGGCAGAAGACAGAAGCTTCCTTAAGCCCAGCCTGAATCAGGGCAGTGGTGTTGGGAGGTCGGCCAGCAGTGGCCCTTGTCAGGGAAGCCACAGTGGGGGCTGTTTCTGCCGCTGGGGAGTTTGGGCCCCTGAACCCATCCCCTCAGTGACTGCCGTCCCGGCCGATGTCACCCGTGTCTGTGTCAGGGTGCGGCGTCTGCAGGTCCCCAGGTGCCCGGGACGCTTGGAGCCCTGCGGTCCTGGGGCGGACGCAACCTCTGGATTGGTGTTGAGCATTTTTCTGGTTTTAAAGGCTTTTCTCTTTTTCTGCGGCTTCTTCTCAGCAACTTGTCAATGAGGATTTACGGAAGCAGGAGGAGTCCGTGCAGAAGCACCATCAGACCTTCTTGGAGTCCATCAGGTGAGCGCTGCCGAGGCCCGGGCCGGCCGCAGATGGAGCCCCCACAGGTGTGAGTCGCTGGTCCCAGGGTGCTCTCCAGCTCTCCCAGGTCTGGCCGCTGTAGGCTGGCTCCTTGGTGGGGACACTGCCCCCCTGTCCTGGCAGGACCAGGCTGCTGTGTCAAGGCCTCACCCTCAACCTGTTCTTGCTACGTGGCGTGGGTCTTTGTTTCCCTCCTGGTCACACCACTGCTTTCCCCACAGGGCGGCTGGCACCTTGTTTGGGGAAGGATTCCGTGCCTTTGTGACAGACCGGGACAAAGTGACAGCCACGGTAAACATACTCATAAAACAGGGCTGGCAGGTGGCTGAGGGGCAGCATGTGGGGGCCTCCTGGAGCCACAGGTCCTATCCCTGCTGGCTCTGCACAGGTCCTGGCGCTCTCCCAGCATGGAACAAGCCCAAACTGGACCTGCTGGTGGGAGCCGCTCCTCCCTCCTTGAGCTGGGAGAAGAAAATGCAGTTGCCAGTCTGGGCCACACAGTGAGATGCCATCTCTACACATGGCACGTGCTTGTAGTCCCAGCTACTCAGGAGGCAGAGGTAGAGAATCACTTGAACCCGGGAGGCAGAGGTTGCAGTGAGCCAAGATCCTGCCATTGCACTCCAACCTTGGGACAGAGCGAGGCTCCTTCTCAAAAAAAAAAAAAAGAAAGAAAGAAAGAAAGAAAAAACAGAAGGCGACCCTGACTCCATTTTGCAAAAACCCTCTTTATTCCTCAGAAAACCCTGAGAGTTTGAAGTTCACAGATTCCTCTCTCCTTTAAAGCCTCACTCTTTTGTGCCCAGGCTCCGGCCTGCTGTGGTGGCGCCCCACGTCGCACATGGCTGTGTCCTCCGTCCCCCCACCCCGCCCAGCACACAGTAGGTCCCCGGCACTGAGTGGGCACTTGCTCTGCCGTGGTGCCAGCACCCAGAGCTGTGACTGCAGCGCCTGCCGGTGGCCTGGTCAGTGTGACGGTGAATGTTGCAGGTGGTGTTGCCGCCATGTTGGTGAGACGGTGTCACCTGAGGACATGACAGAGCTGCTTAATGCACTGTTGACTTTTGTTTGTATTTAGAGACAGGCTCTCACTCTGTCTTCCAGGCTGGAGTGCGGTGGCGCCACCTCGGCTCACTGCAACCTGCGCCTCCCGGGTTCAAGCGATTCTCTTGCCTCAGCCTCTCGTGTTGCCAGGATTACAGGTGCAGGTCACCATGCCTGGCTAATTTTTCTATTTTGGTGGAGACAGGGTTACACCCTGTTGGCCAGGATGGTCTCGAACTCTTGATCTCAGGTGATCCACCTGCCTTGGCCTCAGAAAGTGCTATGATTACAGGTGTGTACCACCATGCCCGGCCAATTTTTGTATTTATAGTAGGGGTGGGGTTTTACCATGTTGGCCAGGCTGGTTGCGAACTCCTGGCCTCAAGTGATCCACCCATCTTGGCCTCCCAAAGTGCTGGGATTACAGGGATGAGCCACCAGGCCTGGCATAAACCATTTTTTTTTTTTTGAGATGGAGTTTCCCTGTTGTTGCCCAGGCTTGAGTGTGACGGCGCAGTCTGGGCTCACTGCAACCTCCGACTCGCGGGTTCAAGTGATTCTCCTGCCTCAGCCTCCCAAGTAGCTGAGATTACAGGCATGTGCCATCATGGCCAGCTAACTTTTTGTATTTTTAGTAGAGACGGGGTTTCTCCATGTGGGTTAGGCTGGTCTTCAACTCTCGACCTCAGGTGATCCACCTGCCTCAGCCTCCCAAAGTGCTGGGATTACAGACCTGAGCTACTGTGCCCAGCCGGCCTAATTGATTTTTAAAACGAGTTAGAGATTTTGGGTTAGTCTTGTTTTCCAGGAATAAAGTACCATTTTTAGTGGCCAAGAATGTACCGAGGGTGTGGCCCTGTGACATATCCAGCTGGGTCTGCCCAGGGCCCCGCTCAGCGACCAGAGCTTTGTAGGATTTATGCTACCAGTTGCAGAGAAAATGGCCCTGAGTGAGGGCGCTGTGACTGCCCCACCTGCCTCCTGTAACCGCGTGGCTGTGGGATTCGGGGCTGGGAATTCGGGTTCCTGTGGGGCCAGCACACGGCCCTGTGCTTCTCCCTCAGGCGGAGAGAGGGTGGGGGCAGCCCCGTGCGTCTCCTGCTCTAGGAGGGAGGGACGGTGGGGGCCGGTGCGCCAGTGCGGTGTCTCTGCTGCAGGTGGCTGGGCTGACGCTGCTGGCTGTCGGGGTCTACTCAGCCAAGAATGCGACAGCCGTCACTGGCCGCTACATCGAGGCTCGGCTGGGGAAGCCGTCCCTAGTGAGGGAGACGTCCCGCATCACGGTGCTTGAGGCGCTGCGGCACCCCATCCAGGTAGCGGCGCAGGCCTGGCCCTCCCTGAGTGCAAGTGCCTGGCTGAGTCCCTTCTGCCCCACGAGCACAGCCCACGCATATACTCCTGTCCCTTCCCTTTCCCCGGATAACAGGCACCCGCACGCTGCTTCACGGGTGGGTTTTCCTGTCTGGCGCTGTACCTTAGGGGTCTGCATCAGTGAGACCCTTCCCCTGTCTGCCTCGGTGTCCCCTGCTCAGGGCTCTTGATGGGGCCTGGGAGCACATCGGGGTCCTTGCAAGACCCGGGATTTGGGTGTGCGGCCGTCTGTCGGGGAAGCTGCTACAGGCCACAGTGTCTGGCGGCCTCCCTGGGGAGCCGCGCCGTTTGCCAGCCCCCAAGGTGCCTGCTCTCCACACGGGGGTGGCAGTGTCTCCACAGGTCACTCGGTGGGTGGTTAAGAAAATAAAAGCTGGCCGGGCGTGGTGGCTCACACTTGTAATCCCAGCACTTTGGGAGGCCAAGACAGGTGGATCATGAGGTCAGGACATCGAGACCATCCTGGCTAACACAGTGAAACCCCATCTCTACTAAAAAAATACAAAAAATTAGCCGGGCGTGGTGGCGGGCGCCTGTAGTCCCAGCTACTCGGGAGGCTGAGGCAGAAGAATGGCTTGAACCTGGGAGATGGAGCTTGCAGTAAGCAGAGATCACGCCACTGCACTCCAGCCTGGGCGACAGAGTGAGACTCCGTCTCAAAAAAAAAAAAAAAAAAAAAAAAAAACCCAGAAAAAAGAGAAGCCGATAAGAAACCGGAAAATGCCCCCAATCCCTGCAACAGACACCCAGTCTCCCGGCGGGGCGGGGTTCCAGCTCCAGGCCGGTCCTGGCTGTGATTCGGGGCAGCTCCGTTTCTGCGTGTTACCGAGCTTGTGTGTGCGTTGGTGGCTGTTCCGTGGCTGTGGCAGGTGACCCAATGGTGCTTCCCCTTCCCCTCCAGCAGGTCAGCCGGCGGCTCCTCAGTCGACCCCAGGACGTGCTGGAGGGTGTTGTGCTTAGTGTAAGTCGGTGTGCCTGGGACCGGGGAGGCGCAGGGAGGGGACCCCGGAGCTGGGCTGGGCTGTGGCCCTTGCTGGCGCTCCTGGTGGCGCCCAGGATCTTTTGGGTCCTGAGATGCGACTGCTTGGACCGTGCCGGGGATAGATAGGCTGCCCACGAGCTGGGTGGCTCCCCGGAGAGCGGAGTCCACACCCAGGCATTCTCGCAGCCCCTGCCCCCGAGGCTTCTGTGGGTGCAGACTGTGTCCTCCAAGCCCCTGTCTTCCTCGGCAGCCCAGCCTGGAAGCACGGGTGCGCGACATCGCCATAATGACAAGGAACATCAAGAAGAACCGGGGCCTGTACAGGCACATCCTGCTGTACGGGCCACCAGGCACCGGGAAGACGCTGTTTGCCAAGGTGAGAGTGCCTAGCTGAACAGGTGGGCCAGGGGCCGCTGGGGTCTCACCTGCCTGCAGGTGTCTGGGGGGCTCAGCTGCCTGGGGAATGGACCCCCCTTAGGCCTTTGCCCACCCTCGTGTAGGCTCAGGGTGCTGGTGTGGGCAGCAGCGCCTCCCATCTTCCAGGCGGGGGACGTCTCCTGTCTGGCAGGCTGTGGCTTCCAGGCAGGGACGCTGGGCAGAGCCTCCACACTCCGGGTGGAGTGTGCAGGCTTTGCAGAGGCGGAGGGAACATCTGTTCTGTCTCCCCTCACTCTTCTTGTCCAGAAACTCGCCCTGCACTCAGGCATGGACTACGCCATCATGACAGGCGGGGACGTGGCCCCCATGGGGCGGGAAGGCGTGACCGCCATGCACAAGCTCTTTGACTGGGCCAATACCAGCCGGCGCGGGTGAGACGTCCCCACAGCATGCACCAGGCCCTTGGCTGCGGCCCAGCAGGCTGCCTTCTGGGAAGGGGGTCCAGGTGTCTCTTGGGGACCCTGTCTTTCTGCAGCTCTGTCCTTGTGGCCACGCAGGAGGCCCAGTGGAGGGTCCCTCGGAGGGAAAGTCCCCTGAGTGTGGACCCTGGTGGACACGAGGCCCCCAGCGTGTGGAGGCTGCCAGTGGGATACTTGGCTCAGGGCAGAAGGGAGGTGGGTGGGTGCAGGGGGAGAGGGGTCTTCACAGCTGCAGGGGAGGCTCCTCCACAGCCGCCCTCCCCCCAACACGCCTGCAGGTGGGCGTGGGCACTGGTTGCCTTTTCTAGAACCATTTGAAAGTTAGCTGAAGACAGCATGGCACACTCCCTTCAATAGGTCCCACAGTGACCCCGCGCAGGGCACAGCCCGGGCACCCTTGTGGCCTCGGCTGTCCTCGTTGGAACCACGATGCTCATGGTTGGCACCCTCCCCTCTGGCCTTTGACCTTTCACTTTAGAAGACCTGTCCCTGGTGTGGACTCTAAGCGGCCACCAGCGCTGCACTGGGCTGAGTGGGGGTGAAGCCTGCGGGGCAGAGTCTGCTTCTGTCGGTGGATCAGCTTCTGTCAGGTCCAGGACTTAGGGCTCCGTGGGGCAGAGCCTGACCCCGTGGGGATCTGCCTGCTTGGCCTGCTCCTGCCATGGCCGGACGCCGCTGTGGGCTGCTCCTGGCATCACTCTCACCCAGCTTGGCCTCCCTCTCGTCCACAGCCTCCTGCTCTTTGTGGATGAAGCGGACGCCTTCCTTCGGAAGCGAGCCACTGTGAGTGTCACTAAGCCTCTGTCTGGCCACAGGAGGGTGGTGGGGTGTGTGCGGCTGTCATCCTGGGCCAGGCCGCAGCCCACTGCTCAATTTCTTTTTCTCTAAGTTTTGTGTGAAAAACACAGCATTTTTGGCCAGGTGTGGAGGCTCACGCCTGTAATACCAGCACTTTGGGAGGCCGAGGCAAGTGGATCACGAGGTCAGGAGATCAAGACCATCCTGGCTAACACGGTGAAACCCCGTCTCTACTAAAAATACAAAAAAAATTAGCTGTGCGTGGTGGCGGGCGCCCGTAGTCCCAGCTACTCGGGAGGCTGAGGCAGGAGAATGGCGTGAACCCGGGAGGCGAAGCTTGCAGTGAGCCGAGATCGTGCTGCTGCACTCCAGCCTGGGCGACACAGCGAGACTTCATCTCAAAAAAAAAAAAAAAAAAACAAAAAAAACAGCATTTTTTTAGGTCAGCTTAAAGTTAAGGTTTGGCTTTTGAGTGTTTTTTGTTTTGTTTTGTTTTGTTTTTGAGATGGTGTCTTGCTTTGTTGCCAGAGTGGAGTTCAGTGGCGTGATCTCGGCTCACTGCAACCTCCGCCTCCCAGTGCAAGCGATTCTCCTGCTTCATCCTCCCAAGTAGCTGGGATTATAGGCATCCGCCACCACACCCAGCTAATTTTTGTATTTTTAGTAGAGATGGGGTTTCACCACGTTGGCCATGATGGTCTAGATCTCTTGACCTTGTAATGCCCCTGCCTCAGCCTCTCAAAGTGCTGGTATTATAGGTGTGAGCCACTGCACCCGGTCTATTTTTATTTTTATTTATTTGAGACAAAGTCTCACTCTATCCCTTAAGCTGGCTTGCAGTGGCGCAATCTTGGCTCGCTGCAACCTCCGCCTCCTGGGTTCAAGCTGGTCTCCTGCCTCAGCCCCCTGAGTAGCTGGGATTACAGGTGTGTGCCACCACATCCAGATAAGTTTTTTGTATTTTTAGTAGAGATGGGGTTTCACCATGTTGGTCAGGCTGGTTGAGAACTCCTGACCTCAAATAATCTGCCCGCTGCTGCCTCCCAAAATGCTGGGATTACATGCGTGATCCACCACCCCCAGCCATACAGTTATTATTTTAAGACAGGGTCTCTGTCGCCCAGGCTGGAGTGCAATGGCGCGATCTTGGCTCACCGCAACCTCCGCCCCCTGGGTTCAAGCAGTTCCCCTGCCTCGGCCTCCCAAGTAGCTGGGATTACAGTCATGTACCACCACACCCAGCTCATTTTGTCTTTTTTTTTTTACTAGAGACTGGGTTTCTCCATGCCGGTCAGGCTAGTCCCGAACTCCCGACCTCAGGTGATCTGCCTACCTCGGCCTCCCAAAGTGCTAGGATTACAGGCGTGAGCCACCGCGCCAGGCCCCAGCTAACTTTTTTGTAATGTTAGTAGAGATGGAGTTTCCCCTTGTTGCCCAGGCTGGGCTCGAACTTCTGAGCTAAAGAGATGCTCTTGCCTTGACCTTCTGAAGTTCTGGGATTACAGTCATGAGCCCCCACGCCCAGTCAGGGTTTGTTTTTTTTTTTTGAGACAGTCTCACTCTGTCGCCCATGCTGGAGTGCAGCGGTGCCATTTCAGCTCGCTGCAACCTCTGCCTCCCAGGTTTAAGTGATTCTCGTGCCTCAGCCTCCCACGTAGCTGGGACCACAGGTGTGCCACCACGCCTGGCTAATTTTTGTATTTTTAGTAGAGACGGGGTCTCACCATGTTGGCCAGGATGGTCTCAAACTCCCAACCTCGTGTGATCTGCCTGCCTCAGCCTCCCAAAATCCAGGTTACATTCGTGAGTCACCGCCCCTGGCCCTGGTCAGGCTTTTGAGTCTAGATCCGTGAAAGTGTCGCCATGTCCCTGCTCCCTGCAGGAGGGAGGCCTGTGGGACTTTCTGCTGTGGCTGTTTACAAGGCTTTGCTCCTGGTGCCTAAGGCTGGAACCTTCTCTCTGCAGGAGAAGATAAGCGAGGACCTCAGGGCCACACTGAACGCCTTCCTGTACCGCACGGGCCAGCACAGCAACAAGTGAGGGAGCCCCTCGGGTCCTGGGCCCCCGGGCAGGGCTGTGCAGCCGTCACCCTTGGTTCCCACCGAGGGACCTGAGGGGCCCTGGCTCACAGTGCTGGGCAGCTGCCGTGGCCTCAACGTGCCCACCTTGGATGTCCCCTGGGAACGGCCCAGCTCAGGACAGCACGGGGTGTCACTGAGGAACATGCGGGGGCCTCCCGGGCAGAGCTGGGGTCAGTCCTGTCCTCACGGCCCTGTGCACCGCCGCCCCAGCTTGCAGGTCCCTCTGCCCCTAGGTTTCTGCGGTCCTGTGCCTGCAAGGGAGGTGGTCTCATCGTGTGAGGCTCTGCTGGGTCTCCCTTGGAGGGTGTGTGTGCCCTGGGGTGGGAGATGGAGACAAGTTTGCTCCCACGGGAAGTTGGACACCAGCAGGTCCTGTGTGTCGGGGCGGAACCTGGGACCTTGGTCCCCCGCCCGGATGCTGGCCAAGGGTGCACCCTCCAGGCTTGGGGCCCACCCGACTTTGTGTGGCCTCTGTGGGCTGCCGCCCAGATGTCCCCCATAGGGTGACCGCCCCATGGCCAGTCTCCCTAGTCCCTCCCAAGTCCCCTAATTTTGAGTTTTCTTGGTCTCCTGGGTCCCTCCAGCCCCAGTCACGTGTCACATGGAGGATCAAGTCCTGCTGGTCGGCCGTGGCTGACTCCTCAGGCACGTTGGGCTCCTGGGTCAGCTGCTGCCGGTAGACGCTCCCTGGAGCCCTGACTCGGGTCCTTCCCAGAGAGGCAAGGCTGGGGCCCTGCTGAGCCTCCAGTGAACCCGGGCCCCCGAGGTCCTGCTCCTGGCTCGCGTGGCAGTATTTTTTTTTTTTTTTTTTTGAGATGGAGTTTTTGCTTTTTCTGCCCAGGCTGAGGTGCAATGGCGTGATCTTGGCTCACTGCAACCTCCACCTCCTGGGTTCAAGCGATTCTCCTACCTCAGCCTCCCAAGTGGCTGGGATGACAGGCGTGCGCCACCACACCCGGCTGATTTTTTGTATTTTTTCTTTTTTAGTAGAGATGGGGTTTCACCATGTTAGTCAGCTGGTGTTGAACTCCAGACCTCAGGTGACCCACCCGCCTCGGCCTCCCAAAGTGCTGGGATTATAGGCGTGAGCCACTGCGTCTGGCCAGCGTGGCCACAATCTTGACATGGACTCTGGGTCCCGCATCCCTGCTCCCAGCACAGCGGGGCTCAGGTAGCAGGAGGGAGTGGTGTTCCCGGCACTGCCTATCAGGCTGGGCGACGGTCAGCGGGGAAGTACCACACGGGGCAAGAACAGAGGCCCAGGAAGCCGGGCAGGGGGACAGCTGGGCGTGGTGGGGCAGGCAGGCGGGTGACCATGGCTGTGGCTGCGTTCTCCCCATGTTTCCTGTGCTCACAAGCTGCCACTTTAGATTCTCCCAGAAAGTCTTCCTGAGGGGGCTGAGGAGCACCTGTTCCCCTGGGGACAGCTCGGCCGGCAGCCCCAGCGTTTCCTTCCCCATCCCCGCCCCGCAGATTCATGCTGATCCTGGCCAGCTGCCACCCCGAGCAGTTCGACTGGGCCATCAATGCCTGCATCGACGTGATGGTCCACTTCGACCTGCCAGGGCAGGAGGAGCGGGCGCGCCTGGTGAGAATGTATCTTAACGAGTATGTTCTTAAGCCGGCCACAGAAGGAAAGCGGTAAGTGTCCCGCCCCACCAGCCCCCGTCCAGGGGCCCTCGCTCAGGGTCCACCCCTGCTCCTGTTCTCCGGACACACCCAGCAGGCCCTGTCTCCAGGATGGGCACCACCTCCCTGCCCTGCGGTTTCGTGCAGGAGCCCTGTGGGCCCCAAGGGTCCCAGAGGCCGCATCCAGGGAGGTCCTGCCACCCTTTCCTCATCCCCACCTGAGAACAGCCTGGTGGCGTGTCTTCTGGTTTGGAGGCACAGTCCACTATCACTTACAAACCTTTAACATTTTTTTTTTTGAGGCGAAGTCTCGCTCTTGTCCCCCAGGCTGGAGTGCAGTGGCACGATCTCAGCTGACTGCAACCCCTGCCTCCTGGATTCACGCGATTCTCCTGCATCAGCCTCCTGAGTAGCTGGCATTATAGGTGCCCACGACCACGTCTGGCTACTTTTCGTATTTTTTGTGGAGATGCGGTTTCACCATGTTGGCCAGGCTGGTCTTGAACCCCTGACCTCAGGTGATCCGCCCGCTTCAGCCTCCCAAAGTGCAGGGATTACAGATGTGAGCCACTGTGCCCGGCCTCTTTTACGTTCCTCTTCACTACGCGGAGAGCTGTGAGGAAATCCTGTACCTGGCCACCCCCAGACCCTGGCAGTGAGGGGAGGTGACGTGGAGTGTTGCTCTGAGACCCCCATGTCGGAATTCGAAGGAGAGTCTCCTCATGAGACCCCCATGTAGGGACTGGAGGGAGAGGCTCCTCATGAGACCCCCATGTAGGGACTGGAGGGAGAGGCTCCTCATGAGACCCCCATGTAGGGATTGGAGGGAGAGGCTCCTCATGAGACCCCCATGTCGGGACTAGAGGGAGAGGCTCCTCATGGTCCACTGCTGGCTTCTGGCCTGGCCTCCCTGCAGCTGCCACACCCGGCCCTGGAGCCTCGTGGTGTGGGGCGCGGCTCTTGCTTCCTGCTGCACATGTGCCTTGAGGCTGTCAGGCTCCCTGTTGCTGGCGGTGGGTGCAGCAGGCACGGTGGGCAGAGCCCTCCAGGTGATGAGGGGCCCTGGCGCCTCACACTGGCTGCCTCGGGAACACTCCAGATGAGCAGAGGCTGCTCTACTTCTTGGCGTCCCCAGGGCCCCGGTTTCTGAGTCCTTCTGTGCACCTGACCCAAATCCCTGCTGTCGCCAGTGACGACAAAAGCTGCTCTGTTCCAAAGAGAGCCTGGTTCTCCCCTGCCGACCCCTCCACTGCCGCCTGCTCCATGCTAGACCAGCTTTCCGGGTCTCAGTTTCCCTATGCCCTCCCCTTCCCTGGGCTCCCCGACACCCATGGCTGCTCGTAGCTCTGGCACCATGACCTGGCTTCTGTGGCCTCCAGGCAGAAGCTTTTTTGCTAGAACTCAGGGCTCTGCCACTGCCAGTTTAACGGCCATGCGCCCTGTGGGTGCTGAGTGGACAGGGCTGGTGTTAGGAAGGGGTGCGGCCATCTCCAGGCCCCACAGCCGCCCCCTTCCTGCTCAGCCCAGGCCTGGCTTGCGTCAGGAAGGGGGCGGAACTTGGCTGTCACAGGTAGAGAGTCCCTCTCAAGGGGGCATCTGGCATGGGTGTCCGCCTGGCTGCCTGTCTTCCGGCCTCCACCTCGTGGTGTGGGAGCTGCTGCCTTGGCCGGCCCACTTGGGAACTCCTTCCCCAGGCGTCTGAAGCTGGCCCAGTTTGACTACGGGAGGAAGTGCTTAGAGATCGCTCGGCTGACAGAGGGCATGTCATGCCGGAAGATCGCACAGCTGGCCGTGTCCTGGCAGGTGAGTCAGGCTCGGGTGCACCCACCCAGATGGAAGCCCAGCTGCTGTGCAGATGCTTGGTTGCGCCAGGCCTGTCCCAGCACCGGTGTCACGTGGGAGCTTCTGTTGAGGGGTTTTCAGTGCACAGATGTGACACGGGGCCCCTGCCCCAGTTGGGCCACTCCACGCAGCAGCGTGCACCTGCTCCAGCAAGAAGGGTGGGGCCATGTCAGTGGCTGACGGTCACAGGTCAGGAAGCCAGTGCGGCCTCCTAGTAGCCCGGGCTCTGCCAGGTGGGGCGGGAGGCTTCTGATGCTCACCTTGGCAGACAGGCACCCCCCAGTGTGAATGGTCATCAGGACAGGCCCCTTGTGAGTTTGGTGGTGGGGGTGGAGGGACGTTGTGTTTCTTGGACCAAGTCCATTGGCTTGGTCCTGCTTGACGGGCCCAGACACATGGGTGGGAGTTGTGGCCTCTGATTGTCCCACAGCCAGTTGTTTCTCAGGGGCACCCCTCCTGCAGCTCCATGGCTGCCCCAGGGCCAAGGAGCTGGGACTCACAGGAGTGTGGGCACGGCCATCCAGAAAGCTTTGGTCTTTGGGGGTTGCTGGAAAAGCAAAACCAGGTCTGTGGGGCAGAAGGCACCCTGGCCATGCACAGGCATCGCTGCCTCTGGGGTCCACAGAGTCTGTGTGACAATCTGGTCACTCGATCTAGCAGCACATTATGTGTGACAGCTTAATGAAGTAGCCAACTACCTTGATTTGAACGTAGGAGCCGGGGTATGTAGGGAGCTGTATTAGTCAGTACAGGCTGGGTTATGCCGCTGTGACAAAGAACCCCAGATCTCAAACCCCGTCCTTCTGGGTCAGCTGAGGTCTCTGTTCCAGGCCATCCCCACTTGGGACCAGGTCTGTTTCCACAACTAAGAAAGCAGAGGCCGGGCATGGTGGTGGCTGATGCTTGTATTCCCAGCATTTGGGGAGGTCAAGTCAGCCAGATTATTTGAAACCAGGAGTTCAGGACCAGCCTGGAAAGCAAGTCAAGAACCCATCTCTACAAAAAATAAAAAAAATTAGCTAGACCTAGTGGTGCATACCTGTGATGCCAGCTGCTTGGGAGGCTGAGGTGGGAGGATCACTTGAGTCCAGGAGGCGGAGGCTGCAGTGAGCTGTGATTGTGCCACTGCACTCCAGCCTGGGTTACAGAGTGAGACCCTGTCTTAAAAAATAAGAATAATTTGGTCATGGCTTATGCCTGTAATCCCAGCATGCTGGGAGGCCAAGGAGAGAGAATCACTTGAGGCCAGGAGTTCGAGACCAGCCTGGCCAACATGTCGAACTCCACCTCTACTAAAAATACAAAAATTGGTCGGGCATGGTGGTGGTGCATGCCTGTATTCTCAGCTACTCGGGAGGCTGAGGCAGGAGAATCGCTTGAACCCAGGAGGTGGAGGTTGTGGTGAGCCGAGATCGTGCCACTGTACTTCAGCCTGAGCAACAGAGTGAGACTGTCTCAAAAAAAAAAAAAAAAAGAACAGGAGTGTGGTCGACTGCTGGGCCTGCCATAACCACTGGGGCGTGTGTGCCCACAGCTCTGAAGGCTACAGGCCCAAGGTCAGGGTGCCAGCTCGGTCCCTCCCTGTGGAGTGTTCTTTGCTGGGTCCTCATGTGGCAGAGAGAGCAACTCAGCTCTCTCTGGTGTCCCTTATAAGGACACTCATCCTGCACTGCTCACAGCGGTGGTGGTGAGCCAACACGCCCAGCACCAACTTTGTCCTTCAAGAGTTTTTTTCTTTTTGTGCCGGGCACGGTGGCTCACGCCTGTAATCCCAGCACTTTGGGAAGCTGAGGTGGGTGGATTGCCTGAGGTCAGGAGTTCAAGACCAGCCTGGCCAACATGGTGAAACCCCGTCTCTACTAAAAATACGAAACTTAGCTGGGCGTGGTGGTGTGTGACTGTAATCCCAGCTACTCAGGAGGCTGAGGCATGAGAATCACTTGAACCCTGGAGGCGGAGGTTCCAGTGAGCTGAGATGGTGCCATTGAACTCCAGTCTGGGCTATTCAGGATCCCTTGAGATTCCATATGAATTTTAGGAATGGTTTTCCTATTTTTGTAAAACATAATTGAGGTTTTCACAGGGATTGCATTTAGTCTCTATGTTGCTTTGATGTCTCTCAGCAATATTGTGTGGTTTTCTCTTTTTGTCTTTTTGAGACTGAGTCTCGCTCTGTCGCCCAGGCTGGAGTGCAGTGTTGCGATCTTAACTCACTGCAACCTCCGCCTCCCGGGTTAAAGTGATTCTCCTGACTCAGCCTCCTGAGTAGCTGGGATTACAGGCACGCGCCAACATGCCCGGCTAATTTTTGTATTTTTAGTAGAGACGGGGTTTCACCATGTTGGCCAGGCTGGTCTCGGTCTCCTGACATGAGGTGATCTGCCCGCCTCAGCCTCCCAAAGTGCTGGGATTCATTCAGGTGTGGGCCACGGAGCCCGGTCAGTTTTCACTGTGCAAGTCTTTCACCTTCTCGGTCAAGTGAATTTCAAAGTATTTTATTCTTTCGGATGCTATTGTAAATGGAAATGGTTTCATAATTTCCCTTTCAGATTATTCATTGTGGGCCAGGCGCGGTGGCTCATGCCTTTAATCCCAGCACTTTGGGAGGCTGAGGTGGGTGGATCACAAGGTCAGGAGATTGAGACCATCCTGGCTAACATGGTGAAACCCCATCTCTGCTAAAAATACAAAAAATTAGCCGGGCGTGGCGGCAGGTGCCTGTAGTCCCAGCTACTCGGGAGGCTGAGGCAGGAGAATGGGGTGAATCCTGGAGGCGGAGCTTGCAGTGAGCCGAGATCGTGCCACTGCACTCCAGCCTGGGCGACAGAGCAAGACTGTCTTTAAAAAAAAAAAAAAAAAAAAAAAAAGATTATTCATTGTTAGTATGTAGAATTGCAGCTGTTTTTGCTGTTGATTTTGTATCCTGTAACTTTGCTGATGTCACAGGGTTGTTTTTTCCAATATGGATTCTAGGATTTTCTACATATAAGATTATATCATCTGAGAACAGGTGATTTTACCTCTCCCTTTTCAGTTTGGATGACTTTTCTTTTTCTTGTCTAATGGCCCTGGCCACAACTTCCAGTGGTATGTGGAATAGAAGCAGTAAAGCATTCTTGCCTGGTTCCTTACTCAGAGGAAAAGCTGCCAGTTTTTCACCACTGAGTATGTCACCTGTGGGCTTGTGATATATGGTCTTCATTGTGTTTAGGGCGTGTCCTTCAATTCTTGGTTTGGTGAGTGTTTTTATCATAAAAGTGTGAGGTGGGTGGATCACCTGAGGTCGGCAGTTCGAGGCCAGCCTGACCAACATGGAGAAACCCCGACTCTACTAAAAATACAAAATTAGTTGGGCGTGGTGGTGCATACCCATAATCCCAGCTACTTGGGAAGCTGAGGCAGGAGAATCGCATGAATGCGGCAAGCAGAGGTTGCGGTGAGCCGAGATCCTGCCATTGCACCCCAGCCTGGGCAAGAAGAGCAAACTTCTGTCTCAAAAAAAAAAAAAAAAAAAAAATGGCTGGGCGCGGTGGCTCACGCCTGTAATCCCAGCATATTGGGAGGCTGAGGCGGGTGGGTCATGAGGTCAGGAGACTGAGACCATCCTGGCCTGGCTAACATGGTGAAACCCTGTCTCTACTAAAAAATATAAAAAATTAGCTGGGTGTGGTGGCGGGTGCCTGTAGTCCCAGCTACTCAGGTGGCTGAGGCAAGAGAATGGCGTGAACCCGGGAGGTGGAGGTTGCAGTGAGCCGAGATGCCTGGGTGACAGAAGGAGATGTCATCTCAAAAAAAAAAAAAAAAAAAAAATTGTATTTGGCCAAATGTTTTTCCTGCAACAGTTGAGAGGGTCATGTGGTTTCCTTCCTCCACTCTGCTAATATTGACTGATTTTTGTATGTTGAACATTTTGTATGTGGAACATTGATTGATTTTCATATGTTGAACTGTCCTTGCATTCCAGGAATAAATCCTGCTTGGTCAGGGTGTGGAATCCTTTTATTATACTCCTGAATTCGTTTTGCTGGCATTTTCTTGACGACTTTTCCAACGATGCTCATCAGGGATATTGGCATGTCATTTTTCTTGTGGTGTCTTTGGCTTTGATATGAGGGTAATGCTGGCCTCTTAGGATGAGTGAGGAAATGTTCTTCAATTTGTCCAAGAGTTTGAGGAGTGGTACTGATTCTTCTTAATGTTTTGTGAATTCACATGTGAAGACATCAGGTCCAGGTCTTGTCTTTCAACTTTTATAGTTTGAAGATTTTAGGTTCCCAGAAAAGTTGCAAGAGTAGCACAGAGACTTCCTGGGCCTGGGACCTTGCCACGTGGTGAACATCATGTGTCACTGTTGGACCCACCCGCGACCAGGTTTTGCCCCAGAATCCCACCCAGGAGGCCACGTGACATTTAGCTGTCACTTCTGGTGGGCTCCTGCCAGGTCCCGTGCTTCCTGGAGGGGTGGCTCCGTGAGCATCTGCTCACCCCCTTTCCTCTGCTGGGCCCTGGGTGAGGTGCAGCCACTCGGGTGGACCCTGAGGGTCCCTGCACCTGTTTGCCCTCTCTTGGGTGGGCTCAAGACCAAAAATGATGTTGAGCAGTCCTGGGCCCCTGAGCCACAGTGGCGGTCCGGCTCCGGTCAGTGTCTCCTGCGCTCCCGGGCCCCCGACCCACAGTGGTGGTCCGGCTCCGGTCAGTGTCTCCCCACACAGTGGCTCTTGGTGAGGGATGGGCGCTGGCAGAGGGGACGGGCACCACGTGGTCATCCCCATGGCAGGTTCTATCGTGGTGACGGTGTTGTGGGAGGATGGTGTGCTGCTGCCCCTGCACCCCGTGAGATGAATCCTGCCTCTGGGAGGCATAGCTGGGATGGGGCTAGGGACCCGCTCAGCTGTCCGGGAAGGGTCCCCTGCCCTGTGCTTCCTCCAGGCGTCCTGGTGCGCTCTTGAGCATGGCGCCCAGTGGGGGTCCCCACACCCTCACCCTGACCCATGGGTGCCTCCCCTTGGGGACTCCATGCCCTTTGCTGGCATTGGGATGGAGAGTGACCTGTCCATGGCAGAAGGGCTGGACCTGAGGCTGCCTGAAGCCACACCAAGGGCCACAGCCCCAGCAGCTCCAGCCTTCACATGCTAGATGCCAAGCCCTGTGCCCAGGAGGACAGGGAGGTGGGGGCAGAGGTGGCCTTGGTGCCACCAGCCACGTGCCTCAAGGTGGGCAGTGGCTGCCTCTGCCCTGGAGGCCTGTGAGGGTCAGGGTCTGAGGGTCTGAGGTGCACTATGACCCGGGGGCACTGCCTGACCACGGCTGAGACACGCAGAGGGTCTGCAGTTCCCACCTGCCTCTGGGAAGCTGCCCTGGGTCGGCCGTCAGTGAGGCTCCGCCTTGGGCTTTCTATTAGAAAGTCATTGAGCAACATTGGTGCTGAGGACGCAGGCAGGGCTGTGGGCACTGCAGGGGCTGCCCCCGGTGTCCACACACGTGCTGGGCTCTGCCGAGGTGCGGGTAGCCTGTGTTTCACGCTCAGGCCATCCTGGAGCCCCTGGTTTGGTCCCTCCCCACCTCAGGGCCCTGGCGTGCATTTGGGGTGGGGGGTTCCCATGGCGGCCTCCCTCAGCTCCCTCTCTCCCCACTAGGCCACGGCGTATGCCTCCAAGGACGGGGTCCTGACCGAGGCCATGATGGACGCCTGCGTGCAAGACTTTGTCCAGCAGCACCAGCAGATGATGCGCTGGCTGAAGGGGGAGAGGCCTGGGCCCGAGGACGAGCAACCCTCATCCTGAGTCCATGGGGAGACCACACCTCACGGAGCCTGGCCGCGGACCCCTCCCACCCCTGCCTTTGCGGCCCCGCACATTTAGGAAATACTCCCCGTAATAAAGTCCCACGGGGGCCGCACCGCTGTGTCTATTGGCTGACACGGGGCGGGGTTTGGGGCCCCCTAACGTCCCCCTGGGGTCAAAGGTGACAGAAAAGGCAGAAGCTGGGGCTTTCTGGAGGATTTAACCACAGAGGGGTGGGCTTCACAGGAGGTGGCTGCCACGGCGGGGCCGGGTGCCCGTGCCCCATCCTGAGGCCGTGCATACGCGGGTGCCCCTTCGCCTCCCTCCCCTCCGCCAGAGCTGCCTGTGGCCAGACACACGGTGGAGGGAAGTGCACGCGAAACAGACACAGCGGCTTCAAATAGATGCCGCCCCTGCCCGCGCTTTGCAGCTAGTCCCTGCAAACCTTGATGATGGGGCTGGGCGCGGTGGCTCACGCCTGGAATCTCAGCGAGGCCAAGGAGAGTGGATCACCTGAGGTCGGGAGTTCCAGACCAGCCTGGCCAACATGGTGAAACTCCATCTCTCCTAAAAAAAAAAAAAAAAAAAAAAAAAAAAAAAAAAAAATTAGCCGGCCGTGGTGGCAAGTGCCTGAAATCCCAGGTACTCAGGAGGCTGAGGCAGGAGAATCACTTGAGCCCGGGAAGTGGAGGTTGCACTGAGCTGAGACCATGGAATTGCACTGCAGCATGGGCAACAAGAGTCAAACTCCCTCTAAAAAAAAAAAAAAAAAAAGGGCCAGGTGGCACATGCCGGTGGTCCCAGCTTCTTGGCTTGGAGGCTGAGGTAGGAGGATCGCCTGAGCATGGGAGGCAGAGGTTGCAGTGAGCCAAGATCGCACCATTGCACTCCAGCCTGGATGATAGAGTGAGACTGTACCTCTAAATAACCAAAACCTTGATTACAGCCATGGGGTGGGGGTGGGGGTCAGGGGCGTCTGACTATGGCTGGGGAACTCATTTGGTTTTTCTCCTCTCTTATTTTTTTGGGTAGAGACAGGGTCCCTTTGTTGCCCAGGCTGGTCTCCAACTCCTGGGCTCAAGCAATCCTCCTGCCTCGGCTTCCTAAAGTGTTGGGATTACAGGCTTGAGCCACCGTGCCTGGTCTGTTTTTTTTTTTTTTTTGGCAATAGAGTCTTGCTCGCCCAGGGTGGAGTGCAGTGGTGTGATCTCGGCTCACTGCAACCTCCACCTTCAGGGTGTCAGGCCTCTGGGCCCAAGCTAAGCCATCATATCTCCTGTGACCTGCACTTATACATCCAGATGGCCTGAAGCAACTGAAGATCCACAAAATAAGTGAAAAGAGCCTTAACTGATGACATTCCACCATTGTGATTTGTTTCTGCCCCACCCTAGCTGATCAATGTACTTTGCAATCTCCCCCACCCTTAAGAAGGTTCTTTGTCATTCTCCCCACCCTTGAGAATGTACTTTGTGAGATCCATCCCCTGCCCGCAAAACATTGTCCCTAACTCCACCGCCTATCCCAAAACCTGTAAGAACTAGTGATAATCCCACCACCCTTTGCTGACTCTCTTTTTGAACTCAGCCCGCCTGCACCCAGGTGAAATAAACAGCCTTGTTGCTCACACAAAGCCTGTTTGGTTGTCTCTTCACACAGATGCACATGACACAGGGTTCAAGCAATTTTCATGCCTAAACGTCTGGAGTAGCTGGGATTACAGGCGCATGCCACCATGCCCAGGTTAATTTTTGTATTTTTGGCAGAGACGGGGGTTTCACCATGTTGGCCAGGCTGGTCTCAAACTCCTGTTTTCAGGTGATCTGCCCACCTCGGCCTCCCAAAGTGCTGGGATTATGGGTGTGAGCCATTGTGCCTGGCTGGCATTTTCTGGCTTTTTTTTTTTTTTTTTTTTTTGAGACAGAGTCTCACTGTCGCCCAGACTGGAGTGCAGTGATGAGATCTCTGCAGCTGTGTTATATGTAAATTTTCTGTGCCACCAAAGAAGTAGAACTCGAATATAAAGTTTTCTCAGCTAGATAATTTACTTCTATAGAAGGGGGGGTCTCATAGATGGAGCAATGGCAAGCGCTTGGACAAGGGAGGGGAAGGGGTTCTTATTCCTGACGCGGGTAGCCCCTACTGCTGTGTGGTTCCCCTATTGGCTAGGGTTAGACCGCAGTCTAAAGTAATGCCCATTGGCTTTAAAGAGAGCAGGAGTATGGGCCAGAGTGGCGGGGTGAGTGGTTTGGCAGGAAAAACAGTTATGGGACGGGTAACTAAAGGTGACTCAGGTCAAAGCAGATGACCAGGGGAACAGATGTGAACTGTCAGTCCTCTGAGCCCAAGCCTGCACGTATACGTCCAGATGGCCTGAAGCAAGTGAAGAATCACAAAATAAGTGAAAATGGCTGGTTCCTGCCTTAGGTGATGGCATTCCACCATTGTGATTTGTTCTTGCCCCACCTTAACTTCCTGGCTCAGAAGCTCCCCCAACTGAGCACCTTGTGACCCCCGCCCCTGCCTGCAAGAGAAAAACGCCCTTTGTCATTTTCCATTACCCACCCAAATCCTAGAAAACGGCCCCACCCCTATCTCCCTTCGTCGACTCTTGGGACTCAGCCCGCCTGCACCCAGGTGAAATAAACAGCCTTACTGCTCACACAAAACCTGTTTGGTGGACTCTTTACATGGACGCACATGACATGAACTACTGATTAGAACTGGTGGAAAAAGTTGTTTATTGCAACTGCGAGGAAGTTAGACTTTAAAATGCAGAACAAAGACTGAACATACTGACATACCGGTTCTTTGAAGGGAAATTTAGAATTCATTGTATATAACATTATTCAGGCTTAAAATAGTTTCCAATCCAGTGGGACGAGTCACTCCATATAATTCTGTGAAGTCAACCATTCCTATCAAGGAGAGAGTCGGGGCCGCCGCGAGCGCGTGAACCGTGGGCTCCGGGGTGGTGCCGACGCGGCTGCGGGCCGGGACTGACGTTGCGCCGGGTTCGAGTACTCCCCTCCGGAGTTTTGTCCCGGTGCGGCTCCGGTACCCAGACGCTTCACCACGCCCCCCGCCCTCCGCCCGCTCACCCCGGTTCCCGCCGCCCCGGAGCACGCTCCTAAATTGCGGCGCCGTCGCTATGGCGTCACTGCCCTCGCGGCCAATCCAAGGGCTGCGCGCGTGTCCCTTACGCATTTCCGTCGCCGGGAGGAAGGGGTGTGTGTTTCGCCTGCGCAGTGGTCCTGGCCACCGGCTCGCGGCGCGTGGAGGCTGCTCCCAGCCGCGCCCGAGTCAGACTCGGGTGGGGGTCCCGGCGGCGGTAGCGGCGGCGGCGGTGCGAGCATGTCGTGGCTCTTCGGCGTTAACAAGGGCCCCAAGGGTGAAGGCGCGGGGCCGCCGCCGCCTTTGCCGCCCGCGCAGCCCGGGGCCGAGGGCGGCGGGGACCGCGGTTTGGGAGACCGGCCGGCGCCCAAGGACAAATGGAGCAACTTCGACCCCACCGGCCTGGAGCGCGCCGCCAAGGCGGCGCGCGAGCTGGAGCACTCGCGTGAGTGCGGCGGGGCGGGGCGGGGCGGGCGGGCGGGCGGGACGGGCCGGGGAAGCGGGAGCCCTGGCCCTTGCCGCTCCTCGCTGCTGTCGGCAGCCACTTCCCGGGCGAGACTGCGCCCCCGGAGCACCCCCGGCCGGAGCCGTCTCGCGTGCCGGGAGGATCGGACTCTTTCCGTCACCCGTTTGCACCTCTGCAGCTGTCAGGAGCGGGTCAGGTGCGAAAAGCGGTGCGGAGGTGGCGCTCATAGGTTACAGGGGTCAGGGTCTGGGGCTGGCCGTGGTCTTCAGTTACCGCCGAGCGTGCGGGATCCTTCTGCGCTTGCCGCCTCCACGTGGCACAGGCCAAGGCGTGGCCAGATGGGTAGATGGGTTTGTTGGGTGGTTGCTAGCAGTTTCCACGTAACAAGGGAAGCGTATTTGAGAGTTACTTGATTCTAACGAGACTAGCAGATTTGCACTTCTTGTTGGAAGACGTTAGCATTTGCACGGCGAGGTCTGTGAAGCCACAGGCCAGGCCGTGCTGCTCAGCTTGAGTAAACCCCTGACCCAAGGCCCTCAGGGTGTGAGCACTGACTGCACCTTCCCTAAGCTCGGGTCTCTTCCCCCAGCCTTCCTTTCCCCTGTGGCTTTAACGATTTGTAGCACGATGCAGTTCAAATGGCTAGGAGTCTGGAACGTAGAAGGTGCTGAATTCATTGAAAGAATACAGTGGTTCTCAACTCTTGTTTAAGCCGGGGTTCTTTCTATTTATTTATATATTGAGACACAGTATCGCCCTGTCGCCGAGGCTGGAGTGCAGTGGTGCGATTTCGGCTCCCTGCAACCTCCGCCTCCGATTCTCCTGCCGCAGCCTCTCGAGTAGCTGGGATTACAGCCGCGCAGCACCACGCCCGGCTAATTTTTTTTGTATCTTTAGTAGAGACGGGTTTCACCATGTTGGCCAGGGTGCTCTCCAACTCCTGACCTCGTGATCCGCCCGCCTTGTCCTCCTGAAGTGTTGGGATTACAGGCCTGAGCCACAGCGCCCAGACAGAAGGGATTCCTTTTTTTTTTTTTTTTTTTTTTTTGAGATGAGTCTCGCTCTGTCGCCCAGGCTGGAGTGCAGTGACGTGATCTCCACTCACTGCAAGCTCCGCCTCCCGTGTTCACACCATTCTCCTGCCTCAGCCTCCCGAATAGCTGGGAGTACAGGCGCCCGCCACCACGCCCGGCTAATTTTGTAGAGATGGGGTTTCACCGTGTTAGCCAGGATGGTCTCGATCTCCTGACCTCGTGATTAATTTTTTGTATTTTTAGTAGAGACGGGGTTTCACTGTATTAGCCAGGGTGGTCTCGATCTCCTGACCTCGTGGTCCACCCGCCTCGGCCTCCCAAAGTGCTGGGATTACAGGCGTGAGCCACCGCATGCCACCTTTTTTTTTTTAAGATGATGTCTTGCTCTTTGGCCAGGCTGGAGTGCAATGGCGCCATCTTGTCTCACTGCAAACCGCAACGCCCTGGTTCAAAGAATTCTGCTGCCTCAGCCTCCCAAGTAGCTGGGATTACAGGCACGCGCCACCACGCCCAGCTAATTTTTGTATTTTTAGTAGAGACGTGGTTTCACCACCTTGGCCAGGGTGGTCTTGACCACCTGACCCCGTGATCCACCCGCCTCGACCTCCCAAAGTGATGAGATTACAGTCCTGAGCCACCGCACCCTGCCAGCAGGGGTTCCTTTTTAGAAAGAAGATCATTTAGGGAATCCCTGGTGTGAAGCAGATATAAACAGAGTTTCCCTGTTTAAGGAGGGATGGCCTGGTGGTACTTGTGGTTCCATCCTGTGCCCTTCCCCGGGGTGCTGGGGAACATCCTGAGCTGAGGTTTCTGGCCCCGGCTGGGTCTCATAACCCCAGAGGGACATTCAGGTTTGGGCCCAGGCCCAGGCTAACATGGATAGTCCTAGCTGGGCACCACCGACAGTGCGTGTTCTGTTTTGAAGAGATGGGGTCTTGCTTTGTCGCCCAGTCTGGCCTTGACCTCCTGGGTAAAAGCCGTCCAACCGTCTCAGCCTCCTGAGGAGAGGGGACTGCAGGCTTGCTCGGTAATTTTTCTTTTTTCTTTTCTTTTTTTCTTTTTTTTTTTGACGGAGTCTCGCTGTCGCCCAGGCTGGAGTGCAGTGGCGTGATCACGGCTCACTGCAAGCTCCGCCTCCTGGGTACACGCCATTCTCCTGCCTCAGCCTCCCGAGTAGCTGGGACTACAAGTGCCCGCCGCCACGCCCGGCTAATTTTTTGTATTTTTTTTAGAGACCGGTTTTCACCATGTTAGCCAGAATGGTCTCGATCTCCTGACCCCGTGATCCACCCGCCTCGGCCACCCAAAGTGCTGGGATTACAGACGTGAGCCACCGCGCCCGGCTTTGCTCCGTAATTTTTCTGTGTGTTTTTGAGACTGAGTCTGGCTCTGCCGCCCAGGCTGGAATGCAGTGGCATCATCTCTGCTCACTGCAACCTTTGCCTTTGGGGTTCAAGCGATTCTCCTGCCTCAGCCTCCCGAGTAGCTGGGATCACAGGCGCCCGCCAGCACACCTGGCTAATTTTTGTGTTTTTTTACTAGAGACGGGGTTTCACCATGTTGTTTAGGCTGGTCTTGAATTCTGGCCTCAGGTGATTCGCCCACCTCGGCCTCCCAAAGCGCTGGGATGACAGGCGTGAGCCGCTGCTCATGGCCTTCCTCGGTAATTTTAACGATCAGGTTAGGATGGGAATCAAGGGCTGGACTTCAGGGCACCTCGGAGGACAGCGGATGTTGGTGACTGACTTTCTTGCTGCAGGCTTATTTGGAGGGTTCCTTTGTGTCCTAGTTCCTGGGGGTTTTCACCCGCTAACTTCACTTAGAGATTGAAACTTCTCCCACTTCCAGAAGCTGAATCGTAGTGATCAGCCTGCGGCCCCCTGCAGTGGTACAGGCCTGGTTGAGCAGCCTCAGGCCGCCTCCCCATAGTGCAGACCTGTGCCTCTGAGTTGCTCCAGTCCTGGCGGCCCCGGAGCTCCTGACCCGCAGTCCGCTCTGCCGGCGTTGCCAGTGCCTTGGTCTGCCCTCTCTGTGGTGGAGCGGGGCCCGGGGCAGGGTCTCCAGGTGCACCGTGGGGAGCCCTCCATCAGGCTTTTGTTTCTGTGGATTGTGTTCCAGGTGTGGGCTCTTTCATTTTGATCCCTTCTCTCCTTCCTGGCCTCACTGCTGGCGGGTGAGAGAGGTTTCTCCGGAGTTGACTGCCCCCTTTCCCCGGGTGCCCCCTGCCCTGCCCCTCTGCCTGGTAGCCCCTCTGCAAGCCCGGCCCCTCCCGACGCTCCTGGCTTCCTCCGTGCCCCTTTCCTGGCAGCGGGGTCGCCGAGATTCGCCCGTTGCTTTGTCCTTGCTGCTCTCCAGGCAAACGGGCGGCTCCTCCTCACCGACTGCCTCCTCTGTCCCTTGAGGCTATAGCCCCATGCCGCCTCGTTCCCAGAGTCTGCCCTGACCCCTCCTCCGGCCTGTCCTTGGAAGTCACAGCAGTACATTATCCCAGAACTGTCTGTGAGCACCAGCGCTCGCCCTGCACTCCACAGAGGGGGTGCCTGGAGGAGAGCCTCGTGCCCTGTGGGTGTGAATTCACGCGCTGGGACGCACGTCCCTGGCACAGGGTCACACCAAAGTGGTGAATGATTGTTCTCATTCTAATAACCGAGAGGCCACACGGGCACCTGACCTGCTCTTTCCCCTCTCCTCCTCCCCAGAGTCACTGGGGGTAGGAACTGTCAATGAGCCATTTTCAGGGGAGGGAGTGGCCTCAGCTTAATCCAGCCAAAGGTCCCCTCGGGAGGAAACAGGCAGAGCTCCTCACCGTGACACCCACGTTCCTGTCACTGCTCTGTGGCAGGACCCTGGGGGACTGACACACCCTCAGTCCCCTCGGGGTCAGAGTGAGAGTGGTTGAGAGCCCGGGGTCGCTTCAGCCCTTGGCTTCCCGAGTTTAGCAGCCAAACCCGTTGACCTGGCACTGTCTTCCCTGAGAGGCAGGTCCCGGTCTCATCTGTGCTCTGTTCACTGGGGCCCCCGAGGTTAGCTACCAAGGCGCTTCCTGAAATGTGACGCTGATGCCCGTCAGCCCAGTTCGTGCCTAACCACAGGCCCAAGCAGACCCACCCCAACACCAAAGTGTCGCTGCCTCTGTCTAAATGCAACGAGTGCTCCCCACGGCACTTCCCCCTGCGTCAGTCACCTCCAAAAATTACACCTGAGCTGAGAACAGACGCTGGGCTCTAGTTAGTGACGTGTTTGCTGCAGTTGACTCTGAAGGCTTAAAAAAGTGAGACGGGCTGCGGGAGGAAGAGAGACGGGAACAACGCACCAACCCAGGAGCATCGGGGGTCCCTGCCTACTTTACACGTCTTTCTGTGTTAGAATAATTTTTTTTTTTTTGAGACGGACTCTTGCTGTCTCCCCCGCTGGAGTGCATTGCTTCGATCTCTGCTCACTGCAAGCTCTGCCTCCCAGGTTCACGCCATTCTCCTGCCTCAGCCTCCTGAGTAGCTAGGACTACAAGTGCCCGCCGCCACGCCCGGCTAATTTTTTGTATTTTTAGTAGAGACGGGGTTTCACTGTGTTAACCAGGATGGTCTTGATCTCCTGACCTCATGATCCACCCGCCTCAGCCTCCCAAAGTGCTGGGATTACAGGCGTGAGCCACCACGCCCTGCTAGAATAATTTTTTTTTAGAGACGGAGTTGCGCTCTGTTGCCCCGGCTGGAGTGCGGTGGTGCGATCTCGGCTCGCTGCAAGCTCTGCCTCCCAGGTTCCAGCAATTCTCCAGCCTTGGCCTCCCCAGTAGCTGAGATCACAGGCGTGCACCACCACACCCAGCTTTTTTTTGTGTTTTTAGTGGAGACAGGATTTCGCCATGTTGGCCAGGTTGGAGATTTTATTTTTCTTAAGTCTCACTCTGTCCAGCTGGAGTGCAGCAGTGTGATCTGGGTGACTGTAGCCTCTGCCTCCGGGGTTCAAGCCATCCTCCCACCTGAGCCTCAGAGTTGCTGGGATTACAGGCGTGAACCACCGCTTCCCACTAGGTTTTTGTATTTTTAGTAGAGGTTGGGTTTCACCATGTTGGCCAGGCTTTGGTATCCGTGTATCCTACACCTGCTCTCCGTGCCACATGCGCCCGCAGGTTACGCCAAGGAGGCCCTGAATCTGGCGCAGATGCAGGAGCAGACGCTGCAGTTGGAGCAACAGTCCAAGCTCAAAGTGAGTGGGGCCGGTGTGGGCGAGGAGGCCGGGGCGCACATGGGGTTCAGGCGTGGAGATTGGTGGGGCTGCTACTGGTGGGTAGGGCCAGGGGCGTGTACATGGGCAGCAGTGGGGCCAGGGCCGAGCTTGGGCGCCTCATTTCACAGAGGGAAACAAGGGGAGGTGAGAGACGCTGCCGCAGAGCCGCCCGAGAGGGAGGGTCAGTGTTGGTGAGGGCGTCTGGTCGTCCTGAGGGAGGGCCGGTGTTGGTGAGGGCATCTGGTCGTCCTGAGGGAGGGGGTCTTCTTCACATTCTCACCTCATTTCTTTTCACTCAGCAGGATTTTTTATTTTATTTTATTTTATTTTATTTTATTTTATTTTATTTATTTTGAAACGGAGTCTCACTCTTGCCTAGGCTGGAGTGCAATGGCGCAATCTCGGCTCACTGCAACCTCCGCCTCCCGGGTTCAAGCGATTCATCTGCCTCAGCCTCTGGAGTAGCTGGGATTACAGGCACGCGCCACCACGCCTGGCTAATGTTGTATTTTAGTAGAGACGGGGTTTCTCCATGTTGGTCAGGCTGGTCTCTAACTCCCGACCTCAGGTGATCCACCCGCCTCGGCCTCTCAAACTGCTGGGATTACAGGCACGCGCCACCACGCCTGGCCTATTTTATTTTATTTTGAGACAGAGTGTCACTCTGTCCCCCAGTCTGGCGTGCAATGGTTTGATCTCGGCTCACTGCAACCTCCACCTCCCGGGTTCAACCTCCTGCCTCAGCCTTCCGAGCAGCTGGGACTACAGGAGCCTGCCACCACATCTGGCGAATTTTTGTATTTTTAGTAGAGAAGGGGGTTCAGCATGTTGTCCAGGTTGGTCTTGAACTCCTGACCTCAGGTGATCCAGCCACTTTGGCCTCACAAAGTGCTGGGATTATAGGCAAGAGCGATGGCGCCCGGCCCACTCAGCAGGATTCCTAGAATGGGCACGAGCTCTGCCCTCATCACAGTCCAAAAGTGAGCACCTGCCTGGAGCTGCCCAGAAACAGCCTTGTGGGGTGGGGTTGGTGTCTGACCTCCCTCCCCGGGGGCCTTCGCAGGCTTCTCTGCTGGTGCTTCTGTGCCTGTGGGTCTGGATTCCTCCAGGGCCTGATCCTGGGTGCAGATGCAGCTGGAAGCCCTGAACCTGCTGCACACACTAGTCTGGGCACGGAGTCTCTGCCGTGCCGGAGCTGTGCAGACACAGGAGCGGCTGTCAGGCAGTGCCAGCCCTGAGCAAGTGCCAGCTGGTGAGTGCTGTGCTCTGCAGGAGTATGAGGCCGCCGTGGAGCAGCTCAAGAGCGAGCAGATCCGGGCGCAGGCTGAGGAGAGGAGGAAGACCCTGAGCGAGGAGACCCGGCAGCACCAGGCCGTAAGAGCGCAAGAGGCCGCGAGGGAGGCCGCCCGGCTGCGGGGAGCGGCCTGGGGCAGGACTGGGAGCTGGGTGTGGTCCCGGGGCACTCTGGAGTCAGCCATTAGAGCTGCCCTCGGAACGGCCTTGCACAAACGCCTAAGACCTGTAAGGTCCCTCACTGCTGAGCCGGACGGGAGGTCCCCGCGCCTCCCCACGTTTGTGTGAGGCTGATGGCGCGTCGGAGTCCCCGGCGCTCCGCCCAGTCGGCCCAGACTGCAGCTCCCGGCTGAGATGTGTCTTTGCCGCCCTCTTCTCCCCCAGAGGGCCCAGTATCAAGACAAGCTGGCCCGGCAGCGCTACGAGGACCAACTGAAGCAGCAGGTGAGCTCAGCCTCCCCTGCGAGGCGCCTGCGTCCCTGAGAACGTAGGTGGCTTTGTGGGACCAGTCAGTGGGTCAGAGGCCACGGGGCAAGAACGATGGGGTTGCTGACGGTGGGTGCTAGAGCAGGGGAAACTACTCGGACAGACACGCACCAGCACACGTGTACAGGCACACATGCAGATGTGTGCACACATGTACACGGAGACACAGGCACCTGCCCACACAGACACACACTCCTCGCACACACACTCCCGGCAGACAGGCACACACACCCCTGCACACATGGGCACACACACACCCCTGCACACACGGGCCCACACACTCCCCTGCACACATGGGGAAACATGGGCCCACACACACACACCCCTGTGCGCACACACCCCTACACAGGGGCATGGACAGACACCCGCAAACACACCCCCACACAACACGGGCACGCACACACACACCCCGCCACAACACAGGCACACATACCCCTGCACACAGGCCTGCACATACACCCCCACACAGGGGCATGCTCACACAGCCCGCACACACACAGGTATGCAGACACACCCAAACACACATGGGTCCTCAGGCACACACTCCCGCATGGGGCATGCACGCACCTCCCACACACACCCGATCACACATAGGCATGCACACCCCTCTGCACACATGGGGGCTTACACACCCCCCCGCACACGTGGGCCCGCTCACACAGCCCACACACATACCCCTTCACACAGGCACACACCGCCCCGCACACACGGGCCTGCACACACACCCCCACACGGGCATGCACACGCCCACACACACGGGCGCGCACACACCCGGACATGCACAAACACCCACCTGCACACACGGGCACACCCCACCACACACACACACAGGCATGGACACACGCACACCCCCTCACACATAGGCACACATACACAACCCAGGCACACACCCCCTTGCACAGACGGGCACGCACACAGTCCCACACATGGGCACACGCGCACACCGCCGCAAACACACACACGGGCACGTGTACGCACCCCCACTCACAGTGTGCCTCATACATACGGGCACGCACCTGCACACGAGGGCACACCCCCACCCCCCACCCCCACACACCCCCGCACCCATGGGCACACACACATTACTGCACGTGAGGGCATGCACACACACGCCCTGCACACCCCCACACACAGACCCCTTGTGTGGGTTCCACAGCAGCGGCTCTCCAGGCACGACAAGCCTCCTTGTCTCCCACCCGGGCGCCCAGCTGGCAGTCTGGGAGGTTCTGCTTGGGAGGGCTGGTCAGTGGCGGCGGGCGGGTCTCTGGGTCTATGAGAAAAGCTTGGGTGACATCTGTTCCCTGGTCCTTAGGGACCGTCACCTTCAGTCCTGAGCTCGCAGGCGGGGTTCACATGTTGCCTGTTGTGGGCATTGTAGCTTTAACGTTTAATTGGCGGAAGACAGAAGCTTCCTTAAGCCCAGCCTGAATCAGGGCAGTGGTGTTGGGAGGTCGGCCCGCGGTGGCCCTTGTCAGGGAAGCCACAGTGGGGGCTGTTTCTGCCACTGGGGAGTTTGGGACCCTGAACCCATCCCCTCAGTGACTGCCGTCCCAGCCGATGTCACCCGTGTCTGTGTCAGGGTGCGGCGTCTGCAGGTCCCCAGGTGCCCAGGACGCTTGGAGTTCTGTGGTCCTGGGGCGGACGCAACCTCTGGATTGGTGTTGAGCATTTTTCTGGTTTTAAAGGCTTTTCTCTTTTTCTGCGGCTTCTTCTCAGCAACTTCTCAATGAGGAGAATTTACGGAAGCAGGAGGAGTCCGTGCAGAAGCAGGAAGCCATGCGGCGAGGTAGGCTGTCTGCTCTCCTGGCTGGGGCGGAGGTGGCGGGGGCTGCTTGTGGATCCGGCGTGCACTCTGAGCCTGAGTTCTGCCGCCCGGCCCCTCATAGCTACCAGTGCAGTGGGCGAGGCCTGCTGGGGCTCTGCGGGGTGGGGCTCCCTCTCGGAAGACACCTCTGTCTGCGAGTGGACGCCAGGATCTGTTCAGGGAGGGCAGGAGCTGCTTCACTTCATGGGAAGTACAGGGGCCTTTTTTTTTTTTTTGAGACGGAGTCTCGCTCTGTCACCCAGGCAGGAGTGCAATAGCACGATCTCAGCTCACTGCAACCTCTGCCTCCCAGGTTTAAGCAATTCTCCTGCCTCAGCCTCCCGAGTAGCTGGGATTATAGGCTCCCGCCACCACGCCCAGCTAATTTTTTTGTATCTTCAGTAGAGAAAGGGTTTCACTGTGTTGGCCAGGCTGGTCTTGAACTTCTTGATCTCATTATCCGCCTGCCTTGGCCTTCCACAGTGCTGGGATTACAGGCGTGAGCCTCTGCGTTCTGCCTAGAACATGGGTCTTTACTGTCCTGGTTTCAGTGGGGATCACAGGTATTTGGTGCCATGTGGCATTTGTTGGCGAGTGCTCCAGGCAAACGTCTGTCACCACTCTTCACCGTGGGTGGGCTTGTGGCGAGGTGTGTGCGTTTAATGTTCAGTAGCCAGGCACGTGGCACGTCACGCGTGTCTGAGTTCTGACAGCTGTGTTTCTGTGTGAGGGGGGCTTCCTTCAGAACTCCGCGTTCTGGTTTTTTGCTTCAAAGAGCTCGTCCTGAGAAGTTGCCTAGGCCTCTGGGTCGGATTTCTGCCCTAATCCATGGGCAGGGCCGGCCTGTGGCGCTGTCCCTACCAAGGTCTGTGTGTGTCTGTGGCACGGGCCTGTCCATGGACTGGGCTTGTCCGTGGAGTGGGTCGGTCCATGGCCTTAGCCTGTTGGTGGCGTGGGCCGGTCCACGGCATGGGCCTGTCTGTGGCGTGGGCCGGTCCGTGGTGCGGGCCTGTCCGTGGCCTTAGCCTGTTGGTGGCGTGGGCCGGTCCGTGGCATGGGCCTGTCTGTGGCGTTGGTCTGTCCGTGGCGTGGGCCGGTCCGTGGCGTGGGCCGGTCCACAGTGTGGGTGGAGGTGGACGTGCTGCACTGCATGGTGCTGAGCTGCCCTGCCTCTCTGGGGCAGCCACCGTGGAGCGGGAGATGGAGCTGCGGCACAAGAATGAGATGCTGCGAGTGGAGACCGAGGCCCGGGCGCGCGCCAAGGCCGAGCGGGAGAATGCAGACATCATCCGCGAGCAGATCCGCCTGAAGGCGTCCGAGCACCGTCAGACCGTCTTGGAGTCCATCAGGTGAGCACTGCCCAGGCCCGGGCCGGCCACAGATGGAGCCCCGCAGGTGTGAGTCGCTGGTCCCAGGGCGCTCTCCAGCTCTTCCAGGCCTGGCCGCCATAGGCTGACTCCTTGGTGGGGGCACTGCCCCTCTGTCCTGGCAAGGCCGTGCCGCCATGTCAGGGCCTCACCCTCAACCTGCTCTCGCTGCGTGGTACGGATCTTCGTGTCCTTCCTGGTCACACCACTGCTTTCCCCGCAGGACGGCTGGCACCTTGTTTGGGGAAGGATTCCGTGCCTTTGTGACAGACCGGGACAAAGTGACAGCCACGGTAAACATATTCATAAAACAGGGCTGGCAGGTGGCTGAGAGGCAGCATGTGGGGGCCTCCTGGAGCCCCAGGTCCTGTCCCTGCCGGCTCTGCACAGCCCTGTAGCTCTCCCAGCACAGAGCAAACCCACGTTGTACCTGCTGGGCTCGGCTGCTCCTCCCTCCTTGAGCTGGGAGAAAAAAATGCAGTTGCCAGCCTGGGCCACACGGTGAGACCCCATCTCTACGAAGAATAAAACATTAGCTGGGTGTGATGGTGGCGCCTGTGGTCCTGCTACTCGAGAGGCTGAGGTAGGAGGATCACTTAAGCCCAGGAGGTTTGGGCTGCAGTGAGCCAACATTGCACCACTGCACTCCATTCTTGGCGAGAGAATAAGACCTTGTCTCAAGAAAAAAATGGCCAGGCGGTAGTGGCTCAGGCCTGTAATCCCAGCATTTTCGGAGGCGGAGGTGGGCGGATCACGAGGTCCGGAGATCGAGATCATCCTGGTAAGAGTGAAACCCTGTCTCTACTAAAAAAAAGAAAAAAAAAGAAAAGAATTAGCTGGGTGTGGTGACATGTGCCTGTAATCTCGGGAGGCTGAGGCAGGAGAATCACTTGAACCCGGGTGGTGGAGGTTGCAATGAGTCGAGATCCCGCCACTGCACCCCAAGACCAGCATGACCAACATGGTGAAACCCCATCTCTGCTAAAAATACAAAAATTAGCAGGCCAAGGTGGCGTGCGCCTGGAATCCCAGCTGCTTGGGAGGCTGAGGTAGGAAAATTGGTTGAACCCAGGAGGCGGAAGTTGCAGTGAGCTGAAACCGCACAATTGCACTCCAACCTGTGGAAGAAGAGCGAAACTCTGTCTCAAAAAAACAAACAAAATAAATAAGCCAGGCCTGGTGGCTCACTGGTGTAATCCCAGCACTTTGGGAGGCCAAGACGGGTGGATCACTTGAGGTCAGAAGTTCATGACCAGCCTGGCCAACATGGTGAAAACCCATCTCTACTAAAAATACAAAAATTGGCCGGGCCTCGTGGCACAGGTCTGTATTAGCTGAGTGTGGTGACCTGAGCCTGTAATCCCAGTCACTCGGGAGGCTGAGGCAGGAGAACTGCTTGAACCTGGAAGGCGGAGGTTGCAGTGAGCCAAGATGGCACCATTGCACTCCAGCCTGGCCACAGAACAAAACCCTTTCTCTAAAAACAAAGTCAAGGGCGCATTAAGCAGCTCCTTCATGTCCTCAGGTGACACCGTCTCACCAACATGGCAACACCACCTGCAACATTCACCGTCACGCTGACCAGGCCACCGGCAGGTGCTGCAGTCACAGCAGTGGGCGCCGGCACCACGGCAGAGCAAGTGCCCACTCAGTGCCGGGCACCTACTGTGTGCTGGGCGGGGTGGGGGGACGGAGGACACAGCCATGTGCGACCTGGGGCGCCACCACAGCAGGCCAGAGCCTGGGCACAAAAGAGCGAGGCTTTAAACGAGAGAAGAATCTGAACTTCAAACTCTCAGGGTTTTATTCCGAATAACGAAAGTTTTTGCGAAATGGAGTCGGGTTCGCTTTCTGGGTCTTTGATTTTTTTTTTTTTGAGACAGAGTCTCACTTTCAAGTGTGCTGCTCAAGTGCAGTGGCGCGATCTCGACTCACTGTCAGCTTCGCCTCTTGGGTTCACACCATTCTCCTGTCTCAGCCTCCGGAGTAGCTGGGACTACAGGTGTCTGTCGCCACGCCCGGCTAATTTTTTTGTATTTTTAGTAGAGAGAGGGTTTCATCCTGTTAGCCAAGATGGTTTCGATCTCCTGACCTCGTGATCCGCCCGCGTGGGCCTCCCAAAGTGCTGGGATTACGGGCGTGAGCCACCGTGCTCAGCCACAGCCAGCTAATTTTTTCATGTTTTTAGTAGAGACGAGGTTTTTCCAGGTTGGTTAGGCTGGTCTTGAACTCCAACCTCTGGTGATACGCCGGCCTTGGCCTCCCAAAGTGCTGGGATTACAGACCTGGCCAGCCTAAACGATTTTTAAAACAAGTTAGAGATTTTGGGTTAGTCTTGTTTTCCAGGAATAAAGTACCATTTTTAGTGGCCAAGGATGTACCAGAGGGTGTGGCCCTGTGACATCCAGCTGGGTCTGCCCAGGGCCCCGCTCAGCGACCGAGGCTTTCTAGGATTTATGCTGCCAGTTGCAGAGAAAATGGCCCTGAGTGAGGGCGTTATGACTGCCCCACCTGCCTCCTGTAACCGCGTGGCTGTGGGATTCGGGGCTGGGAATTCGGGTTCCTGTGGGGCCAGCACACGGCCCTGTGCTTCTCCCTCAGGCGGAGAGAGGGTGGGGGCAGCCCCGTGCGTCTCCTGCTCTAGGAGGGAGGGACGGTGGGGGCCGGTGCGCCAGTGCGGTGTCTCTGCTGCAGGTGGCTGGGCTGACGCTGCTGGCTGTCGGGGTCTACTCAGCCAAGAATGCGACAGCCGTCACTGGCCGCTTCATCGAGGCTCGGCTGGGGAAGCCGTCCCTAGTGAGGGAGACGTCCCGCATCACGGTGCTGGAGGCGCTGCGGCACCCCATCCAGGTAGCGGCGCAGGCCTGGCCCTCCCTGAGTGCAGTTCCTGGCTGAGTCCCTTCTGCCCCACGAGCACAGCCCACGCACACCCTCCCGTCCCTTCCCTTTCCCCGGATAACAGGCACCCGCACGCTGCTTCACGGGTGGGTTTTCCTGTCTGGCGCTGTACCTTAGGGGTCTGCATCAGTGAGACCCTTCCCCTGTCTGCCTCGGTGTCCCTTGCTCAGGGCTCTTGATGGGGCCTGGGAGCACATCGGGGTCCTTGCAAGACCCGGGACTTGGGTGTGCGGCCGTCTGTCGGGGAAGCTGCTACAGGCCATGGCGTCTGGTGGCCTCCCTGGGGAGCCGCGCCGCTTGCCAGCCCCTGAGGTGCCTGCTCTCCACAGGTCACTGGGTAGGTGGTTAAGAAAATAAAAGCCAATAAGGAACCGGAAAATGCCCCTAATCCCAGCAATAGCCTCCTGGTCTCCCGGCGGGGCAGGGTTCCAGCTCCGGGCCGGTCCTGGCTGTGCTTTGGGGCAGCTCCGTTTCTGTGTGTTACCGAGCATGTGTGTGCGTTGGTGGCTGTTCCGTGGCTGTGGCAGGTGACCCAATGGTGCTTCCCCTTCCCCTCCGGCAGGTCAGCCGGCGGCTCCTCAGTCGACCCCAGGACGTGCTGGAGGGTGTTGTGCTTAGTGTAAGTCGGTGTGCCTGGGACCGGGGAGGTGCAGGGAGGGGACCCCGGAGCTGGGCTGGGCTGTGGCCCTTGCTAGCGCTCGTGGTGGCGCCCAGGAGCTTTTGGGTCCTGAGATGCAACTGCTTGGACTGTGCCGGGGATAGATAGGCTGCCCACGAGCTGGGCGGCTTCCTGAGGAGCAGAGTCC
Source organism: Homo sapiens (assembly GCF_000001405.40). NCBI lineage: Eukaryota > Metazoa > Chordata > Mammalia > Primates > Hominidae > Homo > Homo sapiens. Next base: position 1,486,026 of record NC_000001.11, read on the forward strand.
GCACCCGGGCATTCCCGCAGCCCCTGTCACCGAGGCTTCCGTGGGTGCAGAGTGTCTCCCCCAAACCCCCGTCTTCCCCGGCAGCCCAGCCTGGAAGCACGGGTGCGCGACATCGCCATAGCAACCAGGAACACCAAGAAGAACCGGGGCCTGTACAGGCACATCCTGCTGTATGGGCCACCAGGCACCGGGAAGACGCTGTTTGCCAAGGTGAGAGCGCCTGGCTGAACAGGTGGGCCAGGGGCCGCTGGGGTCTCACCTGCCTGCAGGTGTCTGGGGGCCTCAGCCGCCTGGGGAATGGACCCCCCTTAGGCCTTTGCCTACCCTCGTGTAGGCTCAGGGTGCTGGTGTGGGCAGCAGCGCCTCCCATCTTCCAGGCGGGGGACGTCTCCTGTCTGGCAGGCTGTGGCTTCCAGACAGGGACACCCGGCAGGGGCTCCACACTCCAGGTGGAGTGTGCAGGCTTTGCAGAGGCAGAGGGAACATCTGTTCTGTCTCCCCTCACTCTTCTTGTCCAGAAACTCGCCCTGCACTCAGGCATGGACTACGCCATCATGACAGGCGGGGACGTGGCCCCCATGGGGCGGGAAGGCGTGACCGCCATGCACAAGCTCTTTGACTGGGCCAATACCAGCCGGCGCGGGTGAGACGTCCCCACAGCATGCACCAGGCCCTTGGCTGCGGCCCAGCAGGCTGCCTTCTGGGAAGGGGGTCCAGGTGTCTCTTGGGGACCCTGTCTTTCTGCAGCTCTGTCCTTGTGGCCACGCAGGAGGCCCAATGGAGGGTCCCTCGGAGGGAAAGTCCCCTGAGTGTGGACCCTGGTGGACACGAGGTCCCCAGCGTGTGGAGGCTGCCAGTGGGATACTTGGCTCAGGGCAGAAGGGAGGTGGGTGGGTGCAGGGGGAGAGGGGTCTTCACAGCTGCAGGGGAGGCTCCTCCACAGCCGCCCTCCCCCCAACACGCCTGCAGGTGGGCGTGGGCACTGGTTGCCTTTTCTAGAACCATTTGAAAGTTAGCTGAAGACAGCATGGCACACTCCCTTCAATAGGTCCCACAGTGACCCCGCGCAGGGCACAGCCCGGGCACCCTTGTGGCCTCGGCTGTCCTCGTTGGAACCACGATCCTCATGGTTGGCACCCTCCCCTCTGGCCTTTGACCTTTCACTTTAGAAGACCTGTCCCTGCGCCAGGCGTGGTGGCTCACGGCTGTAATCCCAGACTTTCGGAGGCGGAGGCAGGCAGATACGAGGCCAGGAGATTGAGACCATCCTGGCTAACTTGGTGAAACCCCGTCTCTACTAAAAATACAAAAAATTAGCCAGGCATGGTGGTGGGCACCTGTAGTCCCAGCTACTCAGGAGGCTGAGGCAGGAGAATGGCGTGAACCCGGGAGGCAGAGCCTGCAGTGAGCCGAGATTGCGCCACTGCACTCCAGCCTGGGAGACAGAGCGAGACTCTGTCTCAAAAAAAAAAAAAAAGACCCTGCTCCTTGCGTGGACTCTTGAGCACTGCACTGGGTCGCTGTGTGGGTGAAACCTGCAGGGCGGAGGCTGTTGCCCCATGTGTGGTTGGCTGGTGTGTGGGTGAAACCTGCAGGGCAGAGTCTGTTGCCCCCTGTGTAGTTGGTTTCCCACTGCCTTCTGAGGCTGAGACGTGGTCAGCTGCCCAGAGGCCAGGCTGATCGGCTTCTGTCGAGTCCAGGACTTAGGGCTCCTGATGGGGCAGAGCCTGACCCCGTGGGGATCTGCCTGCCTGGCCTGCTCCTGCCGCGGCCGGACGCTGCTGTGGGCTGCTCCTGGCGTCACTCTCGCCTTGCTTGGCCTCTCTCTCGTTCACAGCCTCCTGCTCTTCATGGATGAAGCAGACGCCTTCCTTCGGAAGCGAGCCACTGTGAGTGTCACTAAGCCTCTGTCTGGCCACAGGAGGGTGGTCGGGTGGGCGCGGCTGTCATCCTGGGCCAGGCTGCAGCCCTTAAGCTGGCTTGCAGTGGCGCAATCTTGGCTCGCTGCAACCTCTGCCTCCTGGGTTCAAGCTGCTCTCCTGCCTCAGCCCCCTGAGTAGCTGGGATTACAGGTGTTTGCCACCACACCTAGTTAAGTTTTTTGTATTTTTAGTAGAGATGGGGTTTCACCATGTTGGTCAAGTTGGTCAAGAACTCCTGATCTCAAATGATCTGCCCACCTGGCCTCCCAAAATGCTGGGATTACATGCGTGATCCACCACGCCCAGCCATACAGTTATTATTTTAATACAGGGTGTCTGTCGCCCAGGCTGGAGTGCAGGGGCGACATCTCCAGCTCAAGCAGTCCTCCTGCCTCAGCCTCCCGAGAAGCTGGGATTGCAGAGGCACACTAACACGCCCGGCTAATTTTTTTGTAACGTTAGTAGAGATGGAGTTTCCCACATTGTCCAGGCAGGGCTCAAACTTCTGAACTAAAGAAATTCACCGGCCTTGGCCTGGCACAGTGGCTCACGTGTGTAATCCCAGCACTTTGGGAGGCCAAGGCAGGTGGATGACGAGGTCAGGAGTTCAAGACCAGCTTGGTCAATATGGTGAAACCCCGTCTATAGTAAAAATACAAAAATTAGCCGGGCGTCGTGGGGCACGCATGTAATCCCAGCTGCTCAGGATGCTGATGCAGGAGAATCGCTTGAACCCAGGAGGCAGAGGTTGCAGTGAGCTGAGATCGTGCCACTGCACTCCAGACTGAGAGACAGAACAAGACTTCGTCTCAAAAAAAAAAGCGAGAGATTTGATCGCCTTGACCTTCTGAAGTGCTAGGATTAAAGATGTGAGCCCTCAGTCAGGCTTTTTTTTTAAATGTATTTTTTATTTTTTAGCAATTCTCATGCCTCAGCCTCCCAAGTGGCTTGAGATTACAGGTGTGCCACCATGCATGGCTAATTTTTGTATTTCTAGTACAGATGGGGTCTCACCATGTTGGCCAGGCTGGTCTCAAACTCCCTACCTCAGGTGATCCGCCTGCCTCAGCCTCCCAAAATGCTGGGTTACATGCTTGAGCCACCGCCCCTGGCCCTGGTCAGGATTTTGAGTTTAGATCCATGAAAGTGTCGCCACGTCCCTGCTCCCTGCAGGAGGGAGGCCTGTGGGACTTTCTGCTCTGGCTGTTTACAAGGCTTTGCTTCTGGTGCCTAAGGCTGGAACCTTCTCTCTGCAGGAGGAGATAAGCAAGGACCTCAGAGCCACACTGAACGCCTTCCTGTACCACATGGGCCAACACAGCAACAAGTGAGGGAGCCCCTCGGGTCCTGAGCCCCCGGGCAGGGCTGTGCAGCCGTCGCCCTTGGTTCCCACTGAGGGTCCCTGGCTCACAGTGCTGGGCACCAGCTGTGGCCTCAGTGTGCCCACCTCAGATGTCCCCTGGGAACGGCCCAGCTCGGGACAGCACGGGGTGTCATTGAGGAACATGCAGGGGCCTCCCGGGCAGAGCTGGGGTCAGTCCTGTCTTCACGGCCCTGTGCGCCGCCGCCCCAGCTTGCAGGTCCCTCTGCCCCTAGATTTCTGCGGTCCTGTGCCTGCAAGGGAGGTGGTCTGATTGCTGCCGCCCAGAGGTCCCCAGTAGGGTGACCGGCCCTATGTCCAGGCTCCCTCTTCCCTCCCAAATCCCTTAATTTTGAGTTTTCTTGGTCTCCTGGGCCCCTCCAGCCCCAGTCACGTGTCACACGGAGGATCAAGTCCTGCTGGTCGGCCGTGGCTGACTCTTCAGGCACGTTGGGCTCCTGGGTCAGCTGCTGCCGTTCGACGCTCCCTGGAGCCCTGACTCAGGTCCTTCCCAGAGAGGCAAGGCTGGGGCCCTGCTGAGCCTCTGCTGAACCCGGGCCCCCGAGGTCCTGCTTCTGGCTCGCATGGCCATAATCTTGACAGGGACTCTGGGTCCCGCATCCCTGCTCCCAGCACAGCGGGGCTCAGGTAGCAGGAGGGAGTGGTGTTCCCGGCACTGCCTATCAGGCTGGGCGAGGGTCAGCGGGGAAGTACCACACAGGGCAAGAACAGAGGCCCGAGAAGCCGGGCGGGGGGCAGCTGGGCGTGGTGGGGCAGGCAGGCGGGTGACCAGGGCTGTGGCTGCGTTCTCCCCATGTTTCCTGTGCTCACAAGCTGCCGCTTTAGATTCTCCCAAAAAGTCTCCCCGAGGGGGCTGAGGAGCCCCCGTTGCCCTCGGGGCATCTCAGCTGGCAGCCCCAGCGTTTCCTTCCCCATCCCTGTCCTACAGATTCATGCTGGTCCTGGCCAGCAATCTGCCTGAGCAGTTCGACTGTGCCATCAACAGCCGCATTGACGTGATGGTCCACTTCGACCTGCCGCAGCAGGAGGAGCGGGAGCGCCTGGTGAGACTGCATTTTGACAACTGTGTTCTTAAGCCGGCCACAGAAGGAAAACGGTGAGTGTCCCGCCTCACCCGGCCCCCAATCCAGGCACCATATGGCATGGGTGTAGGCCAGCTGCCTGTCTTCCGGCCTCCACCTCATGGTGTGGGGTCCGCGGCCTTGGCTGCCTCACTTGGGAACTCCTTCCCCAGGCGCCTGAAGCTGGCCCAGTTTGACTACGGGAGGAAGTGCTCGGAGGTCGCTCGGCTGACGGAGGGCATGTCGGGCCGGGAGATCGCTCAGCTGGCCGTGTCCTGGCAGGTGAGTCAGGCTCCGGCACGTCCACCCAGACGGGACCCCAGCTGCTGTGGAGATGCTCAGTTGCGCCAGGCCTGTCCCAGCACCGGTGTCATGTGGGAGCTTCTGTTGAGGGGTTTTCAGTGCACAGACGTGACACAGGGCCCCCTGCCTCAGTCGGGCCACTCCACGCAGCAGCGTGCACCTGCTCGTGCCCTCAGGAGGGTGGGGCCATGTTGGTTGCTGACAGTCACACGGGGCTCTCTGGAAGCCAGTCCAGCATCCCAGGTGCCCGGGCTCTGCTGGGTGTGGTGGGAGGTTTCTGGCTCTCATCTTGGCCAACAGGCACCTCCTAGAGGGAATGGTCGTCAGGACAGGCCCCGTGTGAGTTGGGTGGTGGGGGTGGAGGGACGTTGTGTTTCCTGGACCAGGTCCCTTGGCTTGGTCCTGTTTGACGGGTTCAGACACACGGTGGGACTGGCCTCCGATTGTCCCACAGTTAGTTGTTCCTCGGAGGCACCCCTCCTGCTGCTCCTTGGATACTCCAGGGCCGAGGAGCCGAGACTCACTGGAGTGTGGGCATGGCCATCCAGAGAGCTCTGATCAGGCCGGGCGCGGTGGCTCACGCCTGCAATCCCAGCACTTTGGGAGGCTGAGGCAGGCATATCACGGGGTCAGATTGAGACCATCCTGGCCAATATGTCGAAACCCCGTCTCTACTAAAAATACAAAAATTAGCTGAGTTTGGTGGTGCATGCCTGTTATCCCAGCCACACGGGAGGCTGAGGCAGAAGAATTGCTTGACCCGGGGAGTTGGAGGTTGCAATGAGCCAAGATCGCACCACCGCACTCCAGCCTGGCCAAAGATTGAGACTCCATCTCAAAATAAAAGAAAGCTTTGGTCTTTGGGGGTTGCTGAAAAAGCAAAACCAGGTCTGTGGGGTAGAAGGCGCCCTGGCCACACACAGGCATTGCCGCCTCTGGGGTCCGCAGAGTCTGTGTGACAACCTGGTCACTCGATCTAGCAGCGTATTTGAATGAATGAGTGACAGCTTAATGAAGTAGCCAAGTACCTTGATTTGAACGTAGGAGCCGGGGTATGTAGGGAGCTGTATTAGTCAGTACAGGCTGGGTTATGCCGCTGTGACAAAGAGTCCCAGATCTCAAACCCCGTCCTTGTGGGTCAGCTGAGGTCTCTGTTCCAGGCCGTCCCCACTTGGAACCAGGTCTGTTTCCACAACTCAGAAAGTGGAGGCTGGGTATGGTGGTGGCTGACGCTTGTATTCCCAGCATTTGGGGAGGCCAAGTCAGTCAGATTATTTGAAGCCAGGGGTTCAGGACCAGCCTGGAAAGCAAGGTGAGACCCCATCTCTACAAAAAATGAAAAAATTGGCCGGACCTAGTGGCACATGCCTGTAATGCCAGCTGCTTGGGAGGCTGAGGTGGGAGGGTCACTTGAGTCCAGGAGGCGGAGGCTGCAGTGAGCTGTGATTGTGCCACTGCACTCCAGCCTGGGTTACAGAGCAAGACCCTGTCTTAAAAACTGAGAATAATTTGGAACAAGCCCGGTGGCTCACTCCTGTAATCCCAGCATGTTGGGAGGCCAAGGAGAGAAGATCACTTGAGGTCAGGAGTTCAAGACCACCCTGGCCAACATGATGAACCCCACCTCTACAAAAAATACGAAAATTAGCTGGGTGTGGTGGTGGGTGCCTGTAATCCCAGCTACTCAGGAGGCTGAGGCAGGAGAATTGCTTGAACCCACGAGGCAGAGGATGCGGTGAGCTGAGATCATGCCACTGCACTGTAGCCTGAGGGACAGAGTGAGACTGTCTCAAAAATAATAATAAGAAGAATAATAATTTGGGCTGGGCACAGTGGCACATGCCTGTAATCCCAGCACTTTGGGAGGCCGAGGTGTTGGATCACTTGAGGTCAGGAGTTCGAGGCCAGCCTGGCCAGTGTGCCGAGACCCCACCTCTACTAAAAATACAAAAATTAACTGGACGGGGCCGGGTGTGGTGACTTATGCCTCTAATCCCAGCACTTTGGGAGGCCGAGGTGGGCGGATCACGGGGTCAGGAGTTCAAGACCAGCCTGGACAACATGGTGAAACCCCATCTCTACTAAAAAATAAAAAAATTATCCAGGCGTGGTGGCTGGCGCCTGTAGTCCCAGCTACTCAGGAGGCTGAGGCAGGAGGATCGCTTGAACCCGGGAGGTGGAGGTTGCAGTGAGCTGAGATGGTGCCACTGCACTCCATCCTGGGTGTCAGAGCGATACTCCATCTCCAAAAAAAAAAAAAAGAAAGAAATTAACCTGGTGTGGTAGCAGGCACCTGTAATCCCAGCTGCTCGGGAGGCTGAGTCAGGAGAATTGCTGGAACTCAGGAGGCAGAGGTTGCAGTGAGCTAAGATCACGCCACAGCACTCCAGTCTGGGCGACAGAGCGAAACTGTCTCAAAATATAAATGATAACAGTAATAATTTGGCTTGGCACGGTGGCTCTTACATGTAGCATTTTCTACACATAAGATTATGTCACCTGAGAACAGGTGATTTTACCTCTCCCTTTTCAGTTTGGATGACTTTTCTTTTTCTTGTCCCATATCTCTGGCCAGAGCTTCCAGCGATATGTGGAATAGAAGTGGTCAGAATTCTTGCTTGGTTCTTTCTCAGAGGAAGCTTTCAGTTTTTCACCACTGAGTATGTTAGCTGTGGACTTGTGATCGCTGGCCTTCTTTGTGTTTAGGGCATGTTCTTCAATCCTGGTTTGTTAATTTTTTTTGTTTCTTTTCTTTTCTTTTGGTGGGGGGACCAGTCTCGCTTTTGCCGCCCAGGCTGGAGTGCAGTAGAGACAGGGTTTCACCATGTTGGCCAGGCTGGTCTCGAACTCCTGACGTCAGGTGACCTGCCCACCTCAGCCTCCCAAAGTGCTGGGATTACAGGTGTGAGCCACTGCAACCGACCAGTTGAATTTTTTTTTTTTAATCATAAAAGTGTGTTGAATTTTGTCAAATGCTTTTCCTGCATGAGATGAGAGGGTCATGTGGTTTCCTTCCTCCACTCTGCTAATATTGATTGATTTTCATATATTGAACTATCCTTGCATTCCAGGAATGAATCCTGCTTGGTTAGGGTGTAGAGTCCTTTAACTATACTGCTAAATTCGTTTTGCTGGCATTTTGTTGAGGACTTTCCCAGTGAGGCTCATCAGGGATATTGGCCTGCCATTTCTCTTGTGGTGTGTTTGTCTGGCTTTAATATGAGGGTAATGCTGGCTTCCTAGGATGAGTGAGGAAATGTTCTTCAATTTGTCCAAGAGTTTGAGGAGTGGTACTGATTCTTCTTAATGTTTTGTGAATTCACATGTGAAGAAATCAGGTCCAGGTCTTCTCTTTGACCTTTTATAGCTTGAAGATCTTAGGTTCCCAGAAAAATTGCAAGGGTAGCACAGAGAGCTCCCGGGCCCGGGGCCTTCCCACATGGTGAACATCATGTGTCACTGTTGGACCCACCCGCGACCAGGTTTTGCCCCAGAATCCCACCCAGGAGGCCACGTGACATTTAGCTGTCACTTCTGGTGGGCTCCTGCCAGGTCCCGTGCTTCCTGGAGGGGTGGCCCTGTGAGCATCTGCGTAGCCCCTCTCCTCTGCTGGGCCCTGGGTGACGTGCAGCCACTCGGGTGGACCCTGAGGGTCCCTGCACCTGTTTGCCCTCTCTTGGGTGGGCTCAAGACCAAAAATGATGTTGAGCAGTCCTGGGCCCCTGAGCCACAGTGGCGGTGCGGCTCCGGTCAGTGTCTCCTGCGCTCCCGGGCCCCCGACCCACAGTGGCGGTCCGGCTCTGGTCAGTGTCTCCTGCGCTCCCGGGCCCCCGACCCACAGTGGCGGTCCGGCTCCGGTCGGTGTCTCCCCACACAGTGGCTCTTGGCGAGGGGTGGGCGCTGGCAGAGGGGACGGGCACCACGTGGTCATCCCCATGACAGGTTCTGTCATGGTGACAGTGTTGTGGGAGGATGGTGTGCTGCTGCCCCTGCACCCCGTGAGATGAATCCTGCCTCTGGGAGGTACAGCTGGGACGGGGCGAGGGACCCACTCAGCTGTCCAGGAAGGGTCCCCTGCCCTGTGCTTCCTCCAGGTGTCCTGGTGCACTCCTGAGCACGGCACCTAGTGGGGGTCCCCACACCCTCACCCTGACCCATGGGTGCCTCCCCTTGGGGACTCCACGCCCTTCGCTGGCACTGAGATGGAGAGCGACCTGTCCGTGGCAGAAGGGCTGCTGCACCTGAGGTGCCTAAGGCGACACCAAGGGCCACAGCCCCAGTAGCTCCAGCCTCCGTGTGCTCAATGCCAAGCCCTGTGCCCAGGAGGACAGGGAAATGGAGGCAGAGGTGGCCTTGATGTCCCAAGGTGGGCAGTGGCTGCCTCTGCCCTGGAGGCCTGTGAGGGTCAGGGTCTGAGGGTCTGAGGTGCACTATGACCCGGGGGCACTGCCTGGCCACGGCTGAGACTCGCAGAGGGTCTGCAGTTCCCACCTGCCTCTCGGAAGCTGCCCTGGGTCAGCCGTCAGTGGTGCTCCGCCTTGGGTTTTCTATTATCAGAAAGTCATTGAGCAACAGCAGTGCTGAGGACGCAGGCAGGGCTGTGGGCACTGCAGGGGCCGCTCCCAGTGTCCACACGCGTGCTGGGCTCTGCCAAGGTGTGGGAAGCCTGTGTTTCACCCTGAGGTTGTCCTGGTGCCCCTGGTTTGGCCCCTCCCCACCTCGGGGCCCTGGCGTGCATTAAGGGTGGCGGGTTCCCATAGCGGCCTCCCTCAGCTCCCTCTCTCTTCACTAGGCCACGGCATATGCCTCCAAGGACGGGGTCCTCACTGAGGCCATGATGGACGCCTGTGTGCAAGATGCTGTCCAGCAGTACCGACAGAAGATGCGCTGGCTGAAGGCGGAGGGGCCTGGGCGCGGGGTCGAGCACCCCCTATCCGGAGTCCAAGGCGAGACCCTCACCTCATGGAGCCTGGCCACGGACCCCTCCTACCCCTGCCTTGCCGGCCCCTGCACATTTAGGATATGCTCCTGGATGGGGACTGGGCTGTGCCCAGGGCCTCTGTCCCCCAGGATGTCTTGTGGTGGCGGTCGGCCGTTCTGCCCCCCAGGGCACCCCCTGTTGTAGGCACTGGCTAGGGAGGGGCAGGCCTCCTTCCTGCCCCTCGAGACACTCTTGGGAGATGCATTTTCCGTCTGGCTCACAGGGGGAGGGTGAGGCTTTGTACCCCAGCCCCTGCCCAGGCCACTGTGAGGGTGGGTGCTGGCTGAGCCCCTGGGGCAGAAGGAGTGGGGCAGGCGGGGTCTTTGTTCTCGGCTCCCACAGCAGAGCCAGGTGAGGGGGGGCCTGCCAGGACTAGACAGAAGTGGGGCGGCCTGAACCCTGCTTCCAGCCATGGCCAGGGGCCACGGAACCCGGCAGGGGTGTCTGAGGCCGCCCTGTCAGCTGGCCGGTCCAAGCCTGTGGCTGGAGCTGGTGTGTGTTTATCTAATAAAGTCCCACAGGTGCCTCACCGCCGTGTCTCTCTATTGACTGACACTGCTCGGGGTTTCAGGGGCGCCCTAGCGTCCTCCTGGGGTCAAAGGTGACATAAGAGGCAGAGGCTGGAGCTTTCTGGAGAATTTACTGATCACAGAGCGGTGTGCTTCACATCAGCCTCGCGCCACATCCGAGTTGGGGTCTGAATGCTGCCCGGGACTGCCGCCTGCGCCCCACCAGCCCCTCCCTCCTGAAGGAGGGGCACCCCGAGAAGAATGAGGCTGCAGAGTGATGTGGGGGCCAGCGGTGACTTCATGACCACACTGCGCCCAGGTGTAAGAGGGCACGCTTCTGCCCAGGCATCGTCCATGGAAGACACGCAGTCGGCCACTGCAGCCTCGGTCCTGGGTGCCCTGGGGCTGGGTCACTGGGGGCCACAGGCCACACTGGGAGACCACAGTCCTGGCATGCCATGCAGCTCCCTGTCCCCAGAGGTCTGCTCAGATGCAGAGAGCTCAGGAACCACACTCGCTGCCTGAATTCTGGGAGCAGAGCGTGGTACCCACTGCCTGGCTGGGGCCTACTCTGGGACTGCAGCCCCTGTCCCCGCTGGCCCAGGCTTCCGGAGGCAGCTGCGTCCCTGTCTTGGCTCAAGGTCAGGCCGGAGGCCAGGCTGTCCACCTGCATCTGGAACCTGCACAGTCACTCCTCCAGGTCCTCGCTGCTGGAGGACTCTCAGACAGGAAACCTTTGCTTTGGGGGCAGGGTGGGGTGCAGGGGTGGTTGGGGGAATCACAGCAACGAGACAGCACAGTGCCATGGCGCAGAGCCTCATATTGGTCGATGAAACAATGCTTTCTGAACTTTGTGTCCTTAGGAAGGGTGTAGGCTGTTGGTTGAAGTAGGAAACAGAAGAGGAGCCTGGGCACGCAACGGTCCCATCGGAGAGCAGACCCCTCGGAGCTGCAGTGCTTGGAGGGGGGCGGTCTACCTCTGCTCGCTCTCTCCATTTCTCTCTCTACCTCTGCTCGCTCTCTCCATTTCTCTCTTTTTCCTTTTAGAGATGGGTTCTTACTCTGAGCCCAGGCTGGAGTGCAGTGGTGTGATTATAGCTCACTGCAGCCTCGACCTCCCAGGCTCAAGTGATCCTCCTGCCTCAGCCTGTCCAGTAGCCATACCCTACTAGGCCCTAATTAGCCCCAGAGGCGTGCACCACCACGCCCGCTAATGCTAAAAATTTGTTGTAGAGACCGAGTCTTGCTATAATGCCCAGGCTGGTCTCCAACTCTTGGCCTCAGGAGATCCTCCCGCCTCTACAGGATGAGCCACCAAGCCTGGCCTCAATTCCTCTTTAAAGGAATTGCCTAAATCTTAAACCAGCAATCAATACTTTGTATTTAAAATTAAGCCAGGTTAGACTGGGCTAGGTGGCTCACGCCTGTAATCCCAGCACTTTGGGAGGCCAAGGCGGGTGAATCATGAGGTCAGGAGTTTGAGACCATCCTGGCTAACGTGGCAAAACCCCGTCTCTACTAAAAATACAAAAAAATTAGCCGGCATGGTGGTAGGTGACTGTAATCCCAGCTACTCGGGAGGCTGAGGCAGGAGACTCGCTTGGACCTGGGAGGGAGAGGTTGCAGTGAGCCGAGATCACGCCACTGCACTCCGGCCTGGGCAACAGAACTGTTTAAAAAAAAAAAAAAAAGCCCTGATGGAGCCCAGCACAGCAGCTCACGCCTGGAATCCTAACACTTTCCGAGGCCTGGGCGGGTGGATCTCCTGAGCTCATGAGTTTGAGAACAGCATGGCCAACATGGTGAAACCCCATCTCTACAAAAAATACAAAAGAAAAATCCAGGTGCCGTGGCTCACTCCTGTAATCCCAGCACTTTGGGAGGCTGAGGCGGGTGGATCACCTGAGGTCAGGAGTTCGAGACCAGCCCGGCCAATGTGGTGAAACCCCCATCTCTATTAAAAATACGAAAGTTAGCCGGCATGGTGGTAGGTGACTGTAATCCCAGCTACTCGGGAGGCCGAGGCAGGAAAATCACTTGAACCCAGGAGGCAGAGGTAGCAGTGAGCCAAGACCCCGCCATTGCACTCCAGCCTGGGCAGCAAGAGTGAAACTCCGTCTCAAATATAAAATAAAAATTAGCGGTGCCTGGTGGCATGTGCCTGTGGTCCCAGCTTGTTGGCTTAGCTAGGAGGATCGCCTGAGCATGGGAGGCAGAGGTGACAGCCGAGATCGCACCACTGCACTCCAGCCTGGGTGACAGAGTGAGACCCTGTCTCAAAATAAATTAAAAAATAAAAATAAAACCAAACCCTTGATGATGGCCATGGCGAGGGGTGGGGATGGGGTCGGTGGGTGGGGGTACAGCTGGGGAACTCATTGGGTTTTTCTCCTCTCCTATTTTTTGGTACAGACGGGGTCTCTCTTTGTTGCCTAGGCTGGTCTCCAACTCCTGGGCTCAAGCGATCCTCCTGCCTCGGCCTCCCAAAGTGTTGGGGTTACAGGCCTGAGGCACCGCGCCCGGCCTGTTTGTTTTTTTCAGACGGAGTCTCACTCCGTCGCCCAGGCTGGAGTGCAGTGGTGAGATCTCGGCGGCTCACTGTGTTTTATGTAAATTTTCGGTGTCGCAAAAGAAGTAGCACTCGAATGTTAACTTTTCTCAGCTGCGAAATTTACTTCTATAGAAGGGGGCGTCTCATAGCTGGAGCAATGGCGAGCGCCTGGACAAGGGAGGGGAAGGGGTTCTTATTCCTGACACAGGTAGCCCCTACTGCTGTGTGGTTCCTCTTTTTTTTTTTTTTTCTTTTTGAGACAGAGTCTCATGCTGTCGCCTAGGCTGGAGTGCAGTGGCGCGATCTCAGCTCACTGCAAGCTCCACCTCCCGGGTTCACGCCATTCTCCTGCCTCAGCCTCCTGAGTAGCTGGGACCACAGGTGCCCGCCACCACGCCCAGCTAATTTTTTGTATTTTTAGTAGAGACAGGGTTTCACCGTGTTAGCCAGGATGGTCTCGATCTCCTGACCTCGTGATCCGCCCGCCTCGACCTCCCAAAGTGCTGGGATTACAGGCGTGAGCCAGTGCGCCCGGCCTGGAATACCTTTTTTTTTTTTTTTTTTTTGGTCTCGGCTTACTGTAACTTCTGCCTCTTGGGTTCAAGTGATTCTTCTGCCTCAGCCTCCCAAGTAGCTGGGATTACAGGCACGTGCCACCACGCCCAGCTACTTTTTGTATTTTTAGTAGAGAGGGGGTTATACCATGTTAGCCAGGATGGTCTTAAACTCCTGACCTCATGATCCGCACTCGGCCTCCCAAAGTGCTGGGATTACAGGCGTGAGCCACCGTGCCCAGCCATAGATAGATATTATGTCTTCTATTCACCCTGGTGGGGTTGGTTCCAAACAGCTCTTTTTTTTTTTTTTTTTTTTTTTTTGAGATGGAGTTTTGCCTTGTAGCCCAGGCTGGAGTGCAGTGGCGCAATCTCTGGTCACTGCAACCTCCGCCTGCCGGGTTCAAGCGATTCTCCTTCCTCAGCCTTCCCAAGTAGCTGGGATTATAGGCATGCGCCACCAAGCCCGGCTAATTTTGTATTTTTAGTAGAGATGGGGTTTCACCAGGTTGGTCAGGCTGGTCTCGAACTCCCGACGTCAGGTGATCCACCCACCTCGGCCTCCCGAAGTGCCGGGATTACAGGCGTGAGCCACCGTGCCCAGCCTTTTTTTTTTTTTCTTTTTGAGACAGAGTCTTGCTCTGTTGCCCAGGCTGGAGTCGTCCAGTGGCACGATCTTGTCTCACTGCAACCTCCGCCTCCCGGGTTCAAGCCATTCTCTTGCCTCAGCCTCCCAAGTAGCTGGGACTATAGGCACAGGTGGACACGCCCGGCTAAGTTTTTGTATTTTAGTAGAGACGGGGTTTCACCATGTTACCAAGGCTGGTTGCAAACTCCTGAGCTCAGGCGATCCACCCGCCTCAGCCTCCCAAAGTGCTGGGATTACAGGCGTGAGCCACCGCACCCGGCCTACACTGATAACTTATAGCAAACTTTACTTTTGTTGAAAACCTTGGGAGTTTGGGATTTTAATTATCCTTTGTGGCCGGGTGCGGTGGCTCACGCCTGTAATCCCAGCACTTTGGGAGGCCGAGGCGGGCAGATCACGAGGTCAGGAGATGGAGACCATCCTGGATAACACGGTGAAACCCCGTCTCTACTAAAAATACAAAAAAATAGCCGGGCGTGGTGGCGGGCACCTGTAGTCCCAGCTACTCAGGAGGCTGAGGCAGGAGAATGGCGTGAACCCAGGAGGCGGAGCTTGCAGTGAGTCGAGATTGCGCCACTGCCCTCCAGTCTCTGGGGGACAGAGCGAGACTCCGTCTCAAAAAAAAAAAAAAATTATCCTGTGCTATTAATAAGACTTCATTCAGTCTAATATATATATATATGTATAAATGTATATATAAATGTGTATATATATATAAATGTATCAGCCACTTCAGGCAGGGCGCAGTGGCTCATGCCTGTAATCCCAGCACTTTGGGAGGCCGAGGCGGGCGGATCACGAGGTCAGGAGATCGAGACCATCCTGGCTAACAGGGTGAAACCCCGTCTCTACTAAAAATACAAAAAAAAAATTAGCCGGGCGTGGTAGCAGGTGCCTGTAGTCCCAGCTACTTGGGAGGCTGAGGCAGGAGAATGGCATGAACCCGGGAGGCGGAGCTTACAGTGAGCCGAGATTGCGGCACTGCACTGCAGCCTGGGCGACAGAGTGAGACTCCTCTCAAAAGCCACTCCAAAGGCATACTTAGAATTGGTATAGATGGTTCCTTCCTGGTTCTGTAAGTACTTGAAGGCTTGGCTGAGTGCAAACAGCTCACATGCTTGAGCAGACCAATTATTAGGAAACTTTATTAACTCTATTTTTTTATTTTTTGAGATGGAGTCTTACTCTGTCGCCCAGGCTGGAGTGCAATGGCGTGATCTCGGCTCAGTGCAACCTCCACCTCCTGAGTTTAAGCGATTCTCCTGCCTCAGCGTCCTGAGTAGTAATTACAGATACTCGCCACTACGCCCAGCTAATTTTTGTATTTTTTTTTTTTGAGACGGAGTCTCGCTCTGTCACCGAGGCTGGAGTGCAATGGCACGATCTCGGCTCACTGCAAGCTCTGCCTCCCGGGTTCACGCCATTCTCCTGCCTCAGCCTCCTGAGTAGCTGGGACTACAGGCGCCTGCCACCACGCCCAGCTAATTTTTTTATATTTTTAGTAGAGACGGGGTTTCACCGTGTTATCCAGGATGGTCTCGATCTCCTGACTTCGTGATCCGCCCGCCTCGGCCTCCCAAAGTGCTGGAATTACAGGCGTGAGCCACCGTGCCCGGCCTAATTTTTGTATTTTTAGTAGAGGCAGGGTTTCACCATGTTGACCAGGCTGCTCCTGAACTCCTGACCTCAGATGATGCACCTGCCTCAGCCTCCCAGAGTGCAGGGATTACAGGTGTGAGCCACAGAGCCTGGCCTCTATTTCCACAAGAGTTTTTCCTGTTAGTTACTCATTGTCTTTTTCCTTGAATCACCTGGAAGTAACTATCTTCAAATAAGTGTCATCCCGTAATGCACTACGGCAGTCCGTGGGTTACTACATTAAGGATAGTTGTCAGTGGCCTCCATGCCTTTGGGTAAGTTTTTTTTTGTTTTTGTTTTGTTTTGTTTTGTTTGTTTTTTTTGAGATGGAGTCTCACTCGTCGCCGAGGCTGGAGTATAGTGTCACTGTGTTGGCTCACCGCAACCTCCATCTCCTGGGTTCAAGCAATTCTCCTGGCTCAGCCTCCCGTGTAGCTAGGATTACAGGCGTCCACCACCATGCCCAGCTAGTTTTTATGTTTTTAGTAGAGATGGGATTTCACCATGTTGGCCAGGCTGGTCTTGAACTCCTGACCTCAGGTGATCCGCCTGCCTCGGTCTCCCAAAGTGCTGGGATTATAGGCATGAGCCACCGCTGGCCTCTAGTATAGGTTTTAAATTTACTCTGGCTTTTTTTTTCTCTCTCTTTTTTTTTTTGGAGATAGAGTCTCGCTCTGTCGCCCAGGCTGGAGTGCAGTGGCATAACCTCGGCTCACTACAACCTCCGCCTCCCGGGTTCACGCCATTCTCCTGCTTCAGCCTCCTTAGTAGCTGGGACTACAGGCGCCCACCACCGCGCCTGGCTAATTTTTTGTATTTTTAGTAGGGACGGGGTTTCACCATGTTAGCCAGGATGATCTCCTGACCTCGTGATCCACCCGTCTCGGCCTCCCAAAGTGCTGGGATTACAGGCATGAGCCACCGTGCCCAGCATTTTTTTTTTTTTTTTTTTTTTGAGACAGAGTCATGCTCTGTCGCTGAGGCTGGAGTCCAGTGGCACGATCTTGTCTCACTGCAACCTCCGCCTCCCGGGTTCAAGTGATTCTCCAGCCTCAGCCTCCCAAGTAGCTGGGACTACAGGCACAGGCCGACATGCCCGGCTAATTTTTTGTATTTTAGTAGAGACCGGGTTTCACCATGTTGCCAAGGCTGGTCGCGAACTCCTGAGCTCAGGCGATCCACCCGCCTCGGCCTCCCAAAGTGCTGGGATTACAGGCATGAGCCACCGCACCCGGCCTACACTGATAACTTATAGCAAACTTTACTTTTGTTGAAAACCTTGCGAGTTTGGGATTTTCATTATCCTTTGCTATTAATAAGACTTCATTCAGTCTAATATATATATATATAAATGTATAAGCCACATCAGGCCGGGCACAGTGGCTCATGCCTGTAATCCCAGCACTTTGGGAGGCCGAGGCAGGTGAATCACGAGGTCAGGAGATCGAGACCATCCTGGCTAACAGGGTGAAACCCTGTCTCTACTAAAAATACAAAAAGTAGCTGGGCGTGGTGGCGGGCACCTGTAGTCCCAGCTACTCCAGAGGCTGAGGCAGGAGAAATGGCACGAACCCGAGAGGTGGAGCTTGCAATGAGCCGAGATAGCGCCACTGCACTCCAGCCTGGGCGACAGAGCGAGATTCCGTCTCAAAAAAAAAAAAAAAAGTAAAAGCATATGTATCATGATAAAATGGACACTTTACCCATCGCCTGACTTTGTGTTGAATTGGGCAAGAGCCTCCTCCCGTCCACGTGGGATGGCCTTCCTGATGTGGCTCTCCAAGACCATCCCTGGAGGGCATAAAACCTCACAAATGCATCAGGCCGTGTGCTGGGGATGGGGCATCGTCACGCCAGGTCTGACTAGGAAGGAGGATGGGGAGGCAGGGCTGGGGGCTTTGAGGTCGAGGCGTGGCCGTGGATTCCAGAAAGCCCCTTGGCTGGTGTGGTGCCTGCCCAGCGGCATCCGTGTATCCTAACACCCGCCCTCTGTGCCCCTGTGCCTGCAGGCCACATCAAAGGACGCCCTGAATGTGGCACAGATGCAGGAGCAGACGCTGCAGTTGGAGCAACAGTCCAAGCTCAAAGTGAGTGGGGCCGGTGTGGGTGGGGAGGCCGGGGCGCACATGGGGTTCGGGCATGGAGATTGGTAGGGCTACTGCCGGTGGGTAGGGCTGGTGGCATGTACATGGGCAGCAGTGGGGTGCAGGGCCGAGCTTGGGCGCCTCATTTCACAGAAGGAAACAAGGGGAGGTGAGAGACAGTGCCGCAGAGCCTCCCGAGAGGGAGGGCCAGTGTTGGTGAGGGCGTCTGGTTGTCCGGAGGATGGGGATCTTCTTGACATTCTCACCTCATTTCTTTTCACTCAGCAGAATTTTTTTTGCATTGCATTGCATTGCATTGCATTTTAATTATTTTATGTATTTATTTTGAAACGGAATCTTGCTCTGTTGCCCGGGCTTGAGTGTCGTGGTGCGTTCTCGGCTCACTGCAATCTCTGCCTTCCAGGTTCAAGTGATTCTCCTGCCTCAGCCTCCCAAGTAGCTGGGATTACAGGCACCGACCACCACACCCGGCTAATTTTTGGATTTTTAGTAGAGACGGGTTCACCATGTTGGCCAGGCTGGTCTTGAACTCCTGACCTCAAGGGATCTACCTGCCTCGGCCTCCCAAAATGTTGAGATTACAGGCGTGAGCCACAGTGCCTGGTCCCTCACTTTCAGTCCTGAGTTCACAGGCGGGGTTCACATGTTGCCTGTTGTGGGCATTGTAGCTTAAAAATTTAATTGGCAAGGCCAGGTGCGGTGGCTCACACCTGTAATCTCAGCTCTTTGGGAGGCCGAGGTGGGCGAATCATCTGAGGTTGGGAGTTCGAGACCAGCCTGACCCAACATGGAGAAACCCCATCTCTACTAAAAATACAAAATTAGCCGGGCGTGGTGGCGGGCGCCTGTAATCCCAGCTACTCAGGAGGCTGAGGCAGGAGAATCACTTGAACCTGGGAGGCGGAGGTTGCGGTGAGCCGAGACCACGTCATTGCACTGAAGCCTCAGCAACAAGAGGGAAACTCTGTCTCAAAAACAAAAAAAAAAAGAGAGAACAGGAGTGTGGTCGACTGCTGGGCCTGCCATAACCACTGGGGCGTGTGTGCCCACAGCTCTGAAGACTACAGGCCCAAGGTCAGGGTGCCAGCTCAGTCCCTCCCTGTGGAGTGTTCTTTGCTGGGTCCTCATGTGGCGGAGAGAGTGACTGAGCTCTCACTCTGGTGTCCCTTACAAGGATGCTCATCCTGCACTGCTCACAGTGGTGGTGGTAAGCCACCGCGCCCAGTGCCAACTTTGTCCTTCAACAGTTTGTGTGTGTGTGTGTGTGTGTGCGCGCCAGGCACAGTTGTAGGATCCAGCTCCACAGGTTCGGTGGGTTTTCTCTTTGTGTGCAGAGACAAGAGAGTGTAGAAATAAAGACACAAGACAGAGATAAAAGACAGCTGGGCCCGGGGAACCACTGCCACCTAGACGTGGAGACCGGTAGTGGCCCCGAGTGCCAGGCTGCGCTGTTATTTATTGGATACAAGACAAAGGGGCAGGATAAGGAGTGTGAGCCATCTCCAGTGATAGGTAAGGTCACGTGGGTCACGTGTCCACTGGACGGGGGCCCTTCCCTGCCTGGCAGCCGAGGCAGAGAGAGGGAGGGAGGGAGAGAGAGAGACAGCTTACGCCATTATTTCTGCTTATCAGAGACTTTTAGTACTTTCACTAATTTTGCTACTGTTATCTAAAAGGCAAAGCCAGGTGTACAGGATGGAACGTGAAGGCGGACTAGGAGTGTGACCGCTGAAGCACAGCATCACAGGGAGACGGTTAGGCCTTCGGATAACTGTGGGCGGGCCTGACCCTCCACAAGAGGTGGAGGAGTAGAGTCTTCTCTAAACTCCCCCGGGGAAAGGGAGACTCCCCTTCCCAGTCTGCTAAGTAGCGGGTGTTTTCCCTTGACACTGACGCTACCGCTAGACCACGGTCTGCTTAGGTCACGGGTGCCTTCCCAGGCGCTGGCGTTACTGCTAGACCAAGGAGCCCTCTGGTGGCCCTGTCCGGGCGTAACGGAAGGCTCGCACTCTTGTCTTCCGGTCGCTTCTCACTATGTCCCTTCAGCTCCTATCTCGGTATGGCCTGGTTTTTCCTAGATTATGATTATAGAGCGAGGATTATTATAATATTGGAATAAAGAGCAATTGCTACAAACTAATGATGAATGATATTCATATATAATCATATCTAAGATCTATATCTGGTATAACTATTCCTATTTTATATATTTTATTACACTGGAACAGCTCGTGCCCTCGGTCTCTTGCCTCAGCACCTGGTTGGCTTGCCACCCACACACAGTGGCTCATGGCTGTAATCCCAGCACTTTGGGATGCCAAGGTGGGTGGAGCACCTGAGGTCAGGAGTTCGACACCAGCCTGGCCTAAATGGTGAAACGCTGTCTCTACTAAAAATACAAAAATCAGCCAGGCATGGTGGTGTGTGCCTGTAATCCTACCTACCTGGGAGGCTGAGAGGCAGGAGAATCACTTGAACCCAGGAGGTGGAGGTTGCAGTGATCTGAGATCGTGTCACTGTCTTGCAGCCTGGGTGACAGAGTGAGACTCCCTCGCAAAAAAATAAAATAAGTTTTTTTTTTCCCTTTGGCAATTCAAGATCCCTAGAGGTTCCATATCAACGTATTAATGCTTTTTCTATTTTTGTAAAAAATAATTCGGGTTTTACAGGGATTGCATCCAGTCTCTATATTGCCTTGACGTCTCTTAGCAATGTTGTCTGGTTTTCTTTTTTTTTTTTTCTTGAGATGGAGTCTCACTCTGTCACCCAGGCTGGAGTGCAGTCGTCGGCCAGGATGGTCCCAAACTCATGACGTCAGGTGATCTGTCTGCCTTGGCTCCCAAAGTGCTGGGATTACCGGCGTGGGCCACGGCGCCCGGCCAGTTTTCATTGTACAAGTCTTTCACCTTCTTGGTTAAGTGAATTTCCAAGTATTTTATTCTTTCAGATGCTATTGTAAATGGAAATGGTTTCATAATTTCCCTTTCAGATTATTCATTGTTAGTATGTAGAATTGCAGCTGTTTCTGCTGTTGATTTTGTTTCCTGTAACTTTGCTGATGTCACGGGGTTGTTTTTTCCAATATGGATTCTAGGATTTTCTTTTTTCTTTTTTTTTTTTTTTTTTGATATGGAGTCTCGCTCCGTCACCCAGGCTGGAGTGCAGTGGCACAATCTCGGCTCACTGCAAGCTCCGCCTCTTGGGTTCACGCCATTCTCCTGCCTCAGCCTCCTGAGTAGCTGGGAATACAGGCGCCTGCCACCATGCCCAGCTAATTTTTTGTATTTTTAGTAGAGATGAGGTTTCACTATATTAGCCAGGATGGTCTCGATCCCCTGACTTCGTGATCTGCCCGCTTCAGCCTCCCAAAGTGCTGGGATTACAGGCGTGAGCCACCGCCCGCGCCCAGCAGGATTCTAGGATTTTCTACATATAAGATTATATCATCTGAGAACAGGTGATTTTACCTCTCCCTTTTCAGTTTGGATGACTTCTTTTTCTTCTCTAATGGCCCTGGCCACAACTTCCAGTGGTATGTGGAATAGAAGCAGTAAAGCATTCTTGCCTGGTTCCTTACTCAGAGGAAAAGCTTCCAGTTTTTCACCACTGAGTATGTCACCTGTGGGCTTGTGATATATGGCCTTCATTATGTTTAGGGCGTGTGTTTCAATTCCTGGCTTGTTGAGTGTTTTTCTCATAAAAGGGTGTTGAATTTGGTCAAATGCTTTTCCTGCGTCAGTTGAGAGGGTCATGTGGTTTCCTTCTTCCACTCTGCTAATATTGATTGCTTTTTGTATGTTGAACATTTCGTATGTGGAACATGATTTTCGTATGAACTATCCTTGCATTCCAGGAATAAATCCTGCTTGGTCAGGGTGTATAATTTTTTTATTATACTGCTGAATTCACTTTGCTGGCATTTTGTTGAGGACTTTCCCAGTGATGCTCATCAAGGATATTGGCCTGTCATTTTTCTTGTGGCATCTTCATCTGGGTTTGATATCAGGGTACTGCTGGCTTCCTAGGATGAGTGAGGAAATGTTCTTCAATTTGTCCAGGAGTTTGAGGAGTGCTCTGATTCTTAATGTTTTGTGAATTCACATGTGAAGAAATCAGGTCCAGGTCTTCTCTTTCAACTTTTACAGCTTGGAGATTTTAGGTTCCCAGAAAAATTGCAAGGGTAGCACAGAGAGCTCCCGGGCCTGGGGCCTCGCCACGTGGTGAACGTCATGTGTCACTGTTGGCCCCACCCGCGACTGGGTCTTGCCCCAGAATCCCACCCAGGAGGCCACGTGACATTTAGCTGTCACTTCTGGTGGGCTCCTGCCAGGTCCCGTGCTTCCCAGAGGGGTGGCCCCGTGAGCATCTGCGTAGCCCCTTTCCTCTGCTGGGCCCTGGGTGAGGTGCAGCCACTCGGGTGGACCCTGAGGGTCCCTGCACCTGTTTGCCCTCTCTTGGGTGGGCTCAAGACCAAAAATGATGTTGAGCAGTCCTGGGCCCCTGAGCCACAGTGGCGGTACGGCTCCAGTCAGTGTCTCCTGCGCTCCTGGGCCCCTGACCCACAGTGGTGGTCCAGCTCCGGTCAGTGTCTCCCCACACAGTGGCTCTTGGCGAGGGATGGGCGCTGGCAGAGGGGACGGGCACCACGTGGTCATCCCCATGGCAGGTTCTATCGTGGCGACGGTGTTGTGGGAGGATGGTGTGCTGCTGCCCCTGCACCCCGTGAGATGAATCCTGCCTCTGGGAGGCATAGCTGGGATGGGGCTAGGGACCCGCTCAGCTGTCCGGGAAGGGTCCCCTGCCCTGTGCTTCCTCCAGGCGTCCTGGTGCCCTCCTGAGCACGGCGCCCAGTGGGGGTCCCCACACCCTGACCCTGACCCACGGGTGACTCCCTTTGGGGACTCCATGCCCTTTTCTGGCATTAGGATGGAGAGTGACCTGTCTGGCAGAAAGGCTGGACCTGAGGCTGCCTGAAGCGACACCGAGGGCCACAGCCCCAGCAGCTCCAGCCTTCACATGCTAGATGCCAAGCCCTGTGCCCAGGAGGACAGGAAGGTGGGGCAGGGGTGGCCTTGGTGCCACCAGCCACGTGCCTCAAGGTGGGCAGTGGCTGCCTCTGCCCTGGAGGCCTGTGAGGGTCAGGGTCTGAGGGTCTGAGGTGCACTATGACCCGGGGGCACTGCCTGGCCACGGCTGAGACACGCAGAGGGTCTGCAGTTCCCACCTG
Source organism: Homo sapiens (assembly GCF_000001405.40). Lineage (NCBI taxonomy): Eukaryota > Metazoa > Chordata > Mammalia > Primates > Hominidae > Homo > Homo sapiens. Next base: position 1,508,907 of record NC_000001.11, read on the forward strand.
CCTCTCGGAAGCTGCCCTGGGTCGGCCGTCAGTGAGGCTCCGCCTTGGGCTTTCTATTATTAGAAAGTCATTGAGCAACAGCAGTGCTGAGGACGCAGGCAGGGCTGTGGGCACTGCAGGGGCTGCCCCCGGTGTCCACACACGTGCTGGGCTCTGCCGAGGTGCGGGAAGCCTGTGTTTCACGCTCAGGCCATCCTGGAGCCCCTGGTTTGGTCCCTCCCCACCTCGGGGCCCTGGCGTGCATTTGGGGTGGGGGGTTCCCATGGCGGCCTCCCTCAGCTCCCTCTCTCCCCACTAGGCCACGGCGTATGCCTCCGAGGACGGGGTCCTGACCGAGGCCATGATGGACACCCGCGTGCAAGATGCTGTCCAGCAGCACCAGCAGATGATGCGCTGGCTGAAGAGGGGGAGGCCTGGGCCCGAGGACGAGCAACCCTCATCCTGAGTCCATGGGGAGACCACACCTCACGGAGCCTGGCCGCGGACCCCTCCCACCCCTGCCTTTGCGGCCCCGCACATTTAGGAAATACTCCCCGTAATAAAGTCCCACGGGGGCCGCACCGCTGTGTCTATTGGCTGGGGCGGGGTTTGGGGCCCCCTAACGTCCCCCTGGGGTCAAAGGTGACAGAAAAGGCAGAAGCTGGGGCTTTCTGGAGGATTTAACCACAGAGGGGTGGGCTGCACAGGAGGTGCCTGCCACGGCAGGGCCGGGTGCCCGTGCCCCATCCTGAGGCCGTGCATACGCGGGTGCCCTTCGCCTCCCTCCCCTCCGCCAGAGCTGCCTGTGGCCAGACACACGGTGGAGGGAAGTGCACGCGAAACAGACACAGCGGCTTCAAATAGATGCCGCCCCTGCCCGCGCTTTGCAGCTAGTCCCTGCAAACCTTGATGATGGGGCTGGGCGCGGTGGCTCACGCCTGGAATCTCAGTGAGGCCAAGGAGAGTGGATCACCTGAGGTCAGGAGTTCCAGACCAGCCTGGCCAACATGGTGAAACCCCATCTCTCCTAAAAAAAAAAAAAAAAAAATTAGCCGGCCGTGGTGGCAAGTGCCTGAAATCCCAGGTACTCAGGAGGCTGAGGCAGGAGAATCACTTGAGCCTGGGAAGTGGAGGTTGCACTGAGCTGAGACCATGGAATTGCACTGCAGCATGGGCAACAAGAGTCAAACTCCCTCTAAAAAAAAAAAAAAAAAAAAAAAGGGCCAGGTGGCACATGCCGGTGGTCCCAGCTTCTTGGCTTGGAGGCTGAGGTAGGAGGATCGCCTGAGCATGGGAGGCAGAGGTTGCAGTGAGCTGAGATCGCACCATTGCACTCCAGCCTGGGTGACAGAGTGAGACCCTCTCAATAAATAAATAACCAAAACCTTGATTACAGCCATGGGGTGGGGGTGGGGGGACGTCTGGCTATTGCTGGGGAAGTCATTTGGTTTTTCTCCTCCTCTCCTATTTTTTTGGTACAGACGGGGTCTCTCTTTGTTGCCCAGGCTGGTCTCCAACTCCTGGGCTCAAGCAATCCTCCTGCCTCGGCCTCCCAAACTGGCGGGGTTACAGGCGTGAGCCACCGCGCCTGCCCTGTTTTCTTTTTCTTTTTTTTTTCTTTTCTTTTTTTTTTGGCGATGGAGTCGTGCTCGCCCAGGGTGGAGTGCAGTGGCCTGATCTCGGCTCACTTCAACCTCCACCTCCAGGGTTCAAGCAGTTTTCCCGCCTAAGCCTCCGGAGTAGCTGGGATTACAGGCGCACGCCACCATGCCCAGGTTAATTTTTGTATTTTTGACAGGGGTTTCACCATGTTGGCCCGGCTGGTCTCAAACTCCTGTTTTCAGGTGATCTGCCCACCTCGGCCTCCCAAAGTGCTGGGATTACGGGTGTGAGCCACCGCGCCTGGCCGGCATTTTCTGGCTTTTTTTTTTTTTTTTGACAGAGTCTGACTCAGTCGCCCAGACTGGAGTGCAGTGACGAGATCTCGGCAGCTCACTGTGTTATATGTAAATTTTCTGTGCCGCCAAAGAAGTAGAACTCGAATATAAATTTTTCTCAGCTAGATAATTTACTTCTATAGAAGGGGACATCTCATAGATGGAGCAATGGCGAGCGCTTGGACAAGGGAGGGGAAGGGGTTCTTATTCCTGACGCGGGTAGCCCCTACTGCTGTGTGGTTCCCCTATTGGCTAGGGTTAGAATGCACAGTCTAAACTAGTGCCCATTGGCTATTTTAAAGGGAGCAGGAGTATGGGCCAGAGTGGCGGGGTGAGTGGTTTGGCGGGAAAAATGGTTATGGGACAGGTAACTAAAGGTGACTCAGGTCAAAGCAGGAGACCGGGATTAGTTAGGACGGAGCAGGTGACCAGGGCAACAGATGTCAACTACTGACTAGAACTGGTGGAAAAGGTTGTTTACTGAAACTGCGAGGAAGGTAGACTTTAAAATGCAGGACAAAGACTGAACATACTGATATACTGATTCTTTGAAGGGAAGTTTAGAACTCATTGTATCTAACATTATTCAGGCTTAAAACAGTTTCCAATCCAGTGGGAAAAGTCACTCCATATATTCCGTGAAGTCAACCAGTTCCATCAAGGAGAAAGTCAGGGCCGCTGGGAGCGCGTGGACCGTGGGCTCCGGGGCGGCGCCTGCCCGGGCACCCCGGCCCCGTCCACGCCCCGCAAGAGGAGCTCGCTGGCCCCGCCACGCGGGAAGGGGTCGCCCCGGGGTCTTGGGCGGGAGGGCCGTGCGGGCTGCGGAGACACCGAGGAGGGGAGGCGCCTCTCCTGAGCTCTTGGCGCAGCGACCCCAGGGCGCCGACTCATCGCGGAAGGGCTCGGCTTGCCCGGGCGCCGGTGCCGCCTCGGGTGAGGTTCCCGCGAGACTCTTCTCTGCGTCCTGGACTCACCGCAGGGCGCCCCGCCGCACGGATCGAGAACCTTGGGGCTCCCTGGAAACTTGCCACCCGCTGCCGCCAAGGCCGGAACTCCTCGGAGCCCCTAGCAACGGAGCCCCTAGCAACGGAGCCCACGCGGATGCGGCGCGGGGCTGACGCTGCCTTGGGTTCGCCTACGTCCCTCGGGAATTTTGTCCCGGCGTGGCTCCCGTAGCCAGATGCTTCGCCGCTCCCGCCCCGCTGGCTCCCAAAGCCTGTTCGGCAGTCGCGGCGCCGTCGCTATGGCGTCACTGTCCTCGGGGCCAATCCAAGGGCTGCGCGCGTGTCCCTTACGCGCTTCTATCGCCGGGAGGAAGGGGTGTGTGTGGCGCCTGCGCAGTGGCGGTGACCACCGGCTCGCGGCGCGTGGAGGCTGCTCCCAGCCGCGCGCGAGTCAGACTCGGGTGGGGGTCCCGGCGGCGGTAGCGGCGGCGGCGGTGCGAGCATGTCGTGGCTCTTCGGCATTAACAAGGGCCCCAAGGGTGAAGGCGCGGGGCCGCCGCCGCCTTTGCCGCCCGCGCAGCCCGGGGCCGAGGGCGGCGGGGACCGCGGGTTGGGAGACCGGCCGGCGCCCAAGGACAAATGGAGCAACTTCGACCCCACCGGCCTGGAGCGCGCCGCCAAGGCGGCGCGCGAGCTGGAGCACTCGCGTGAGTGCGGCGGGGCGGGGCGGCGCGGGCGGGCGGGCGGGACGGGCCGGGGAAGCGGGAGCCCTGGCCCTTGCCGCTCCTCGCCGCTGTCGGCAGCCACTTCCCGGGCGAGACTGCGCCCCCGGAGCACCCCCGGCCGGAGCCGTGTCGCGTGCCGGGAGGATCGGACTCTTTCCGTCACCCGTTTGCACCTCTGCAGCTGTCAGGAGCGGGTCAGGTGCGGAAAGCGGTGCGGAGGTGGCGCTCATAGGTTACAGGGGTCAGGGTCTGGGGCTGGCCGTGGTCTTCAGTTACCGCCGAGCGTGCGGGATCCTTCTGCGCTTGCCGCCTCCACGTGGCACAGGCCAAGGCGTGGCCAGATGGGTAGATGGGTTTGTTGGGTGGTTGCTAGCAGTTTCCACGTAACAAGGGAAGCGTATTTGAGAGTTACTTGATTCTAACGAGACTAGCAGATTTGCACTTCTTGTTGGAAGACGTTAGCATTTGCACGGCGAGGTCTGTGAAGCCACAGGCCAGGCCGTGCTGCTCAGCTTGAGTAAACCCCTGACCCAAGGCCCTCAGGGTGTGAGCACTCACCATGTTGTTCAGGCTGGTCTTGAATTCTGGCCTCAGGTGATTCGCCCACCTCGGCCTCCCAAAGCGCTGGGATGACAGGCGTGAGCCGCTGCTCATGGCCTTCCTCGGTAATTTTAACCATCAGGTTAGGATGGGAATCAAGGGCTGGACTTCAGGGCACCTCGGAGGACAGCGGATGTTGGTGACTGACTTTCTTGCTGCAGGCTTATTTGGAGGGTTCCTTTGTGTCCTAGTTCCTGGGGGTTTTCACCCGCTAACTTCACTTAGAGATTGAAACTTCTCCCACTTCCAGAAGCTGAATCGTAGTGATCAGCCTGCGGCCCCCTGCAGTGGTACAGGCCTGGTTGAGCAGCCTCAGGCCGCCTCCCCATAGTGCAGACCTGTGCCTCTGAGTTGCTCCAGTCCTGGCGGCCCCGGAGCTCCTGACCCGCAGTCCGCTCTGCCGGCGTTGCCAGTGCCTTGGTCTGCCCTCTCTGTGGTGGAGCGGGGCCCGGGGCAGGGTCTCCAGGTGCACCGTGGGGAGCCCTCCATCAGGCTTTTGTTTCCTGTGGATTGTGTTCCAGGTGTGGGCTCTTTCATTCTGATCCCTTCCCTCCTTCCTGGCCTCACTGCTGGCAGGTGAGAGAGGTTTCTCCAGAGTTGACTGCCCCCTTTCCCCGGGTGCCCCCTGCCCTGCCCCTCTGCCTGGTAGCCCCTCTGCAAGCCCGGCCCCTCCCGACGCTCCTGGCTTCCTCCGTGCCCCTTTCCTGGCAGCGGGTCGCCGAGATTCGGCCGGAGCCCATTGCTTTGTCCTTGCTGCTCTCCAGGCAAACGGGCGGCTCCTCCTCACCGACTGCCTCCTCTGTCCCTTGAGGCTATAGCCCCATGCCGCCTGGTTCCCAGAGTGCCCTGACCCCTCCTCCGGCCTGTCCTTGGAAGTCACAGCAGTACATTATCCCAGAACTGTCTGTGAGCACCAGCGCTCGCCCTGCACTCCACAGAGGGGGTGCCTGGAGGAGAGCCTCGTGCCCTGTGGGTGTGAATTCACGCGCTGGGACGCACGTCCCTGGCACAGGGTCACACCAAAGTGGTGAATGATTGTTCTCACTCTAATAACCGAGAGGCCACACGGGCACCTGACCTGCTCTTTCCCCTCTCCTCCTCCCCAGAGTCACTGGGGGTAGGAACTGTCAATGAGCCATTTTCAGGGGAGGGAGTGGCCTCAGCTTAATCCAGCCAAAGGTCCCCTCGGGAGGAAACAGGCAGAGCTCCTCACCGTGACACCCACGTTCCTGTCACTGCTCTGTGGCAGGACCCTGGGTGACTGACACACCCTCAGTCCCCTCGGGGTCAGAGTGAGAGTGGTTGAGAGCCCGGGGTCGCTTCAGCCCTTGGCTTCCCGAGCTTAGCAGCCAAACCCGTTGACCTGGCACTGTCTTCCCTGAGAGGCAGGTCCCGGTCTCATCTGTGCTCTGTTCACTGGGGCCCCCGAGGTTAGCTACCAAGGCGCTTCCTGAAATCTGACACTGATGCCCGTCAGCCCAGTTCGTGCCTAACCACAGGCCCAAGCAGACCCACCCCAACACCAAAGCGTCGCTGCCTCTGTCTAAATGCAACGAGTGCTCCCCACGGCACTTCCCCCTGCGTCAGTCACCTCCAAAAATTACACCTGAGCTGAGAACAGACGCTGGGCTCTAGTTAGTGACGTGTTTGCTGCAGTTGACTCTGAAGGCTTAAAAAAGTGAGACGGGCTGCGGGAGGAAGAGAGACGGGAACAACGCACCAACCCAGGAGCATCGGGGGTCCCTGCCTACTTTACGTGTCTTTCTGTGTTAGCAGATTTATATGTTTATTTATTTATTTGAGATGGAGTTGCCGTCCGTCGCCCAGGCTGGAGTGCAGTGGTGCAACCTCGGTTCATCGCAACATCCACCTCCTGGGTTCAAGCAGTTCTCCAGCCTTGGCCTCCCAAGTAGCTGAGATCACAGGCGTGCACCACTGTGCCCTGCTCTTTTTTTGTCTTTTTAGTGGAGACAGGGTTTCGCCATGTTGGCCCGGATGGAGATTTTTCTTTTTTAAGTCTCTCTCTGTCTAGCTGGAGTGCAGCGGTGCGATCTGGGTTCACTGCAGCCTCTGTCTCCGGGGTTCAAGCCATCCTCCCACCTCAGCCTCAGAGTAGCTGGGATTACAGGCGTCCGCCACTGCGCCCAGCTAATTTTTGTATATTTAGTAGAGATGGGGTTTCACCACATTGGTCAGGCCGGTCTCTAACTCCTGGACTCAAGTGATCCACCCGTCTCAGCCTCTCAAAGTGCTGGGAGTACAGTAGTGAGCCACCGCGCCCAGCCAAAAGATTTTTATGGTAAAGTTTTATGATGGGAAAACTGTCATCCCAGAAAATTTTGAGACCTGATGCTGAGGCCTCAGCAGCTCAGAGAATACGTACTTCTGTCCCACGACACCCAAACATCGACCTGTGTCAGTTCCCCTCTAGGAACAAAACGTAACTGAGGACGTTGTCAGATGCTTGTCCTCGTCACCCTGAGCTTGTTGGCTGGTATCCTATTCTTATTCATTCCCTTTCTTGCCTGCATGTGCTTGATAGCAGATCAATGACAACAGCCATTGGAAGCTTAGGAAAAGCGAATGTAACGTGAAAAAATAGAGGACACTTTAGCCATCGCCTGACTTTCTGTTGAATTGGGAAAGAGCCTCCTCCCGTCCACGTGGGATGGCCTTCCTGATGTGGCTCTCCAAGACCATCCCTGGGGGGATAAAACCTCACAAATGCATCAGGCCGTGTGCTGGGGATGGTGCATCGTCACGCCAGGTCTGACTAGGAAGGAGGATGGGGAGGCAGGGCTGGGGGCTTTGAGGTCGAGGCGTGGCCGTGGATTCCAGAAAGCCCCTTGGCTGGTGTGCGTGCCTGCCCAGCGGCATCCGTGTATCCTAACACCTGCCCTCCGTGTCCTTGCGTCTGCAGGTTATGCCAAGGACGCCCTGAATCTGGCACAGATGCAGGAGCAGACGCTGCAGTTGGAGCAACAGTCCAAGCTCAAAGTGAGTGGGGCCGGTGTGGGTGGGGAGGCCGGGGCGCACATGGGGTTCGGGCATGGAGATTGGTAGGGCTACTGCCGGTGGGTAGGGCCGGGGGTGTGTACATGGGCAGCAGTGGGGCCCAGGGCCAAGCTTGGGCGCCTCATTTCACAGAAGGAAACAAAGGGAGGTGAGAGACGCTGCCGCAGAGCCGCCCGAGAGGGAGGGCTGGTGTTGGTGAGGGCGTCTGGTCGTCCGGAGGGAGGGCCGGTGTTGGTGAGGGCGTCTGGTCGTCCGGATGGCCTGGATCTTCTCATTTCATTACACTCAGCAGGATTTTTTTGTTTTATTTCGTTTTATTTATTTATTTTGAAACGGAGTCTCTGTTTCCCAGGCTGGAGTTCTGTGGTGCCATCTGGGCTCACTGCAACCTCCGCTCCTGGGTTCAAGCAATTCTCCTGCCTCAGCCTCCTGAATAGCTGGGATTACAGGCACCCGCCACCACACCTGGCTAATTTTTATATTTTTAGTAGAGTCGGGGTTTCACCATGTTGGCCAGCCTGGTCTTGAACTCCTGACTTCAAGTGATCCACCTGCCTCGGCCTCCCAAAGTGCTGGGATTACAGGCTTGTGCCACTGTGCCTGCCTTGTTTCATATTATTATTTTTTTATAGACAGAGTCTTAGTCTGTCTTCCAGGCCGGTGTGCAGTGGCGTGATCTCAGCTCACCGCAACCTCTACCTCCCGGGTTCAACCTCTTTCCTCAGCCTCCGAGCAGCTGGGACTACAAGAGCCCGCCACCACATCTGGCTAATTTTTGTATTTTTAGTAGAGATGGGGTTTCACCATGTTGTTCAGGCTGGTCTCGAACTACTAACCTCAGTTGATCCACCCACTTTGGCCTCCCAAAGTGCTGGGATTATAAGCGAGAGCCGTCGCACCCGGTCCACTCAGCAGGATTCCTAAAATAAGCATGAGCTCTGCCCTCAGTGCAGTCCAAAAGGGGGTGTCCGGCCTCCCTCCCGGGGGGCCTTCGCGGGCTTCTGCTGGTGCTTCTGTGCCTGTGGGTCTGGATTCCTCCAGGGCCTGATCCTGGGTGCAGATGCGGCTGGAAGCCCTGAGCCTGCTGCACACACTAGTCTGGGCATGGAGTCTCTGCCGTGCCGGAGCCGTGCAGACACAGGAGCGGCTGTCAGGCAGTGCCAGCCCTGAGCAAGTGCCAGCTGGTGAGTGCTGTGCTCTGCAGGAGTATGAGGCCGCCGTGGAGCAGCTCAAGAGCGAGCAGATCCGGGCGCAGGCTGAGGAGAGGAGGAAGACCCTGAGCGAGGAGACCCGGCAGCACCAGGCCGTAAGAGCGCAAGAGGCCGCGAGGGAGGCCGCCCGGCTGCGGGGAGCGGCCTGGGGCAGGACTGGGAGCTGGGTGTGGTCCCGGGGCACTCTGGAGTCAGCCATTAGAGCTGCCCTCGGAACGGCCTTGCACAAACGCCTAAGACCTGTAAGGTCCCTCACTGCTGAGCCGGACGGGAGGTCCCCGCGCCTCCCCACGTTTGTGTGAGGCTGATGGCGCGTCGGAGTCCCCGGCGCTCCGCCCAGTCGGCCCAGACTGCAGCTCCCGGCTGAGATGTGTCTTTGCCGCCCTCTTCTCCCCCAGAGGGCCCAGTATCAAGACAAGCTGGCCCGGCAGCGCTACGAGGACCAACTGAAGCAGCAGGTGAGCTCAGCCTCCCCTGCGAGGCGCCTGCGTCCCTGAGAACGTAGGTGGCTTTGTGGGACCAGTCAGTGGGTCAGAGGCCACGGGGCAAGAACGCTGGGGTTGCTGACGGTGGGTGCTAGAGCAGGGGAAACTACTCGGACAGACACGCACCAGCACACGTGTACAGGCACACATGCAGACGTGTGCACACATGTACATGGAGACACAGGCACCTACCCACACGGACACACACTCCTCGCACACACACTCCCAGCACACACAGACAGGTGCACCCACTTCTGCACACACGGGCACACACACACCCCTGCACACACGGGCCCACACACAGACACCCCCACACAGAGGCCTGCACTCACACACCCGCAAACATACCCCCACACAACACGGGCAGGCACACACCCACATGGACACTCACACCTGTAAACACACCCCCATACAGACAGGTACGCACATACACCCCGCACACACACACACAGATACGCACACACACACCACACACAGGTACGTACCCCCCCACACACACACAGGCGCACACATACCCCCCACAGGCTCACTGGCACCCGCGCACTCGGGCACACACACAGCCCCACACACACAGGCGCACACCCACACACACATGGGCATGCCCCCCCATAGACGGACACACACACACCCACACACATGGGCGCGCGTACACCCCCCTATACACATGGGCACAGCCCCCCCGCACACATGGGCACGCACACAACCCCCCCACATGGGCGCACAGACCCCACACACACATACGGGCACACACGCCTTCCCGTCACAGGGACACACACACACACCCGCACATGGGCACACACCCACACACGGGCGTACACACCCCCCCCCACAGGCACGCACAACCCCCCCACCCCCCGCACGGGTACACACACACACACACACACACACCCAAACGGGTGCACAACCCACCCACACATGGGCACAATCACCCCCACACACATGGGCACAGTCACCCGCCTGCACATTCGGGCACCGTCACCCCCCGCAAACGGGCACCGTCACACCCCGCAAACGGGCACACTCACCCCCCTGCACACTCGGGCACAGTCATCCCCCGCACACATGGGCACAGTCACAGGTTTTAAAGGCTTTTCTCTTTTTCTGCGGCTTCTTCTCAGCAACTTCTCAATGAGGAGAATTTACGGAAGCAGGAGGAGTCCGTGCAGAAGCAGGAAGCCATGCGGCGAGGTAGGCTGTCTGCTCTCCTGGCTGGGGCGGAGGTGGCGGGGGCTGCTTGTGGACCCGGCGTGCACTCTGAGCCTGAGTTCTGCCGCCCGGCCCCTCATAGCTACCAGTGCAGTGGGCGAGGCCTGCTGGGGCTCCGCGGGGTGGGGCTGCCTCTCGGAAGACACCTCTGTCTGCGAGTGGACGCCAGGATCTGTTCAGGGAGGGCAGGAGCTGCTTCACTTCATGGGAAGTACAGGGGCCTTTTTTTTTTTTTTGAGACGGAGTCTCGCTCTGTCACCCAGGCAGGAGTGCAATAGCACGATCTCAGCTCACTGCAACCTCTGCCTCCCAGGTTTAAGCAATTCTCCTGCCTCAGCCTCCCGAGTAGCTGGGATTATAGGCTCCCGCCACCACGCCCAGCTAATTTTTTTGTATCTTCAGTAGAGAAAGGGTTTCACTGTGTTGGCCAGGCTGGTCTTGAACTTCTTGATCTCATTATCCGCCTGCCTTGGCCTTCCACAGTGCTGGGATTACAGGCGTGAGCCTCTGCGTTCTGCCTAGAACATGGGTCTTTACTGTCCTGGTTTCAGTGGGGATCACAGGTATTTGGTGCCATGTGGCATTTGTTGGCGAGTGCTCCAGGCAAACGTCTGTCACCACTCTTCACCGTGGGTGGGCTTGTGGCGAGGTGTGTGCGTTTAATGTTCAGTAGCCAGGCACGTGGCACGTCACGCGTGTCTGAGTTCTGACAGCTGTGTTTCTGTGTGAGGGGGGCTTCCTTCAGAACTCCGCGTTCTGGTTTTTTGCTTCAAAGAGCTCGTCCTGAGAAGTTGCCTAGGCCTCTGGGTCGGATTTCTGCCCTAATCCATGGGCAGGGCCGGCCTGTGGCGCTGTCCCTACCAAGGTCTGTGTGTGTCTGTGGCATGGACCTGTCCGTGGCCTTAGCCTATTGGCGGCGTGGGCCTGTCTGTGGCGTGGGCCTGTCCGTGGCCTTAGCCTGTCAGCAGTGTGGGCCTGTCCATGGCGTGGGCCGGTCCGTGGCATGGGCCTGTCTGTGGCGTTGGTCTGTCCGTGGCGTGGGCCGGTCCGTGGCGTGGGCCGGTCCACAGTGTGGGTGGAGGTGGACGCGCTGCACTGCATGGTGCTGAGCTGCCCTGCCTCTCTGGGGCAGCCACCGTGGAGCGGGAGATGGAGCTGCGGCACAAGAATGAGATGCTGCGAGTGGAGGCCGAGGCCCGGGCGCGCGCCAAGGCCGAGCGGGAGAATGCAGACATCATCCGCGAGCAGATCCGCCTGAAGGCGGCCGAGCACCGTCAGACCGTCTTGGAGTCCATCAGGTGAGCACTGCCGAGGCCCGGGCCGGCCACAGATGGAGCCCCGCAGGTGTGAGTCGCTGGTCCCAGGGCGCTCTCCAGCTCTTCCAGGCCTTGCCGCCGTAGGCTGACTCCTTGGTGGGGGCACTGCCCCTCTGTCCTGGCAAGGCCGTGCCGCCATGTCAGGGCCTCACCCTCAACCTGCTCTCGCTGCGTGGCACGGATCTTCGTGTCCTTCCTGGTCACACCACTGCTTTCCCCGCAGGACGGCTGGCACCTTGTTTGGGGAAGGATTCCGTGCCTTTGTGACAGACTGGGACAAAGTGACAGCCACGGTAAACATACTCATAAAACAGGGCTGGCAGGTGGCTGAGGGGCAGCATGTGGGGGCCTCCTGGAGCCCCAGGTCCTGTCCCTGCCGGCTCTGCACAGCCCTGTAGCTCTCCCAGCAGGGAGGAAGCCCACGTTGTACCTGCTGGCCTCGGCTTCTCCTCCCTTCTCAAGCTGGGAGAAGAAAACGCAGTTGCCAGCCTGGGCCACACAGTGAGACCCCATCTCTACAAAAAATCAAATATTAGCTGGGTGTGGTGGCAGCCCCTGTGGTCCCACTACTCAAGAGGCTGAGGTAGGAGGATCACTTAAGCCCAGGGAGGTTGCAGCTGCACTGAGCTGAGATCGCAGCACTGCACTCCATCCTGGGCGACAAAGTCCTTGTCTCAAGAAAAAAATTGTCGATAGTCGTGGCTCACACCTGTAATCCCAGCACTTTGGGAGGCAGAGGCAGAGGCGGGCGGATCACGATATCGGGATCGAGACCATCCTGGCTAACACGGTGAAACCCCGTCTCTACTAAAAAAATACAAAAAATTAGCCGGGCGCAGTGGCGGGCGCCTATAGTCCCAGCTACTCAAGAGGCTGAGGCAGGAGAATCACCTGAACCCGGGAGGCGGAGCTTGCAGTGAGTCGAGATCACGCTACTGCACTCCAGCCTGGGCCACATAGTGAGGCTTCTTCTCAAAAAAAAAAAAAAAAAAAAAAAAAAAAAAACCAGAAGGCAACCCTGACTCCATTTTGCAAAAACCTTCTTTATTCCTTATAAAACCCTGAGAGTTTGAAGTTCACAGATTCTTCTCTCGTTTAAAGCCTCACTCTTTTGTGCCCAGCCTCCGGCCTGCTGTGGTGGCGCCCCACGTCCCACATGGCTGTGTCCTCCGTCCCCACCCCGCCCAGCACACGGTAGGTGCCCGGCACTGAGTGGGCACTTGCTCTGCCGTGGTGCCGGCGCCCAGAGCTGTGACTGCAGCGCCTGCCGGTGGCCTGGTCAGTGTGACGGTGAATGTTGCAGGTGGTGTTGCCACCATGTTGGTGAGACCGTGTCACGTGAGGACATGACGGAGCTGCTTAATGCGCCGATGACTTTTGTTTGTTTGTTTTTAGAGACAGGGTCTTGCTCTGTGGTCAGACTGGAGTGCAATGGTGCCATCTCGGCTCACTGCAACCTCCACCTCCCCAGTTCAAGCAGTTCTCCTGCCTCAGCCTCCCAAGTGACTGGGATTACAGGCTCACGTCACCACACTCAGCTAATATAGGCCTGTGCCACCAGGCCCGGCCAATTTTTGTATTTTTAGTAGAGATGGGTTTTCACCATGTTGGCCAGGCTGGTCACGAACTTCTGACCTTAAGTGATCCAGCCGTCTTGGCCTCCCAAAGTGCTGGGATTACACGGGTGAGCCACCGGGCCTGGCCTAATTCATTTTTTGTTTGTTTGTTTTTTGAGACAGAGTTTTGCTCTTGTTGCATAGGCTGGAGTGTAGTGGCGCGGGTCCAGCTCATTGCAACCTTTGCCTTCCGGGTTCAAGAGATTCTCCTGCCTCAGCCTCCCAAGTAGATGGGATTACAGGCATGTGCCACCATGGCCAGCTAATTTTTTGTATTTTTAGTAGAGACGGGGTTTCTCCATGTGGGTTAGGCTGGTCTTGAACTCTTGACCTCAGGTGATCCACCTGCCTCAGCCTCCCAAAGTGCTGGGATTACAGACCTGAGCTACTGTGCCCAGCCAGCCTAATTGATTTTTAAAACGAGTTAGAGATTTTGGGTTAGTCTTGTTTTCCAGGAATAAAGTACCATTTTTAGTGGCCAAGAATGTACCAGAGGGTGTGGCCCTGTGACATCCGGCTGGGTCTGTCCAGGGCCCCGCTCAGCGACCGAGGCTTTCTAGGATTTATGCTGCCAGTTGCAGAGAAAATGGCCCTGAGTGAGGGCGCTGTGACTGCCCCACCTGCCTCCTGTAACCGCGTGGCTGTGGGATTCGGGGCCGGGAATTCGCGTTCCTGTGGGGCCAGTGCACGGCCCTGTGCTTCTCCCTCGGGCGGAGAGAGGGTGGGGGCAGCCCCGTGCGTCTCCTGCTCTAAGAGGGAGGGACGGTGGGGGCCGGTGCGCCAGTGCGGTGTCTCTGCTGCAGGTGGCTGGGCTGACGCTGCTGGCTGTTGGGGTCTACTCAGCCAAGAATGCCACGCTTGTCGCCGGCCGCTTCATCGAGGCTCGGCTGGGGAAGCCGTCCCTAGTGAGGGAGACGTCCCGCATCACGGTGCTTGAGGCGCTGCGGCACCCCATCCAGGTAGCAGCGCAGGCCTGGCCCTCCCTGAGTGCAGTTCCTGGCTGAGTCCCTTCTGCCCCACGAGCACAGCCCACGCACACCCTCCCGTCCCTTCCCTTTCCCCGGATAACGGGCACCCGCACACTGCTTCACGGGTGGGTTTTCCTGTCTGGCGCTGTACCTTAGGGGTCTGCATCAGTGAGACCCTTCCCCTGTCTGCCTCGGTGTCCCCTGCTCAGGGCTCTTGATGGGGCCTGGGAGCACATCGGGGTCCTTGCAAGACCCGGGACTTGGGTGTGCGGCCGTCTATCAGGGAAGCTGCTACAGGCCACGGCGTCTGGTGGCCTCCCTGGGGAGCCGCGCCGCTCGCCGCCCCCGAGGTGCCTGCTCTCCACAGGTCACTGGGTAGGTGGTTAAGAAAATAAAAGCCAATAAGGAACCGGAAAATGCCCCTAATCCCAGCAATAGCCGCCTGGTCTCCGGGCGGGGCAGGGTTCCAGCTCCGGGCCGGTCCTGGCTGTGCTTTGGGGCAGCTCCGTTTCTGCGTGTTACCGAGCGTGTGTGTGCGCGTTGGTGGCTGTTCCGTGGCTGTGGCAGGTGACCCGATGGCGCTTCCCCTTCCCCTCCGGCAGGTCAGCCGGCGGCTCCTCAGTCGACCCCAGGACGCGCTGGAGGGTGTTGTGCTCAGTGTAAGTCGGTGTGCCTGGGACCGGGGAGGCGCAGGGAGGGGACCCTGGAGCTGGGCCGGGCTGTGGCCCTTGCTGGCGCTCGTGGTGGCACCCAGGAGCTTTTGGGTCCTGAGATGCGACTGCTTGGACCGTGCTGGGGATAGATAGGCTGCCCCTGAGGTGGGAGGCTTCCCGAGGAGCCGAGTCTGCACCCAGGCATTCCCGCAGCCCCTTCCCCTGAGGCTTCCATGGGTGCACAGTGTCTCCTCCAAACCCCCGTCTTCCCCGGCAGCCCAGCCTGGAAGCACGGGTGCGCGACATCGCCATAGCAACAAGGAACACCAAGAAGAACCGCAGCCTGTACAGGAACATCCTGATGTACGGGCCACCAGGCACCGGGAAGACGCTGTTTGCCAAGGTGAGAGCGCCTGGCTGAACAGGTGGGCCAGGGGCCGCTGGGGTCTCACCTGCCTGCAGGTGTCTGGGGGGCTCAGCTGCCTGGGGAATGGACCCCCCTTAGGCCTTTGCCCACCCTCGTGTAGGCTCAGGGTGCTGGTGTGGGCAGCAGCGCCTCCCATCTTCCAGGCGGGGGACGTCTCCTGTCTGGCAGGCTGTGGCTTCCAGGCAGGGACGCTGGGCAGAGCCTCCACACTCCGGGTGGAGTGTGCAGGCTTTGCAGAGGCGGAGGGAACATCTGCTCTGTCTCCCCTCACTCTTCCTGTCCAGAAACTCGCCCTGCACTCAGGCATGGACTACGCCATCATGACAGGCGGGGACGTGGCCCCCATGGGGCGGGAAGGCGTGACCGCCATGCACAAGCTCTTTGACTGGGCCAATACCAGCCGGCGCGGGTGAGACGTCCCCACAGCATGCACCAGGCCCTTGGCTGCGGCCCAGCAGGCTGCCTTCTGGGAAGGGGGTCCAGGTGTCTCTTGGGGACCCTGTCTTTCTGCAGCTCTGTCCTTGTGGCCACGCAGGAGGCCCAGTGGAGGGTCCCTCGGAGGGAAAGTCCCCTGAGTGTGGACCCTGGTGGACACGAGGCCCCCAGCGTGTGGAGGCTGCCAGTGGGATACTTGGCTCAGGGCAGAAGGGAGGTGGGTGGGTGCAGGGGGAGAGGAGTCTTCACAGCTGCAGGGGAGGCTCCTCCACAGCCGCCCTCCCCCCAACACGCCTGCAGGTGGGCGTGGGCACTGGTTGCCTTTTCTAGAACCATTTGAAAGTTAGCTGAAGACAGCATGGCACACTCCCTTCAATAGGTCCCACAGTGACCCCGCGCAGGGCACAGCCCGGGCACCCTTGTGGCCTCGGCTGTCCTCGTTGGAACCACGATGCTCATGGTTGGCACCCTCCCCTCTGGCCTTTGACCTTTCACTTTAGAAGACCTGTCCCTGTCGTGGACTCTAAGCGGCCACCAGTGCTGCACTGGGCCGGGTGGGGGTGAAGCCTGTGGGGCGGAGTTCGTCGCCCCCGTGTGTGGTTGGTTTCCCACGGCCTTCTGAGGCTGGGCCGTGGTCAGCTGCCCAGAGGCCAGGCTGATCGGCTTCTGTCGAGTCCAGGACTTAGGGCTGCTGATGGGGCAGAGCCTGACCCCGTGGGGATCTGCCTGCTTGGCCTGCTCCTGCCGCGGCCGGACGCTGCTGTGGGCTGCTCCTGGTGTCACTCTCGCCCTGCTTGGCCTCCCTCTCGTTCACAGCCTCCTGCTCTTTGTGGATGAAGCGGACGCCTTCCTTCGGAAGCGAGCCACCGTGAGTGTCACTAAGCCTCTGGCCACAATGGGGTGGTGGGGTGGGCACAGCCGTCTGCCTGGGCCAGGCTGCAGCCCTCTGTTCAGTTTCTTTTTCTCTGTAAGCTTTGTGTGAAAAACAGCTTTTTTTTTTTTTTTTTTTGAGAAGAAATCTCGCTCTATCACCCAGGCTGGAGTGCAATGGCCCCATCTCGGCTCACTGCAAGCTCCACCTCCCAGGTTCACGCCATTCTCCCGCCTCAGCCTCCCAAGTAGCTGGGACTACAGGCTCCCGCCACCACACCTGGCTAATTTTTTGTGTTTTTAGCAGAGACGGGGTTTCACCGTGTTAGCCAGGATGGTCTCGATCTCCTGACCTCGTGATCCTCCCGCCTTGGCCTCCCAAAGTGCTGGGATTACAGGCGTGAGCCACCACGCCCAGCCTTTTAATTATCATTCTAAGACAGGGTCTCTGTCGCCCAGGCTGGAGTGCAGGGGCGATCACAGCTCACTGTTGCCTCGACCTCTGGAGCTCAAGCAATCCTCCTGCCTCAGCCGCCTGAGTAGCTGGGACTGCAGGGGCACAGTGGAATACCTGTCTAATTTTTTTGTAATTTTAGTAGAGATGGAGTTTCCTCACGTTGCCCAGACTGGGCTCAAACTTCTGAGCTAAAGAGATTTGCCTCCCTTGACGTTCTGAAGTGCTGGGATTACAGATGTGAGCCCCCGTGCCCGGTCAGGCTTTCTTTTCTTTTTCTTTTTTTTTTTTTTAAGGCAGAATTTTACTCTGTTGCCCACGCTGGAGTGCAGCGGTGCAATTTCAGCTCACTACAACCTCTGCCTCCCAGGTTTCAGTGATTCTCGTGCCTCAGCCTCCCACGTAGCTGGGACTACAGGTGCGCCACCACGCCTGGCTAATTTTTGTATTTTTAGTAGAGACGGGGTCTCACCATGTTGGCCAGGATGGTCTCAAACTCCTTACCTCGTGTGATCTGCCCGCCTCAGCCTCCCAAAATCCAGGTTACATTCGTGAGCCACCGCCCCTGGCCCTGGTCAGGCTTTTGAGAGTAGATCCATGAAAGTGTCGCCATGTCCCTGCTCCCTGCAGGAGGGAGGCCTGTGGGACTTTCTGCTGTGGCTGTTTACAAGGCTTTGCTCCTGGTGCCTAAGGCTGGAACCTTCTCTCTGCAGGAGAAGATAAGCGAGGACCTCAGGGCCACACTGAACGCCTTCCTGTACCGCACGGGCCAGCACAGCAACAAGTGAGGGAGCCCCTCGGGTCCTGGGCCCCCGGGCAGGGCTGTGCAGCCGTCGCCCTTGGTTCCCACCGAGGGACCTGAGGGGCCCTGGCTCACAGTGCTGGGCAGCTGCCGTGGCCTCAACATGCCCACCTCGGATGTCCCCTGGGAACGGCCCAGCTCGGGACAGCACGGGGTGTCACTGAGGAACATGCGGGGGCCTCCCGGGCAGAGCTGGGGTCAGTCCTGTCCTCACGGCCCTGTGCGCCGCCGCCCCAGCTTGCAGGTCCCTCTGCCCCTAGGTTTCTGCGGTCCTGTGCCTGCAAGGGAGGTGGTCTCATCGTGTGAGGCTCTGCTGGGTCTCCCTTGGAGGGTGTGTGTGCCCTGGGGTGGGAGATGGAGACAAGTTTGCTCCCACGGGAAGTTGGACACCAGCAGGTCCTGTGTGTCGGGGCGGAACCTGGGACCTTGGTCCCCCGCCCGGATGCTGGCCAAGGGTGCACCCTCCAGGCTTGGGGCCCACCCGACTTTGTGTGGCCTCTGTGGGCTGCCGCCCAGAGGTCCCCCATAGGGTGACCGCCCCATGGCCAGGCTCCCTAGTCCCTCCCAAGTCCCCTAATTTTGAGTTTTCTTGGTCTCCTGGGCCCCTCCAGCCCCAGTCACGTGTCACACGGAGGATCAAGTCCTGCTGGTCGGCCGTGGCTGACTCCTCAGGCACGTTGGGCTCCCAGGTCAGCTGCTGCCGGTGGATGCTCCCTGGAGCCCTGACTCGGGTCCTTCCCAGAGAGGCAAGGCTGGGGCCCTGCTGAGCCTCCAGTGAACCCGGGCCCCTGAGGTCCTGCTCCTGGCACGTGTGGGCGACTTCTCGACATGGACTCCGGGTCCCGAATCCCTGCTCCCAGCACAGCAGGGGTCAGGCAGCAGGAGAGAGTGGTGTTCCCGGCACTGCCTATCAGGCTGGGCGAGGGTCAGCGGGAAAGCACTATATGGAGGGAGAACAGAGGCCCAGGAAGCCAGGCCGGGGGACAGCTGGGTGCAGTGGGGCAGGTGGCCGACCAGGGCTGTGCCCGTGTCCTCGTGTTTCCCGCCACTTTAGGTTCTCCCTGTGGGGGCTGAGGAGGCCCCGTTCCCCTTGGTGCAGCTCGGCCGGCAGCCCCAGCATCCTCATCCTCATCCCCGCCCCGCAGGTTCATGCTGGTCCTGGCCAGCAACCAACCAGAGCAGTTCGACTGGGCCATCAATGACCGCATCAATGAGATGGTCCACTTCGACCTGCCAGGGCAGGAGGAACGGGAGCGCCTGGTGAGAATGTATTTTGACAAGTATGTTCTTAAGCCGGCCACAGAAGGAAAGCAGTAAGTGTCCCGCCCCACCAGCCCCCGTCCAGGGGCCCTCGCTCAGGGTCCACCCCGACCCACAGTCCACCATCACTTACAAACCTTTAACATTCCTTTTTTTTTTTTTTTTTTGAGACAAAGTCTCATTCTTGTCGCCCAGGCTGGAGTGCAGTGACACGATCTCAGCTGACTGCAACCTCTGCCTCCCGGGTTCAAACAATCCTCTTGCCTCAGCCTCCTGAGTAGCTGAGATTACAGGCGCCCACCACCATGCCTGGCTAATTTTTTTTTAATTTTTAGTAGAAATGGGGTTTTACCATGTTGGCCAGGTTCGTCTCAAACTCCTGACCTCAAGTGATTCACTCTCCTCAGCCTCCCAAAGTGCAGGGATTACAGATGTGAGCCACCGCGCCCGGCGTCTTTTCCATTCCTCTTCACTACGAGGAGGGCTGTGAGGAAATCTTGTGCTCGGCCACCCCCAGGCCCTGGCTGTGAGGGGAGGTGATACGGAGTGTTGCTCTGAGACCCCCGTGTCGGGATTCGAAGGAGTCTCTCCTCATGAGACCCCCGTGTCGGGACTGGAGGGAGAGGCTCCTCATGGTCCACTGCTGGCTTCTGGCCTGGCCTCCCTCCAGCTGCCACACCCGGCCCTGGAGCCTCGTGGTGTGGGGCACGGCTCTTGCTGCTCACGTGCCTTGAGGCTGTCAGGCTCCCTGTTGCTGGCGGTGGGTGCAGCAGGCACGGTGGGCAGAGCCCTCCAGGTGATGAGGGGCCCTGGCACCACACACCGGCTGCCTCGGGAACACTCCAGATGAGCAGAGGCTGCTCCACTTCTTGGCGTCCCCCGGGCCCCGGTTTCTGAGTCCTTCTGTGCACCTGACCCAAATCCCTGCTGTCGCCAGTGATGACAAAAGAGAGCCTGGTTGCCGCTGCCGCCTGCTCCATGCCAGCCCAGCTTTCCGGGCCTCAGTTTCCCTATGCCCTCCCCTTCCCTGGGCTCCCCCACCCCCATGGCTGCTCGTAGCCCTGGCACCATGACTTGGCTTCTGTGGCCTCCAGGCAGACGCTTTTGCTAGAAGTCGGGGCTCCGCCACTGCCAGCATAAAGGCCACCTGCCCTGCGGGTGCTGAGTGAGCAGCTGTGGGCAGGGCTGGTGTGAGGAGTGGTTGGGGCCATCTCCAGGCCCTGCAGCCACTCCCTGCTCAGTCCGGGCCTGGCCTGCAGCAGGGAGGATGTGGAGCTGGGCTGTCAGAAGTAGAGAGCCCCTCCAAAGAGGATGTTTGGCGTGGGTGTCGGCCTCGCTGCCTGTCTTCCGGCCTCCACCTCGTGTTGTGGGAGCTGCTGCCTTGGCCGGCCCACTTGGGAACTCCTTCCCCAGGCGCCTGAAGCTGGCCCAGTTTGACTACGGGAGGAAGTGCTCGGAGGTCGCTCGGCTGACGGAGGGCATGTCGGGCCGGGAGATCGCTCAGCTGGCCGTGTCCTGGCAGGTGAGTCAGGCTCCGGCACGTCCACCCAGACGGGACCCCAGCTGCTGTGGAGATGCTCAGTTGCGCCAGGCCTGTCCCAGCACCGGTGTCACGCGGGAGCTTCTGTTGAGGGGTTTTCAGTGCACAGAGGTGACACAGGGCCCCCTGCCCCAGTCAGGCCACTCCACGAGGCATCGCGCACCTGCTCGTGCCCTCAGGAGGGTGGAGCCATGTCGGTGGCTGACAGTCACCCGGGGCTCTCTGGAGGCCAGTCTGGCATCGCCGTAGCCCGAGCTTTGCCAGGTGGGGCTGGAGGCTTCTGACTCTCACCTTGGCCAATAGGCACCTCCCTGTGTAAATGGTCGTTAGGACAGGCCCCATGTGAGTTGGGGGTTCGGGGTGGAGGGACATTGTGTTTTCTGGACCAAGTCTGTGGGCTTGGTCCTGCTTGACACATGGGTGGGAGTGGCCTCTGGTTGTCCCACAGCCAGTTGTTCTTCGGGGACACCCCTCCTGCAGCTCCGTGGCTGCTCCAGGGCTGAGGAGCCAGGACTCACAGGAGTGTGGGCGTGGCCATCCAGAAAGCTTTGGTCTTTGGGGGTTGCTGGAAAAGCAAAACCAGGTTGGTGGGGCAGAAGGCACCCTGGCCACGCACAGGCATCACCACCTCTGGGGTCCGCAGAGTCTGTGTAACAACCTGGTTCCTCAATCTAGCAGTGCTTTTGAATGAACGTGTGACAGCTTAATGAAGCAGCCGAGTACCTTGATTTGAATGTTGGAGCCGGGGTTCACAGGGGGCTGTATTAGTCAGTACAGGCTGGGTTATGCCACTGTGACAAAGAGCCCCAGATCTCAAACCCCGTCCTTGTGGGTCAGCTGAGGTCTCTGTTCCAGGCCATCCCCACTTGGAACCAGGTCTGTTTCCACAACTAAGAAAGCAGAGGCCGGGTATGGTGGTGGCTGACGCTTGTATTCCCAGCATTTGGGGAGGCCAAGTTAGATTATTTGAAGCCAGGGGTTTAGGACCAGCCTGGAAAGCAAGGCAAGACCCCATCTCTACAAAAAATGAAAAAATTAGCTGGACCTGGTGGCACATGCCTGTAATGCCAGCTGCTTGGGAGGCTGAGGTGGGAGGATCACTTGAGTCCAGGAGGTGGAGGCTGCAGTGAGCTGTGATTGCCACTGCACTCCAGCCTGGATTACAGAGCAAGACCCTGTCTTAAAAACTAAGAATAATGGCCGGGCGCGGTGGCTCACGCCTGTAATCCCAGCACTTTGGGAGGCCGAGGCGGGCGGATCACGAGGTCAGGAGATCGAGACCATCCCGGCTAAAACGGTGAAACCCCGTCTCTACTAAAAATACAAAAAATTAGCCGGGCGTAGTGGCGGGCGCCTGTAGTCCCAGCTACTTGGGAGGCTGAGGCAGGAGAATGGCATGAACCCGGGAGGCGGAGCTTGCAGTGAGCCGAGATCCCGCCACTGCACTCCAGCCTGGGCGACAGAGCGAGACTCCGTCTCAAAAAAAAAAAAAAAAAAAAAAAAAAACTAAGAATAATTTGGAACGAGTGCGGTGGCTCACTCCTGTAATCCCAGCACGTTGGGAGGCTGAAGTGAGAATATCATACACCTGAGGTCAGGAGTTTGAGAGCAGCCTGGCCAACAAGGCCAATCTCACCTCCACTAAAAATACAAAAATTACCCCGGCACATTTGTGGTGTATGCCTGTAGTCCCAGCTACTCAGGAGGCTGAGCCAGGAGAATCTCTTGAATCCAGGAGGCGGAGGATGCGGTGAGCTGAGATGGTGCCACTGCCCTCCAGCCTGAGCAATAGCGTGAGACTCCATCTTAAAAAAATAGTAATAGGCCAGGTGCAGTGGCTCACACCTGTAATCCTAGCACTTTGGGAGGCCAAGGCGGGCAGATCACGAGGTCAAGAGATGGAGACCATCTGGCCAAATGGTGAAACCCCATCTCTACTAAAAATACAAAAATTAGCTGGGTGTGGTGGCGCATGCCTGTAATCCCAGCTACTTGGGAGAATGAGGCAGGAGAATCACTTGAACCCGGGAGGCGGAGGTTGCAAAGAGCCGAGATTGCACCACTGCACTCCAGCCTGGCAACACAGTGAGACTCCATCCCAAAAAACGAAAACGAAAACTAAAAATAATAATAACTGGGGCTGGACGGGCGCGGTGGCTCATGCCTGTAATCCCAGCACTTTGGGAGGCCGAGATGGGCGGATCATGAAGTCAGGAAATCAAGACCATCCTGGCTAACACGGTGGAACCCCATCTCTAATAAAAAATACAAAAAAAAAATTAGCCAGATGTGGTGGCGGGTGCCTGTAGTCCCAGCTACTTGGGAGGCTGAGGCAGGAGAATGGCATGAACCCGGGAGGCAGAGCTTGCAGTGAGCCGAGATCGCACCACTGCACTCCAGCCTGGGCGACAGAGCAAGACTCTGTCTCAAAAATAAAAAAATAAAAAATAAAATAATAATTTGGGCTGGGCACGGTGGCTCACACCTGTAACCACAGCACTTTGGGAGGCTGAGGCAGTGGATCTCCTTGAGTTCAGGTGATCTGCCCCCTTTGTCCTCCCAAAGTGCTGGGATTACAGGTGTGAGCCACCATGCACGGCATCTTGAATTCTTTTCTCATAAAAGGGTTTTGAATTTGGTCGAATGCTTTTCCTGCATCAGATGAGAGGGTCATGTAGTTTCCTTCCTCCACTCGGCTAATATTGATTGATTTTTGTATGTTGAACATTTTTTATGTGGAACATTGATTGATTTTTGTACGTTGAACTATCCTTGCATTCCAGGAATAAATCCTGCTTGGTCAGGGTGTATAATTTTTTTATTATACTCCTGAATTGGTTTTGCTGGCATTTTGTTGAGGACTTTTCCAACGATGCTTATCAGGGATATTGGCATGTCATTTTTCTTGTGGTGTCTTTGTCTGGCTTTGATATGAGGGTAATGCTGGCCTCTTAGGATGAGTGAGGAAATGTTCTTCAATTTGTCCAAGAGTTTGAGGAGTGATACTGATTCTTCTTAATGTTTTGTGAATTCACATGTGAAGACATCAGGTCCAGGTCTTGTCTTTCAACTTTTATAGTTTGAAGATTTTAGGTTCCCAGAAAAGTTGCAAGAGTAGCACAGAGACTTCCTGGGCCTGGGACCTTGCCACGTGGTGAACATCATGTGTCACTGTTGGACCCACCTGTGACTGGGTTTTGCCCCAGAATCCCACCCAGGACGCCACGTGACATTTAGCTGTCACTTCTGGTGGGCTCCTGCCAGGTCCCGTGCTTCCTGGAGGGGTGGCCCCGTGAGCATCTGCATAGCCCCTTTCCTCTGCTGGGCCCTGGGTGGGGTGCAGCCACTCGGGTGGACCCTGAGGGTCCCTGCACCTGTTTGCCCTCTCTTGGGTGCGCTCAAGACCAAAAATGATGTTGAGCAGTCCTGGGCCCCGGACCCACAGTGGTGGTGCGGCTCTGGTCAGTGTCTCCTGCGCTCCCAGGCCCCTGACCCACAGTGGCGGTGCGGCTCTGGTCAGTGTCTCCTGCACTCCGGGGCCCCTGACCCACAGTGGCGGTGCGGCTCCGGTCAGTGTCTCCTGCGCTCCCGGGCCCCCGACCCACAGTGGTGGTCCGGCTCCGGTCAGTGTCTCCCCACACAGTGGCTCTTGGTGAGGGGTGGGCGCTTGCAGAGGGGACGGGCACCACGTGGTCATCCCCATGGCAGGTTCCGTCGTGGCGACGGTGTTGTGGGAGGATGGTGTGCTGCTGCCCCTGCACCCCGTGAGATGAATCCTGCCTCTGGGAGGTACAGCTGGGACGGGGCGAGGGACCCACTCAGCTGTCCAGGAAGGGTCCCCTGCCCTGTGCTTCCTCCAGGTGTCCTGGTGCGCTCCTGAGCACGGTGCCCAGTGGGGGTCCCCACACCCTGACCCTGACCCTGACCCACGGGTGCCTCCCCTTGGGGACTCCACGCCCTTCGCTGGCATTGGGATGGAGAGTGACCCGTTCATTGCAGAAGGGCTGGACCTGAGGCTGCCTGAAGCCACACCAAGGGCCACAGCCCCAGCAGCTCCAGCCTTCACGTGCCAGATGCCAAGCCCTGTGCTCAGGAGGACAGGGAGGTGGGGGCAGAGGTGGCCTTGGTGCCACCACTCATGTGCCTCAAGGTGGGCAGTGGCTGCCTCTGCCCTGGAGGCCTGTGAGGGTCAGGGTCTGAGGGTCTGAGGTGCACTATGACCCGGGGGCACTGCCTGGCCACGGCTGAGACTCGCAGAGGGTCTGCAGTTCCCACCTGCCTCTCGGAAGCTGCCCTGGGTCGGCGGTCAGTGAGGCTCCGCCTTGGGCTTTCTATTATTAGAAAGTCATTGAGCAACAGCAGTGCTGAGGACGCAGGCAGGGCTGTGGGCACTGCAGGGGCTGCTCCCGGTGTCCACACACGTGCTGGGCTCTGCCGAGGTGCGGGAAGCCTGTGTTTCACGCTCAGGCCATCCTGGAGCCCCTGGTTTGGTCCCTCCCCACCTCGGGGCCCTGGCGTGCATTTGGGGTGGGGGGTTCCCATGGCGGCCTCCCTCAGCTGCCTCTCTCCCCACTAGGCCACGGCGTATGCCTCCGAGGACGGGGTCCTGACCGAGGCCATGATGGACACCCGCGTGCAAGATGCTGTCCAGCAGCACCAGCAGAAGATGTGCTGGCTGAAGGCGGAAGGGCCTGGGCGTGGGGACGAGCCCTCCCCATCCTGAGTCCACAGGGAGATCCACAGCTCACGGAGCCTGGCCGCGGACCCCTCCCACCCCTGCCTTGCCGGCCCCTGCACATTTAGGATATGCTCCTGGGTGGGGACTGGGCTGTGCCCAGGGCCTCTGTCCCCCAGGATGTCTTGTGGTGCGGGTCGGCCGTTCTGCCCCCCAGGGCACCCCCTGTTGTAGGCACTGGCTAGGGAGGGGCAGGCCTCCTTCCTGCCCCTCGAGACACTCTTGGGAGATGCATTTTCCGTCTGGCTCACAGGGGGAGGGTGAGGCTTTGCACCCCAGCCCCTGCCCAGGCCACTGTGAGGGTGGGTGCTGGCTGAGCCCCCGGGGCAGCAGGAGCCAGGCAGGTGATGTCTTTGTTCTCGGCTCCCACAGCAGAGCCAGGTGAGGGGGCGCCTGCCAGGGCCAGACCCAGGTGGGGCAGCCTGAACCCTGCTTCCCCCTGTGGCCGGCATGCCCCGATCTTTCACACACTGGTGACCCTGAGAGAGGAGGGAGGAGGGAACCTGGCGGGGGTGTCTGAGGCCGCACTGTCAGCTGGCCGGTCCAAGCCTGTGGCTGGAGCTGGGGTCTGTTTACCTAATAAAGTCCCACAGGTGCCTCATTGCCCTGTCTGTCTCTTGGCTGGCACGGGGTGGGGTTTTGGGGGCCTCCTAGCGTCCCCCTGGGGTCAAAGGTGACAGAAGAGGCGGAGGCTGGCGCTTTCTGGAGAATTTACTGACCACAGAGGGGTGGGCTTCACATGAGTGCCCGCCACTGCGGGGCCAGGGGCCTGAATGCTGCCTGGGCCCAGCCACCTGCACCCCACCCTGTGGCTGTGCACACGCGGGTGCTCCCCTCGCCCCCCTCCCCTCCGCCCAAGCTGGCTGGGGCCAGACAGACGGTGGACGCAGCGCACGGGAAACAGCGCCTTCAAACAGATGCTGGCCCGGGCCGCGCGCCTCGCCGCCCCTGCCCCCACCTGCCCCCCAGGACCCTCCCTGCCCCCCAGGACCCTCCCTGCCCCCCAGCACCGCTGGGGATGAGTCCGCCCTTGTGTCCTGCCCCCCAACTGCAGGGTCTCCCCTAACCCAACCCCCACCCTAGCCCACACCCCAACCCCCTTTATAAAAAGAAGAGACAGCACCTTCCACTGGACTCTCCCGGCCGGCCACAGCCCCGGACAACCTGGGCCCAGGGCTGCTGTCCAGTCCCGCCGGCCCGGGCGTCCACGAGGTCCCTTTTACATCTGTACAGCAGCCGGTTGGCTCGGTGGCCCCGGTAAGTCCCCGTGCGGCTCACAGGTGCCGCGGGCTGGGGTGGCCATTGTGGTAGAGTTTCTGCTTCACGTGTACCATGTTCCCGGCGGCCTCCTCGAAGGGCCTGTGCGGCCGCCGGCCCAGCTCCCGCAGGCTGCACAGCTTGGGCAGCCAGGTCCACGAGCCATCTGCGGGGGGACAGGGGCGGTCAGGCGGCTGGGGCCGGCCAGGGCGGCAGCACTCCCGGGCGGCGGGCACGAGGCACTCACCGTAGCGCCGTCCGGCTCTCCAGGCGCGCACGGCGCAGTGCAGGACGCCGTCCATCCACACCAGGAACCAGCTGATGCAAAAGCCCAGCAGCAGCCCCAGCATGAGGTCGATCTCCTGCTTGGTCACACTGTCCGTCACAAAGTAGTTCTCGGAGGCGTCCACCACCGACTGGTCCCCGTCGTACGGGATCACGTAGTGGATATGGTGCCTGGGGGCGGCAGGGCGGGCTGGCACCTCTCCCGCCACCCCCGGCCTGGCCTTCCCCCGGGGCGCCTACCCCGTGGTGGGGGTGTGACCGCGTCAGGCCGCCCTGGGGGTTCTCTGAAGCAGCCTCTTGGGCGGGCGGGTCGGGAAGGGGGCACCAGACTCAACGAGGCCCAGGTCACAGGCCAGAGGGAGTGGGAGGTCAGTGGCCATGGGCTGTGGAGGCCGAGCGTGAAGTCCGGGCAGACAGCGGGACCAGCTGCCGGCGAGGGTGTCGGCCCTCACTCAGCACCTCCTCCCTGAGGCCTGGAGCTCACGGGAAGGTGCTGCAGGTGGAAGAGGCCTCCCCCGGAGGGGGCTCAGGACGGCGGTCCCCACGGCCAGGGTCACAGCTCACCCGCCCGCCCCGGGGCCGCGGAGGCCACTTGGAGCAGAGCTGGACACAGGGAGCCCTGCTGGCCCCAGACCAGCCACTCCCATGCACCCTTCCCCCCGCTGCTGTGCCCTTTCCTCCACGGCTGCCACCGCGCCTGCCAGGCCCACTGCCCCTGGTGTTTCTTCTGCTCCTCTATCCCTGGGAGGTGCTGTCGGAGGCCACGGGGGCTCTACCCAGCACCCCATCCTCTCCCCTTCCTGGGGGACGCCCCCTTGCCCTTGCCTGGCACAGACCCGCCCCGCTCCTCTCAGGATGGACGGCGTCCAGGCTCCAGGGCCCTTTCGTCCTCAGTGCCTGCGCGCCTCCATGTCCCTCGGCCTCCCCTCCCCGGGCTCTTGGGGGAACTGCCCAGGCTCAGGCCACAACAGCCTCTGGCCTCTTGCTGCTGGGGCAACACAAGCTCCCCAAGGAGCTCGCCCCAGCAGCTCACCCTGTCCCAGGAAGGTCTCCGGGCCTTGACTCTGCCGATCGGACTGGCATCCCAGACAGTCAACTCTGGGATCCCTAGTCCAACAGGAGGGCCTGGGAGTGGAGCCCGCGGGCCCCACGCGCCTTGCGGTCCACACTCCTGGCTGCCTCCCACATCTCCGCCGAGCTCCAGCTGCCTGTGTCTCCACGTGGGATCCGCAGACACCTTAAACTTGTGCCTAAAAATAGCTCCTCTCTCCCCAGACCTGCTTCTCCCCCACCTTCCCCTCGGTGACGTAGCAGCGCCTCAGCCTGGTTTTCAGCCGAGACCCAGAGACCACCCCACCCTCCACACCCCAACCAGAAGTACTTCCCACACTGAAAGCCCAGCCTGTCCGTCCAACCCAGGGTCTTGCAGCCCTCTCCAGGCCATCCCTGTGCCCAGCGGGGACCACACAGGTGCCTTCCCTCAGTGAGATCTGGGGGGTCCTGGGGCCCGAGCCCAGGAACAGGGAGGAGGTGTCCCCTGCCCCACGCTCCCCTTGAAGCCCTCCTGCTCTTCTGGGGTTCCCGGAGGTCAGTCCCCTCAGCATATCCGGAAAGTGGCCGCTTTCAGTGGCAGGGCTCTCGGTGAGGAGTGACCATGACCGTGGCTGATTCCTGGTGGCCACCGATCACCTGGTGACGAGCCTGTCCACAGCCATCGTCCATCGTCACCAATGGGCAGCTGCTGACCACTGCCCAGAATGTGCAGCTGCCAGAGGCCCTCAGGGGAGGAAGCTGTTCCTGACCCCTTAGAGAGTCCTCACCCACCCCAGGGGCTCAGTAACTTTGGGGGTCAGAGGTCACAGCCTGTGTCCCCCACCATGGCTGGCCTGGGTACCTGTAGCTCCTCTCCCTGCACCTGGCCCTCCTTCCTGGAGGGCTCAGGTCTCCCAAGTGAAAGCAGGAGATAGGCCTGGGCAGAGATATGCTATCTGCACACGTATGTCTGTGACATGTACATACGTGTGTCCTGCCTGCACCACACACACCAGGTGTGTCCACCTGAGGCCCAGTGTACATCACGTATACACACCAGCCACATGCACGGGACATGGCGTGATACTGTGGACATGGGCCCCGGGAGCGCCACACCCCCGCCCTGTGCACGGTGTGTCACGCGAGTGCATGTTCGCTTGGCTTTGCAAAACGCAGCCACCCTCTCCACGGGGCGCCACGTCACGTGCATGGACGGATGTCTAGTTTGGACGCTGCCTGCCAACAGACTTTGGAGCATTGATTTCCATACACGTTCTCCACGTCAACGTCTACGTATAGGCACGTATGAGGCCTACACATGTACACACACTCGTTCTGAACACCAGCGTGTACACACAGGGAGCCTCTCATGGCAGTGCACGGGCATGGTGGATACGCAGATACCGCATGTGCAAGACTGCTGTCTGCACACACACTGGCTGCAGCTACACGGAGACATCTTGACATGTCCCTGAGCACACGGCACTGTATATTGTGACATACATGTACTTTGCATACACATATATGTTGTCAATATACAAGGGCACTCTGTACGCTGAACGTACATATCCTGTATGTAGAGATGTGAACAGAGCATAGATACATGGACACACACGCAGCAATACCGTCTACAGCAGGCTGTGGCTCTGCTTCCCACACACGGCTGCCTTCAGCGTGCACCCACCCGAGTCCACGCGTGCTCTGGACACGGCATGAGCCGCCCTACATGCCCTGTGCAAATACTCTAAGGCGCCTCTGCCTGCCCCGCGGAGCCCTCAGTGTGCTGCCACAGGCGGATGCACACGGCCCCAGCCCACGTGCGTGGAGGCCGCACCTTTCTGATGCTCTGGAGCTCGGGTCTGGGCCCAGCCTCCGGGAGGCAGTGGAGCCGACCTCAGGCCTTTGCTCAGCAGTCGGACCTGCCAGCCAGGGACACGGGGCTCTCTGGTAGCATGTGGCCACCCCACAAGCTCTTACCCCCTACCCTGTGCCCAGCACACGTGAGGGTCACAGACACCCCGATCTCTGCCTTCTCTAACACCCGTGTTCTTCATCGACACGCCTGCTGCACCCATAGGCATGTCACACGCTTAGCAACACATGCAGCTGTCCTGAACACACATGCCCCACACCCACACGTATGCACAGAGACCCCCGGAGCAGGAGGCAGCAGAGATGACGAACACGGGTTCTGGGCTGGTGCCCCCTTTGTCCTTCACTAGCTGTGTGACCTTGGAAAAGCCTGTCCTCTAAATCCTCCGTCCACTTCCTCATCTGTTCAGCAGGGTTAACAGCGGCCACTGCGTGAGGGTGTCCTGAGGGGTGGAAGTGCATGCGTGCGTGCGCGGGGGCTGTGTGTACGCACATGTATATGCACAGACGCCACACACATGCGCGTCTCATGAGAAGATGTTTATTTCGTACATGGACGTACAAACATGCATGGCCAAGAGGATCCCATCGCTACACGTGCACAGAGGGGGTCACACGGTGGGTGCGGGGGGTCTGGGCGCTCCCCTCAATCTGAATGACCTTGAGGAAGCTCCACCTCCCCGCTGCCCCCCCAGCCCATCCCTCAGCTCCTCTCCAGCCCGGGGGTGGTGCCCAGTGCCCCTCAAGGCAGGCCCTTCCCGCCTTGACCTGCATTCCCCTGCCCAGGGACTCAGTGCAGGGCCCAGCCCTGTGCCAGCAGGCGCTTCCTGCCCCAGCCCTGATGAGGCTGGCTTGGGTCTCCACTGTGGACATCACACTGGGCTGCGGCTTTCCGGCCTCCAGGCTGGACCAGGAGGCCCCGTGACCCATTCCGCCATCACCCTGGAGGCCTCTAGGAACGGCGTCCTAAAGCCATGCGCCCCCAGGAGACCCCCGCCCACCTTGAGACAGCTCCTCCCCCTGCGCACCTGGCAGCCCTCAAGGGTGGAAGGCGGCTCGCGGCCTGCGTGGGGCTGGTTCCCCCGCGCCCCGAGTGGGCCCCGCCACACATGTGCGCTCACGCGTGTCGAGCCGGCGCCGGTTGTGGACTCACCGGCCACAGTTGCAGTGGCAGACGCGGTCCTCGCCCCGCAGGTGCGGGAGGATGTAGTTGTGGAATCGGTCCAGCAGCGCGTTCATGTCCATCAAGCACGCGATGGCCTGGAAGAGCTCATGACCGGTCAGCGCCAAGGAGCGGGCGGGACGAAGCGGGGCTGGGGGTGGGGAGCGCAGGCCGGGGTCGGGGCAGCGCAAGCGGGGAGCGAGAGCGCAGGCCGGGGTGAGGGGAGCGTAGGCCTTGGTAGGGGGAGCGCAGCGGGTATGGGGATCGCAGGCTGGGGAGGGGAGCGCAGGCCGGGGTGGGGGGAGCGCAGGCCCGGGAGGGGACCGCGGGCCGGGGAGGGGGAAGCGCAGGCCGGGGTGGGGGGAGCGTAGGCCGGAGAGAGGAGCGTAGGGAGTGTGGGGATCGCAGGTTGGGGAGGGGAGCGGAGGCCGGGGTGGGGGAGCGCAGGCCGGGGAGGGGAGCGCAGGCCGGGGAGGGGAGCGCAGGCCGGGGAGGGGAGCGCAGGCCGCACGGGCGGTAAACAAGGCGCGGGAGGTGGGCCAGGCGGCGCGCGCGGGCGGGGAGCAGGGGGCGCGCGCGGGAAGCCCCTCCGCTCACCATCACGACCGACGCCCCCAGAATCATGAAGATCATGGTGTTCGCGCTCATGGACATCGGGCGGGGCCGGGCCGGGCCGGAGCGCCGCCCCCCGGCCCCGGCGCCCCCCCGGCCCCGGCCCGATGCTGAGCCCCCGCCGCCTCCGCAGAGGTCAGCGCTTCCCTGGATCGTCCGCCGCCGCTCGCTGCAACCCCGGCACCGGCCGGGGGGAGGAGGCGCGGGGGGGGGGGCGCCGGGGAGGGACGCGGGGCCTTTCTGGGGTCTCTCGGCCCGGCCCGCCGCGCTCCGCTCCGCCCTCGGGTCCTCCCTGCGATGCGCTCGGCTCGGCTCGACTCGGCTCCGCTCGGCTCCGGCCCCCTCCCTGCCTCCTCCTCCCTCCTCCCCCCTCCCTCCCCGCCGCCTTCCTCCGCCTCTCGGGAGGGACCGCGCAGACCGCAGGCCGCCCCGTGCCAGCGCCGGGAGGAGACCGCCATCCCCCGGACGCCGGCCGGGACCCCTCCCCGGGAGCCTCGGCTTCGCGTCCCGCCCCAGTCTGGTCAGACCCAGCCCCGGTGGCCTGTCCGGTGACCCTGGACGCCAGTCCTCCGGTCCTGGAGGGGCGCCGAGGCCCTTCCCGCCCCACTGCTCCGCCCTACGTCCTGGACTCCCAGGTCGCCGGGTGCGGGACTGCCCCAGTCCGCTCGGCACGCACGTGCCTCCAGGGTGGGGTCCGCAAGGTCGCGACAGCCCCACGGCCGTGGGGGCCACAGGTCAGGGACGGGATGACCCCTGGAATCCTCAACGGAGGGATGTGGCACAGGAGCCGAGGGCAGGGCCGCCCCGCACAGGCTTCCCTTAGGGCGGGGACGAGGGGGTCAGCCCAGGCCCATGGGTCGGGACGCCGGCCATTCAGAGGCCCAGTGGCCACCACTCCGCTGTGGCTGTCCCTGGCTCGGGGTCCTGAGGCCAAACTCTCATCCACGACCGGTGACCATGTCTCAGGCCCGGGAGCCGACCCCCGGCCTCAGCAGGAAGTCAGCGGGAAGCTATGCCTGGGACCCAGCCTGGGTCGTGGCGCCATCCAGGCTCACTGCAGCCTCCACTCCTGGGCTCAGGCGATCCTCCCGGCTCAGCCTCCCCCGTAGCTGGCCTTGGGGGATCCCCGCCCGGGGGGGTTCCACATGGAGAGGGGACGCCGCTCCACCACAGGCAGCAGTTGTGGCAGGAGCAGGCGGCTTCCGCTTCAGGCAGCACAGGCACGGGTAGGCCCAGACCCTGTCAGCACCACCAGGTCTGAGCTACTCCTCCCAAGCAGTGGTCGGAGGTCACTGAGGGCGGCAGGGCTAGGCCTCTGCCACCTCCTCAGGGGCGAGGGTCGGGCCAGGAATTCAGGACCAGGCACAATGACAGCAGCATCTGTTTATTGACAATTCCAGGTCATTCCTAACACGCCGCAGCAGGGCTCTGTACAGTCCGGCCCGGTGGGGAGGAGGGAGGGAAGGCAGGCACACGAAGACACAGGTATGTCGGGAAGTGCACACAAACCGTTGTCTTTCCTTTTTGGTTAAAGAAGAAAAACTTTGTAATCAATATCCTGCTCATAAGTAAAAGTGGAAAAGAAGAAACTTGATTGCTTTCATCTGGCGTTTTGGCATCTCCTCTCCCATTTCATATGCACAGTTTATTTGGGTAATGCTACCGTCACCAGCAGAACACCTGTAAGTAAAAACAAATGTCAGGAAGGAAAAAGTATGAACAACAGGAAGCTCCAGAGGCGGCTCCATGCGGGCGCTGGGCTCAGTAGAAGCAGACGGTGTGCAGAAAGGTGCGGCCACTCTTCTCCTCGAACTCCTGCAGCAGCTCGTCGATCTCGTTCTCCATGTCTTCCGTGTGCTGGATCTGCAAGGACAGGACCGTGGTGAGGGCCTTGCCCACTCCTGCCTGTCTGCTCCCCCTAACACCTGGATCGCCAGGGAAACGCCAGGCCTGAGCCAGCAGAAACCAGCGCAGCAGGCAGGCCCTCACCCCACCGCTGCTGCCTCACAAGGACGGCCGGAGGCTGCAGGGGGAGAGCGTCCCGGGCAGCCCCCACCTCCCCACCGACCCTCACAGGACCTGAAGCTGGGAGGAGCTGGGAGGAGCCTGGAGCTGGATTCTGAGAGGGGCCCAGCACGGAGACCTGGCGGCCAGGGCTCAGACCCACACATGCACAGCGGGGCCGACCAACCCTCACCGCCAGCGCTTCCACACCACCAACAAGCGAGCGGGGGCAGCCTGGTCATCGGAGCATCCTGGCCTCCATCCACCAGAGCCCCTGGCAGAGGGCCGCTGCCCCAGAGTGAGCAGGCCCGGCTCCTAGGCACACCTGCCCTGGCACCGGCAGCTCGTTACTCGCCATCTCCACTGTCCCCTGGTCCCCAGCCTTGGCCAGCACCCAGTGCCTCTAAGCAAGGAGCGGCCTGTCTGTGACTCAGCTCTGGCCAACGTGACCCAAGCAGAAATCGTGCAATAACTTCTGGGACGACATTTTCTTATGACCTTTTCTCCTGCCAGGCGATCATGAAGACCGTCCCTGGCGCTTCAGCAGCCACACTGGACCGTGAGGCACGTGGGGACCAGAAGCCATGCTGGGTGGGCCAGGCGGAGCGCAGGAGCCTCTGCGGCCACACAGCAGCTTCTCCCAGCGCCCGCCCGCCTGGCTCCCGGGCTTTCCAAACACACCATCTTCTTTCTTGGTGAAGCTGTTCTGTTTTTCTGTCTTTCACAGACATTCATCAAATCACAGAGGCAGAGGCAGAGGCAGAGGCGGGACGGTGCGTGGGGCTCTCCTCAGGCAGGTCCTTTCGTCACAGCCCAGCACCTCCACGCCGCAGCAGGGTGGCTACAGAAGCCTTGGGGTGCCCCGGCCCCTCTGTGCAAGGGAGACATGCAGGGCCCACTGGGGAAGGCAGGTGTGCAGAAGGCCAAGTCCAGGGGTGGACGGCGGACACAGAGCCCTTGGCAGCCTCCAGGCTCACGTGGGGCACACCTCCGACTGCACCGCATCCCGGAGAGCTGCATGCTCTGCTCACTGAGGTGGGGCTGTGTCCGCCACGGGGAAGAGACAAGGTACCAGGCGTTCCCTGGAGCCGTGTCCTGGGAGAGGGACTAAGCCTGTGTTGGGGAGGTCCCTGTGCAGCGTCTCTCAGCTGAGCAAAGGGCATTGCAGGGGGGCCTCCTGTGCCAAAGCTGTGGAGTGACTCACTGAACTACCAGCAGGCGCCCCCGACACAGGCGAGCTGAGCAGACCTTGCCCCAAGCAGCAGGGCCGGCCTCAGGTCTCGGCCACTCCCCTCTGTCACGGCCTCGGCCACTCCCCACTGTCACGGCCTCGGCCACTCCCCTCTGTCACGGCCTCGGCCACTCCCCACTGTCACGGCCTCGGCCACTCCCCACTGTCACGGCCTCGGCCACTCCCCTGTCACGGCCTCGGCCACTCCCCTCTGTCACGGCCTCGGCCACCCCCTCTGTCACGGCCTCGGCCACTCCCCTCTGTCACGGCCTCGGTCACTCCCCTCTGTCACAACCTCTGCCCAGCGCGGCGCCCAGCCGGGTACTTACACACTGGCAGAGCTCACAGATGAGAAACGCCCCCAGGGTGGCCTCCTCGTGGTTGTCCTGGATGTCCACATTGACCACGTGCACAGGCTGGCAGGTCTCCTGTTCTCTGGAATTCAGATCTGATTGGGACAAGGTGACACAGACGTCAGAGGCTCCAAAACCAGGGAACAGGCAGTCAATGTGGCTGAGTCCCCAGCTCTGCCGGCTGCAGGCCCAGCCCAGCCCCAGTGGTTTCTGGACTCTGCAGTTTGGGGAGCACAATGAATGAGCCTCAAACCGAAGGCGGCTGATGGTTCGAGGAAACCTGAGCAAATCTCCAACTCAGCACAAGCTGGTCTGGGACTCCCCACCCACCAGCCAGTCCTGGGGTGAACCGTGACTGGCATTGCGACCCTTCCCCGTCACTAAAGACCAGCCCTCCCTGCTCCACCGCCAGCTCCACACAGGGTCCATCCGCTTGAAAAATGGGCCTGGCGCGGTGGCTCTCGCCTGTGATCCCAGCACTTTGGGAGGCTGAGGCGGGCGGATCACTTGAGGACAGGAGTTCAAGACCAGCCTGGCCAACATGGTGAAACCCCGTCTCTACTAAAAATACAAAAATCAGCTGGGTGTGGTGGCACACGCCTGTAGTCCCAGCTACTCGGGAGGCTGAGGCAGGAGAATCACTTGAACCCGGGAGGCAGAGGTTGCAGTGAGCCTAGATTGTACCACTGCACTCCAGCCTGGCGACAGAGCACGACTCTGTCTCAAAAAACAAAACAAAAAAACACCAAGGAGAAAAGAGGCCCCTTGAAGCCCATGAGGCTGCAGCCAGCACATGGGTGGTTCAGCGACCAGCGGCCCTGCCTGCCTTCCAGGGTGCTTCACACTCAGGTCTGCTCCCCGGCCCCCGCCACTCTAGACGGGCTGTACTGGTCATGGTGGGGCCCTGCAGGCATCCCCAGACCCTGTGAGAGCTGCTGGAGCCCAGCCCAGCACGCAGCCGCCTCCTCACCTTCCACCACCTGGTCATACACTCTCTCTTCGCAAGTGAGGATCAGATCAAACAGGTCTTTGCAGTTCTGGAATCTTTCTGGCCGGGGCTTGATTCTCTTATTTCTGTCCAGCATATGTAAAATCCCATTCTGTGTATAGCTACACATGGGAGTTAAGGAACGTCAGAGAAAAGGCATCTGTGTATGAAGCCTGGAAGCGCCTGTGTCCTGGACACCCAGCCCCTTCCCTGCCCCACAGCAGAGGCAGCCGGGACGAAGGCCTGGACAGCGGAGTGGGCCATGCCCTGGTGAGGCAGGGGCCTCACTGTCCTAGGAGGTCCCACAGAAAACAAAGTGGGCGATGGCAGGTGCTTGCTCCTCGCTGTCCCCCAACTCGGCAAAAAGACCCAAGGCCCGCAGGACACCCCCCGCCCCCGCCCAGCATGACACCTTCTACCCAGACCTCTCCCCTCACTGCTGGCCCGGCCCAAGCTGCCCTTGGCCTCAGTCACTGTGTCTCCGCAGTCGGATCCTTCTTCCTCCCTCTGCTCCCTGTGCAGTGCATGCTGGCTCTGAAACCTCAGCCCTTCAGCAGAGACAAAGCAAACCCGGAAACCCAGTCCCCAGTCTAGCTCAGCTACAACAGAGTCAAGAACATCGGAAAACCCAAAGAAAGGAAGCTCCAGGCCGGGCGCAGTGGCTTATGCCTGTAATCCCAGCACTTTCGGAGGCCGAGGTGGGCGGATCACGAGGTCAGGAGACCGAGACCATCCTGGCTAACACGGTAAAACCCCGTCTCTACTAAAAATACAAAAATTAGACGGACATAGTGGCACATGCCTGCAATCCCAGCTAATCGGGAGGCTGAGGTTGCAGTGAGCCAAGATCATGCCACTGCACTCCAGCCTGGTCAACAGAGCAAGACTGTCTCAAAAAGAAAAAGAAAAAAAAACAGAAGGTTCAGCAGCAATCAGCCTGGAAAACGCTGATACAAAAACCAAGAGGGCAAGACAGTCGAGGAGGGAGATGCCACAGCCTCACTGACTATGGGATGGTGGAGGGCAGGATGAGGCCTGAAGGCACTTGGCGTCCAGCCCAGCTGAAAGGGGGCCTTGGGGTGAACGCTGACACACACCGGCCCCAGCAGTCCCAGGAAGGGGCCACAGGAGCCTCTGGGGTCCTCAGGGTGGGGCATCCTCCCACCATCCACAGTGGCCATGCCTGGCCTCAGGGGTTCCCAAGGAAGGGGCTCACTTCCCCAAAAAGAGAGACTGGGTTCCCAAAGATGAGCTCTGTGGTCTGCAGGAGCTCATTTGAGCCATTCCAGATGGTCAGGGACAAGTAACCACTTTCAGATAAACAGCCTAGCTGACAGGAATTCTAAGTGAACTCAGCTACCTTCCTGGGTAGCAAAAATAGTTTTTATAATAGTTTTATAATACATTGAAGTGGTTGATCTAACGGCATCTGACCCTGAGCTGCATCCTTGGGTCACTGTCAGCAGCGTGGAAGTCACACACCCACCCCTGACGTGTGTCTCCTCCTGCACATTGGAGTCCCGCCTGTGTCCCCGAGGCCCCTGGAAGCAGCTATGACACCCGGGTCCATCTCTGGGGAACTTAGTCCTTCAGCCGCTGAGAATCAAAGTCTGCGGAAAGAAGAGCTCGAGGCCGGGTGCGGCGGCTCACGCCTGTCATCCCAGCATTCTAGGAGGCCGGGCGTGGCGACTCACACCTGTCATCCCAGCACATCGAGAGGCCGAGGCGGGTGGATCACCTGAGGTCAGGTGTTTGAGACCAGCCTGGCCAAGATGGTGAAACCCCGTCTCTACTAAAAATACAAAAGTTAGCCAGGTGGGGCGGCACACACCTGTAATCTCAGCTACAGCTACTCAGGAGGCTGAGGCACGAGAGTTGCTTCAACCCGGGCGGCGGAGGTTGCAGTGAGCCGAGATCACACCACGGCACTTCGGCCTGGGCGACAGAGTAAAACTCCTTCTGGAAAACAACAACAACAACAAAAAAAAAAAAAAAAAAAAAAAAGGCCGGGCGCGGTGGCTCACACCTGTAATCCCAGCTACTCGGGAGGCTGAGGCAGGAGAAGCTTGAACCTGGGAGGCGGAGCTTGCAGTGAGCTGAGATCGTGACACTGCACTCCAGCCTGGGCAACAAGAGCAAGACACCGTCTCAAAAAGAAAAGAAAAAAAAGAGCTCAAGACGGCCTGACCTTGTTGTGTGCAGCCACATGCAGAGGGGCAGGTGCAGGGACCGGCTCACGGAGAGGAACCGGGGTCAGGGTGCAGGGGTCCAGTGGCAGCTTCATGGTGGGCACAGGGATCACCCTCCCTGCACATCCCTGAGCAAGACACAGCCGGGGGTGAGGCCGTGGGGGCTCCTGGGGATGGGACTGGTGTCACTGGCTGGCAGAGCTCATGGACGTTCAAGGCCAGCTCTTCCCTGAGGCCTGGACAGTTCTAAGTCCTTTCCTCCTTTACGTCATTCTCAACTATTTATGTAGATGAGGCAATAAATTAAGAATCATTCAGTTAAGGAGAAATGTCTACTTCAGGGACAAAGCAGCAGCCTCCTCAGCTACACAAGGATGAGCGAGCAGCCACCCTTCTGGATCTCCTGGCGAGGAGATGCGAGGTGAGGCCCCGCCCAGAGGGCTAGACCTGCAAGCCCCACCAGAGGCTGTGAGGACCTGAGGAGGACCAAAGGGACCACAGACCAAGCCATGAGCTCACAGGGACGCAAGATCCCACCTGAATTCCGGCAGCAAAACCACGGTGCCAGTGAGTGCCACGAGGCAAAGGCTCAGAGCAAGGCGAGAGGACAGGAGCCGCTGGCGGGTGAGGCGGGGCCTTCAATAGACAGGCTCAGGGCCACGGGGAGGCTGAGCAGGTTTCGGGCCTGCGTGCGAGAGCCTGCTCTTCAAGTCATGGGGAAATCCTTTCTGAAGGAAGAACCTAAGTACTGCCGGGCGGGAGGAAGGGGAGAGAGGCGCCATCGGAACAGAAACCTGTCCCATCTTCCGGACACCTGCGCCGCCCAGGTCCTGCAGAAGTCCCACTGACGCAAAGCGTTCGACATTGAACCCACAAAGAAAGAAACCAAAGACTCAGCCCGGGCAAGAAGGCGACACCAGGCGGAGGGCCTGACCCATGCTAGGGCCCCAACTGGGCATGAGGGCCTGAAACGTACCCAGAAAAGTGGGCCAAGAGAGGGCCCAGGGCAGGGCAGGCAAAGAGGATGTGCCATCCATAGAATCGACTGCCCCCATTGGACTCCCAGGGCCTGGACATCCGGCTTTGCACAGTCCCTGCGGCCTCAGGGACCACGTTCAGTAGAGGGCGGCCAACACCCGAAGGCCATGAAACAGAGGCACACAGGAGCCTCAGCTGAAGTTAACACACATCTAAGAAATAAACTCCCAGCTGGGCGCGGTGGCTCACACCTGTAATCCCAGCACTTTGGGAGGCTGAGACAGGCGGATCACAAGGTCAGGAGTTTGAGACCAGCCTGGCCAATATGGTGAAACTCATCTATACCAAATTACAAAAATTAGCCAGGCGTCGTGGCAGGCGCCTTAGTCCCAGCTACTCTGGAGGCTGAGGCAGGAGAATTGCTTGAAGCCAGGAGGCGGAGGCTGCACTGAGCTGAGATCATGCCACTGCACTCTGGCCTCGGTGACAGGAGCAAGACTCTGTCTCAAAAAAAAAAAAAAAAAAAAAACTCCCAAGGATGGGCCAAGAAAATTGTCCAGAGGTGAGATGTGGCAGCCACGGGGTGGGGTGCTGGGGGTGGGTGCAGTGGGCAGGCCCCTCCCCTGCCCTGGCTTCCACATGGACCGCGGTGAGGAAGGTAGCTCCGCTCACCCACTCTGCGTCCTCCCACTCGCCCCCGGAGGCCTTCTGGACTTTGGCGTAAACAGGAGGAGCAGGCCCATCAGACCCTTGAGTGAGATTCCCATGGGTTGAGCACGTGTGGCCAATCCCGAGAGGCCACCGGCCAGCATGAGCCAATGTCCTGGCCCTCCCTGCCCTGTTGGTGTCACTCCCGTCCCACAGTGACGTCTGGAACCCTCCCCCGGTGTGTGGCTGCATGGCCTCCTGAGTCTGGGGATGGGAGAATAAGGCTTGTGCTGGAGGCCTTGGGCTGTGACACATACCTGTGGTCCCAGCTACTCGGGAGGCCGAGGCAGGAGGATGCCTTGAATCCAGGAGGGACCCAGAGAGATCTGGAATATTGTCTCATGCAACAGAAAGTGTCATCAACACAGAATCACGTTAAAATTCTGTGGGGGACTAACCATCAGAGAAACAAACTAAGCTTTCTGTCCACACAGAGCAACAAAGAAACCCTGCCTCTACAAAAAATAAAAAATTACCAGCCTGGGGCCGGGCACGGTGGCTCACGCCTGTAATCCCAGAACTTTGCGAGGCCGAGGCAGGTGGATCACAAGATCAGGAAATCGAGACCATCCTGGCTACCACAGGGAAACCCTGTCTCTACTAAAAACACAAAAAATTAGCCAGGCGTGGTGGCAGGCGCCTGTAGTCCCGGCTACTCAGGAGGCTGAGGCGGGAGAATGGCGTGAACCCGGAGGCGGAGCTTGCAGTGAGCAAGATCGCACCACCGCACTCCAGCCTGGGGGACAGAGCGAGACTCTGTCTCAAAAAAAAAAAAGAAAGAAAAAGAAAAAAAAAGGCTGCAGCCAGGCATGGTGGCTCACACCTATAATCCCACCACTTTGGGAGGCCGAGGCGGATGGCTTATCTGAGGTCAGGAGTTCGAGACCAGCCTGACCAATATGGCAAAACCCTGACTCTACTAAAGTACAAAAATTATGGCTGGGCGCAGTGGCTCACGCCTGTAATCCCAGCACTTTGGGAGGCCGAGGCGGGTGGATCACAAGGTCAGGAGATCGAGACCATCCTGGCTAACATGGTGAAACCCCATCTTTACTAAAAATATAAAAAATTAGCCGGGCATGGTGGCGGGTGCCTGTAATCCCACTGCTCAGGAGGCTGGGGCAGGAGAATAGCTTGAACCCAGGAGGTGGAGGTTGCAGTGAGCCGAGATTGCGCCTCTATACTCCAGCCTGGGTGACAAGAGCGAGACTCTGTCTCAAAAAAAAAAAAAAAAGATGGCAAAACCCCGTCTTCTCTACTAAAAATACAAAAATTAGCCAGGCATGGTGGTGCACACCTGTGATTCCAGCCTCCTCCGGAGGCAGAGGCACAAGAATCACTTGAACCTGGGAGGGGAGATTGCCATGAGCCGAGATCACATCACTACACTCCAGCCTGAGACAGAGCGAGAGTGTCTCAAAAAAAAAAAAAAAAAAGTATATATATATATATGTATATAAATCATGGCATCCAAGACAAGTCCACATGCCACCCAACCAGCAGACAACCCCCGCCATCCTCCACGCCAGCCCGGCTGGGGGTAGCTGGTGCCTCAGAGGGGCCACCCTTCAGGGTTCTTGGCAACGTGTTATTCTGAATGTCTGCTCTTTTCTTTCGAGTTAAGGCACATTTGTTCAATTTTAATTCAGGCAATTTTCAGCAGACATGAGTTTAACCCTAACCATGACTTTCCTGGCTAAGCCTAATGCTTTTGACCCTCCAGCAATTCCCAGACACCAGCGGACACCACAGGCCCTTTGCCAGCACTCAGAGAATCAGTGCCTGGGCCCTTGCCTCTCGCCAGACCCCACGGGGCCTTGAGCCCCGGGCCCCAGGCTGCTGGCCCCCCTCAAGTGCCTGCCAGGGATGGTCCCGGGCCCAGGGAGTCAGGACGAGGCAGTGATCTCGCCTGGCAGAGCCTCAACACTGTTCTGTTGTGGGAGGAAGATGGAGGGAGGGCGGAGGTTTAGCAAAGCACCACACCAGGGAGGACAAGCCTGCCGGAGCCAGGGACCATGGACTGGTGCCGGCCGGAAGGCCTGGTGGTTCATCAGCAGGAAGGCTGCACCCACCACTCACTCCACTGAACCATCACCCACCACACGCCCCTCCCTCCCTGCTGGGCCTGGGAGGTGCACAGACCCTGGGGCATCTCGTGGTCTAGGACCTCCTCTTAAGCTGGACTGAGTTGGGCCCAGGTTTCTGCTGTGGACACATCCACCCCCCAGAAAGCTCCTGTCCTGCCAGCGCCCCCAGGCTGCCCGGGCCTTCAACAACCTCTACAGGGCAGAGCAGGCCTGGCTGCTTCCCCAGGCCAGCTGCACGGGGACCTTCCATGTGGGTTAAATGTCCACACCCCAGGCAAAGCCTAAAGCACACACTGGATCTGGACACACACTGCTCCCTGCAGGCAGAAACAAGGCTGCAGTCCCAGCCATGGAGAAGCCACACACGTCTCCCAGAGGCTGCGGGAGGTATAAATAGCACCATTTGTAGGAATGAAAAAACAGTAATGAAAACTAGAAAAATAAGCCCCACAGTAAAGACACTCAGTGTGTGGCCCACAGCTCTCCAGCCTGCCAGGCATGGGGAGGACCCCAGAGGCTGCAAA
The DNA here is from genome assembly GCF_000001405.40 of Homo sapiens. Taxonomy (NCBI): domain Eukaryota; kingdom Metazoa; phylum Chordata; class Mammalia; order Primates; family Hominidae; genus Homo; species Homo sapiens. The sequence goes on from NC_000001.11 coordinate 1,551,367, forward strand.
GGGAACAGCAGCAGGGTGAGCCCCTGAGCAGGCACGCTGGGCAGCTTCTCCCCAAATCACAGCACCCAAGCTGCTTTTGTTGGGCTACAATCAGCAAAAAATGAATTGAGAAGTACAAAGTAAATTTCACTTGCGATCAAATTCTACCTACGTGTGTGTGCCAGCTGCACCAAATGCTACCTGTACACTCAGATTCCCAGAGCCCATCCCCACTGGTCAGGGAGGGGGAGGCCTGACAGCTGCTGCACTGGGCGCTGCTTCCCGAGCTCCCATCCTGCCCACCAGCCTTTCTCGACCAGGGTCCCGATTCGCGGACGCCAACGGCCCAACCTATCTCTGCCCCAAATCCACGTGGGACACAGCACCCATGTCCAGGGACATCCTGAACGTTTTGCCCATCCTTACGCCAACGTCACATCGCCCCGAAGGCCTGAGGGAGGGTGGTGGGGCCCGAGGCCTGTGCTCACCCCATGCAGGCAGGGCCACGCCGGGCCACCACTACCTTTCCCAACAATGGCCCGGTGTGGGCAGCCCAGTGACTCAGATCCTGTCCATAATGCAACAGAGCACAGCAAAGTCAGCCCCTAAACTCATCAGGAACCTTCCAATTCAGGGGATCCCCAAGCCGGCACCCCCACATCTTCCACTAATGTATCAGCAACTCCCCTGGAAACCGAGTGTGAGGCTGACCAGCGTTCCGACCCGGCACTCTGCTACACGTGTGCAGCAGCAGATGCTCTGGAGGGCGCCGGCTGCCCCAGGGCAGACCATCCTCACGCTGGCCGCGTGGACGCAGGGCCACAGCTTCCTCCGCGAAGCCCTCTGCTTGCTCAACGGCACCTGCACAGGGAGGTGAGGTCACTTCCAGAGGCCCTGGGAAAACCAGAGAACTAGGCCGTCCCATTTTTCTCAAAGGTAACCACTCCCCACACAACTGGTACTTACACAAGTGGCTCTGCACAGTTTCTGTGATCGTCCCTGTGCGGCCTCCTCCTTAGGGACCGGGAGGTGCTGGCAGTGAGGTCAAAGGTCAGGGAGCAGGAACCTGCCTGGGACCCCCTTCGATTTTAGGGCCTCCTGACAAATGATCCGGTGTGACTGACAGCACCTTCTACCAGGGTCTTGGTGCCTGAGCTGTGCCCCACGCCCAGAGGGCGATTCCTCCCGAGCCCCCAGCTCAGAGCCTGAGCTCCAGGGCAGGGCCATCTGCCTGCAAGTGACTGCTCTCCATGGCCCTCAGGACGGTGTCTCCTTCCTGAACACTTTCAGTCAGCCTGAGGAGTAAACCCAACAGACGGCAAGATGGCATCACCACACACTATCTAGTCAGACTGAGGCTTAGTAGACTCTCAGATAACAAAAATGGTGGACTGGCCGGGCGCGGTGCCTCACTCCTGTAATCCCTGCACGTTGGAAGGCCGAGGCGGGTGGATCACTTGAGGTCAGGAGTTTGAGACCAGCCTGGCCAATATGGCAAAACCCCATCTCTACTAAAACTACAAAAATTAGCCAGAAATGGTAGCTAATGCCTGTAATCCCAGCTACTTGGGAGGCTGAAGCAGGAGAAACTATTGAACCCACGAGGCGGAGGTTGCAGTGAGCCGAGATTGCGCCATTGCACTCCAGCCTGGGCGACAGAATGAGACTGTCTCAAAAAAAAAAAAAAAAAAAAATTACTTTTTAAAGTTTTCAAGAAAAAGGTCTTAAATTGTGAATTATTCTGCAACACAAAACCAGACTAAACCCGAAACATTCCACTTGGAGGAAAGCCGGTCTCTGCACTGTGGCCCCATGGTGTCCGGCTTCACTTGGACAGAAACCCTGGATCTGTAACCGCAGCCTCACCCTCAGCACTGCTGCCAGCCGAGAAGGGTCTCCGGCTCGGCCCCTCTGTGCCCCCTCAGCAGACAGAACATAAGGGACTTCTTATCTCCACCCCAGGACATTCCAGTTATTTAGTTATTTAAAAAAATAATAATACAGTAGTTGTTTTGCCAGGAAATTCAGCTTCGGAATACAACCTTTTAAGGCTGAGGCAGGCAGATCACGAGGTTAGGAAATCGAGATCATCCTTGCTAACATGGTGAAACCCGTCTCTAGTAAAAGTACAAAAAACTAGGTGGGCGTGGCCAGGCGCAGCGGCTCATGCCTGTAATCCCAGCACTTTGGGAGGCTGAGGCCAGCAGATCATAAGGTCAGGAGATCGAGACCATCCTGGCTAACACGGTGAAACCCTGTCTCTACTAAAAATACAAAAAAAAAAAAAAAAAAAAAATTAGCCGGGCATGGTGGCAGGCGCCTGTAGTCCCAGCTACTCGGGAGGCCAAGGCAGGAGAATGGTGTGAACCCGGGAGGCAGAGCTTGCGGTGAGCCGAGACCACGCCACTGCACCTCCAGCCTGGGTGGCAGAGCGAGACTCCGTCTCAAAAAAAAAAAAAAAAAGGCACCCAGGCTGACAGACGAACTGGAGCAGGCCGCATCTGAAGGATGTCACCAGTGTGACATTCTCTTGACAATGCAGCTGAACTGTCTACTGAAAAAAACGGAGGATAAAGACCTCATCCAGAGGAGGCCAGTGGTCACTATGGACTGTCTCAAGCAGGGATCCTCCTGGGGACCACCAGACTACGTCAGTGGTGAGAACTCAGCAGGTCCGGGGGACGTCAGGTGGCCACGGAGACCACGTGTCAGTGGCCAGGGCCTCTAAAGAGAAACGAGGAGGAAGTGCAGCTCCAGGGAGTGGAGCGGTTGTGAGATTCACCATCAGCAAAAAGTGAAGCTGAGCACGAGGCGGATCCGGACCACTAAGGGGTCCCCACGAAGCTGAGCACGAGGCGGATCCGGACCACTAAGGGGTCCCCACGAAGCTGAGCATGAGGCGGACCCGGACCACTCGGGGGCCCCCACGAAGCTGAGCACGAGACGGATCCGGACCACTCGGGGGTCCCCACGAAGCTGAGCATGAGGCGGATCCGGACCACTCGGGGGTCCCCACGAAGCTGAGCATGAGGCGGATCCGGCCCATTTGGGGGTCCCCACGAGCCCTCGCTGACCACCCACACCCATTTGATGTGGTTGCTCTCAGGATAAACCACCCAGGGCCCCAAGGTGCCAGGACATACCAGGAAACGCCCCAAACACAGCTCGGTTTTCCTTACCAAGGTTTTCTCTTTTCACTCCCTAGGGGCCTTAGTGGGACCAGAACATCCCGGGGAGTTAGAATGAGCGCAGCTGCCCATCCCACAGGAGAACCGAGAGGCCAGGACCACACTACCCTGCTATGAGTCACCAGGGACTTGAAAGGGAACCCACAGGCACTGCCACGCCAGTGTGGCTGGCACCAGGGACCGCACTCTCCCACCACGGCCTGGGAAAAAGCCATGTCAGGTGCAGCACGCTGGCCACAGGCACTGGAGCCACGAAAGCAACAGCCCTGGGCAGCCCAGCACCATCCTGGGTTCCCTGCTGCCGGCGCCAGCCCCACGTACCCCCGACCACCTCAGCTCCTGGCCCTCAGCCTCTCCTTTGCAAACCGTGGCTGGCAGCAGAGACTTCCTTGACGTCAAGTCTCCTGAAGGTGTTGATGCTCCGTGGAAGCCTTGGTCCTTCCCCGGAAGGCCACACCATCTTCCCTGCACGTATGACTCATCCCAGAGCATGCTAAGTGCTGCTGCCCTGACAGACACACCCACGAGGGGGGCCAGCTATCACCTTATTGGCCAGATTGTCCCGGTAACTGAGTGACGGGACACACAGGAACACTGCAGAGCCTGACAGCCATGCCCCTGCCACACACACAGAAGACTCCCCACATCAGAGGGGAGGTCAGAGGTCTCAAAGGTCAGGTTAGAGCTGGGTCAATCCGTTTCCATGGCAAAACTCAAAGCACCGACACAGGAGGCTCCGGTATCTGTGCTCCTGGTGCATGGCGGGGATGAGACAGCCTCGGCGGCGCTGGTGGAGCTCCTGGGAGCCTCGCTCCAGCGAGGACAGAGCTGCAGCTCAGCACAGTGACTGCCCAGGGCTCTGACCCAGATGCCAACAGCCTGGGCAGTGGCACCTCGGCCAAGAAAGGAGGAACCAGTGCTGCAGGGGCCAGGTGGCGGCTGTGGCAGGCATGTCTGGAGGGAGTGTCGTGCATGTGGGTGACAAGAACAGCCGAGTGTGCCACAAGCGTGGACGGCAGCTCCGTACTCAGAAGGGCACGGTGAGAAGAGCAGGTGACACCGACACGGCTGTGCACAGCACGATGCTCTGGGCTCCCGGGATGGACTGGGATCCACTCACCACACTATGCCACAAGCTTGCCAGCTACCACTTCCATGTCAACGTATCAAGAAATACATCTGGGCCGGGCACAGTGGCTGACACCTGTAATCCCAGCACTCTGGGAGGCCAAGGCAGGCAGACTGCTTGAGTTCAGGAATCCAAGACCAGCCTGGGCAACAGGGCGAAACCTCATTTCTACTAAAAATAAAAAAATCAGGCCAGGTGGGGTGGCTCATGGCTGGAGTCCCAGCTACTCAGGAGGCTGAGGTGGGAGGATTGAGCCCAGGGACATAAGGCTACAGGGAGCTATGATGTTACCACTGAACTCCAGCATCAAAGTCAGAGCGAGACCGTCTCGAAAAAATAAATTCACTTTGAGGCTGGGCATGGTGGCTCACTCCTGTAATCCCAGCACTATGGGAGGCCAATGCGGGTGGATCACTTGAGGCCAGGAGTTTGAGACCAGCCTGGCCAACATGGCAAAACCCCATCTCTACAAAAAATACACAAAGTTTGGCCAGGCACGGTGGCTCACGCCTATAATCCCAGCACTTTGGGAGGCCAAGGCGGGTGGATCACAAGGTCAGGAGATGGAGACCATCCTGGCTAACACGGTGAAACTCCATCTCTATTAAAAATACAAAGAATTAGCCAGGCGTGGTGGCGGCGTGCCTGTAGTCCCAGCTACTTGGGAAGCTGAGGCAGGAGAATCACTTGAACAAGGTGAAACCCATGTCTACTAAAAATACAAAAAATTAGCCGGACGTGGTGGGGGGCGCCCGTAATCCCAGCTACTTGCGGGGGCTGAGGCAGGAGAATCGCTTGAACCCAGGAAGTGGAGCTTGCAGTGAGCCAAGACCACGCCATTGCACTCCAGCCTGGGCAAAAAGAGCAAAACTCTTGTCTCAAAAAAAAAAAAATTTCATTTTGATAGCGAATGCTTTTTTGGCAAAGCACAGAGGCTGCACAAACAGAACTCAGGAACCCCTCGAAAAGGTCTCATGGCCATCTCTGGAGCTGCTGGGCACCCAACTGTAACCGTGGCCTCAACACAGAGCCACACAAGGCTCAGGCCAGCTCTGGGGGGGTCCACCATGGCCTTGCGACTGCAGGCACCGTGAAACTACTTTGCAAAAGCATCTCACCTGCTGCAGACTAGGTGAAAACTCACAGGCTTGTGGGCCCTGACCCTGGGCTACCTCTTGAAGACGAAGGCACAGTCAGCACAGCTGCATTCTGTCCAGACCCTCAAATGACCACCAGCAACTACCTCAGCCAGTCAGCTCCGTTCTACCTCTGTCATCTCAGATGAGAAGAGCAGGCCAGTATCTCTGGCCTTACCTGAAATATCTTAAGGCCGTAATTTACATTTTAGGCATGAATGATTTTCTAAAACCCACGATCAGAGTTTCTCTGGGAATCGGCGTCTGGCTTAGGAACACATTCATTTGTTTGACAAATACCTTCCCAAAACTATTTTAAAACACAGCTGCTGGGCGGGACGCAGTGGCTCACACCTGTAATCCCAGGACTTTGGGTGGCCGAGGCGGGTGAATCACTTGAGGTCAGCAGTTCAAGACCAGCTTGGCCAACATAGTGAAATCCTGTCTCTACTAAAAATACAAAAATTAGCCGGGTGTGGCAGTGCATGCCTATAATCCCAGCTACTCAGGAGGCTGAGGCAGGAGAATCGTTTGAACCTGGGAGGCGGAGGTTGCAGTGAGCCGAGATTGCACCACTGCACTCCAGCCTGGGCGACAGAACAAGACTCTGTCTCAAAAAAGTAAATAAATAAATAAATAAATAAAGCTTCATATCAGCATTTCCTTTTTGGGAACTATACTATTCATCTGAATTAGCATATATATATATATGGGGCCGGACACAGCGGCTCACACCTGTAATCTCAAAACTTTGGAAGGCCAAAACAGGTGGTTCACCGGAGGTCAGGTGTTTTGAGACATGTCTGGCCAACGTGGTGAAACCCCATCTCTACTAAAAATACCAAAATTAGCCAGGCGTGGTGGTACGCCGCACCTGTAATCCCAGCTACTCAGGATGCTGAGGCAGGAGAATCGCTTGAACCCGGGAGGCAAAGATTGCAGTGAGCCGAGATCACGCCATTGCACTCCAGCAGGGGTGACAGACTGAGACTCCATCTCAAAAAAGAAGTCTACCACATTTTACTCTGAGACAAGGAAATGTCCACAGGGAAGTGGCCACACACAGAAGTTAACCTAAAAGACAATGAATTCAGAGGACGGACATGAACAAATGTGCAATTTAAAACACAGGCCAGGTGCAGTGGCAACCCCTATAATCCCAGAGCTTTGGGAGGCCAAGGCGGGCTCATCACATGAGGTCAGGACCAGCCTGGCCAACATGGTGAAACCCCATCTCTACTAAAAGTACAAAAATTAGCCAGGCGTGGTGGCACATGCCTGAAATCCCAGCTACTCGGGAGGCTGAGGCAGGAAAATCGCTTGAACCCAGGGTCGGAGGTTGCAGTGAGCCAAGATCGTGCCATTGCACTCCAGCCTGGGCAACAGAGTGAGACTCTGTCTCAATTAAAAAAAAAAAAAAAAGCTGGGCATGGCATAGGCCTCTGGTCCCAGCTACTGGGGAGGGTGACGTGGCAGGATCACCCACCTGAGTCTGGGATGCCCAGGCTGCAGTGAGCTGTGACAGCACCACTGCATTGCAGCCCACACGACAGAGAGACGCCCTGTCTCAAAACCAAATAATAATAATAATCCAAACCCCAAACGTCATTAGAAAAAATTAGGTAATTAGAAAAAAATCCACAAGAGAGGTACAAACAGTATATGCCAGACACAGGCTTGGTCTCCAGCTGCACGGCCAGACGAGACCCAGGAAAGTGTCAGATGCACTTGCGTTTCACAGGACAACAGTCACATTAACATTTAGAGCTACACGTTTACTTGCTTTTGAAGACAAGTGGTTTTGCAGTTCATAACACAAAAAGCTGGTAAACCTTCACTAACTTACATGTACACAGGATGAACTTTCTGTAGGATCCTGTGAGACTCCCACACACCTTCTCATGTGGCTGAATGGGCTTCCCTGGAGCGGGGGAACTGTCCAGGCCGGTGTCTGCCACCCCAGCCCTCCTTTCACAACGGCCTCTCCCTCCTCCTCTACCCTCTGGGCCAGCGGCTGTTGCCTGGACCCCCTCACTGGGCTGAGTGACACTTCACTAGGTCAGACTGGCCATTCACTAACTTAGAAACAGAAGTCACTTGTCTTCTCCCCAAAGGCACTCCAAGCAAGCTTGGGATGGCTTAACCAGACTCCTTTCAATCAAAAATGAAAAAATCCTGCAAGAAAGCTCAACTATGGAAAGTGGCTTCAGTGTAAAATGAAAAAAAATAGAGAAGCCTCTGCACGTGACCCTGGGAGCCAGGCTCAAGCCCCTCGGCAGGACACCCAGCGCAAAGCTGCTCTACTCCACGTGCCACTGAGGCTGAGCGAGGAAAAGTCATGGCAAAGAAACCTGGGACTTAGAAATAGTTCCACGCATGCTCAGCGAAAGAACAAAAGGCTGCATATGAACTGGACAGTGTGGAATGAGCAGACCTGTAGCACGGGAAGCAGCTAAACTGGACGGTGTGGAACGGGCGGACCTGTAGCACGGGAAGCTGCTACAGGCACTGGGAGGAGAATGGGCAGCAGCAAACGGCCTTGGGAGACGAAAAGCGTCTCAAAACCAATTGTGGTGACGGCTGCAACTCCATGAATGTCCTGAAACCCACAGAACTGGACACGCGACTCAGGGAAGTGCATGATTTGTACATTTTATCTCAATAAAAACAATTCTTGATAAAACGGTCAGTCCACCCAAGGAAAGAACCTACACAGTAGAGTTCCCATTTGTCTACAAAGGTCAGGGGAGCTTAGATCCCCGTCCCTGGTCCAGGTATATACACTACTACTATTATTACTACCCTGGCTGGAGTCCAACAGCACAATCTCAGCTCGCTGCAGCCTCTGCCTCCTGGGTTCAAGTGACCCTCCCGCCTCAGCCACCTGAGCAGCTGGGATTACAGGCACACGCCACCACACCCAGCTACTTTTTGTATTTTATTTTTGGAGACAGTTTCATTCTGGTTGCCCAGGCTGGAGTGCAATGGTGCAACTTCGGCTCACGGCAACCTCCATCTCCCAGGTTCAAGTGATTCTCCTGCCTCAGCCTCATGAGTAGCTAGGATCAGGCATGCACCACGATGGCCGGCTAATTTTTTATTTTTAGTAGAGACGGGGGTTTCTCCATTTTGGTCAGGCTGCTCCCAAACTCTCGACCTTGGGTGATCCGCCCACCTCGGCCTCCCAAAGTGCTGGGATTACAGGCATGTGCCACCATGCCTAGCGTTTTGTACTTTTAGTAGAGACAGGGTTTTACCCTGTTGGCCAGGTTGGTCTCAAACTCAACTCGGGTGATCCACCTGCCTCGGTCTCCCAGTATTGGGATTACAGGTGTGAGCCACTGCATCCAGCCCCATGTATGTATACTATTAATTCCCAAAAGAAAATGTGGATGAAACTTTTTTAACAAGAGTCTTGTTCTCTTCCTCAGGCTGGAGCACAATGGCGCAATCACAGCTCAGTGAAGCCTCCTGCCTCAGCTTCCCGAGTAGCTGTGCCACCACACCCACCACATCTGTGTGTTTTTTGTAGAGATAGAGGCTTGCTATGCTGCCCAGGCTGGCCTCCGGCTCCTGGGCTCAACTGAGCCTCCTGCCTCGGTCTCCCCAGGCTGGAACTGCAGGCGTGGCTCGTCTAACTTTACCGAAGGCTCGCATCCCAGTGCTGCAAACCTAGACTCGTACCCTGACAATCCCCAAGGGAGGTTTCAGAGGCACAGGCAGCAAGTCCCTCAACCCCTCAGGCTCACTTCTGGCTTGTGGGGGAAAAGACCAAAATCAGCCATCTAGAGCCAAATACAGTCTCTAACTTATTATGGCTCAATGCAGGATTTTTTCACTTTAGCATGGGGTTACCAGCAGGCAACCTCACAGAAAGTCAAGGAGATTTTGTATTTAAGAAATGAAAGCTGAGAATAGTGGCTCACGCCTCTAATCCAAGTACTCTGGAAGGCCAACATGTGAGGATCACTTGAGGCCAGGAGTTCGAGACAAACCTGGATAACACAGCAAGACCCATATCTAAAAAAATAATAATAATAAATTAAGTATTTCAATACTAATAGGACAACTGGCCAAAATTTATTGAAGGCTTTAAAACACTGTCTCGGGCTCAGTGTGTGCATGTCCTAATTTATTTAATTATCAGAAATTCTGCGAGGTGGGCATGCACAGAGAAACCTAAGCCCTGGCCACATGGCAAGTAGGCAGATGGCAGTGGTGGGGTCCCCCTCGACCCCGGCCCTGCCTCTGAACAAGCAGCATTTTCCTCCCAAGTCACACTGTCCTTCCTTTTTTATTTTTTTGAGACAGAGTCTCACTCTGTCACCCAGGCTGGAGTGCCGTAGCGCGATCTCGGCTCACTGCAGGCTCTGCCTCCCAGGTTCAAGCAACTCTCCTGCCTCAGCCTCCCAAGTAGCTGGGACTACAGGCGTGCACCACCATGCCCGGCTAATTTTTGTATTTTTAGTAGAAATGGGGTTTCACTATGTTGGCCAGGCTGGTCTCTAACTTCTGACCTCATGATCCACCCACCTCGGCCTCCCAAAGTGCTGGGATTACAGGCCTGAGTCACCGCGCCGGCCCGTCCTTTGTCTTGACGCTGTGAACACTCGACCAAGTGCTGCGTCTTATCTTTGGGCCGCATCTTGAACCCCGTCTTGCTTCCACTGCAGTTTACGGCGATGACTTCTGCCAACGCACCGGCTGCTGTGGGGCAGATTTGCTTTCGGGCTCTCACTTGTAACAGTCACTTCCCGCGGCCCCCCTGCACCCATCACTAACCAGGAAACGTTATCGGGGTCCTCCCGACCTGCACATCTCAACACCCCTGAGGCCCCACCCGGCATCGTGCCAGTGTCCACAGGGAACTGCCTGGGGACTTCACTCCTCTCCAGGCCAAGGGCATCATGTGCAAGAGCTTTAGCTAAGTGGCAGGCTTCCCATTCTGCACCTTCTGCCCCCACCTAGGGGGCAAAGACGCCCCCCGAGTGAAATAAGGTAATGAAGGCACGCTCCTCCTAGAGCCTCCTGAGGGGCCACCACAGGCAATGCCTTTCCCACACGAGGTCCCCAAAGCAGAGCCCGTGGCTGACAGTGTCCCAGCGCCACCCCTGCTGCCACTCCTTCCCCCCACCACACACCAAGAGCACACACACGCACGCGGGGTTCTTCTGGGCCGATGCTTCCTGGGAGATCACCAACCCCTACAGTCCCTCTGTAAAGGAGGAGCTTCCGAATTCTGGGACACTGGGCTCAGCTCCTTCTTTTAGAATGACCAGAGACAGGCTCATCCTCTGCCTATACCAAGTCCTTCCGGATGAGACTGCTGAAGCTGGACTCAGTCCTTGCAGAACGTGGCAAGTACTTCCCAGGTCTGGAACCCAGGAGGTCACAGTGGGCTGACATGAAGGGGCTGAGCTTACACCAATCAAGGGAGTGTGAGGATGTGCGTCACTCTCTGCTTTTCTTTCTCTTACTGAATATACAAGAACTTAAAAATAAACAGTGCTAACTGAAGAGTAATTGTCAAAAACAGGATGTCAGGCTAAGCTTCATGGCACAGAGTTTAATGTGAATCATGAGATGAGACAAAAGCCTCCTCCAGGGCGATGGGAAGACCCAGCCCCAAACCAGACTCTTGAGCACGCAGCCCTAAACCAGACTCCGGGAAGGGGCTGCGTGGTCATGCACCGCCTAAGACTCAGAGGTGAAGATGGGAAGACCCAGCCCTAAACCAGACTCCTGGAAGGGGCTGCGTGGTCACGCATCGCCTAAGACTCAGAGGTGAAGATGGGAAGACCCAGCCCTAAACCAGACTCTTGGAATAGGCTCTGTGGCCACCCATCGCCGTAAGGCTCCGGGATGGAGACAGCATGGACAGGGACCTCGCACAAAGGCATGTCGGGAGGGCCTCCTTTCCAAGGCACAGCCCCACCTGCTCCTTCTCAGCCCACGACGGGAGCAGAGCCATGTCGAAGCCGTGCCCCACACAGGGTGGACAAGGACATGGCCTGACAGCTCCTCAGAAATCCTTAGAGATTTTTCCAAACGCAGGTTACCAGGGCTTCTGCAGAGAGAGGGGCAGCAGGACGTGCTGCTGACAGTCCCTGGGGACTTACACTGACTTGCAGTGAGAGCCCACATCTGCCACCAGGATGGCTCCCAGCACCACCGCGTCACAAGCACCACACTCTCCACCGTGGGACGCCCAGATGGCTCGGCAGGCAGGCCGGGCTGGGGAGCTGACAGCAGACGCCTGGGACTCTGCCCAGCGTCCTCACCCACAACCTTTTAACTGTAACTGGCAGAGGAGACAGCAGGGAGGGCAGAAGGTACAGTGATGGCTAGGATGCAGTTCTAGGTTTTGCCAGACATACTTTCAGGGGCCACTCCTGGCTACCTAATTAATCTACCTGTGTATAAGAATTTTTTAGCTTATTAAATATTCCAAGAGGCCAGGCATGGTGGCTCACGCCTGTAATCCCAACACTCTGAGAGGCCGAGGCAGCTGGATCACGAGGTCAAGAGTTCAAGACCAGTTTGGTCAAGATGGTGAAACCCCCGTCTCTACTAAAAATACAAAAATTAGCCAGGCATGACAGCGGATGCCTGTAATCCCAGCTATTCGGGAGGCTGAGGCAGAGAATCGCTTGAACTTGGGAGGGGGAGGTTGCAGTGAGCTGAGATCAAGCCGCTACACTCCACCTTGGGCAACAGGGTGAGACTCTGACTCCATCTCAAAAAAAAAAAAAAAAAAAAATACAAGAGTAGGGCTGAGCATGGTGGCTCACGCCTGTAATCCCAGCACTTTGGGAGGACGAGGAGGGTGGATCACCTGAAGTCAGGAGTTTAAGACCAGCCTGGCCAACATGGTGAAACCCTGTGACTACTAAAAATACAAAAATTAGCCAGGTGTGGTGGCGCGTGCCTGTAATCCCAGCTACCCAGGAGGCTGAAGCAGGAGAATCACTGGAACCCGGGAGGTGGATGTTGCAGTGAGTCTGCAGTGAGCCAAGATCTCGCCACTGCACTCCAGCCGGGGTGACACAGTGAGACTCTGCTGGGAAAGGGCGGGGATGGCAAGAGTGCCAATACATAGACAATGCTGGGCAAGGCCAGAGATGCTGGTCAAGGGCGGGGATGTCGGGAGAGGGCGGGGATGGCAACAGTGCCAACACGAAGATAAAAGGTTTAGCATTTGACACCTATTCTCTTTTCATTTGGAATACGTTTGGCCTGGCCTCCGTTCTGAAAACTACAAATCACTCACTATAACAAAATAAGATCCAGAAACTTTCCATTAGCGTGGGGGTGACCATGAAATGCCTGGTCAAAAACCCGGGCACTGATTGTCATAACCATTATGCAACTGGTGTTGCGTCCATCAGAATCTAGTTTAAGAATACTCTTCTCTCTATAGGAGTCTTCGCGGCAGACCTAGCCTGCTCTGTGTCCTCCTGAAATGAAGGAATGTTCTCTCCCATTATTTCTTCTAACAGCTTGGTTAGCAAGCTCCGCCCTCTTCTTTATCTGACCTTCTAACGACCTCACCAGATGTGTGAAGCAGCCCGGCTCCATGTGTATCAGGCACGCACGCACACACGCACGCACACCAACCTGCAAAGGAAATAACGGGGCAGCCCTGCAGTGTGAAAAGCAATGGGATTTTGTGGGTTCCACCTCCTCACCTAAGCATCCCTGGTCTACGCTATGTCACGACCCTCTGCTGAACCACGTCAGGGTGAACCCCACACCGTGTCTGTGCGCCTCACCACGCCTACTGCCATGGGTGGCACTGGAACTAACCCGTGGACGATCCGACGTGCACCAGGAATAGAAACCAAGCTCTCGCAAAGACAGAGGAGCCAGTGTGTGCACTGCACAGGGTGACACGCCTCCTGTGCCCGAGCCACACGTAACACCTTCCAGGGAGGACCACACGGGGGGTTTTTAAAGGGCAACCCGCTGGGATACAGTTCTTTGTCTTTCCTAAGAAGATCATTGTACATCTGGTCATATGTGGTTTTGAAATCATAAACATTGGGCTTGTCGGGAGCTGGTCCTGGAAGCTTCACGTGAGTCCCTGTTCCAAAGGATCGGACGCTGAATCCCCGTTTGCTGAAAGACAAAAGGAGAGAAAGAATCACAGTCACACTAAGACACAAAATTCCAAAAGCAAGGGACAGCAAATGGGATAGAAACAAAATGAGTAATTTCATTGGCTCATAGTAGAGAATATGTCTTCAAATTTTTAATCTAGGCCGGGCATGGTGGCTCGCGCCTGTAATCCCAGCACTTTGGGAGGCCAAGGCAGGCGGATCATGAAGGCAGGCGGATCATGAAGGCAGGCGGATCATGAAGGCAGGAGATCAAGACCATCCTGGCTAACACGGTGAAAACCCGTCTCTACTAAAAATACAAAAAATTAGCCGGGCGCGGTGGCGGGCACCTGTAGTCCCAGCTACTCGGGAGGCTGAGGCAGGAGAATGGCGTGAACCCGGGAGGCGGAGCTTGCAGTGAGCAGAGATAGCACCACTGCACTCCAGCCTGGGCGACAGGCTGTAGCAAGTTACACAAAAGCAATCAAACCAGAACTGACCATCACAAAGCCACATCTGAACATCATAGCTTGTTTAAGGCTTTACTTTAAACTGAAAGGACTGACTGATGTGGACTTGGGGAAGATTTCATCAGAACATTTTGGCCATCGACCAACGTCCTGGCTTTGGAGGATCCAAGTTCACAGGATTCCTAAGGGACTCACAAAGGTCCAACTGCCCGCTCCACCACAGGAAACTCTGTCTCCCCCAGTTTCCCAACACCCCCACGATGTGGCTCCATGGGAACCGAGACCCAACACCCAAAGGAGTCCCACAGGCTCAGGGTTGCTGCAGGCAGAGAACAGATGCCGCGATGGGTCCGACGGTGCTTGTTCCTTGGACTTCCTAGTCACAGGTGAGGAAACTGACCAAATACTTTTCCTAATCAACTGGAGAAAAGAGCTGAACAGGAAACGTGTGTCATGTGCCACCAATGAGCTCTAGTTCACGCAAGGAGAAAGAGAGGTCGTCTCCAAACACTGATGGAGTGTGGTAAGACCAGAAAATTCTTCTGTCATCGCTGACAAGCACACTTAAGTTTGTCACAACAAGTTACATGTAAAAAAGTTACTTTGGCACCGAGTGCGGTGGCTCACACCTTCAATCCAGGCACTTTGGGAGGCCGAGACAAATGGATCACCTGAGGCTGGGAGTTTCAGACTAGCCTGGCCAGGAGGCGAAACCCCAGCTCCGTTTCTACTAAAAAAAAAAAAAAAATTAGCTGGGCATGGTGGTGCGTGCCTGTAATCCCAGCTACTTGGGAGGCTGAAGCATGAGAATCGCTTGAACCCAGCAGGCACAAGTTGCAGACATTGGAGATCTCACCACTGCACTCCAGCCTGGGCAAAAGAGCGAGACTCTGTCCCAAAAAAACAACAAAAAAAGTTACTTTGGTATAGAACATGTGTTCTTGTAAAGTCACAACTGATACTTATAATTACCTAAAAAATATAGACTTCTCAACCTAGCTTTATTTATAAATCACAAAAGGTTTGCATCTGAAGGAATCTGCCTGGCTCAGGGCGCAGGGCGCACATACACTTCCATTAACACTAAACTCCTCTTACAGGCCTGTCATTCTTGTTCAGAAAAGTGCTGCTGCTTCGCTCTTGAGCAAGAATGACACACAGACACGTGAGGAGTTCCATATTATTTTAAAAAAAGAAAAGTAAGGCCGGGTGCGGTGGCTCACGCCTGTAGTTCCAGCAATTTGGGAGGCCGAGGTGGGCAGATCATGAGGTCAGGAGATCAAGACCAGCCTGGCTAACATGGTGAAACCCCATCTCTACTAAAAATACAAAAAATTAGGCGGGCGAGGCGGCGGGCGCTTTTATAGTCCCAGCTACTCGGGAGGCTGAGGCAGGAGAATGACTTGAATCCGGGAGGCAGAGGTTGCAGTGAGCTGAGATCGCGCCACTGCACTCCAGCCTGGGCGACAAGAGCGAGACCCTGTCTCAAAAAAAAAAAAAAATTACTGAATGTTGAATGAGTAACAGTGTCACAAGAGAGGAAAAACTCAGGCAGAGGGGGCTGCTGGAGTGTAACCAGTCTCTATGCGGATAATGGGGCAACACCCAGCAAGTGAAAACTACCTGTGCCTTTCTCACAGACACTGGCTTCTAGAAACCCGCCCTACGGACATACACGTGCCTCTGCAACATGGCTGCCTGCAGGATGCCCACTGCCGGCCTTCCACAGCCACAAAAGAACAGACAAGTAGAATAATCCATCCATGGGGCAGGACAGGCCATGCGGCTCCACGCGCACCTCCGAAGATGAGTAGAGGAAGCAAAAGAGCCCAAGGGCACCCTGCTGCGCCACCACACACGTCACCCACACACACAGAGAAGATGTGCTCATCTAGTGTACGTGAAACACCTGAGTCCCCTGAGGCTGATGACAGCTGCGTCAGTCCTTACATCCCTAGATATTCCGAGCTACACAACCCGGCTCTCCAAACATCTACCACACACGGCCAGAAATGTGGCACAATAGCAGCGATTCATGACTACAAACCCGTGTTCACGGCACCCGGACTGTGAAATAAACGTGAAAATGCTAAAATTAAAATTCCTGACATTCAGTCATAACCACAGATCCTGACGGAAACATGAGGTTAAAGCAATAAAGTCAACTGTTGGTTGTGACTGAGAGGGTGACGGAGGCCCAGACACAAGGCATACCACAGGGAGCACACGTGAGAAACAACAAGCCTAAAATGACTTCCTTACCAATTCAGACAACATACAATAAAATATGTTCCGTCAAAGCACAAACAAGGGCCGGACGCGGTGGCTCACTTGAGGTCAGGAGTTCGACAACAGCCTGGCCAACATGGTGAAACCCTATCTCTACTAAAAATACAAAAATTAGTCATGGTGGCACACGCCTGTAATCCCAGCTATTCGGGAGGCTGAGGCAGGAGAATTGCGTGAACCCCGGAAGCGGAGGTTGCAGTGAGCCGAGATCGCGCCATTGCACTCCAGCCTGGGAAACAGAGCGATACTCTGTTTCAAAAAAAAAAAAAAAAATCGCACAAAGAAGCCCAGGATCAGCGTGATCACAGCAGCCAAAGGAGACAGCCTGCCTCCCAACACCAACAAGAACTCACCACCTGCTGGACGTTCCTTTAAGTTAGCCTATTTAAAAACAAAATGCAGTTTGTTTTTCCCCCAACAAAAGGTTCACGAATGGCAAAAAGGCTATTTAGCAACAGAAGCAGTATTTCTCCCAAACTGATGCAACCGACAGGGCAGCCAGCTTGCGACTCAACAGCGTTTCTTACATAAAAGCAAGGACAGCTTGGAAAACACTCCTGACACCAACAGGCTTCGCCTGAAGGGCCAACGCCTTTGTAAACTAATCTTCCAGACAAGTATTTGTCTGGTATGCCAAACAACTGTCTTTACAAGTACCAAAAATCTATCAGAGGGCTTGTAATCCCAGCACTTTGGGAGACCAAGCAGGTGGATCACTTCAGCTCAGGAGTTTGAGACCAGCCTGGCCAACATGACAAAACCCCGTCTCTACTTTAAAAAAAAAATAAAAAAATAAAAAAAGCCAGGCGTGGTGGTGCGCGCCTGTAATCCCAGTTACTCCGGAGGCTGAGGCTGGAGAATCGCTTGAACCCGGGAGGTGGAGGTCGCAGTGGGCCCCGTGATGGTGCCACTGCACTCCCGCCTGGGTGACAAAGTGAGACTCTGTCTCAAAAAAACTCCAAAAAACTATCATAAAGAAGCCATCAGGCGGGGCATGGTGGCTCACGCCTGTAATCCCAACACTTTGGGAGGCGGAGGAGGACGGATCACTTGAGGTCGGGAGTTTGAGACTAGCCTGACCAACATGGAGAAACCCCGTCTCTACTAAAAATACAAAACTAGCCAGGCGTGGTGGCTCATGCCTGTAATCCCAGCTACTTGGGAGGCCAGGAGTTCAATACCAGCCTGGGCAACACAGTAAGACCCTGTCTGTAAAAATAAATAAATAAATAAGGCCAGGCACGGTGGCTCACGCCTGTAATCCCAGCACTTTGGGAAGCCAAGGCAGGCAGATCACCTGAGGTCAGGAGGTTGAGACCAGCCTGGCCAACATGGTGAAACCCCGTCTCTACTAAAAATACAAAAAAATTAGCTGGACATGGTGGTGCATGTCTGTAGTCCCAGCTACGCAGGAGGCTGAGGCAGGAGAATCGCTTGAACTCGGGAGGCAGAGGCTGCAGTGAGCCGAGATCTTGCCACTGCACTCCAGCCTGGGCGACAGAATGAGACTCCGTCTCAAAAAATAAAATAAAAGAAAAAAACAAAAAAACAAAAACAAAAAGCCACAAAACAAACAAACAAAAAACCTAACTGGTTCCAAGGGGACACTTTAATCCTTGGAGCACCAAGCGCAGGAGGCTCTGTGGAAACGTACGGCGGAGTCTTCTGGCGCTGCCCTGAAACATGAGGACTCCCAGGACTCTGGTATTTGAAACAATTTAGTCTCTAACACCAAAGATGATCACCCCAGAGAACGCTAACATGTCGACACTTACTATCACTTGGATTTATCAGGAAAATAGAGTCCACGCTGATTTTCAATAGGGTGAAATTGTTACTGTGTCTGTTTTTAGAGACAGAGACTTGGTTTGTCGTCCAGCCAGGAGTTCAGTGGCGCAGTCACAGCTCACAGTCATAGCTCACCACAGCCTCAACCTCTTGGGCTCAAGTGATCTTGCTGCCCCGTCTCCCAAGCAGCCAGAATGACAGGCATGTGCAACCACATGTGGCTAAGTTTTAAAATGTTTTGTAATGATAGCGGGTCTCACTGTGTTGCCCAGGGCTCAAACTCCTGGGCTCAAGCAATCCTCCTCCCTCAGCCTCCCAAAGTGCTGGACTATAGGCCGAAGAGCCACCTTGCCAGGCCCAAAATTTTTAAAAGGGGCGAGGTTCACTGATCAGCTAGCTACTGTGCCTGCTCAGTTAACTACAATTCCTTCTGACAATTTTATTTCAGCTTTCCTGTGCAGTTTTATGTAGCCCTACCCAACTGCATACAATTTTCCTGCTTTTTTCACTTACCATAAGCATTTCCTACGCTTTTCACATCATTTTTAACGCCTAAAAGACTCTCTAAATCTGACTTTCACAAGCTTTCCCAGTGTAACAGAAAAGCACTATCACACAGAGTTTCTGAGTATTAAAACTCTCTAAATAAACCCAAATCAATAGACAAAGGACATAAACAGGTAATTTTCAAAAGCAAAAATGCTCTGGGTGCGGTGCCTCACACCTGTAATCCAAATGCTTTGGGGCGCTGAGGCAGGAGGATCGTTTTAGCCCAGATATTCAAGGGTGAAGTGGTGAGCTATGATCACGCCACTGCACTCCAGCCTTACTCTGGCTTGAAAAAAAAAACAAAAAAAAAAGGGAAAATGACAACAGACATAAATTCCAACTTCAATAAGGCCAAGCTAGAAAACCGAGACATGGAAGAACACCCTGCCGACCAGAGGCCAGGAGAAGTGGAGTGAAATTTCCTAAGAGTCTGAAGGATTTCCTGCCCGTTACCCCCGAGACCCCAGTCATGACATGGAGGAAGAGCCACATGCAAGATGGACACAAGCCACAAGCTGTGCTGTGAACCTGGGCACTCAGCGCCAATGCCACCAGTCTGTGAGTCTCTGCAGGGACCCCCCCCACCCCAAAATCGGACTGCCAAATTCTCCCGTTTGACTGGGGTATTATAGAAAATTATTTGTATGAATAATGAAAATAAGCCATCTCGTGGCAAAAAAAGGAAACTAATGATGTGAATACTAACTATGGAGCAGACAACAGAACAAGAGCTTATCCCCGATGCATGCGTGAACACATGGAGACAGACGGACACCAAAATGGTACCTCTGAGAGACCACTTTCATTTTCTACAGTAAGAATTTCTGCAACAAGCAGGCTGGGCGTGGTGGCTCACGCCTGTAATCCCAGCACTTTGGGAGGCCAAGGCGGGCAGATCACGAGGTCAGGAGATCGAGACCACCCTGGCCAACACAGTCAAACCCCATCTCTACTAAAAATACAAAAAATTTGGCCGGGCGCGGTGGCTCACGCCTGTAATCCCAGCACTTTGGGAGGCCGAGGCGGGCGGATCACGAGGTCAGGAGATCGAGGCCATCTGGCCAACACGGTGAAACCCTGACTCTACTAAAAGCACCAAAAATTAGCCGGGCGTGGTAGCGGGTGCCTGTAGTCCCAGTTACTCAGGAGGCTGAGGCAGGAGAATGGCATGAACCCGGGAGGCGGAGGTTGCAGTGAGCTGAAATCGCGCCACTGCACTCCAGCCTGGGCGACAGAGTGAGACTCCATCTCAAAAAAAAAAAAAAAAAAAAAAAAAAAAAAAAAAAAAAGTTAGCTGGGAGTGGTGGCAGGCGCCTGTAGTCCCAGCTACTCGGAGGGTTTGAAGGAGAATCGCTTCAACCTGGGATGCAGAGGTTGCAGTGAGCCAAGATCGTGTCATTGCACTCCAGCCTGGGCGACAGAGGGAGACTCCGACTTCAACAAAAAAAAAAAAAAAGGAAATTGAAGGTCTATGTCTAAATTAACTTCATGATATCCATATTCATGATATCCATAATAGATGTCACCTTAAATTTACTTCCTTTTGACTCTCTTCTGAGTCTACTCTTTTATGAGTAAATTTGAATGATGGCGGCACAGGTAAAAGCACACCCAAGAATTCATTATTCAGAGGTGCTCTCCGCTCCTTTTCCAGAGACCACAGCTCTGCCAGCAACGGCCACTGGCCACTCTGAACTAAAAAGGACTTGGTCATCTTCAGTCATCGTCTCAGCGAGGTTATGACTGGCATGTCTTTAAAGTAGCCGCTAAACCTGATTTTATTAACAAGATAGCTAAATAATTTTTTTTTTTGAGACAGAGTCTCGCTCTGTCACCCAGGCTGGAGTGCAGTGGCCGGATCTCAGCTCACTGCAAGCTCTGCTTCCTGCTTCCCGGGTTCACGCCATTCTCCTGCCTCAGCCTCCTGAGCAGCTGGGACTACAGGCGCCCGTCACTATGCCGGGGTCATTTTTTTGTATTTTTTGTAGAGACGGGGTTTCACCATGTTAGCCAAGATGGTCTCGATCTCCTGACCTCGTGATCCACCTGCCTCGGCCTCCCAAAGTGCTGGGATTACAGGCGTGAGCCACCGCGCCCAGCCCTAAATAGAATTTTTAAAACATTTCCTTTTGTTAAGATTTCTACTCCATCTTGCCAGGCGCAGTAGCTCACGCCTATAATCCCAGCACTTTGGGAGGCCCACGCAGGCGGATCACGAGGTCAGGAGATCGAGACCATCCTGGCTAACATGGTGAAACCCCGTCTCTACTAAAAATACAAAAAAATTAGCCGGGCGTGGTGGCGGGCGCCTGTAGTCCCAGCTACTCAGGAGGCTGAGGCAGGAGAATAGTGTGAACCCAGGAGGCGGAGCTTGCAGTGAGCTGAGATAGCACCACTGCACTCCAGCCTGGGCTACAGACTCCCCCTCAAGAAAAAAAATATATATTCTACTCCAACTTTATTTTATTTATGTATTTATTTGAGATGGAGTCTTGCTCTGTCGCCCAGGCTGGAGTGCAGTGGCATGATCTCGGCTCAATGCAAGCTCCGCCTCCTGGGTTCATGCCATTCTCCTGCCTCAGCCTCCCGAGTAACTGGGACTGCAGGCGCCCGCCACCACGCCCGGCTAATTTTTTTGTATTTTCAGTAGAGACGGGGTTTCATCGTGTTAGCCAGGATAGTCTCAATCTCCTGACTTTGTGATCCGCCCATCTCGGCCTCCCAAGGTGCTAGGATTACAGGTGTGAGCCACTGCGCCCGGCCTACTCCATCTTTGTTATGCAGGTACAGCAGAAAATCTTGAACAAAGGATCACCAAGGAGAACCAGCAGAACCAGAAGGTCTCCAGCCCATTTGTTATTCCAATTAACAATAATTTTGTCTTGGGGGGGGGGGGGTGAGCCTTGCATTGTTTTGCTTAAATGTATCAAATTTTTACAGGTAACTGCAGTTTATAAATGAAGATCCAGCACAATGTAATTCTAGCACATTTCTAGTTTTAAAAACAACCTTTGGCCGGATGCGGTGGCTGACGCCTGTAATCCCAGCACTTTGGGAGGCCGAGGCGGGCAGATCACCTGAGGTCAGGAGTTTGAGATTAGCCTGGCCAGCATGGTGAAGCTCCGTCTCTACTAAAAATACAAAAAAAGCCGGGCGCAGTGGCTCACGCCTGTAATCCCAGCACTTTGGGAGGCCGAGCGGGCAGATCACGAGGTCATAAGATCAAGACCATCCTGGCTAAGATGATGAAACTCCGTCTCTACTAAAAATACAAAAAAAAAAAAAAATTAGCCGTGCCTGGTGGCCGGTGCCTGTAGTCCCAGCTACTCGGGAGGCTGAGGCAGGAGAATAGCTCGATCTCGGGAGGCACAAGTTGCAGTGAGCCGAGATCGCGCTACTGCACTCCAGTTTGGGCGACAGAGCAAGACTCTGTCTCAAAAAAAAAAAAAAAAAAAAAAAAAAAGAAAGAAAAGAATAAAGAGAAAGAATCAGCAGATCATGAACACTTGACACTGATTTTTGGGGGGTGTTTTTTGGTCTCCAACTCCTGACTTCAGGTGATCCGCGTGCGTCGGCCTCCCAAAGTGCGGGGACTACACGCGTGAGCCACCGTGCCTGGCCCACGTGACACTGTTAAAAACGGAAAAAAAAGGGGGACTGTTAATTTTCCCAAGTTGCTCAGGAAAGTTATAGCTGGACTGCGAGAAGAGAAGCGAAACACTGTTTTCATTTAAAGTTCACGTAGGTAACTTTGGAGGTAAAAAAGCCATTTCAACTTTCTTACTATCAAAGTTGACACATACCAAATTTTAACTGTAAGTCAAGTGGTCAGTTTCTCAGTTTGCTATGTGACTGAACAAAAAACTTGTTATCAAGCAGGAATAAACTTTCATTAGACATACGCTACGCAAGAGTCACAGGCGGCCAGTTAGCAGGGAATATAAACTAGCAGAGCCAAACCAAGTCCACGTTGTATTCCAGAAACTACCGGTTGGAGGCGTTCCAGGGAGGAAGAGAGGATCTTTCGCAAAAAAAAAAAAAGAAGAAGAAGTAGCAAACACACAAATCCATGGCATTAAAAAAAGAGACCGCTTTGTTATTTACAACATCGTGGTATGCCGTGATTGTGTTGCGCGCCGTTTCCAGGGAAGGTGGCCAACGACGCACACGAAATACCATGATCGGCCGCCGCCGCGCAGCCCCTCGCCGCGGACGCTACCCTCGCCCCCCGGGCCCGGCCTCGGAGAGCTCGAAGGACCACCGGACAGCGGGCGCCTCGTCCCGGAACCTGCCTTCCCTGTGATGCCCACCCGCGTGTGGACTACGCGCGCTGCCGTCCAGCTGCCATCCCAACCAGCCGACCCACGAGCGCGGCCCGGCCCGGCTTCCTCTCAGGGGTCCTGGCGCGGGCCAGGGGGAACCGGGGAGGAGGGAGGGCCGGTCGCCGGAGCAGAGCGCGCGGGGACAGGGTGGAGCCCAACTACCTGAGGATGTTGTGCGCCTCCATGCTCCGGTTCTGGTTGCTCGAGCACACCACCGCCACCCGCAGCGGGGACGACGGCATGGCGGCGGCCGCAAATCCCGCGGCTCTCCCGCTTGGGTTCCCACCCTACCGCGGCGCTTCCGCGCGAACAAAATGGCGGCCGCGGTGGCCGGAAGCGGGCGACGCGAAACGACGGCGCCGGCGGTGTAGCGTGCGGCGACTGCGCGGCGGCCTCCCCGCCCACCCTGGGCGCCGGGCCGCGGACGGAGCGCAGGCACTGGCCTTCGGGCGCGCTGCACTCGGCGAGGCCGGGGGCGGCCAACGCCGCGCCGGCCCCCGGCGTCCGCAGCAGAGACCCGCACTCCACAAGGCCCGGCTGAGCGTCACGGCGCCAAGCGGCGGCGTCCTGACATCAGCACCCCGCGCCGGCGCCTAGTGTGACGCGACGACGTGCGGAACAACAGGACGTCATAAGGTGTCGCCGCCGCCTTTGGGAGCGATGCGAAACGCCGCGCTTGCCGGAGATAGCATTGAGGGCCCTTCCGCGGCCCGGCGTTTCGTCTCTTGGGACGATTTTGTGCGTTCCCTCGGTCCCCGTGGGGCCCATAGTCCTCACTTCTGCCACCCCAGAGTCGTCGCGCTTCACTAGACCCGCTCCCTCCACTGTCCCGGAGGCCCACAGACATTCCCGCATTCTGAGGCTCGCTCCCGTCCCGTGCCGCTGTTACCGGCCTCCGGCCCCGGCTCATACAAGCAGGAGCACATCGCTCTTTTATGAAAGCCCTTCAACATTTAACGTTTAAATGCGAGGGCCGACCTGTGACAGACCTGGTTGGGAGTGCACGTCGACTAGGATCTTCCTCGCCTCGGGCTTCCTTGGAGAGGCCGCCGGCTGGTCTGAGATTTGGGTCCAGTTACAGTAAATCCAGTCAACGCGAGTGTGTCATTCCCCAGCTATGCCTGTCTGCCTGGATGCAGCCTCGCGGTGGACAGTGGGCTGATGTTTTGCCGTGGGAGCGCCACGGACGGGAGAGGGAGTGATAATGATTGTCAACCTAATAACAGGCTAACTGAAAATGATATTTATTTGGGAATAGGGCGTTGGCGAATATGCGTGCCATAGTAAACGATTTGCGCATTCAGGAAAGTAATGGTTTTTAAAGAAAAAATGAAGAGGAAGATAATGGTTTGGAAATAATTAACCTTGGCTACAAAGAACAGTAACAAGTGTACTCCCGGCCGGGCGCGGTGGCTCACGCCTGTAATCCCAGCACTTTGGGAGGCCGAGGCGGGCGGATCACGAGGTCGGGAGATCCAGACCGTCCTGCCTAACCCGGTGAAACCCCGTCTCTACTAAAAATACAAAAAATTAGCCGGGCGTGGTGGCGGGCGCCTGTAGTCCCAGCTACTCGGGAGGCTGAGGCAGGAGAATGGCGTGAACCCGGGAGGCGGAGCTTGTAGTGAGCCGAGATCGCGCCACTGCCCTCCAGCCTGGGCGACAGAGCCAGACTCCGTCTAAAAAAAAAAAAAAACAAGTGTACTCCCGTTCCAGGGTTGGACAGGCAGTTGCTGGGCAGCTGTCCTTGCTGAAGTATTTTTTGTGTAAGATTGCCTTAGTGCAAGGTTGTGGTTTTTGCAGAATCTTGTGATAGTTTTTCTTATTATTGATTCATGAGAATTCTCCATGGCCTTTCCCAGCTGTCTTTGTCAAGGTATTTTTTAAACATAAGTGAGTCCACTTTTATTTGACAACTTGGGTATTTTCCCCTTTTGATTGAGATCTTTCTCCAAATGCATCACTAATGAGTCATCCTGTAATTAGGTTTTGATAGTCCCCGTGCTGGGATGAACTTGTCCCAGATAGCTGGTCTGGTCCCACACTGGAGAGAGTGGCTGCTGGGAGTCATTGTCAAAACCCTTTTTTACCATATTTGAGCATCAAAGGAGGTTTGAAGGGTGTGGCTCTCAGGCTAAGTCTAACCTGGAGTCCATTATTAACTTCAACTTTTGTCACTTCTGTAGTCTTTCTATCATCTCAAAGTGCTGTGTCAGCATTATTCTGTTAGAAATTGTACTTGTAGCCGGGCGCGGTGGCTCACGTCCGTAATCCCAGCACTTTGGGAGGCCGAGGCGGGTGGAACACGAGGTCAAGAGATCGAGACCATCCTGGCCGACATGGTGAAACCCTGTCTCCACTACAAATACAAAAGTTAGCCGGATGTAGTGGTGCGCACTTGTAGTCCCAGCTACTCAGGAGGCTGAGGCAGGAGAATCACCTAAACCCAGGAGGCGGAGGTTGCTATGAGCTGAGATTGTGCCTATGCAGTTCACCCTGGCAACAGAGTGAGATTCCATCTCAAAAAAATAAAAAAAAAGAAATTGTCCTTTTGCAAAATATGGCAATGAATAAGTTTAAAAGGGGAAAATACAAGGTAAAATCAATAATAATATGACTATCCCAGTTTGCATATTGGTTTTGACCCATGAACCTAGGCTTAAAGGAAAGCAATTAAAAAGAAAAAAATTAGAAAACAAAAATAGAAAAATAGAGATTAAAGGAAGCCAATTGAATAAATAAAATGGCCATAGAAATTACACGAGACTTGTAACCATGTGCCTGTTTTCTTTCTGTGTGTAAATGGATCTCAGTGTTCCAGAGGAATTTACCCACATACAGCATATAGTATTGACATACTTATTTAATACCTTATTTAACCAATAGGTACTAAAGATCTCTTAGGTCAGGTTTTTGTGAAGTTACCAGCAGAAGCTATTGATTGTGAAATGTCAGTTATACCATTGATGGCAGTGGCAGCCTCTCTTGAGTGGCTGCTGGGAAGATGCTGGCTACAGCAGGGGAGGCTCAGCTGGGACTCTGTGCTCCACTGAGCATGTGGGAGCCCTGCCCCCTTCCAAGTTGGCAGGACAGGAGCCCCACCCTCCTGGGAGCAGCTGCATCTGCCCAGCCACGGCTGTGGACCCAGGTATCCCTGCAATCCCAGGGCTGGGAAGCCACCCCACCTGCCCCCGAAAGCTCAGAAGTGCCTCCAGCTGCTACCTGGCCTCTCCTGACTCCCGACAAAGCTGAAGCCAAGCCCAGGCGCTGTTGCAACCCAGCCAGGTGTGCACACACTGAGGGCAGTGCTAGCATGCCAGCCCCTTGCTGCCTCGGCCCGCTCTGGACTTTGAGTGCTCACAAGCATGGGAGCAAGGCCAAGGAGGGGCTGAGGGCGGCTCAGCCCAGTCCTGTAGGCGACCCTTGACCTGAACAGCCTGGGTCCTGTAGATGACATGATTGATGGCAGTAGGAGGCACACAGGCTCCTGGGTGGAAAGGGGTGGGTGTCCAGTGAAGACCCCCATTAAAGCTAGGGACTTCCTGAAACATGGGGGCTGGGCTGCCAGTTCTGGGTGGAGTCTGCCGTCCAGAATGAGATTTATGGTGCTTTTTCTGGGCCCGTCCATGGCTGCCCATGGGCCAATCAGTATACACTTTCTCCCTTCTGAAGCCCATAAAAATCCCACTCAGCTATACTCACAGAGATGTCAGGACTACCAGCTGTGGGAAGGATCTACCCACTTGGGATCCCCTCAATTTGTGGGGATCACCTGCCTGTGGGAAGGAGCTACTTACTCCGGGTCTCCTCTCCGCTGAGAACTAGGCACTCGGGACGACCTGCCTGCGGAAGGAGCTACTCACTTCGGGTCCCCTGAGAGCTGTTCTGTCGCTCAGTGAAGCTCCTCTCTTTCTTGCTCACCCTCTGGTTGTCCACGTACCTCATTCTTCCTGGACGCAGGATGAGAACATGGGACCTGCTGAATAGCAGGACTGAAAGAGCTGTAATACAAACAGGGCTGAAACACGTCTCCTGCTTGCCACATTGGGGGCAACAAGGAGAGAAGAGAGCTGTGGCCCTTCGGGGAGCCCAGACTCGGGGACTCCCTGAGCCAGGGCCATGACACCCTCTTTGGAGACTCCCTGAGCCAGGGCTCTGACACCCTTTTTGGGGGCTCCCTGAGCCGGGGCCGTGACACCCTCTTTGGGGACTCCCTGAGCCGGGGCCGTGACACCCTCTCGGGGACTCCCTGAGCTGGGGCCATGACACCCTCTTGGGGACTCTGCAGCTCCTTGTATCTCCAAGATTCTGGGAGCCACCATGTTCCCCAGTGCCTGCAGTGGAAGCCACTTCTGGTGCACCTGGTCCAGCTACAGACTTGCACAGAGCTGGCACCTGTGCCAGTCCCTGGAGCTGCCTGCCCCACTGCAGCTGGCACACCTGGCTGTGCACAGTGACTGGACCCCGCGCTTGTTCACACACACCCCTGCCGCTCCTCACCTGGAAGGTGTGGGATCTGAGCCAGTAGCATCAGCTGAGTGCAGCCTATCAGGCTGAGTGGGTGGAATGGGCCCAGTGGGCCCGAGCAAAACTCAGGCAAAGGCGCCCCAGACACAGAGGTTTCCGGCTGGGAAAGTTACACCCTAAGGATCCTGTGACAGCATTATCCTGCCCAGTGAAAAAAGCAGAATCAGAGGGGAGTAAGAGTCTCATTATAATTGCAGTCTTGTTCCGAAGTCTTGGGAAAAGCTGTCTGTAGCATGAAAACATCAGCTTCTCCGGGTTTGAAGTTTGGGTGTTTCTGGTTAGGGCATCAGGCAGTTTGGTGAACACTGTGTGTGACCCATGCATCAGGCATGAGACTTGTCCCTTAAAATGTGTCTAGTTTGGTCTGGCACATTGGCTCATGCTTGTAATCCCAACACTTTGGGAGGCCAATGTGAGAGAATCTCTGTTTTTTTTGAGACAGAATCTCGCTCTGTCGCCCAGCTGGAGTGCAATAGCGCAATCTCGGCTCATTGCAAGCTCCGCCTCCCAGGTTCACGCAATTCTCCTGCCTCAGCCTTCCGAGTAGCTGGGACTACAGGCGCCCGGCTAATTTTTTTTTTTTTTTTGTATTATTAGTAGAGACGGGGTTTCACCGGGTTAGCCAGGATAGTCTTGATCTCCTGACCTCGTGATCCGCCCGCCTCCGCCTCCCAAAGTGCTGGGATTACAGGTGTGAGCCACTACACCCGGCCGAGAGAATCTCTTGAGACCAGGAATTTGAGAGCAAACTGGTCAATATAGCTAGATCCCTCTCTATTTAAAAAAATTACATATATACACACACACACATATATAACACATATATACATACATTATACATATACACGTGTGTATGTGTGTAAATTAATTTTTTTTTTAGATGGAATCTCTCTGTGTCACCAGGCTGGAGTGCAGTGGTGTGATCTCGGCTCACTGCAACCTCCACCTCCCAGGTTCAAGCGATTCTCCTGCCTCAGCCTCTCGAGTGGCTGGAATTACAGGCACACACCACCACGCCTGGCTAATTTTTGTATTTTTAGTAGAGACGGGGTTTCACCATGTTGGCCAGGATGGGCTCGATCTCTTGACTTCTTGATCCACCCACCTCAGCCTCCCACAGTGCTGGGATTACAGACGTGAGCCACCATGCCTGGCCATGAGTTTATTAAAAGGGATATTAATTTTTTTTTTTTTTGAGATGGAGTCTTGCTCTGTCACCCAGGCTGGAGCACAGTGGTGCGATCTCAGCTCACTGCAACCTCTGCCTCCCAGGTTCAAGCAATTCTCCTGCCTTGTCCTCTCAAGTAGCTGGGATTACAGGCACCCACGACCACGCCTGGCTAATTTTTGTATTTTTAGTAGAGACAAGGTTTCACCATCTTGGTCAGGCTGGTTTCAAACTCCTGACGTCAGGTGATCCACCCGCCTTGGACTCCCAAAGCTGTGAGCCACCACACCCGGCCTGTTAAATTTTTTTTGAGACAGGGTTTTGCTCTGTTGCCCTGTGGGGAAAAGCAAGAGAGATCAGATTGTTACTGTGTCTGTGTAGAAAGAAGTAGACATAGGAGACTCCATTCTGTTCTGTACTAAGACAAATTCTTCTGCCTTGAGATGCTGTTAATCTATGACCTTACCCCCAACCCCGTGCTCTCTGAAACATGTGCTGTGTCAACTCAGAGTTGAATGGATTAAGGGCGGTGCAAGATGTGCTTTGTTAAACAGATGCTTGAAGGCAGCACGCTCCTTAAGAGTCATCACCACTCCCTAATCTCAAGTACCCAGGGACACAAACACTGAGGAAGGCCGCAGGGACCTCTGCCTAGGAAAGCCAGGTATTGTCCAAGGTTTCTCCCCATGTGATAGTCTGAAATATGGCCTCATGGGAAGGGAAAGACCTGACCGTCCCCCAGCCCGACACCCGTAAAGGGTCTGTGCTGAGGAGGATTAGTAAAAGAGGAAGGCATGCCTCTTGCAGTTGAGACAAGAGGAAGGCATCTGTCTCCTGCCCGTCCCTGGGCAATGGAATGTCTCAGTATAAAACCCGATTGTACGTTCCATCTACTGAGATAGGGAAAAACCGCCTTAGGGCTGGAGGTGGGACATGCGGGCAGCAATACTGCTTTGTAAAGCATTGAGATGTTTATGTGGATGCATATCTAAAAGCACAGCACTTGATTCTTTACCTTGTCTACGATGCAAAGACCTTTGTTCACATGTTTGTCTGCTGACCCTCTCCCCACTATTGTCTTGTGACCCTGACACATCCCCCTCTTGGAGAAGCACCCACGAATGATCAATAAATACTAAGGGAACTCAGAGGCTGGTAGGATCCTCCATATGCTGAACACTGGTTCCCTGGGTTCCACCTAACGAGAAACACCCACAGGTGTGGAGGGGCAACCCACCCCTTCATTGCCCAAGCTTGAGTACAGTGGTGGGATCATGGCTTACTGCAGCCTCAAACTCCCAAGCTCAAGTGATCCACTCACCTCATCCTCTCCAGTAGCTGGGAATACAGCCGTGCAGCATTCTACCTGGCTAGTTTTTTATTTTCATTAGAGACAAGGTCTTGCTGTGTTTCCAGGGCTCATCT
This sequence comes from Homo sapiens, assembly GCF_000001405.40. Lineage (NCBI taxonomy): Eukaryota > Metazoa > Chordata > Mammalia > Primates > Hominidae > Homo > Homo sapiens. The sequence goes on from NC_000001.11 coordinate 1,581,433, forward strand.
TGAACTCCTGGGCTCAAGTGATCCTCCCACCTCAGCCTCCCAAGGTGTTGGGATTACAGGTGTGAGCCACCATGCCTAGCCTAAATAAGAATTTTAAATGCACCTATATGTTGTAAATAACTCAGAAGATACAGCTTTTTCATTAAGCCAACAATATCAAATTAGTTTTACTCATCAAATAATTACACACAAAAGAGATCATTCTAAGACCAGTCATGGTGGATCACACCTGTAATCCCAGCACTTTGGGAGGCCAAGGCAGGCAGATCACCTAAAGTCAGGAGTTCAAGACCAGCCTGGCCAACATGGCAAAACCCCGTCTCTACTAAAAATACAAAAATTAGCTGGGCGTGGAGGCGGGCATCTGTAATCCCAGCCACTTGGGAGGCTGAGGTGGGAGAATCACTTGAACCCAGGAAACAGAGGTTGCAGTAAGCTAAGATCAAGCCACTGCACTCCAGCCTGGGCGACAGGTGAGACTCTTAATGAGTAAACCCAGGCAAAAATGTATGCTGCCAATTTTTATGACATTTCTATTTTTATTTTACAGCAAATTTAAAACCAGCTTATTTATTAAAGATTTACAGCCTGGGGGCCGGGCGTGGTGGCTCACACCTATAATCCCAGCACTTTGGGAGGCCGAGGCGACCGGATCACGATCAGGAGACCATCCTGGCTAACACAGTGAAACCCTATGGCTACTAAAAACACAAAAATTAGCCGGGTGTAGTGGTGGCACATGCCTGTGATCCCAGCTACTCAGGAGGCTGAAAATCACTTGAACCTGGGAGTCGGAGGTTGCAGTGAGCCAAGATCGCGCCACTGTACTCCAGCCTGGGTGACAGAGCGGGACTTCATCTCAAAACAACAACAACAAAAAACAGACAATTGGATCCCAATTATATGATAGTATTTCTGACAAAATGGGACATGTTCACATGGCTAAACTTTATTTGCCCAAATAGGTGATCTAATGAAGGATACAGACCAAAATTTGGGGGATCGCAGTTTGTATAGGAGGTTTATTATTTTAAAAAACCTCATTTTACCATTTTTCCCATTTCAAATGATTTGGGGTTATGTATTCACATGTTTCTCCACCTCTCCCTTTCCCCCAGGACTCTTGGCTTTCAGAAGCCCCTCTGGAACATCCCACCCAGTAAAACCCCATCCCACCAGTGCAGAAAACATGGTGCCCCTATTATAGTGGATCCAGCCTTGAAGAGGCCTCACCCTGCCTCAACACCTCTTCCCCAAGACCCTGACGGCCAGGACAGTGTCTTTTTGCCTTCAGACTAGGCAGAGTGAGGTCCCCTGAGAGAGATAAATATTGTTATTTCCCCACCCAAAGTTATTTGCATTAGGTGAAAAATGGCCACACATTCTTTGTGGTTCCTCTCATCAAGACATACGGTCTCTTTCTCATCCCTTGAATCCGGGCAAAGCCTTGTGATTTGCTCTGATCAAAAGAACTTAGTAGAACTGACGTTGTCCCAGCCCCAGTTCCAGGCCCAGAACCCAAGAAATCTTGCAGCTTCTACTCTCACTCTCCTGGAGCCCTAAGGCTGAAGCAGCCTGCTAGACAGGCCACCCCAACCAACAACCTGTCACCTGCCAGACAAGTGAGTCAGGCTGTCCTAGACCATCCAGGTGTAGCGGATGTGACAAATGACCACAGCTCCATGAGGGTCCGCAGGTGAGCCCAGTGCAGATTGCCAACCCACAGAATTGTGGACAAATACGTGACCTGTTTTTGCTGCCAAATTTTGGGATGGTCTGTTACACAGTGAAGGCTAGCTGATACGCAGTTCCTCATTTCTCCTCTGGTGATGAGATCCACTTTCATTTCAGGAGGCAGTGTGCCAGTCTCAGTAGATGGAACACAATCCACAATCGGTCTATTCAACCATGACAATTTTATTCCCTACTGTTGGGGAAGTGTCTCGAGTCAGACCCTCCCCACCAAGTGCAAAGAGAACGCATCTCAGCTATCCCTTCTGCCAGCCCAGCCTACGGGGGCCAGATGTATCTTCTGGGCTCTTAGAAGTGTCAGTCGGTGCCATGGGGACTGCTCCTACAAGTCTGGCGTGGATGCCCCCAGGTACACCCTGAGGTCCGAGAGGGTGGACTGCACAAGCTTGTCCAGGATGGCCCTTGCTGCAGCTACCGGTAGGCTGCGTGCCAATAACAGCCGCCAAAGGAGTAGAAGTAATCACCAACCTGGGTCCCTTTGATCCAGGACATCCGTGGGGCACACTGTCTGGGTCTTCCTAGGTCATGTCCACGAGGTTCTGCGTCTCGGCTGGGCCCAGCACAGATGGTGGCAGCTACGTGAGCAGCTCAGTGGCACGCCGTGCACCTGGGAATGCAGCCCGACTGGGCACTCCCGCCCTGCACACCGTTGCAGGGCCTGGGACCCGGGGCTGCCCCAGCCCACATCCACCCTGCCCGATCGATGCTCCTCCTGCACACAGCCCCGTTACCACTGCCACTGCCCCAAAGCATAAAAATTTTTTTTTTTTTTTTGAGATGGAGTTTTGCTCTTGTTGCCCAGGCTGGAGTGCAATGGCATGATCTCAGCTCACCACAACCTCTGTCTCCCGGGTTCAAGCAATTCTTCTGCTTCAGCCTCCCGAGTAGCTGGGATTACAGGCATGCGCCATTAATTTTGTATTTTTAGTAGAGATGGGGTTTCTCCATGTTGGTCAGGCTGGTCTCAGACTCCAGACCTCAGATGATCCGCCCGCCTCGGCCTCCCAAAGTGCTGGGATTACAGGCGTGAGCCACCGCGCCCGCCAATTAATTTTTTTTTTTTTTTTTTGAGACGGAGTCTCGCTGTGGCCCAGGCTGGAGTGCAGTGGCGCAATCTCAGCTTACTGCAAGCTCCATCTCCCAGGTTCACACCATTCTCCTGCCTCAGCCTCCCGAGTAACTGGGACTACAGGCACCCACCACCACACCCGGCTAATTTTTTGTATTTTTAGTAGAGACGGGATTTCACCGATTAGCCAGGATGGTCTCAGTCTCCTGACCTTGTGATCCACCCACCTCAGCCTCCCAAAGTGCCAGGATTACAGGCGTGAGCCACCGTGCCCGGCCAGTTTTGGGGTTTTTTTGTTTTTGTTTTTGTTTTTGAGACAGCGCCTTGCTGTGTCGACCAGGCTGGAGTGCAGTGGCATGATCTTGGCTCAGTGCAACCTCTGCGTCCCGGGTTCAAGCAATTTTCTTGCCTCAGCCTCCTGAGTAGTTGCAATTACAGGCGTGTGCCACCACGCCTGGCTAATTTTTTGTATTTTTAGTAGAGACGGGGTTTCACCATGTTGGCCAGGCTGGTCTCGAACTCCTGACCTCGTGATCCTCCCACTTTAGCCTCCCAAAGTGTTGGGATTACAGGCGTGAGCCACCGTGCCTGGCCACCCATCAGTTTTAAAATGTGCCTGAGTTAGAGCAGAACAGAAGCTGAGAAAAATTAAAAAGAAAGATAAATAAGTACAGTTTGCCCAAGTTGGGCCATAATATAGCCTGCTGGAGAACCAAAAAATCTGCTGTGACTTAATGTTTGAGAATCCCATTTCATTTCTTCTTATTTTCTGAAGAGCAAAGAAGCTTCCATAGATCCTATCAGGAATTGTCAAGCACATGGACCACTGTTTCAGATGGTGGCGACAGACCCAGTAACTTTCGTTGTTGTTTTGTTTTCTTTTGAAACAGAATCTCACTCTGCAGTCCAGGCTGGAGTGCAGCGGTGCAATCTTGGCTCACTGCAACCTCTGCCTTGTGAGTTCAAGCGATTCTCCTGCCTCAGCCTCTAGACTAGCTGGGATTACAGGTGCATGCCACCATGTCCAGCTAACTTTTTTTGTTTGTTTATTTGTTTGTTTGTTTGTTTTGAGACGGAGTCTTGCTCTATTGCCCAGGCTGGAGTGCAGTGGTGCAATCTCGGCTCACTGCAAGCTTCACCTCCCGGGTTCATGCCATTCTTCTGCCTCAGCCTCCCAAGTAGCTGGGACTACAAGTGCCCGCCACCACGCCTGGCTAATTTTTTTTTTGAGATGGAGTCTCGCTGTGTCGCCCAGGCTGGAGTGCAATGGCGCAATCTCAGCTCACTGCAAGCTCTGCCTCCCAGGTTCACGCCATTCTCCTGCCTCAGCCTCCCAAATAGCTGGGACTACAGGCACCCGCCACCACGCCCGGCTAATTTTTTGTATTTTTAGTAGAGACAGGGTTTCACCGTGTTAGCCAGGATGGTCTCGAACTTCTGACCTCGTGATCCACCTGCCTCGGCCTCCCAAAGTGCTGGCATTACAGGTGTGAGATACCGCGCCCAGCCAAGACTCTTTTTTTAAAAACAAACAAGCAAACAAAAATTATCTGGACATAGTAGAACCAGCCTGTGGTCCCAGCTACTGAGGAGGCTGAGGTGGGAGAATCGCTTGAGCCTGGGATGTTGAGGCTTCAGTGAGCCAACACTGTGCCACTCCACTCCAGCCTGGGCAACACAGAGAGACCATGTCTTAAATAATAATAATAATAATAATAATAATAAAATGCAATTTTAAAAAGAGGGAAGCACAGCCACAGAAGATTCTCCAAGGCAGAGCATGCGAACCACGGAAGCAGAGAGCCCATAGGGCTCGGCGAGCATGGGGCACTGGCTCCAAGAACCGCCAGTTCCTTCTTAAAGTGACCTTCCTTCAGGTCCTGTTTCAGAGCATCATTTATGTCAAACTAAATAACAGAGAGGGGTTCTCTAGCAGAAAATGATATTTATTCGAAGAGGACAGCCAGAAGAGGAAGAGGGCAGGGAGGCGACCAGGATGACCAGCTGCAGAGAGGAGTACCTTCTCCTCTGTCCTCCGCTGAGAGCTGCCCAGACAACCTGTCAGCAGAGAGGAGCTACCTCTACCCTGTCTGTGGAGAGCCTGAGACCTGCGGAGACATCCAAACGACTTCCTGTGGAGAGGAGCCGCCCTCTCCAGCCTCCTGTCTGCCAAGAGCTCAACACTCACCGGGAGGATGCTGTTCTCACATTAAATAAACTCTTCTTTTTCTTTTTTGGGACGAGGTCTCACTCTGTCACCCAGGCTGGAGTGCAGTGGCGCGATCTTGGCTCACTGCAAGCTCCGCCTCCCGGGTTCATGCCATTCTCCTGCCTCAACCTTCCAAGTAGCTGGGACCTGGGACTACAGGCGCCTGCCACCGCGCCCGGCTAATTTTTTGTATTTTTAGTAGAGACGGGGTTTCACCGTGTTAGCCAGGATGGTCTCGATTTCCTGACCTCGTGATCCGCCCGCCTCAGCCTCCCAAAGTGCTGGGATTACAGGCGTGAGCCACCACGCCCGGCCTTAAATAAACTCTTCTCCACCAAAAGTAAAAAAGTAAAATATTTATTCAGGAATAGGATTGCAATGGGAACGCGTGTGCCACAGTAAAGTATGTGCATATTCAGGGAGGTAGAAGAAGACAAAGGTTTTTTTTGGTTTTTTTGTTTGTTTTGTTTTGTTTTTTTGAGACGAAGGCTCGTTTTGTCGCTCAGGCTGGAGTGCAGTGGTGCGATCTCGGCTCACTGCAACCTCCGTCTCCCGGGTTCAAACAATTCTGCCTCAGCCTCCCGAGTAGCTGGGATTACAGGAGCCTGCCACCACACCCGGCTAATTTTTTGTATTTTAGTAAATACAGCGTTTCACCGTGTTGCCCAGGCTGGTCTCGAACTCTGGAGCTCAGGCAATCCGCCCGTCTCTGCCATCCAAAGTGTTGGGATTACAGGCGTGGGCCACTACGCCCTGCTGGTTTTTTTTTTTTTTTTTTGAGTTGAAGTCTCACAGCTCTGTCACCAGGCTGGAGTGCAGTTGCGCAAGCTTGCTCACTGCAACTGCCCCTTCTTGGTTCAAGCGATTCTCCTGCCTCAGCCTCCTGAGTAGCTGCGACTACAGGCACCGGCCACCACGCCCATCTAATTTTGGGATTTTTTTTTTTGAGACGGAGTCTCGCTCCGTCGCCCAGGCTGGAGTGCAGTGGTGTGATCTCGGCTCACTGCAAGCTCCGCCTCCCGGGTTCACGCCATTCTCCTGCCTCAGCCTCCCGAGTAGCTGGGACTACAGGCGCCCGCCACCACGCCCGGCTAATTTTTTGTATTTTTGGTAAAGATGGGGTTACACTGTGTTAGCCAGGATGGTCTCAGTCTCCTGACCTCGTGATCCGCCCGCCTCGGCCTCCCAAAGTGCTGGGATTACAGGCGTGAGCCACTGCACCAGGCCTAATTTTTGTATTTTTTAGTAGAGACGGGGTTTCACCATATTGGTCAGGCTGTTCTTGAACTCCTGACCTTGTGATCCTGCCCACCTTGGCCTCCCTACGTGCTGGGATTACAGGCGTGGGCCACCGCGCCCAGCCAAAGACAAAGGTTTTTAAAGGAAAGATGAGAAGGATGACTTCATTGTTTTGAAATAATTATCCTTGGCTGCACTTTGGGAGGCCGAGGCGGGCGGATCACGAGGTCAGGAGATCAAGACCATCCCAGCTAACACGGTGAAACCCGTCTCTACTAAAAATACAAAAAATTAGCTGGGTGTGGTGGCGGGGGCCTGTAGTCCCAGCGACTCCGGAGGCTGAGGCAGGAGAATGGCGTGAACCCGGGAGGTGGAGGTTGCAGTGAGCCGAGATTGCGCCACTGCACTCCAGCCTGGGCGACGGAGCGAGACTCCGTCTCAAAAAAAAAAAAAAAAAAGAGGCCACCTCCACATCCTCGGTTTTCCACCCCACCACCACTTAGCTCCAGGAATAATTCCTTTTTTTTTTTTTTTTAACAGAGTCTCTCCATCCTGGCTAACATGGTGAAACCCCGTCTCTACTAAAAATGCAAAAAAAAAATTAGCCTGGCGCGGTGGCAGGCGCCTGTAGTCCCAGCTACTCGGGAGGCTGAGGCAGGAGAATGGTGTGAACCCAGGAGGCAGAGCTTGCAGTGAGCCCAGATCGCGCCACTGCACTCCAGCCTGGGCAACAGAGCGAGACTCTGTCTCAAAAAAAAAGAAAAAAAAAAAGAAAGAATTATCCTTGGCTACAAAGATCAATAACAAGGATGACAACCATCTGAGGGTGGACAGGCAGTCCTGGGCGGATGTCCTCACAGAAGTATTTCTGTGTGTGTGCAAGGTTACAGTGGACTTTGTGCAAGTATGCGGTTTTTGGAATCCTTTGTGATAGTTTTGAGGCATGCAGGCCTGAGACCCCCTTTCATGGCCTTCCTTAGCTCTGTGTGTCACGGTGGCCTCCCGTTTTGCTTCGCTTCCCTTCTTCCCTTCCCTTCCCCCGTTTTTCAACCCCAGAGACTCTACTTTGACTCTGAATCAGAACTAGGTGAGCTGAGAAATGAAGGCATGAAGGATGGCAGCCGCGAAAAAGCACTCTGTGCACCGAGCTGGGGATCCCAGTGGAAGGCAAGAATTATCCCTGGAGCAGGCAGGGCGCCGTGGCTCACGTCTGTAATCCCAGCACTTTAGGAGGCAGAGGCGGGTGGATCACCAGTCAGGAGTTCAAGACCAGCCTGACCAACACGGAGAAACCCCGTCTCTACTAAAAATACAAAATTAGCTGGGTGTGGTAGACGCCTGTAATCCCAGCTACTTGGGAGACTGAGACAGGAGAATGGCGTGAACCCGGGAGCTGGAGGTTGCAGTGAGCCAAGATCACACCACTGCACTCCAGCTTGAGTGACAGAGCGAGACTGTTTTTATTTATTTATTTATTTATTTATTTATTTATTTATTTATTTTTAGACGGAGTCTCGCTTTGTTGCCCAGGCTGGAGTGCAGTGGTGCGATCTGGGCTCACTGCAAGCTCCGCCTCCCAGGTTCACACTATTCTCCTGCCTCAGCCTCCCGAGTAGCTGGGACTACAGGCGCCCGCCACCGCGCCAGGCTAATTTTTTTTTGCATTTTTAGTAGAGACGGGGTTTTACCATGTTAGCCAGGATGGAGAGACTCTGTTAAAAAAAAAAAAAAAGAGAATTATTCCTAGAGCTAAGTGGTGGTGGGGTGGAAAACCGAGGATGTGGAGGTGACCTCTTTTTTTTTTTTTCGAGACAGAGTCTCGCTCTGTCGTCCAGGCTGGAGTGCAGTGGCGCGATCTCGGCTCACTGCAAGCTCCCCCTCCCAGGTTCACCCCATTCTCCTGCCTCAGCCTCCCGAGTAGCTGGGACCACAGGGGCGCGACACCACATCCGGCTAACGTTTTGTATTTTTAGTGGAGACGGGGTTTCACCGTGTTAGCCAGCATGGGCTTGATCTCCTGACCTCATGATCCGCCTGCCTCAGCCTCCCAAAGTGCTGGGATTACAGGAGGTGGCTTTTAATAAAGCTAGGACGGGAAGGACCATGGACCCTGGTGGAAAACAGGCTCCTTCTCAGAAAGAGGTCAAGAAACTCAGACACCAGGGCGCTGGGGACCGTTTCACGGGTGCTGAAGTCGTCTACCATTGCTTTTGTGGTATTTTAGAGAAAAAGGCTGAGAACCAGGTGTTGGAAATCTTTAAGGATGCCTGGGGCTTCCTTGGGTGACAGGGATCGGGGGAGAGTTGATGCCTAAAGGAGGAGGCCGGGCTTTGTGGGGCGCGTGGCCATCTAGGCGATAAATGAGGGCATCGCCCACTCCTGCCCTACGTGTACCTGAGTATTTCACGTGCGGAGCACAGAGTCTAAAGGACCCGCACCACCTACATTAGAAATAAGAAACGTAGGCCGGGCGTGGTGGCTGATGCCTGTCATCCCAGCACTTTGGGAGGTCAAGGCGGGTGAATCACCTGAGGTCAGGAGTTCGAGACCAGCCTGGTCAACATGGTGAAACCGTGTCTCTACTAAAAATACCAAAATTAGCTGGGCGTGGTGGTGGCTGCCTGTAATCCCAGCTACTCGGGAGACTGAGGCAGGAGAATCGCTTGAACCTGGGAGGCGGAGGTTGCAGTGAGCGGAGATCGCGACACTGCACTACAGCCTGGGTGATAGAGAGAGACTCCATCTCAAAAAAAAAAAGAGTTTTGAGAACTGTGCCGTCTGACAAAGTGTGCACCGAACATAAGAGGTTATTTGTTTAAACTTAAGTTTAACGGCCAGGCACGGTGGCTCATGCCTGTAATCCCAGCACTTTGGGAGGCCCAGGCGGGCGGATCACGAGGTCAGGAGATGGAGACCATCCTGGCTAACATGGTCAAACCCCGTCTCTACTAAAAATACAAAAATTAGCCGGGCGTGGTGGTGGGCACCTGTAGTCCCAGCTACTTGGGAGGTCGAGGCAGGAGAATGGCGAGAACCTGCGAGGCGGAGCTTGCAGTGAGCAGAGATCGCACCACTGCACTCCAGCCTGGGCGACAGAGCGAGACTCCATCTCAAAAAAAAAAAAAGTTTAACTAAAATATAAAATGGAGGTCCTCAGTCACAGTAGCTGCAATTAAAGTGTCCCGTGTGGGGGGCCCTAATTAGGGGAAAGGAGTCGGGCTGGAGGGAGCAGGGGAAAGCAAAGACAGAAAGGAGATGGGCTGTAGGTCTGCCTTTCTGTATGGCCCTCCTGAACAAGTAATGCACGTAACTCACAATCTTCCTGCTCACCATCAAACGCCTCAAATTACCAAACACCCTGGCTGACAGGAGAACGCAGGTGAAGCTCCCCGCTGCCTTGGCGTTGGCCATCAACCCAGGAGCCACCCTACAAAACGTCCAGCAAGTCTTTGTCTCCATGCAGTTGGCCTCTCTTGCTGGCTGCCCGTTGCCTCCTTGCAACATGTTTTCCTACTTTCACTAACATATGTGCCTTTCTCTACCTACAACTGTCTTGGTAAATTTTTTTTTTTTTGAGACAGAGTCTCACTTGGTCACCCAGGCTGGAGTGCAATGGCGCGATCTCGGCTCACTGCAACCTCTGCCTCCCGGGTTCAAGTGATTCTCTTGCCTCAGCCTCCAGAGTAGCTGGGACTACAGGCGCACACCACCACGCCCAGCTAATTTTTGTATTTTTAGTAGAGACGGGGTTTCACCATGTTGGCCAGGCTGGTCTCCAACTCCTGACCTCAGGTGATCCGCCCGCCTTGGTCTCCCGAAGTGCTGGGATCACAGGCGTGAGCCACCGCGCCCGGCCGATGGTAAATTCTTTTACCCCCATGCTACTGGCCCAAACAGTTGTCGCTGTCCCAAGACACAGTGTCCACAGTGACTCGTAGCTACTGTGTCCTCCACAGGATATGATGAAGCCCATTAACTACGAATGTGACCTTATTTGGAAATAGGGATCTTTGTAGGCGTAATCAAATGAAATGAGGTCATGTCAAGTTAGTGCAGGCCCTCCTGCTGTCAATGGTGCTGTGCCACAGGGAAACATGCATTGCTCTTCCTCCGTTTCATGACACACAGCTCCTGAAATCCTTGGATTAGCCGGGTGGCAGGTGCCTGTAGTCCCAGCTACTTAGGAGGCTGAGGCAGGAGAATGGCGTGAACCCAGGAGGCGGAGCTTGCAGTGAGCAGAGATCGCGCCACTGCCCTCCAGCCTGGGCGACAGAGCGAGACTCCGTCTCAAAAAAAAACCAGAACTCCTTGGTGTGGGAAACCCCACACTCCTGGGACACAGAAGTGTGGACTGTTGAGTGAGAGAAGAGGAAAACAGCACTTCGTTTTTCCCAATATTACAGGTATCTTTATAAAAGAAAGGAGAGAGATCTGGACACAGTGACGGTGGAGACAGGCAGACAGATCACCCTGTGAGGACGGAGGCAGAGACTGGGCTGATGCGTCTACAACCCAAGGATCACCAAGAGAAGCTGGCCGGGCGCGGCGGCTCACGCCTGTAATCCCAACACTTTGGGAGGCCTAGGCGGGTGGATCACCTGAAGTCAGGAGTTGGAGACCAGCCTGGCCAACATGGTGAAACCCCGTCTCTACTAAAAATACAAAAATTAGCCAGCTGTGGTGGTGCATGCCTGTAATCCTAGCTACTCGGGAGGCTGAGGCAGGAGAATCACATGAACCCAGAAGGTGAAGGTTGCAGTGAGCCAAGATCACGCCATTGCACTCCAGCCTGGGTGACAGAGTGATACTCTGTCCCAAAATAAATAAATAAATAAATAAATACACGAAAATGAAACAAACAGGCCGAATGTGGTGGCTCACACCTGTAATCCCAGCACTTTAGGAGGCCGAGGCGGGCGGATCACCTGAGGTCAGGAGTTCAAGACTAGCTGGGCCAACATGGTGAAACCCCATTTCTACTAAAATACAAAAAATTAGCCAGGCGTGGTGGCGCAGGCCTGTAGTCCCAGCTACTCGGGAGGCTGAGGCAGGGGAATCACTTGAACCCGAGAGGCGGAGCTTGCAGTGAGCCGAGATGGCGCCACTGAACTCCAGCCTGGTGACAGAGCCAGACTCCATCTAAATAAAAAAAAAAAAAAAAAAACAAGAAAAGAAACAAGGCCAGGCGCAGTGGCTCACGCCTGTAATCCCAGCACTTTGGGAGGCCGAGGGGGGCGGATCACGAGGTCAGGAGATAGAGACCATCCTGGCTAAAATGGCGAAACCCCGTCTCTACTAAAAGTACAAAAAATTAGCCGAGTGTGGTGTCGTGTGCCTGTAATCCCAGCTACTCGGGAGGCTGAGACAGAAGAATCCCTTGAACCTGGGAGGCAGAAGTTGCAGTGAGCTGAGATGACACCATTGCACTCCAGCCTGGGCGGCAGAGCGAGACCTCGTCTCCAAAAAAAAATAAAAATGATCCACATCACTTGAGCCTGGGAAGTGGAGGTTGCAGTGAGCTGAGATGGTGCCATTGCACTCCAGCCTGGGCAAAAAGAGCAAAACTCAATCTCAAAAAAAAAAAAAACAAAAAGAAAAAAAAGAAGAGCCAGTTGGGCCTGCTGGCTCACTCCTGGAATCCAGCACTTTGGGAGGCCAAGGTGGCCGGATCACTGGAGGTCAGGAGTTTGAGACCAGCCTGACCAACATGGTGCAACCCTGTCTCTAGTAAAAATGCAATATTAGCAGGGTGTGTGGCACATGCCTGTAATGCCAGCGACTCAGGAGGCTGAGGCAGGAGAATCACTTGAACCTGGGAGGCGGAGATTGCAGTGAGCCGAGATCGCACCACTGACTCCAGCCTGGGCAACAGAATGAGACTGTGTCTCAAAAAAAAAAAGTGGCCTGTAATCCCAGCAGTTTGGGAGGCTGAGGTGAGAGGATCACTTAGTCCAGGAGTTCAAGACCAGCCTGGGCAACACAGTGAGATCTCCCATCTCTTAAAAGAAAAAAGAAAAGGAAAGAAAAAAAGAAAAGAAAAGCGACTACTGATGATACCACTTAGAAAAGATCCGTAAAGTCCAAAGGAGAAGGAGAGCCCGAGGGAGGGGCACCACAGTCCTGGGAGAGGCCACAGTCCTGCCTGGAAAGAAAATGCGGGTGCTTGCCACCCTTCAGACTTTTGGCCCATCGGAAAGTAGGGGCCCCCTCACGCCGTCTAAGGGCTCCCTTCTTAGGGTCAAGGCTAGAGGCCCTGGTGCCAGGTACCCAGGACTTGCTAGACTGGCCAAATCTTGCACCTGCCAGGTCAGGGTCTCCAGCAGCTCCTGGCCATTCCTGAGCCCCCCGTCCAGTAGTCAAGACCCCCATCCTAAGTGAGCATGGAACCACCAGCCTCACAGCCCTCTGTTCCTCCCAGGAGACCTAGAGTCCATCCCTCCTGGGGCACCTGGGGAGACAGCAGGGCCCGGCTGCCTGCATCCAGACCATGCAGGGCCTCCAGCTCCCGTACTCAGCATGGCTGTGGGCCTTGCAGTTGGCTAAGATGGGGCCATCGCTGTGGGCCAGGCTCTGGAGGTGAGCAGGGAGGCCTAGGGTTCTGTTTTGGACACAAAAGGGGTGAGAGGCCCCCTGAGTGATCGAAGTGAAAACTTCAAGAAGGGCATCTTGTCTCGGCAGAGTCGGGCCAGGACGCGCCCCCACGGGTCTCAGGTCTTGGCAGGGTCGGGCCGGGACGCGGCTCCAGGGGTCTCGGCAGGGTGGGGCCAGGATACACCCCCAGGGGTCTCAGCAGGTTCCGGCTGGGACGCGGCTCCAGGGGTCTCGGCCCGGGGCAGTTCAAGCTGTAGTAACAATAGCTCCAGTTCTCATCTCTACCTGGCTGTTTCCATTCCACAATGGAGGCACTGAAAGGCTCCTGCCTTCTGAAGGGCAGGCACGGATGAGCCAGGATGAAGCCAGGGCAGCTTCCGAGTCAGGGCAGGTCCCTTCCGCCCCACACTGGAAAAGCGTATAGCTCCAGGCACCAGCGAGAAAGGCCAGGTGGAGCCATCTGCGCTCCAGCTCCATGGCACATGGCGGTTGCTAGGCTGAGAGCCACATCCACCTGCCTCCCCACCCAGCCTGGGCCACCAAGTCTGAAGAAGAGCAGAGAGCCATGGTCCAGAGAGAGCAGGGTGGGGAGAGACAGACAGAGAGAGCAGAACGGGAAGAGACAGAGAGAGGCAGACAGAGAGAGAGAGAGAGACAGACAGACAGACACAGAGAGAGCAGAACAGGGAGAGACAGAGAGAGTGAGACAGAGACAGAGACAGAGAGGCAGACACACAGAGAGAGAGAGAGAGACAGACAGACACAGAGAGAGCAGAACAGGGAGAGACAGAGAGACAGAGAGAGAGAGTGACAGAGAGAGGCAGAGAGAGAGAGAGAGAGACAGACACAGAGAGAGCAGAACAGGGAGAAACAGAGAGACAGAGAGCGAGAGAGACAGAGACAGAGAGAGGCAGACAGAGACAGAGAGAGAGACAGACAGACAGACACAGAGAGAGCAGAACGGGGAGAGACAGAGAGACAGAGAGAAACAGAGACAGAGACAGAGAGGCAGACAGAGAGAGAGACAGACAGAGAGCAGAACAGGGAGAGACAAAGAGACAGAGAGAGAGAGAGACACAGAGAGAGAGAGATAGAGAGAGGCAGACAGAGACAGAGAGACAGACAGACACAGAGCAGAACAGGGAGAGACAGAGAGAGAGAGACAGAGAGAGGCAGACAGAGAGAGAGAGAGACAGACACAGAGAGAGCAGAACAGGGAGAAACAGAGAGACAGAGAGCGAGAGAGACAGACACAGAGAGAGGCAGACAGAGACAGAGAGAGACAAACAGACAGACACAGAGAGAGCAGAACGGGGAGAGACAGAGAGACAGAGAGAAACAGAGACAGAGACAGAGAGAGGCAGACAGAGAGACAGACAGACAGACAGAGAGAGCAGAACAGGGAGAGACAGAGAGACACAGAGACAGAGAGGCAAACAGAGACAGAGAGACAGACAGAGAGAGCAGAATGGGGAGAGACACAGAGACAGAGACAGAGACAGAGAGAGGCAGACAGAGACAGAGAGAGAGACAGACAGACACAGAGCAGAACAGGGAGAGACAGAGAGAGAGAGACAGAGAGAGGCAGACAGAGACAGAGAGAGAGACAGACACAGAGCAGAACAGGGAGAGACAGAGAGAGAGAGAGACAGAGAGAGGCAGACAGAGAGAGAGAGAGAGACAGACACAGAGAGAGCAGAACAGGGAGAAACAGAGACAGAGAGCGAGAGAGACAGACACAGAGAGAGGCAGACAGAGACAGAGAGAGACAGACAGACACAGAGAGAGCAGAACGGGGAGAGACAGAGAGACAGAGAGAAACAGAGACAGAGACAGAGAGAGGCAGACAGAGAGACAGACAGACAGAGAGAGCAGAACAGGGAGAGACAGAGAGAGACACAGAGACAGAGAGGCAAACAGAGACAGAGAGAGAGACAGACAGACACAGAGAGAGCAGAATGGGGAGAGACACAGAGACAGAGACAGAGACAGAGAGAGGCAGACAGAGACGGAGAGAGAGAGCAGGGCGGGGAGAGACAGAGAGACAGAGACAGACAGAGACAGAGAGACAAAGACAGAGATAGAGAAAGACACAGAGAGGGACAGAGAGACATGGAGAGAGACAGAAAGAGAGGCAGAGACAGAGATGGAGAGAGGCAGAGACAGAGACAGAGTGAGGCAGAGAGAGATGGAGAGAGAGAGGCAGATAGAGAGACAGAGACAGAGAGAGGCAGAGAGAGATGGAGAGAGAGAGGCAGATAGAGAGGCAGAGAGACAAAGAGATGGAGACAGAGACAGACACAGAGAGAGGGAAAGAGGCAGAGAGATAGGGACAGAGAGAGATGGAGAGAGACAGAGACAGATACAGAGAGAGGCAGAGAGATGGAGACAGAGAGGCAGAGAGAGATGGAGGGAGATGGAGACAGGGACAGAGAGATAGGGAGAGAGAGAGATGAAGAGAGACAGAGAAACAGAGAGAGAGAAACAGAGAGAGAGAGAGAGAGCCAGAGACAGAGACAGAGAGATACATGGGAAGGAGAGGGAGAGAATGGAGAGAGACAGAGAGAGGGAGGGGAGGCTCCTCCAGGTAGAGCAGAAGGAAAGAAACTTCGGGGCGGGACTGGAAGGTGCACCAGGTCAGAAGGAGGGGTTGGGGGTCCCCATGCCCCTGGGAGGATAATGGGGCCAGCCGGGAAGGTGGCCAGCTAGGGAACGAGCAGTCTGTGCCAGTGACCACGAGCTCAGATGCAGACGCCCCTCCCTGGCAGGGACGCCCACTCCCAGGCCAAGGCTTGTCCCCTGGGCCTTGCAGGCTGCTCAAGCCACTTCTGCAAACCCTCAGCTGGACTCCATGCCTCTGAGAAGCCCCCAGAACTGGCAGGACAGGCCTGTGGCTATAGCCCGTGTGAGCCTAAGCTCACAAACAAGCCGGAATCCCACCGCAGGCCAGGGAGCCTCCGAAACTTCCCGGCTGCTCCCCAAGGAGCCGTGCTGCCCCAGCTCCCTGGACGCTGCCTTTGCTGGTAGAAGACATGGAAACACCCTTGCAGGTGACCAGGGCAGAAGGTGGCTGGAACGGGAAGCCCCCCACTCCCACCAGGCTGTCTACACACATCGCTGCACACCCCCTCTAGGGATGAGTCACTCCTCAGAGCTGGGCTCCTCCTCCCCCTCCCCCTCCGCCCCCCCCCCCCCCGCCTGTTTTTGCTTCCTCAGGGTCACCCCTGGCTGCAAGTGCCTCAAGGACAGCCTGGAAGAGCCTGTGGGGGAGGGAGGGTGGCATTCAGCACAGGATACACACAGGAGCCCCAGGCTGTCCTCTGCCCACCGTCCCCACCCCAGCTCTAGCTCTGCCAGGGAGGCCCAGGCAGGGAGGTGAGCCCCTCCGGAGCAGCCTAATTGCCACTGTCACAGCTCAAGTGTGTCGCCGTGGGAATGGGCTATTTCTAAGCACGGCAGGTACCGTCTTCCCCTTCCCCCGCCAACACAGCTGGCCCAGGACAAGAAGGTGCAGAGACAAACAGGGGGCACCCTGCCTGTCCTGCTAGGAACTGCAAGGCAGCGTGCCGCACACGCTGCCTGGGCCAATGCCACCCAGGCCAGGAGAGGGTTTGGGGCCAGACACCAGCCCATACCCAAGGGTCCCAGGGGATGTGGGGAGAAGGGGAATCCACCTTTTCCTTCCCTCCCACCTCCCAAATAACACACAGACAGCTCTGTTGGTCTGAGAATGATGGACATTTAGACACTGGCGCCAGGTTTGCGCCTGACCGGCGCCACGCAGGGGTGGGCGGAGCAAAGACACACAGGTGGGCTACAGGTGTCACACGGCACCAGCCAGGGCCCGGGGTGGCTGGGGTGAGGATGGGTGTTTGGCCAGTGACCAGGAGTCAGGTCAAGTCCAGGTGGTCAGTGCCAGGGGCTCCAGGAGGGGAGGGCAGTGCCATAACCCTCCTGGTGTCCAGCGTCACCAGGCGGTCGTCACAGAAAGCAACCTCGGCCCGGGGCCCGGGTCTGCAGCAGGTGGGCAGGGTCAGCTTTTCTTCCATGGCGGGTGGCATTGTCTGGGCCGGATACTGGCTCTCGACCCCTGGGCATGCAAAGGCTAGGGGTGGTGCTGTCAGTCACACCGTTGCCACCAAGGTCCCCTGGGTCGGCTGAGGCTTGGGATCCAGGCAGCGGTGGAAGGTCGGGCTGCTCAAGGCCGGTATCTAAGCTTCTGCCCTGGGACCCAGTGGTGATGGCCGCCATCTGCCCCATTCCCACAGGGACCTAGTCAGAGGTCGCACACACAAAAGGGGTACCTGGCCCTGGAGAACCACCAGCTGCCCGGGGTCTGAGAACACTCACCCTGGCCGCTGGGCCAGGCCTGCCAGGCTCCCGGCTGGTCCAACACCCTAAACGGTACAGAGCGCTGCAGGCCCTCACCTCATGCTTCTGCAGCGCTTGAGGGTGAAGGTGTCTCCAAGGGGACGCTGGCCAGATGCATGGAGAGGCCGGCCAATCTTAGGGCCACAGACCCCCCCTGGACAGCAGAGGGTGTTGGCTCCTGCAGTGGGCCCGAGATACTAAGGCACGAAGCTAACCTAAGCCCAGTGGGGTGGGGCGGGGCAGGACAGGCTTGGAGAGCTGCGCCCCAGGCCTGCAAAGCACAGTGACCGAGCAATGGCGACGGTCTGTCTGGGACAATTCGGCACAGGATGGAGGTGCGGGGTGAGCCGGAGTGCCCATGGCTCTTGCTGGAAGGGGCTCCATGCCCTGGCCGCCTCTATAAAGGCCTGCGGAGAGCGGGGAGAGCCCTGGATGCGGCTGGCACAGCAGCGCAAGCCCAGGGGCCAATCCGGGGCCAGAGTCTGGGAGTCTGACGCCCGGCTGGAAAGGGCGTGTGATGATGCCAAAGTGCCGGAGCCGTCGCCGGCAGGTCCTCCTCCGCGGGGATCTTAAGGAGGCAGCAGGAATGAGGAGAGGAGAGCGGGCGGAGGACCTGGGAGCTCAGGCGCCCTCAGGCAGGTGGCGCAAAGATGGGCGGGCGGCCTCGCGCTTCAGGGGTGTCTGCGCAGGCCGGGGCGCGCGAGGGCCGGGCGCATGAGGTTCTCGGTGATGTAGGCCACCAGCAGGCAGATGACCACCAGCATGACGCAGATGGAGCCGCCCACCGCCGTCATGGCCACCACGATGTCCTGCATGCCGGCCGGCTCGGCGGTGAACTCCACGCACTCGGCCGGCTCGGGGGTCTCTGGCGCGGCGGCGGCGGGCCCAGCGCGCAGCGGCAGCGGCTGCAGGCACAGGCGGTAGAGGACGCTGTCGTGCACGTCGGGCAGCAGGTAGTCGCGGCAGGAGGCCCCGAGGAGCACGCGCTCGCACGGGAAGCGCGTGTAGGCGCCGCGCCACGAGCAGTTGAGCGCGAAGGCGCGCACGCGGCGCGCGGCGGCCGGGGCCAGGCGCCACTGCAGGAGGACGCTGCGGTTGCGCAGGACGCTGGCGCGCAGGGAGCGGCCGGCCGGGGCGTGCAGCACGCAGCCCGGAGCCTGGCAGCGGAAGCCGCGCGCGGGGCTGCGGAAGCACAGGCGCCCGCCGCCCGCCTCGGGGCCCTCGGGCAGCACCTTGTAGGGGCACCAGGGCGCGTCGGGGGTCGGCTCCCAGCCCGGCGGCGTCGGGGCGGCCGCGGCGCAGGGCGGCGGCGCGCAGGCGGCCAGCAGCAGCAGCAGCGGCGGGGCGCGCATCCTGCGGCGGGGCCACGGGGCGCGGCGCTGGGTCACGCGGGCCGCGCCGCCGCCGTCCCCGCTGCCCGCTCCCCGCGATCCCCGGCGCGCCGCGCCCTCCGCCGCCGCCCGCTCCGACCCGCCCCCGCGCCCCGTGCGCGCTCGGACCCGGCGCGGCGGCGGAGGCGGGGCCGCCCCTCGCCCCGCCCCCCTTAACCCTCGCCGGGCCGCGGCCTACGGGTGCGGGGGATCGGGGGTGGGGGGGAGGAGGGGGACGCAGCGAGGCGGCCGGAGTGCCGGTGGGGCTGGGGTGCGGGCAGGGGCGCGGGGTGCGGGCAGGGCCGCCGCTCTCCCGGCTTCCCGCCTAGTGAGCGCACCTTGGACCCCTGCGGCTTTTCCGAGCCGAAACTCACGGGCTGTGGCCGGCTTCGTTTCGCGTCGTGCAGCTCCGCGACCGCCCGTGGCCACACCAGTCGGGGACTTCGTGCTTTACGATGGGGGCGCAGCGGTCTGGCACGCGCAGGACCCCGGGCCTTGCACCCCAACGCTGGCCGCCCTGGACCCGCGGCGGGGACCCGCGCAGTCAGGGTACCTGCCCATACCGATGGGGTGGGGACCAGCACGGAGACTTTCCTTCACCCCGCGGCTTCTGTTCCTTTCAGGACGGACAGCGCCCACCCGGAGGAAAGCCTGACAGATGAGACTTCGCAAGGTGAGAACTCCCTTCGCTCCACACGCAGCGGAGGCAGCTGCAGGGCGCCGACCTTCCCTGCCTCATTGCGCCCCCTCCTCCTCCAGATGCGCTCTGGGGGGCCCTCCCGATGGCTGTGGGGAGGTCAGGGCTGGACAAAGGGAATCCAAAAAGCCCACCCGGTGCACTGAGTAGGTGGCACCGACGGGGGAGGGGAAGGCGGGACACACCCCAAGACCCCTGCCCCTCATTCCCGTCCCTGCATAGATCACCCAGCAACCAGGACACCCCTCCAGGGCCAGGACTACAGCCAGGGACTGTGTATGCAGACGTGGCCGGGCCTGGCCGGCCTGCCCTAACTGGAAAGGAGGCCAAGCCTCGCACCTAAGGCTGGGCTGGCACCTCCGCTGAGCCAGCTCTGGGTCTGCAGGGGTTGTGGGGGGCTCTCTGGCAACTGGACCATGAGTTCCTGCAACCCCTTCCTGTGCTCTCCTTGCCTGGGGGCAGAGTGAGGAGAGACTGGCTATTCTGCTCACGGTGTCCTTGGTCCCCGACCTCTGGATGGCCATGTCTCCGCCCCCCCACGGAGTCACCACCCAGCCTCACGAATTCCTGGTCATCTTGAAAAACCCAGTGCAGTGGTCAGGACCCCACAGGATCTCAGGGGCTCTGCCAGAGCCCCGGCCCAGCGGTCAGGCCCCCACCAACTGTGGTCACGGTGCACCTCCGTCCCCGGCATGGAGGGCCCTGACCCCCTACACCAGCCTGTTGGGCCCCTGGCAGGGTCTGCTGAGGCCTCTGCACCTGGCGCAGAGAGGTTGGGGGCAGAGACCTTGGGAGAGGCGCTCCCTGCCCCCTGCCCCCAGCTCCCACCTCTGCTTAGGAAGGGCAAACCCTGGGCTCTGACTCTTGCCCCAGCGTTGTGAGGCGACTCAGGGGCTGCCCCAGGGAAGCAGAGAGTGATGGTGACTCAGGGGACCCCCATGTCCTTGCCCAGAACTCCCCAGGGGTTCAGCCGACCTACTGCCACCAGTTCCCAGTGGAAGCCCCTCAGCCCCCAGGTGTGAGGGCATGGGCAGTGGGGCAGGGCAGGAGCCTGGATGATGGTATATGGGGTGGGGCGGCCCCCAACTATCTTGGCATGTTGGCCTGAGGACAGCTGGGGCCTTCACCCTGTGCCATGACCATTCCAGCTTCTTGTAGCAGCACCTGCATTTCCCTCTGGGCAGCCCCCTTTATCCATCCTCAGGTCATGGGGAGCTTGGGTGGGGCTGACACTCCCCTGCCTAGGAGTTGGCAGATGACCTGGGCGCGGCCAGCCAGACTGGACCCCTTAGCCTCGAGGCCTTTGCTGAAGCTCATGTGAGGGGGCGACTGCCCCTGACAGGTGTTGGATTCCAGCTGCTGTGGCCCTGAAGGTGGGTGGTGGGAAGAACGGGAGAATGAAGCCAGCCTTGGGAGAGGTAGGACGCCAGCCCGGCCCAGCTGCTTCCAGCATCTGGATCCAGCCTCACCTGAAGCCAGCCACCTCCTGGACTGCAAAGTCATTGTCAACACCGAAACACAGGGTTTCTGACCATTGCAACCCAGGGTCCCGGCGTGTCGTGGCTGCAGACCCTGCAGACCCCTATGAAGATGGTCCTGCCTGCCTTGCATCGGGCCTCTAGCTAGGGACTGTGGTTGCAGACGTAGTTCTGGGACTGAGCTCCTGGTGAGAGGCCAGTGGTGAGGGAAGAGAGACCAGCAGAGAAAAGAGTGGAGCCTCGGGCTGCTAGCAGAGTGGCAGAAACCGAGCCTGCGAGAGGAAAACATTGTTTCCCGCGGCCTCCTGCTGAGCCATGGGGACCCAGATATTGCGAAGTCCAGCTGGGGCCAACCCTAAGGAAGGAAGGAGGGAAGGGGACAGGGAGGGGTGAGGAGGAGAGGGAGGGAGTGACCTCTGCTTAGCACCTGCACTTGAGCAGCGGTGGCCTTTCACGCGCACACGCTTCCCCACCTGGAGCGCCGTCTCCAATGCTGTTTGTACACACACCAGCATTCTGACAGTCACTAAATGTTTTCTTTGAATGAGTTCACTTTTTCACCTAGAGTGCTTTCTAAAAGCAGACCATGATCGTGAATAGTAAGTATCACTTCCATAAATAGAAAGTGTCAGAAAAATAACTATCAGACGTTTTCAGCTTCTTGTCTTGCTTGGAAGCATCAGACGGTCTCTGAAATGCTGTCCCTCTGCTCCCCAGGTTGGCCCATCCTCTGCCACAGCTTGAGCCCCACCCACGGGGTCCCTGCTTGATGAGTGCTTCCCCTGTCCTCTGAGACCCTACTTCTGCCCCCGGAGGGGTGTCTGTCCAGGGGACCCCTCAGAGGTCCCACCCAGCCACTCCTGATCTCCCCACACAGGTGACTGGGCCACGGGGGCTCGTGGGCAGCCCTGGCCAGGGCTCAGTCCTCACTGTAGCAGGGAAGCTGCCGGCCCTCTAGGCAGGCCGCCCTCTGGGAACCCCTCTTCTCTCCAACTGCCCCAGCTCCAGGACAGGTTGGAAATGCTTTTGCCTGGCAGGGGAAGGCTGGACCAGTAACGATGGAAGTCTCCAGCATTAGTGGAGACATGGGGGCGGGGGAGCTTCCAGAGACGAGGTGTCCTGCTGGCCATGGCCTTGAGGGAACCTTGCAGCTGGCACGGGGTCTGCTGGGACTTGAGCATGTGGGTCCCTGGGGACCTGGGGAATGGCTCCGATGCTTAGGAGCTGTAAGAATGAGAGCTCCAGGGCAGCAGCCACCCGCTTCTCATGGCCCTCACGACCCGCAGCCCCTTTACCCTGGGAGCTGGGTGCCAGTGTCAGCATCCTGGCACACGTGTCCCTTAGGGCTCCCGGGAGCCACCCTTTCCTGCCCCTGTGGGTCTCCCATTTCTCCAGCAGCAGTGACCGCTTTCTCTTCCAGAAATGTGCCCCTGTGAGCCCTTCACAACTTCTGGTCATGCCTCCAAAATTCCAGGGAGGGGACAGAGCCCCTGGTGGAGAGGTGGGTGCCCCCCACCCTCACTGCTTCTCCGCTGGTGCTGGGTAGGAGTGCCCCATTCTCACCAGATCCTGGGCTCGGAGCCCGGGCCAAATACTGACCTCAGTGGGATCAGAACCTGAAAGCCCCTCTCTGGGGTGACTTTCTCAAGTGCTATCCTCAGTCTCCCTGGGCTCTCGCAGGATGGGGTCCCAGTCCCTGCAGGTGCCTCAGCCCAACCACTGAAGCAGATGACACCTTGGCCCGGGCATCTCTGTGGCCCGAGCTGGGGGAGGAGGTGACTTCCTGGGTCCCATCCCAAGAGCATCCACAGTGGCGTCGCCAGTGGAGGGGTGAAGCTGAGGGGCCCCACAGACCCCAGGCCCAGGGCTTGGTGGCTGCAAGAGCTGGGAGGAGCCCCATCCTCCAGGGCCTTCAGGGAAGGTGGAGCGGACTCTTTCCCAGCAGCTGCCCGTTTCCTGCAGTGCTGGCTGCTTGTTACCGTGAGACTGACAGGTACCCCAGAGCTGAGCTTGTGCCTGCCAGAGCCTTCATCCAACTAACCCCCGATCCTTTGGGCCCTTTCTTTCCCTTCTTTCCTTTGCTTCTTTTTTTTTTTTTTTTTTTTTTTTTTTTTGTAGAGGCAGAGTCTCTTGCGTTGCCCAGGCTGGTCACACACTCCTGGCCTCAAGTGATTTTCCTGCCTCGGCCTCCCAAAGTGCTGGGATTACTGGCATGAGCCTGGCCTGCAGCGTTTTGAAGCATGTTTCTAGGGCAGGTGGTCAGCAGACCGGAAGCCACGGCCCCACCACCCAGGCCTCTGTTTTCTCCCTGGTAGAGCAGGGATGCAGCAGCCCCGGCTTCCAGGGTCCCCCTGAGGAAGCCCAGGCCACCCAGTTCTGAGCAATGGGGGTTGGGCAGTTTCTCCAGGTCCAGTGGTTCCATTAGACCCAAGTGGACTGGAGCACAGTGGACCCTCAGGGCTCACGGTGGACCCTCGGGGCTCAGAGTGGACCCTCAGGCCCTCACAGCAGACCCTTAGCACTCATAGTGGACCCTCGGGCTCACGGCGGACCCTCAGGTGCTCAGATACTTTGCACTTAGGAAAGGAGCTATGCCTCTTGGTGACCAGGTCACGTAGGAAATGAGCCTAACCTGGAACCCGCCCCTTGACTACCTGACCTCTAGTACAGACAGGCAGCGAGTCGGCAGGTGAGTGGCAGCAGTCAGGCCCAAAGGGCCACTGACCACTGGCTGTCCCCTGGTGCAGAGAGGAAAACTGAGGCTCAGAGGGCCCATGAGGCCAGGAAGTAGAGTCAGGTCCCACCGAGGGGCTTCTGCTGACCCAAGACCCTGTGGAGGGAACCTGGAAGTGGAGGGACCTGCAGGTGCCCTGTATTCCCCCCAGGGGCTTGCCATCCTCCTGCCCTCCCAGCGCCCAGGAGGCTGAGCCTTGGCAAGATGGCAGCTTTTGCCTAAAATGCATCAAAGTGAGCAGAAAGAGTGGTGAGCAAAGTAGAATCTGCTTGTTTCCGAGGATCAGCGAGAAGGCACATGTGAAGCTCACCCCGGTTCTGTCTGTTTCTGCTCTCCTACGAAGACCCCATATGGAGCCAGTGACAACCGGGGCCCGTGGGGAAGGCAGGACGAGGACTGGGCCACGCTGCTCAGCACAGGGTCAGCTGGCTGGACTAGGGTGGGCTGGCCAGGCGCGGAGTGGGCTGGTCAGGCGTGGGCTGGGCTGGTCAGGCGTGGGGTGGGGTGGTCAGGCGTGGGGTGGGGTGGTGAGGTGAGGGATTGTCTGGTCAGGTGTGGAGTGGGCTGGTCAGGTGTGGGCTGGGCTGGTCAGGTGTGAGGTGGGGTGGTGAGGTGAGGGGTTGTCTGGTCAGGTGTGGAGTGGGCTGGTCAGGTGTGGGCTGGGCTGGTCAGGTGTGGGGTCGGCTGGTCAGGTGTGGGCTGGGCTGGGCTGGTCAGGTGTGGGGTCGGCTGGTCAGGTGTGGGCTGGGCTGGTCAGGTGTGGGGTGGGCTGGTCAGGTGTGGGCTGGGCTGGTCAGGTGTGGGCTGGGCTGGTCAGGTGTGCGGTGGGCTGGGCTGGTCAGGTGTGGGCTGGGCTGGTCAGGTGTGGGGTCGGATGGTCAGGCGTGGGCTGGGCTGGTCAGGCGTGGGGCGGGCTGGTCAGGCGTGGGCTGGGCTGGGCTGGTCTGGTGTGGACTGGGCTGGTCAGGCGTGGGGTGGGCTGGTCAGGCGTGGGGTCGGCTGGTCAGGTGAGGGGTCGGCTGGTCAGGCGTGGGCTGGGCTGCTCAGGCGTGGGCTGGACTGGTCAGGCGTGGGCTGGGCTGGTCAGGCGTGGGCTGGGCTGGTCAGATGTGGGCTGGGCTGGTCAGGTGAGGGGTCGGCTGGTCAGGCGTGGGCTGGGCTGGTCAGGCGTGGGGTGGGCTGGTCAGGCGTGGGCTGGGCTGGTCAGGTGTGGGCTGGGCTGGTCAGGTGTGGAGTGGGGTGGTGAGGTGAGGGGTTGTCTGGTCAGGTGTGGAGTGGGCTGGTCAGGTGTGGGCTGGGCTGGTCAGGTGTGGGGTCGGCTGGTCAGGTGTGGGCTGGGCTAGGCTGGTCAGGTGTGGGGTCGGCTGGTCAGGTGTGGGCTGGGCTGGTCAGGTGTGGGGTGGGCTGGTCAGGTGTGGGACGGGCTGGTCAGGTGTGGGACAGGCTGGTCAGGTGTGGGCTGGGCTGGTCAGGTATGGGCTGGGCTGGTCAGGTGTGCGGTGGGCTGGGCTGGTCAGGTGTGCGGTGAGCTGGGCTGGTCAGGTGTGGGGTGGGCTGGTCAGGCGTGGGCTGGGCTGGGCTGGTCAGGCGTGGGCTGGGCTGGTCAGGCATGGGGCCGGCTGGTCAGGCGTGGGGCGGGCTGGTCAGGCGTGGGGCGGGCTGGTCAGGCGTGGGCTGGGCTGGTCAGGCGTGGGGTCAGCCTGGCCCCTGCCCGCTGGCTGCTCCAGCAGGCTCCACCACGGCGTCAGAATGTCCGTGGTGCTCCCGTTCCCGCTGCACGTGTCATTATGTCCTCTTTTCCACCACAGGTACCATATCCTGTTCTCTTTGGAAAAGCTCTACTCCACCTGTTCCCTAATCTTCGGTGTGCTTAAGCTCTGCAGGCCTGTCTATTTTTTTTCTTTTTCTTAAAACATTATTTTCTTTTCAGGAACCTGCCAGTTCAGGGAGGCCCACCTTTCTAGAAGGTTAACAGGAACTTCCAGCCTCCAGCCTACTTAGTGACCAGCTGCTGGAGGACAGTGAGTGGCCCCTGCTGTCCGCATCTCCACAGGGGTCACCAAGCGCACTCACAGGGTCCCCCTCCACCTGGAGCAGAGAATTCGGAGGAGCCCGTCTTGCTGTCTTTTCTGATGTTGTTAAACTATGCTTGGGCCTGTCCTTTGCTGAAAGGAGCTTTCTACACAGCTGGACTTCTGAGGTGGGACCTGCCACGTGCTAACTCTGGCACTCGGAGCGGTCTCTGCCACTGGCAATGTCCTGTCCTGAACATTTCCAGTGTGGCCTCTCTCCTGAAAGGCCTGTGTGCGACTTCTTTGTGAAGCCGGAAGAAAGTTCTGGGACTTCCCCTTCTCCTTTGGTGCAAAGTTACACTAACTGTCATGATGTTGTTGATTTCCTTTTTTTTTTTTTTTTTTTTGAGAGTCTCACTCTGTTGCCTAGACTGGAGTGCAATGGCGTGATCTCGGCTCACTACAGCCTCCGCCTCCTGGGTTCAAGTGATTCTCCTGCCTCAGCCTCCCAAGTAGCTGGGATTACAGGCGCCTGCCACCACGCCTGGCTAATTTTGTATTTGTAGTAGAGACGGGGTTTCACCATGTTAGCCAGGCTGGTCTTGAACTCCTGACCTCAGATGATCCGCCCACCTCAGCCTCCCAAAGTGCTGGGATTACAGGCGTGAGCCACCGTGCCCGGCCTTGATTTCCTTCTTAAGCAGAGCTGAGTCTCTGTCTCTGTCCACACCAGTGCCTCCTGGGCCTTCCTGAGCACGTGTGGCTGGCATCGCTTCCCATCTCTGCTCCCTGTGGCATCTTGCTGTGTCCCCGGCACCTCTGCAAAGCACAGCCACAATGCATGCTGAATGCATCAACATGCAGAATTCACTCACGGGTCACACAGTTAGTCAAAAATGTCGATGCCCTGCCAGATGGAGAGATGGGAGAGAATACGGATCCCTCCATGAGTCCAAGCCTGACGTGCACTCCCCTCGGGCCTCCTCTTCCTGTGCTCCAGGTTTTCTGTTTCAAGGCCGCTCTTCCCTTCCTTACTGTGTGTCAGCTCAGTCATGGATTTTAAACAATGCTTTCCATATATATATATAATATATGTACTATATATTATATATGTATATATATAATATGTATTATATATAATGTATGTATAATATATATAATTATATATATATGTATTTTTTTTTAGATGGAGTCTTGCTCTGTCACCCAGGCTGGAGTGCAGTGGTGCAATCTTGGCTCACTGCAACCTCTGCCTTCCGGGTTCAAGTCATTCTCCTGCCTCAGCCTCCTGTGCTTTCCATATTTTATACAGATTGTTTGCCAGGCACAGTGGCTCACACCCGTAGTCCCAACTACTTGGGAGGCTGAGGCGGGAGGACCCCTTGAGCCTAGGAGTTTGAGGCTGCAGTGAGCTATGATTGCACCCCTGCACTCCAGCCTGGGGAACAGAGCAAGATCCCCATCTCTAAAAAATAATTAAAAAATAGGCCGGGCGCGGCAGCTCATGCCTGTAATTCCTGCACTTTGGGAGGCTGAGGCAGGCAGATTGCTTGATGTCAGGAGTTGGAGACTAGTCTGGGCAGCACAGCGAGACCCCTGTCTCTACAAAATGTACCAAAAAAAAATTAGCTGGATGTGGTGGCACGAGCCTGTAATCCCAGCTACTCAGGAGGCTGAGGAAGGAGAATCACTTGAGCCCGGGAGGTCAAGGTTGCAGTGAGCCATGATTGCGCCTCTGTACTCCAACCTGGGCAACAGAGTGAGACCCTGTCTCAAAAATAATAATAATAATACCAATAAAACACATTATACAGATCTTTTATTGTTTCATTGAGAAGATCTTGCAGGTGACCTGACTTACCATATTGCTGAAAATAGTCATTGATTTCCTTAATCATTTGATTTTCATTCAGGGGCCAAATCTGGTCCACAAATATGTTATAAAAGTAGGTAACTGCGGCCGGGCACGGTGGCTCATGCCTGTAATCCCAAGACTTTGGGAGGCCGAGGCGGGCAGATCATGAGGTCAGGAGATCAAGACCAGCCTGGCTAACATGGTGAAACCCCGTCTCTACAAAAAATACACAAAAAAATTAGCTGGGCGTGGTGGCGGGCGCCTGTAGTCCCAGCTACTCAGGAGGCTGAGGCAGGAGAATGGCATGAACCCAGGAGGCGGAGCTTACAGTGAGCCGAGATCGTGCCACTGCACTCTAGCCTGAGTGACAGAGCGAGACTCTGTCTCAAAAAAAAAAAAAAAAAAAAGTAGGTACCGGCCGGACGCAGTGGCTCACGCCTGTAATCCCAGCACTATTGGAGGCCAAGGTGGGTGTATCACTTGAGGTCAGGAGTTCAAGACCAGCCTGGCCAACATGGTGAAATCCCGTCTCTACTGCAAAAACTCAAAAATTAGCCAGGCGTGCTGGCACGCGTCTGTAGTCCCAGTTACTCTGGAGGCTGAGGCAGAAGAATCACTTGAACCTGGGAGGCGGAGGTTGCAGTGAGCCAAGATAGTGCCACTGCACTCCAGCCTGGGCAACACAGTGAGACTCTGTCTCAAAAAAAAAAAAAAAAAGGTACCGGCCAGGTGCGGTGGCTCACGTCTGTAATCTCAGCACTTAGGGAGGCCGAGGCAGGTGGATCACTTGAGGTCAGGAGTTCAAGACCAGCCTGGCCAACATGGTGAAACCCCATCTGTATTAATAGTAAATCCAAAAATTAGCTGGTTGTGGTGATGCACGCCTGTAGTCCCAACTACTCGGGAGGCTGAGGCGGGAGAATCACTTGAACCCAGGAGGTGGAGGTTGTAGTGAGACAAGATTGCGCTACTGCAATCCCACCTGGGCAACAAGAAGGAAACTCTGTCTCAAAAAAAAAAAAAGAAAAGAAAAAAGAAAAAACATATTGTCCTGGCTGCTGAGGGGCCTAAGGCCACACACGTGGCAGTTAGCTCAGCCGTGCACCTGTGGGAGTGACAGACCTCAGCCTGGAAGACATTATCTGTGGATCTCCAGTGCAAAAGTGGCCAGTACCAAAATGGAGTCACTTATGTCAAACCCTGAAAAATGGAGCCAGGAGGCCACGAAGGACGGGCTCTCCCAGGTGTGCCAGGAAAGAAACTACGGAATTTCTCAAAACCACAGTACTGCCGCTAAGCTGCCTGCACGAGGACGCTTGCCTGACAAGGGCCGTCTTCACCTCCAGATGAATGCCAACTCCTGCAACAAGCCTGATACAGTTTGGCTGTGTCCCCATCCAAATCTCATCTTGCATTTCCCACAATCCCCACGTGTTGTGGGAGGGACCTGGTGGGAGGTAATTGAATCATGGGGCCAGTTACCCCCATGCTGTTCTCGTGACAGTGAGTTCTCAGGACATCTGGTAGTTTTATAAGGAGCTTTTCCCCTTTGCTCAGCAGGTTTCTCTCCTGCAGCCAGGTGAAGGATGTGTTTACTTCCCCTTCTGCTGTGATTGTTAAGTTTCTTGAGCCACGTGGAACTGTGGGTCAGGTAAACCTCTTTCCTTTATAAATTACCCAGTCTCAGGCAGTTCTTCGTAAGACCGTGAGAATGGACTAACACAAAGTCCCCGTCACCTATGCTCTTTGCTTCAAAGCAGCTTAGGTGGGCTTCTCCTTTCTGTTTTTTTAGAAGCTTCCCCTGTCCCAGCCTCTCTGGATGTGCCTGTGGTCTGCCATAGCACGCATATCCCAAACTGCAATTCCCCGTCATTCCTGGAGAAACTCTTTGGAGAGTCATCTCTCTGCTGTTGTGGCCATAGCGGGCCCATTTCCTGATGCATGGAATGTCACTGCGCCAACACCACGGGTTGCAGCAGAAAGAGAGTTTTAATCCTAAGGCTGCTGTACAAGGAGATGGCGTGAAGCAAGCAGGCTGCAGGGATCTTGTGGCCATCCGGGGGTCTCCCCATTGCTTCTGGTTCCCTCGGCCCATTTCTTTGGAATCCTGCCGACGCTGCTGTTTCATCCCTCCAGCCCACAGCTAGAATCACCCCAAAAGTGGCAGCAGGCAAGTTCCAACAAGGGACTGCCTCAAACCATCCTGAGGTGGGGCTGGTTGGTCCC
The DNA here is from genome assembly GCF_000001405.40 of Homo sapiens. Taxonomy (NCBI): domain Eukaryota; kingdom Metazoa; phylum Chordata; class Mammalia; order Primates; family Hominidae; genus Homo; species Homo sapiens. The sequence goes on from NC_000001.11 coordinate 1,611,036, forward strand.
AAAGAAAAGAAGCACTAAACGCCAGGGTGATCGGCCCAAAGCATTTGTTCGGGGAATTTATGTACAGAGGGAGGCAGCACATCCTCGGGCTGACAGCAAGAGATGGAGAGGTTCCACCTAGGAATGCCTGCACCCAGGGGCTAGAGTGGAGAGTTTTACAGGAGGATTTAAGAAATGTGACTCTTGTTTCCACATATTTAGCAACATGTTTGATCTCTCAGTGTTTCAGACAACAACCTAGTTCATCAGTAACTGAGAATACTCAAGGTCCTGGCCGGGCTTCAAGACTGCAGGGAAAGCATGCAGTGGGCCAGGCTCTGTGCTTCTCAGGCAGGACACAGAGAGAAAGCAGGGGCTCTGGTGAACCTTCCAGTAGAATAAGCAACTGTCCAGACATGGGCCCTCCCCAGGAAGTTACTAGGGGTCTTACTTCAGCAAAGTAAAGGAGTAAAGCCAGAAGGAGGAGGACGCAGATTCCAGGAAACAGCTGTTAACAGAAAAGCCAAACTCTGAATAAGACATTCTTTCCTCCTTCTTTTTTTTTTTTTTTTTTTTTGGAGACAGAGTTTTGCTCTCGCTGCCCAGACTGGAGTGCAACAGCGCAATCTTGGCTCACTGCAGCCTCTGCGTCCCGGATTCAAGTGATTCTCCTGCCTCAGCCTCCTGAGTAGCTGGGATTATAGGCGTGTGCCACCACGCCCAGGTAATTTTTGTGTTTTTAGTAAGAGACGGGGTTTCACCACGTTCCTCAGGCTGGTCTCGAACTCCTGACCTCCTGATCCGCCCGCCTCGGCCTCCCAAACTGCTGGGATTACAGGCGTGAGCCACCACGCCCGGGCTCTTCTTTTTTTTAAAGAGGGCTTCATTCTGTTGCCCAGGTTAGAGTGCAGTGGTGCGATCTCAGCTCACTGCAGCCTCCGTTTCCCAGGCTCAAACGATCCTCCCACCGCAGCCCCCAGAGTAGCTGGAACCATAGGCACGTGCCACCACACCCAGCTAAGTTTTGTATATTTTGTAGAGATGGGATTTCAACATGTTGCCCAGGATGGTCTCTAAATCCTGGGCTCAAGTGGTCCAATCACCTCAGCCTCCCAGAGGGCTGGGATTACAGGCATGAGCCACCATGTCCAGCTTCACAAAATACTTTCAAAAGGTTTACTTTGAGCCAATATGAATGACTGTGGGCCCCAGGAAAACACACATCCGAGAAGCCTTCAGTAAGTGGTTCTGAAGTGGTCGGTTTAGTTTGGTTTTGTACACTTTAGAAAGGCAGGAGTTATAAGCAAAGACATAAATACATACATAGAAGGTATACGTTGGTTTGGCCTAAAAAGGTGGGATATCTTGAAGTGGGGGCTTATAGGTTATAGGCGGATCCACCCGGCTGGAAACTCAGTTTTAAAAATTTCTCTGGGGTCCCCTTGGTCAAAAGGGAATCTGTTCAGTTGGTGGAGGGCTGGCTGGGTGTGGTGGCTCACATCCCAGCACTTTTGTTTTTTCTTTTTCTTTTCTTTTTTTTTTTTTGTTTTTTTTGTTTTTGAGACGGAGTCTCACTCTGTCACCCAGGCTGGAGTGCAGTGGCCAGATCTTGGCTCACTGCAACCTCTGCCTCCTGGGTTCAAGCAATTCTCCCACCTCAGCCTCCCAAGTAGCTGGGACTACAGGCGAGCACCACCAAGCCCGGCTAATTTTTGTATTTTTAGTAGAGATGGGGTTTTGCCATGTTGGCAAGGCTGGTCTCCAACTCCTGGCCACAGGTGATCCTCCCACCTTGGCCTCACAAAGTGTTGGGATTACAGGCGTGAGCCACTGTGCCTGGCTGGTTTTTTTTCTTTTTTTTTTTTTTTGAGACAGAGTCTTCCTCTGTCACCAGGCTGGCGTACGGTGGCATGATCTTGGCTCACTGTAACCTCCGATTCCTGGGTTCAAGCCATTCTCCTGGCTCAGCCTCCCAAGTAGCTGGGATTACAGGTGCCCACCACCACACCCAGCTAATTTTTGTATTTTTAGTAGAGACGGGGTTTCACCATGTTGGCCAGGCTGGTCTCGATCTTATGACCTCATGATCTGCCTGCCTTGGCCTCCCAAAGTGCTGGGATTGCAGGCATGAGCCACCGCGTCTGGCTTTTTTTTTTTTTTTTTTTGAGACGGATTCTTGCTCTGTTCCCCAGGCTGGAGTGCAGTGTCACGATCTCAGCTCACTGCAACCTCCACCTCCTGGGCTCAAGCAATTCTCCTGCCTCAGCCTCCCAAGTAGCTGGGACTACAGGCGTGCACCACCATGCCTGGCTAATATTTTTTTTTTTTGTATTTTTGTATTTTTAGTAGAGACAGGGCTTCACCATGTTGGTCAGGTTGGTCATGAACTCCTGACCTCAAGTGATCTGCCCTCCTCAGCCTCCCAAACTGCTGGGATTACAGGCGTGAAGCCATCGCACCCAGCCAATCCCAGCACTTCAGAAGGCAGAGGTGAGCAAACAGCATAGCCCAGGAGTTTGAGACCAGCCTGGGCAACATGGTGACACCCTGTCTCTACTAAAAATTTAAAAATAACCGGCATGGTGGTGCATGTCTGTGGTCCTAGCTACTCAGGAGGCTGAGGTGGGAGGATCACTTGAATCCAGGAAGCAGAGGCTGCAGTCAACCAAGATAGTGCCACTGCACTCCAGCCTGGGCAACAGAGCAAGACCCTGTCTCAAATACAAAACAAAACAAAAAACAGTTGGTAGAGAGCTTAGGATTTTATTTTTCGTTTACACAGGGAATCCAAGAAAGGAGACAGACAAAGTGAGTCTCAAGGATGAGAGCAGAGAAAAGCTCGAGATAAGAGCTGTGCAGCCGGGTCAGGAAGTGATCGGTCTAGGTCGGAACAGGAGAATCAGTTAGACACAACGGATGTGTTTGAGCCTTTGGAAAACGGTATCGTTAGGCATGTGGCGAAAACGTTGGGGTACTTGAAAAAAAGGCTGGCCATGGGTTAGTAAAAAGCTAGATATGTGAAAATATTAGGTAATTATTAACTCAAAAGAAAAAAAAAGATTGTACAGGAATTGTGGCATGGTTTTATACTGTAGCAGTGAACAGCAGGTACTCAATCATGAAGAGCTAAGCCTGATTTCATCACGACAGCTGTGAAAGTTGCAGGTACCAAAATGGAACTACTTCCACCAATCCCTAAACAAATGGAGTCGGGAGGCCACGAAGGGGGAGCTCTCATGCAGGAATACCTGCAGCAGGCCTCCTCACAAGACGCTCCTGCACGTCCTGCACGTTTGCCTGTAACCGGACTTACTGCAGGGAAATTCCTCAGGACTGCAGTATTCTAGATAAGCAGCTTGCACAAGGACGTCGGCCTGGTAAGGCTCTCTCCAACAACAAGCTAACGCCCACTCCTGCAGCAAGCGCCCACAGCCAGTGGTTTTTGTTACAAAACAACTTTTGTGAGCTCATCTGTATTTTCCCCTTCGCCCGGCCCTCTCAGATAGGCCTATGATCTGTCATGGCACGAACAGCCTAGGCTGCAACCCCCTGCGATTCCCAGATTAACTCACTTGTCCTGGAGAGCCTGCCTCTGGGTTTCCTTTCAGGTTGACAGTTTGGGAGCTAACAGGACCACGTGAGGGGTGCAGCGGGGAAGATCAGCCAGGTTCTCAGGGACCTTCTCCGGAAGTACGCAATGTCTACAATTAAGAAATGAGAGGCCGGGCGCGGTGGCTCACGCCTATAATCCCAGCACGTTGGGAGCCCTAGGAGGGCAGATCACGAGGTCAGGAGTTCGAAATCAGCCTGGCCAAAATGGTGAAACCCCGTCTTGACTAAAAATGCAAAAATTAGCTGTGCGTGGTAGCGCATGCCTGTAGTCCCAGCTGCTCGGGAGGCTGAAGCAAGAGAATAGTTTAAGCCCTGGAGGCGGAGGTTGCAATGAGCCGAGATCGCGCCATTGCACTCCAGCCTGGGCGACAGGGCGAGGCTCCGTCTCCAAAAAAAAAAAAAGAAAGAAAGAAAGAAATGAGAAACTAGCAGTGCATTGTTCAGAAACGCGGAGACTTCTCTCAGGAGAAAGCGAGAAGCAAGCGTCCAACTCTGGGGTGCAGAACCCGGGGCGGGAGGACGGGCCCGGACTGCCGTTTCTCGCTGTGTCCAGGTCTGCGTGACTCAAAACCCCGGATAGGGCCCGCACTGGTGGAGTCGGAAAGAGGTGGCTGCGGCGCGGCAAGTGCCGCCAGTGCCAGCGAGCGCGACGTCGCTCCCAAGCCCCCGTCTCTATGGCAACCGAGTGCGTCTCTAGGACCGCCACTGCGCAGGCGCCCGGAGGCTAAGCCGCTCGGAACCTAGCTGCGCCACGCAGGGTAGGCGACGCAGACGCTCCCGCGTGACGCACTTCCGGTGCTTGCCCTGCCCATCCCCGTGGCGGGGGCGTGGCCATGGCGGGGGCGCTCCGGCGGGGGCGGGCCCTGGGCTCCCGCCCTTCGGGTCCCACAGTTTCCAGCCGCCGCTCTCCTCAGTGCCCGGTGGCCCAGGAGGGCCTGGGAGCCCGAAGCCGTCCCCGAGTCGCTCCTAGGTCACTGGCGCGATGCGGGCCGTCCTCTCGGCTGATGGTGCGTGCGGGCGCGGATCTCCTCCCCTGGTCCTCCGCACCGTCCCCGAGTCGTTCTCCGCTCTGGCAGAACGCGAGCGCCGTCCGGTTCCCGCTCCCGCTGGCCCAGCAGCCCCGGGCTGGACTCGGCGTAGGGTCCGCACGGGATGGGCTGGGGCTGCGCGCGCAGCGCCGCCGCGGGGCCTCCTGGGAGTTGTGGTCCGGCCACCCGCGCGGGACTCCAGCTCCCGGCAGGCCTCGCGCGGCCCGGGGCCAGCGGCGCTGGGGTCGGCGCTGGGGTCGTCGTCCGGGCCGGGTGGGCTGCGGCGCGCGGCAGGCGCTCTGGCCTGGCCTGGCCGCCGCTGAGCAGTCGGGGCCGGTGGGTGGCCTCGAACGCCGGGACAGACCGACAGACGGACTGGCCGGCGGTCCCGCGCCCCCGAGCGGAGCGGGCGGGACGGAAACGTCCGGGCAAGTTGGGGTCGGCAGGTACTGCGCGGCCCTGGCAAGGTCTGGCAGCGGACAGGGCCGGGCGGCCTCCGCGAGCCACGGGCACGAATGACAGGGGGCGGGGCGCGCTCCGGGTGGGGGTGCCCGCCGTGCCCGCCCCTGGCCCGCCCGTTCCCCTGCGCCGGCGCCCGTGCGCGTCCCGGAGCCTCCTGACGTCTGCGAGCCGCGGCCGCCAGACCCCGGGCGCACGCAATTACGGGCCCGGCGCTGGCGGCTCCTGCGCGCTCAGACCCCAGGGAGCCCATCCGGGCAGGCGGCGGCCCTGAGTGTCGCGGCCGTGGGCCCGAGTGGACCTGGAGCCGGCGGGCAGCCCCGGGGGCAGACAGGCGACCGAGCCGCGGGTCGAGGTGCTAACTGTGCATCTTGGCATCTCCCCTCGGCCACAGGGTTGGAAGCCCAGCGAGGCTAGAGGCCAGTCCCAAAGTTTCCAGGCATCAGGGCTGCAGCCCAGGAGCCTCAAGGCGGCCCGGCGGGCGACTGGACGGCCGGACAGGTGAGCTCTTGATCGTCCGCGGCCTGATAGTTTGCACTTGGCTCTCCCACTTTGGGGCTCCGTGGAAGCCACGTCAGAGAGGCTGTGTTTGTGTCTGAGCATGCATGCGAGTGGAGGGGAGTGGTGAGTAATCCCGCGTCTCCTCTCTGAGTTCGGAACCCATGGAGGAAGAAAGCAGAGGTGCCAGACAGGCCTCTGATAGGCACCTGCAGGATTGGGGCAGAGCGGCCGCAGCGCAGGAGCGCCGGCAAGCCTGGCCCTTCCCGGGAGGCCCCCTTTGTCCGGTTCCACCCTGGCCTGTTGCCTCACATGCAACAAGTGTCTGAATGTGGCGCTCTCCTGGCCGAGGGCAGCCCTGGGCGGTGAGTGGGATGACACCCCAGCCTGCAGGGTGCCTGTAGGTCTCCACCCAGATGGGCAGGATTGGAGGTGGCCGCAGCGCTCGTGGGCTTTCCCTCAGCAGGTGTCTCCATGCTGGCCTCCCCGCCTCAGGGCTTCATCCCACTCCGTGGGCCTGATCTCCCTGGGGCACCTGGGATGTCCATCTGCGTTAGCTGGAGCTACTCCATGGCCTGTGGCGTGCCACACACAGCGGCATTTCGGTGTCATTAGGCACAGCTGGAGGTGCAAGGAGGAGGGCAGCCTCATGTCCAGTTCCATGTAACTTGCTTCTTCTGAATAAAGGCAATTTGCTAACTTTCTCGCTAAATAGGATTTGGTTTCTATGGCTTTTAAAGCTTCTCCGATAAAATACTTGCAATAAGGGAACTCTCTCCTCCTACACTCTCCTGACTGATGGTTCGGAAGTCCTCCTGCCCTCTGAGAGCTTGCAGTTTCTTGTGAAAAAGAGAAACTAAGCAGCAATAGAACAGACCCGGTGTCTGCTTGCGTGGTTAAGACGGTAAATGCTAAATGTGTGACACTGCCTTTAGAAACCATTTTCTCCAGCCTGGCTTGCTGGCTGCCCGTCTGGTTTGCTGTGTTGTGTCTCCAGTGGCTTTAGCTTCCAACAGGAAAGCCTGGTAGCCGAGCGAATCTGTGACCCAGGAAGTAGCAATTAAATGCCTGGGACGCTGCCTCGAGGCTGGTGTGTGCTCTGAGGTAAGTTCCGATTTGCCAAAGCACATCTGTCGATCTGTCGCCCGAGTCTTCACACCCTGACTGCCTCCATCATTTTAAACATCGGGAGCAGTTGCCTGCAGCGGGGTTCAGATGCCAGCCAGGGGCACAGCCTGTGAACTGTGGGTAGATGGCAAAGTCTAGCATTTCTGGCAAAGGAAAAAACATTTGGTAACTCTCTGAGTAAATTTCTGACTGAGATGAAGATACCCATTGTGGGGCAGCATCCTGAAGCGGAAGCCTGGGCTGTATGTTTCCAAGAGGAGGAGCAGGAGTGGCCACAGCCATGTACGCCACGATGTACACCAGGGGCTGCGTGGCCACAGCTCTGGTCTGCTGGTCTGCTCCCTGGAGCCCCTCCACCAGTGCTGGGCTGTGGCTGTGGCTGTCTCTGGTTTGTCTTTCTGGGAAACCTTGGCCAGGTTGGTGTGAGGGCAGGGCTAGCCTTGGACATCTGCACTTCCCATAGCAGCCTCTGGCCCAGAGCTCACCCGCTGTGGGCAGGTGATCAGGGTGATCAGGTCCCACGGGTCCCCTCCTCTGCACCTGGAGCCTTGTGGGTGTAGAACAGAAAAATAGGAGGGGGCAACCCAGAGGCCTCCTGCTCTCCAGGAAGGAATGGATGCTGGACAGGTCCAGGGTGGAGGCAGAGGGAGTGAGGGGCCCTTGGGGGAACATCTGTCCTAGAGGGCTTGATTTCCAGGCTGCCCACCCCACTCCTACCCCTAATCTGGTGTTCCTCACCTGCCTCCAGGAAGTCCTCACCTGAGGTCTGCAGCGGGTGTGCCAAGCGCCAGCCCCACATCACCTGCTCCCAGGCCTGCCCAGGGGATGGGTCCTGTGGCCAGTACCCTCGGGGTCAGCTTGACCCAGACCCAGCCCAGAACCTGTCCCATGGCCCCAGGAGGACAGGATGGTCAGGGAAGCCCAAGGGATGAGCCCTTTTGTCCACAAGCTTCCCTCTGACATGGGCAGGCTGCTTGTGCGACCCCACAGCCCCCACCTCTCATGAACAATGGGAATGGGGCAGGCCCCTCGATGCTGGGCTGGATCCTCCCGCCCCTAAGCAGGTGCACTCTGTCCCCTTTGAGAAGAGACCAAGGGATACAAGTGCTGGGTCCTGGCGGGGTGCCCCTCCTCCCTGCCTGTGGGGGTCTCATTACTGCCTCCTGCCCCCACCACAAACACCCCCTAGAGAGGCCTTCGGAGGCAGGTACTGAGCCCTGGGGCCAGGGTGCCAGGAGCCCAGTGGCAGGTCTTGGGTGACTGCTGGCCCTGGGGCAATGGTGAGAAAGCCAGGCAGGCAGCTGCAGGAAGGAGCTGAGGAGAAAGGCGGCAGAGCCTCAAAAGCTGCTGGCGGCCGGGCACAGTGGCTCACACCTGGAATCCCAGCACTTTGGGAGGCCGAGGCGGGCGGATCACGAGGTCAGGAGATCGAGACCATCCTGGCTAACACGGTGAAACCCCCGTCTCTACTAAAAAATAGAAAAAATGAGCCAGGTGTGGTGGCAGACGCCTGTAGTCCCAGCTACTCGGGAGGCTGAGGTAGGAGAATGGCGTGAACTTGGGAGGCGGAGCTTGCAGTGAGCTGAGATTGCGCCACTGCGCTCCAGCCTGGGCGACAGAGCGAGATTACGTCTCAAAAAAACCAAAACTGCTGGCCCCTCCAGAGGGTCCAGGATACTGAGCTCCTGAGCCTGGGATCCACGCGCATGTGGTCTGTCTGCACACTGGCACCGCAGAAGGGTTGGCAGGCGGGCAGGCATGGCTGGAGACCCCGCTCAGATGAGGCGGCCACTCCAGGGCAGTGCCATGCTGGACAGAAGGGACTGCCTTGGAAGTGGGACAGACCCCAGACCCTTGGGGTGGGGGCCCTGCAGGGGAGGCCTTGAGGAGGCGCCGGGTCTACAGGCCCCTGTGTGCTCACATCCCAGCCCCCGGGGAGAGGTGGGAGTGGGTGGGCGCACCCAGCTCCCCTGTCCAGGCTCGTCCCCCTTGTTGGGGCAGCCCTCAGCAAGTGGGGGGCTGGTTCCAGGCACAAGAAGTGAGGCCAGGGAGGAAGCCCTGCCTGTGTTCAGCCCAGTTGTGCCCCAACTCAGGTGGGCTTCCATGAGGGACAGCCTCTGGGAGGGTGGGGGTTTGTGGGCCAGGGCTGGAGAGCTGCCTGGCTGTGCTAAAAATACCGGGCATGCTGCAGACAGGTGCCAGTCTGGGGCACAGGCTACCCTGTCTCAGGCTGATGGCCTTGGCACTCCACCCCACTGCCCCTGTGACGCGGGGGCCGCCAAGGCTTGGTCTTGATTCCCAGAGGCCCTGCTGGTGACCTCCCCGACATCTCTGCCCTCTGCCCATCCCCCCAAGGGCAAGATTTGCCAAAGCACAGGACACATTGGCTCACACATGGGGCACCCTGCCCCTGTCTTTTTGGAAAGGTCCAATGGCATATGGCCAGCGGGTCGGGCAGGTGTGGCCGCTGGCCTGGGCTAAGCTGGCTGTGGCTGAGAGTCTGGGCGCAGAGACAGAAGGCGCCCCCTGCTGCAGAAGGATCACAGTGTGGGCTCATGGCATTGGCTTTTTTGCGGTCCCAAGTCCTTCATCTCCATTGCCGGGCCCATCTCGGGGGTCGGCAGATGCGTGTCCCCTACTAGCAAAGACCTCCAGTCGGTTCTGCGGCTGCCTGTGATGAGCCCTGCTCTGGCTAAGTGGAGGTGTTTGGCAGGGAGGAGTCCCCGGCTTAGTGTGATTCCAGCTGTGGCCGATTCTGGTGGGATCCTGGCAAGGAGGAGGTTGCGTGTGGATCTGGTGGAGGTGGACGGCCTGGCAGGGGGTGGGGTCTGCAACCCTAAGGAGCAGTGCCCCTCTCACTTGTCCCCCCGCCAGCAGACTGCTGCGTCGGCCTCCCCGGCCTGTGCCATTCTGTGGCGAAGGTCCCTGTGTAGAGGAGGCTGGAGTGGGGGAGCTCAGCCCAGGCCATGCCTCACCCTTCTTGGGTGCTCCATGGGCAAAAGCTGAGGTCAGTTTGTGGATCCTGGGAGCAGGAACCCTGCAGAGCCTGCCCCCCAGCTGGTGGCAGAGCAGGCAGTGGGGAGCTGCTGGGGCAGGAGGGAGTGACCTCCCTCCAAGACAGCCCCCAGTGGGGATGGGAGGGTCTGCAGAGATCTGGAGAGTCAAGTGTCATGACCCAGGTGGGGCCATGGAGCTGGGCTGGCCGGTGGAACTGTGTCCACCTGGACATGCTCTGGGTGAGGCGCAGTCAGCGCTGGGATGGCTAGAAGCGGCCTGTGCTGGGCGGGTCCTCGGGACACAGGGGCTGCCGCTGTCACAGAAGCCTGGCACAGATTCTCTCTGGTTCTTATGTTTCATTCATGCAGCCATTCAGTCAAAGCTGAAGCTGGTGGGGTCCTGGCCAAACAGGACGCAGCAGTGCACCACCTGGGGGCTGCCCTCAGAGGCCCCGCGAGGGGAATAGTGCCACAGGGGCCCATGGGGAGGGCCTGTGGGTCACCCTGGGTGGTGGGTGGGCTCCTGGCTCCGCGGGGCCTCCGAGGGCAAGGTGGGGTTTCTCTGGCTGCCGGCTGTGGAAGCCGCTCATGCGGAGGCCCAGCCGGGAGGCTGCAGGAGGCCGTGGGGAGGGCAGAGCCAGCTGCCTTCCCTGATGGCTGTGGAGCTGCCCACGGGACCCCTCTCCTTGTCTGGGGCTCACTGGTGCCACAGGAAAAGGAAGCCCCGGTGCTGGAGCCTGCCCTGGCCCAGGCCTTGGTGCACATCTCGGCAGCGTCACCCGACAGGTGAGGGAGGCAGCGTCACCCGACAGGTGAGGCCTCTGGACAGATGAGGCCATGTGGGGTTTCCCTGAAGAAGCAGAGCCCGGCTGCTGGGTGGGGGCTCCTCTTAGTCACTGACAGGGAGAGCTGTGCTTGTAAAACATCCACCCATTCCTGTGGAAGCTCTCGCGGTCCTGGGCAGGGTGAGGAGGGAGCATTGGAGAGGCCAAGCTGGCCAGGAAGTTTGTGCCCCTGAGAATTAGAGGGAGTCCTGTGCTCCAACTCGCAGCCGGGGCACGGATCGGGGGCACGGATCGGGAGCCCAGCCCTGCAGGCAGAGCCTCTGCACTGGACTCAGTCTCCGGAGTGGGGCTGGGCTCCTCACCGGGCCTTGCTCGGGGGACAACCTGTGGGGCTCAGGCCCCTGAGTCAGAGCAGGAGTCGGGGGCTTTGCTGTGGCCCCTCCTCACTGCTCACCTGCAGCCTCTCCCGGGCCAGGGTGTCTCCTGAACTGGCCTGAGATGCAAAGCACTGGGTTGCAGTGCTGCCCAGGTGGAGGGCTGGCCTGTGAGGCCCAGGCTGGCCTGTGTCCTGGAGTTGGCAGGGCCCCCTCCCATCCTCAGCCACATCCACCCAGTCTCAGGGGTCCCTCCAGCCTCCTGGGACTGCCGTGTCCCCCACCTCTGCTTCAGGCAGTGTTCCTGGGCTGCCTCCTTCCCTGGCCATGGGGTCCTAGTGGTTTAATGAAAATTGAGTGGTGGCCCTCCCCTCCCCGCCAGGCTGGAGTGTAGTGGTGCGATCACAGCCAGCTGTAGCCTCCACCTTCTGATTTTCCCTCTTAATGTTCACATCCATTCTTCTTGTTAACGAGACTGTGCTGAAGCCCAGCATGGTGGAGAGAGGCAGCCCACGGTGACTCACGTCTGCAGAGTGAGCTCTCGGGGGTCAGCGCCCAGACTGGGGATTAGCAGTCCTGGGCCTCGAGCCCTGTGGCTGACTCCATCCCTGCCTCCGGCAGCCTGGATTTGCACCTTTGTATAAACGGAGCCGCCTGGCATGGCGTTTGCACTTGGCTACTTCCCTCCATCTGCTGGTGAGCTCTGGCTTGTGCTCTGTGTGGCGAGTGGGTCCCTGCTTGGTTGGGACTCAGCCCCGCTTCAGGACCCCGTGGCCACTGAGGACCCAGGAACCTGCCTCTGCTCGAGTATCCGGCCTCTGTCGTGAGTGCCTTGCGTGGCCAGGGCCACTTTTCCAGAGAAGGCTCTGTGGTGCTGTGTGGCCTCGCTGCACTGTCCCTGACGTGCAGGGCCCAAAGCTGGTGTCCCCCAGGAGCAGTGTCTGGGGACAGATGCCTCCTGGTCCCGCTGGCCGATGCCTGCTGGTCTTGTACGGCGCCTGCATCGTGTTTGCCGTTTTTCTGTTGGGTTGTCTGACGTTTTCGTGTGGATCATAGGAGTTCCTCGCCCTGTGTGGACACGAGTCCTCTGAGGGACGCGTGTCACGGTGTCTGCTCACTTGCCACTGCCCGTCCAACCATGTGAGTGTCTCGGGGGACGGCAGCTCTTACTTTAGTGAAGTCCAGTGTCCAGCTCATTAATTGGCTGTGGGAAGAGATGGTGGTTTTCTTCCGAGAGCGTTATTTGTGAACCTTTCATGAAGCCCCCGGGGCCAGGCTCCCTGATCCCTGGGCCCAGACCACCCTGCAGTTCCCGCGCCAGGCTGGCACGGCGCCCGCCTTTCCCACCGGCCTCCCTGGTGCCAGACTGCGGGCCTCCTTGGGCCCTAGGGCTTGAACCAGCCTGCCTGCCCCGTTGGGCCTCTCTGCTCTCCCGCGGAGCCCACTCTGACCGGGAGTGTCCCATGGTGGCCTGAGAATACCCTCTGCCCACAGGTCCCGAGCAGCCCGGCCCACCATGGACCCCTCTGCCCACAGGTCCCGAGCAGCCCCGCCCAACATGGACCCAGACCCCCAGGCGGGCGTGCAGGTGGGCATGCGGGTGGTGCGCGGCGTGGACTGGAAGTGGGGCCAGCAGGACGGCGGCGAGGGCGGCGTGGGCACGGTGGTGGAGCTTGGCCGCCACGGCAGCCCCTCGACACCCGACCGCACAGTGGTCGTGCAGTGGGACCAGGGCACGCGCACCAACTACCGCGCCGGCTACCAGGGCGCGCACGACCTGCTGCTGTACGACAACGCCCAGATCGGTGCGCGCCAAGGGCAGGCGGGACGGGCAGGACCCGGGGGCGGGAACGCCCCTCTGACCCCACCCCACCCCCAGGCGTCCGGCACCCCAACATCATCTGTGACTGCTGCAAGAAGCACGGGCTGCGGGGGATGCGCTGGAAGTGCCGTGTGTGCCTGGACTACGACCTCTGCACGCAGTGCTACATGCACAACAAGCATGAGCTCGCCCACGCCTTCGACCGCTACGAGACCGCTCACTCGCGCCCGTGAGTCCCGGGCCGCACCGGCTCCTGTGCGGCGGGTACCCAGGCCTTGCCACTGGGGCCTTGGCCTTCGGGGAGGGTGCTGCCTCCTGACCGCTCCCAGGAAGACGGAGCAAGTCTCTCCAGAGCCGTGGCCTTAAGCAGTGGTGCCATGGGCAGGGCACAGAGGGTGGCCTCTGGGTGGCTCTACAGGCAGCAGTGGCCATCAGGCAGCCAGCATCCCCCAGGGCGGCATGAGACCTCCAGGAGGACAGCCCATACCCGGAGCCAGCACCTGGGCTGTCTTGGAGGCTGCTGCGCTCTGGTCCGAGGGCATCAGCTCGGGGAGAATCTAGCCTGCTTGGGGCAAGGACAGCCAGAGGTGCCACCCCGTCCCCTGCATTTGTCACCTTTGTCTCTGGCCCTCCCTGCACGTGGAGGGAGGTGTGGTTGTCTTGGGAGTGCTGTTGGCCAGGCCTGCTTTCCTCATTCCTCCCTTCCCACATGCTGAGCCCACCTCTGGGCCTGGCTGTGCCCCAGCTCACTGGGAGGCAGCAGGCATGAAGCGACCGCACCCAGAGGTCTTGCCGAGGGTGGGCCCGGGTGCCTTCCCAGCCTGGCATCAGGGAAGTCCCTGGAGGAACGTGGTCCGCAGGTTCGCTCCAGGCCCCTGAGCCCAGGGGCATTTCCTCACAGCGTGTGGAGGATGCTGACCTGCTGGACCGGCCATTCCCGGGCAAGAGCTGGGGCTGCGGAGCCCAGCAGGCTGGGTGGACAGGGGGCCTGCTCCACTGCATCGCTCTCCCAAGTGGCTCAAGATGGGAAGAGATGGCGGTTTTCTTCTGAGAGCTTTATTTGTGAACCCTCTTGCAGTGTCACACTGAGTCCCCGCCAGGGCCTCCCGAGGATCCCACTAAGGGGCATCTTCCAGGGAGCGAAGGTGGTGCGAGGCCCCGACTGGGAGTGGGGCTCACAGGATGGTGAGTGGAGGCAGAGGGGCGGGGTCAGGGCTGGGCTGTGGCTGGCTCATGGCTCAGCCTTAGCCTGCTGGGGGGGCCTCTTTCCCCAGGAGGGGAAGGGAAACCGGGCCGTGTGGTGGACATCCGTGGCTGGGATGTGGAGACAGGCCGGAGTGTGGCCAGCGTGACGTGGGCTGATGGTACCACCAATGTGTACCGTGTGGGCCACAAGGGCAAGGTGGACCTCAAGTGTGTGGGCGAGGCAGCGGGCGGCTTCTACTACAAGGACCACCTCCCAAGGCTCGGTATGAGGCTGTCACACTGACTCCATCAGCCCTCCTGCCTTGGCTGAAGTCCCAGAGGGGAGGGGCCGCTGCCTGAGGCCTGGTCTGCCACCCTCCGCAGGCAAGCCGGCGGAGCTGCAGCGCAGGGTGAGTGCTGACAGCCAGCCCTTCCAGCACGGGGACAAGGTCAAGTGTCTGCTGGACACTGATGTCCTGCGGGAGATGCAGGAAGGCCACGGCGGCTGGAACCCCAGGATGGCGGAGGTGAGCCGCCCCGCCGTGGAGCCCTGTGTGCCCTGCCCTCCCAGCCCTCCGCCCCCTCAGCCCCTTCCTCCCCAAGCGTCCAGCCCGACCCAGCCACAGCTCCATGACCCGCCACAGTTTATCGGACAGACGGGCACCGTGCATCGTATCACGGACCGCGGGGACGTGCGCGTGCAGTTCAACCACGAGACGCGCTGGACCTTCCACCCCGGGGCGCTCACCAAGGTGCCGGGGGGGCTGGGCTGCGCCTCATCTGCTTGCTTCTGTAACCCCTTCCACGTACCCCCTTGGCCTTGGGGGGTCAGGCAGGACTAGGGTGCCAGCTGCACCCACGAGTCCCCAGCCCTGAAGGAAGGGGAGGGACTGGTGGGTGGAGGTGGGTGGGGTCAAGGAGAAGAGGGGGTTGGGTGTGAAGGAACCCAGAGGAGGGTATGTCTCTGGGAGCTGGAATGGGCAGGTTAGGGCCTCCCTCTGTTCCAGGACACCAGGAAGGCAGGACAGCTTCGTGGGCGGGAGGGAGGCGGCTGGGCTAAGATGCTCCTGGTTAGTGCTGTATGGGGGCCGATGGGGGTGGCTGGTTAGGACAGGGAGGTGGATGCTTGGCCTAGAGTGGTGGGGGAGGTAGTGAGGGCTGCCTGGGAAGCAGGATGGCAGGGAGGGGGCTGGAGGTGGTGGCGGTGGCAGCTTGGATGGCCCTGGGAGGGGCAGGCCCGGGGCAAAGCGTCAGAGCTCAGCTCTGGATCTGGGGTCCTGGATACCAGGCACCTTTGAGGAGGCGCCGAAGGGAGTCATGAGACGGGCTTGTAGAGTGAGTTCCCTGCATATGAGGGCTCAGGTGGGGCAGAGTGGGCCCGTCCTGCACCCCATGGTCCTGGGGCCCCACCCCCACGCTGGCTCACGGGCCCTGGCCATGTTGCCTGCTGCTGGTCAGCGTACAGCTTCCCAGGGCCAGCCACCTCGGCTTCACACCTGCCCAGAGCTGGCTTCTGTCTGCCTGGACACTCCTCCCATGGCTCTGGGGCTAGGGACACCCAGGGCTGCCTTGGACACCTGGGGCTCTCGTCCAGCCAGAGCCTCTGGCAGTGCCTGGGGTCGGGGTCGGGGCCGGGGCCGAGTCAGGCCTGCCTGTCTCGTGGAGCTCAGCAGGTTGCCCTCCTGTTGCATGAGCCTGGGCAGCCACACACAGCTGGGGGGCCCCTCACGCCCCTCTTTGTCGCTCAGCACCACTCCTTCTGGGTGGGCGACGTGGTCCGGGTCATCGGCGACCTTGACACAGTGAAGCGGCTGCAGGCTGGGCATGGCGAGTGGACGGACGACATGGCCCCTGTGAGTCCCCCTGCCACCCCCGCCGCTAGCGCCGCTGCCCCCCACACCTGCAGCCTGCTGTGACCCCCTCCCCTCCCCGCAGGCCCTGGGCCGCGTCGGGAAGGTGGTGAAAGTGTTTGGAGACGGGAACCTGCGTGTAGCAGTCGCTGGTCAGCGGTGGACCTTCAGCCCCTCCTGCCTGGTGGCCTACCGGCCCGAGGAGGATGCCAACCTGGACGTGGCCGAGCGCGCCCGGGAGAACAAAAGTGCGGCACAGCTCAGGCGGCCAGTGGGAGGTGGGGCTGCCCCTGGCCACCACTAACCTCAGCCCTGCCCCCAGGCTCACTGAGCGTGGCCCTGGACAAGCTTCGGGCCCAGAAGAGTGACCCAGAGCACCCGGGAAGGCTGGTGGTGGAGGTGGCGCTGGGTAACGCAGCCCGGGCTCTGGACCTGCTGCGGAGGCGCCCAGAGCAGGCAAGCTCCTGACCCCGTCCTCCCATACTGGCCAGTCTGAGAGTGAGGGGCAGAGGGCCAGGGACTCACCTGCTGGCACTCTTGGCAGGTGGACACCAAGAACCAAGGCAGGACCGCTCTGCAAGTGGCTGCCTACCTGGGCCAGGTGGAGTTGATACGGCTGCTGCTACAAGCCAGGGCGGGCGTGGACCTGCCGGACGACGAGGGCAACACGGCACTGCACTACGCGGCCCTGGGGTGAGGCCTGGGAGGGGCCCGGCCGGCGGGGCTGAGCCTGTGCGTCCTGGGGTGAGGCCTGGGAGGGGCCCGGCCGGCGGGGCTGAGCCTGTGCGTCCTGGGGTGAGGCCTGGGAGGGGCCCGGCGGGGCTGAGCCTGTGCGTCCTGGGGTCGGGCCTGGCGGGGCTGAGCCTGTGCGTCCAGCCACCGGGCCCGGCGCCCTCCCTCTCCCACTTCCTCTCCTGTCAGGAACCAGCCCGAGGCCACCAGGGTGCTCCTGAGTGCTGGGTGCCGGGCGGACGCCATCAACAGCACCCAGAGCACAGCACTGCACGTGGCCGTGCAGAGGGGCTTCCTGGAGGTGGTGCGGGCCCTGTGTGAGCGCGGCTGTGACGTCAACCTGCCCGTGAGTGCTGCTCCCTGGCCTGGGTGCCCCCTGCCCGTGAGTGCTTGTCCCTGGCCTGGGTTCCCTCTGCCCATGTGTGCTGCTCCCTGGCCTGGGTGCCCCCTGCCCGTGAGTGCTGCTCCCTGGGTGCCCTGGCTCTTGACCCAAGCAGAAGTCACCCCCAGGTGACCACTGACTCCGCCCCAGCAGGACGCCCACTCGGACACGCCCCTGCACTCCGCCATCTCGGCGGGCACTGGAGCCAGCGGCATTGTCGAGGTCCTCACGGAGGTGCCAAACATCGATGTTACCGCCACCAACAGCCAGGGTTTCACCCTGCTGCACCATGCCTCCCTCAAGGGTCACGCGCTGTGAGTGTGGGGTGGGCACACAGCTGCAGCCGGCCTCTTGCTGTGCTGCCTGGGGGCAGTCCCAGGTCCCAGACCAACCTCCCTGCTCCACAGAGCTGTGAGAAAGATTCTGGCTCGGGCGCGGCAGCTGGTGGACGCCAAGAAGGAGGACGGCTTCACGGCGCTGCATCTGGCTGCCCTCAACAACCACCGCGAGGTGGCCCAGATCCTCATCCGGGAGGTGCGGACGCGGCCCAGTCCTGCCCAAGGACCGGGGAGCGGGAGGCCCACTGGGGTCCCTGGGCTGAGCCCGTCCCCACCCCTCCCCAGGGCCGCTGTGACGTGAACGTGCGCAACCGGAAGCTGCAGTCCCCGCTGCATCTCGCCGTGCAACAGGCCCACGTGGGGCTGGTGCCGCTACTGGTGGACGCTGGGTGCAGTGTCAACGCCGAGGACGAGGAGGGGGACACAGCCCTGCACGTGGCGCTGCAGCGTCATCAGCTGCTGCCCCTGGTGGCTGATGGGGCCGGGGGGGACCCAGGGCCCTTGCAGCTGCTGTCCAGGGTGAGGAAGTGTGGCGTGGGGTGCTGGAGAGGCTGCGGTGGCGCCGGCAGCAGGCTCTGGGCAGGGCCTGTGCCACTGTCCACCTTCCCCTCCAGTGATGGCCCAGGGAGCCAGGCGTTCTGGGGGTGGAGCAGATGGGAGCCAAGTTCTATGTGATCCTTCAGCCTGCACCCCTAGGCAGCCTGGGAAAGGGGTGGTGCCCATGGGATGGGGAGAGGTGGAGCTTAGGGTCTCAGAGCTCACCTAGCAGGGCGCCCCTCCTGCCTGTCCCACTTGGGTTCCGGAAGAGGTGCCCTTGCCTTGTATTTTAGACATGGGGCGCCGGCTGCTGGGGCTGCCAGGTGCCAGGAGACGCCTCCCTCGGGCCTGCCCCGGCGCCCGCCCTCACCGGCGTCTGTCCTGCCGCCCAGCTACAGGCCTCGGGCCTCCCCGGCAGCGCGGAGCTGACGGTGGGCGCGGCGGTCGCCTGCTTCCTGGCGCTGGAGGGCGCCGACGTGAGCTACACCAACCACCGCGGTCGGAGCCCGCTGGACCTGGCCGCCGAGGGTCGCGTGCTCAAGGCCCTTCAGGGCTGCGCCCAGCGCTTCCGGTGAGTCCGTGGACGGCGGGGATGGGGTCCGGCGGCCTCCGGGCCCCTCTCAAGCCGCCTCCTCCCCCTGCAGGGAGCGGCAGGCGGGCGGGGGCGCGGCCCCGGGCCCCAGGCAAACGCTCGGGACCCCCAACACCGTGACGAACCTGCACGTGGGCGCCGCGCCGGGGCCCGAGGCCGCTGAGTGCCTGGTGTGCTCCGAGCTGGCGCTGCTGGTGCTGTTCTCGCCGTGCCAGCACCGCACCGTGTGTGAGGGTGAGTGGGGGGCCCCGGGGTGGGGAGGCCCGGCTAGTAGGGCCGCAGCCAACCGCGCTCTCCTCTTCGCAGAGTGCGCGCGCAGGATGAAGAAGTGCATCAGGTGCCAGGTGGTCGTCAGCAAGAAACTGCGCCCAGGTGGGTGAGGCTCTGCGCCCCCAACACGCCTCCTGCTCAGCTGGTGGCCCGCGGGTCCCCGTCCCCCACCCCTTCCCTCCCACACTTCCGCCCATGGCCCTTCCCCAGGTTACACCCCGCCCTCCCAAGGCTCACACCCGGCCCCCCAGCCCCCAGCCCCCAGCCCCGCCTGCTCCAGATCACACCCGGCCCACAGCCCCGCCTCAAGGTAACACCCTCCTCCCCCATCACACCCCAGCCCCGCTGGATTTCACGGCCCCTCCCAGATCACACTCCCTCCATAGCCCCACCCCAGATCACAGCCCACCCAGAGCACCGCCCCCCCATCACACCCCGGCCCAGCTCACAGCCCACCTGCAGCCCTGACTCCAGCCCGCACACCACCTTATGCCTGATTTCCACGGCTCACCTCCTGCCCGCACCCGGGCCCCACCTCTGCCTCCAAATCACCCACCCCGCCAGCCCCCCTTGCAGGTCACAACCCGTCCCAGGTGACACCCCGCCCCCAGCCTCGCCCCCCCGCAGCTCCCTGCTCCCCGCATTCCCCCACCCGGCCTCCCAGCTCACACCCGTCCCCCACCCCGCAGACGGCTCTGAGGTGGCGAGCGCCGCCCCCGCCCCCGGCCCGCCGCGCCAGCTGGTGGAGGAGCTGCAGAGCCGCTACCGGCAGATGGAGGAACGCATCACCTGCCCCATCTGCATCGACAGCCACATCCGCCTCGTGTTCCAGTGCGGCCACGGCGCATGCGCCCCCTGCGGCTCCGCGCTCAGCGCCTGCCCCATCTGCCGCCAGCCCATCCGCGACCGCATCCAGATCTTCGTGTGAGCCGCGCCGTCCGCCGCGCCCGAGCTGCCTTCGCGTGCCCCCGCCCTGTGTTTTATAAAAAGAAAGATTCTCGGACGTTGCCTCTGCTGTCTGCCTGGGGGACCGGGCGCCTCTGGGGTCCTCCCCTCGGGACACGCGGGCGAGCCTGGGGGCGAGGGGGGGGGGGCCCTTCCCTGGGTCCGCCCCGCCCGCCCCAGGCTCTCGGGTCCAGACTCCCGCCCGGACTGCGGCCTTCGGGCCAGGACACCCTCCAGGCGCGGGCACGGCCGCCTCCCGCCCCCCAGGCCCGGGTCCGACGGGGCGGGGACTCCTGTGTCTGCCCCCGGGCCCCCCTCGCTCTTCCGTCCTGGGGGCGGCCGCGGGGACTCGCGCTCTGATCCAAGGGGCCCGACACTCCCCAGGGCTGTGGGGTCCCGTCCCAGCAGGGAGTTAGTTGGGGGGCGTCCCAGGCAGGGTCTGGGGGCCGGGCGCACGCAGGCGGGGTGACGAGCTGGGGGGGCGGGGGGCGGTGTCGGAGCAAATACGGCGGCCAGGCCCAGCCTCTCGCGCTTTCCAAGAACCGCCCGCGGCCGCCGCCAGCTGCTTGGCGCTGACCCCGTTGGCCGGGCTGCCGTCACCCTGGGCCCGACGCCGGCGCGGAAAACGGGGAGGGACGAGACAGACACAGGCCGGTCTGGCTCGGAATCTCCTGCTCCTCTGCCCAATCCCCCACCCCCGCCCCGCGGGACGCCGGTGCCCGGTCTCGGTCCCAGCCCAGAGCCGCTCGCGCCTGGACGCCGGCCGCCCCGTCGAACCTTTGGGTCTCCGAGCTCCCCGCCCCCGCCCCCAATCAGGACCGGTCCAGACCTCCAGGCCCGGCGCTTAGCTCCGTTTCCCGTCCCTCCCGTCTCCCTCTCCCCTTTGCTGGGGCCTAGCCGGGGATTTAGGAGCCACACACCCTCCACCTCACGCGCTACCCTCCACGGGGCTTCCCGCAGCCAGGGCCCGCCCCTTCCCGGCTCCCCGGGAGACCCTGGCAAGTTCCCTCCCTCCGCCCCGCAACCTGGCACCCTCCGCGGCCCTTGCCTACCCACGCACCCCCTCCCCGCCTCCCCCTCCACCGCCCCATACTCACTGCCACGTCCCCATCCGGCCATCCCCTCCCAGCTCTCGGGGACACTGTCAGGCGAGCGACGCGTCTCCTGCGGCCCAGCTCAGCTGCCTGGGCCAGGATGGAGACTCCGCTCATGTGGGGCTCAGGGGTTTTTTGAGGATTCCATTTGGGAAAAAAGCCACCAGATCACTCACTGCCCAGCAGTGGGGGCTTGGGGACCCCCACTGCTACCCTTTCCTAAGCGGGAGCCCTGGCGCTGCCCTTCCCGGGCTGCCTGGGGCCCTCTTCGCTCCCCCCTCCGAGGACCCCGCCCAGCAGGCCATGCCCAGGCCTCTGCCCCTGGCCCACGGGACGCGGGTCCCCATGCCCCCGGCTGGAGACAGCAGGCAGCTCGGCCAACGGACGGGCCAGCTGGTTCCCTTCAGGGGCAGCCTTGCCCCCTCTCCCGCCCCGTCTCCCTCCCCCCCACCACACCGGGCTGTAACCCGAGCCGCCGAGCCACTGCCTCCCCTCCGGATCCTCCCCGGAGGCTCTGCGGCCCGGGCCCCCGCGCCTTGCTGCCCCATGCAGCCCTGAGCCCCACAGCAAGTCTGCCATGGGCCGCGGGGCCCGTGTCCCCTCGGAGGCCCCGGGGGCAGGCGTCGAGCGCCGCTGGCTTGGAGCCGCGCTGGTCGCCCTGTGCCTCCTCCCCGCGCTGGTGCTGCTGGCCCGGCTGGGGGCCCCGGCGGTGCCGGCCTGGAGCGCAGCGCAGGTGAGCGGCGGGGGGGAGGCCAGGTGCCGGGTTGGGGGGGTCCTCACGTCTGTGGGTCTGGTCTATCGGGGGGCCCGCAGGACGTGTGCGGGGTGTGCGGGGTGTTTGAGGGTCCGGATGTGCGTCCCGAGGTCGGAGGGTTGGACGCCCCTGTGTCCAGTTGTTGGGAGGGGTGGGAGGCCTCGCCCTGCTGTTCAGCCCCTTCCCCTCCACTGGGCCGCGTTCCCAGGGACGTGCAACAGGGCGCTCAGGTTAGGAGACCCGAAACCACAGGCAGACAGGACCCGCCACGCCCGCTCCCAGCCCTGGGCACCCCCACCCCCGTTTCCTTCCAGTCCATTTTCCGCGGCAGTTTTTGGTCCTGGGGACCGTCACCGATGCCTCCCACGCACGCTTTCTTCCCTGAAGGGAGACGTCGCTGCGCTGGGCCTCTCGGCGGTCCCCCCCACCCGGGTCCCGGGCCCACTGGCCCCCCGCAGACGCCGCTACACGCTGACTCCAGCCAGGCTGCGCTGGGACCACTTCAACCTCACCTACAGGTGCGCCCTGGCTGGGCCCCGGGGGAGGGGGCGCGGCCGGCGCCCGCTGAGCTCACTCTCCCTGCAGGATCCTCTCCTTCCCGCGGAACCTGCTGAGCCCGCGGGAGACGCGGCGGGCCCTAGCTGCCGCCTTCCGCATGTGGAGCGACGTGTCCCCCTTCAGCTTCCGCGAGGTGGCCCCCGAGCAGCCCAGCGACCTCCGGATAGGTGGGCGCCCGCCCCCGCCCCGGCCCGGCCCTGCGCGCCCGGCCTCTCAGCCCCGTGCTCCCCCCAGGCTTCTACCCGATCAACCACACGGACTGCCTGGTCTCCGCGCTGCACCACTGCTTCGACGGCCCCACGGGGGAGCTGGCCCACGCCTTCTTCCCCCCGCACGGCGGCATCCACTTCGACGACAGCGAGTACTGGGTCCTGGGCCCCACGCGCTACAGCTGGAAGAAAGGTGACCGTCCAGGCTGGCCTCCTGGAGGCCTCTCCTCTGCAGCACAGTGGGCTGCCGCGGTCGGGCTTTGGGGCAGACGGCAGGAGGGACCTTCCGGGGTGGTGGCTGCCACTGGAGTCTAGCAGGCAAGGAGGGGAGCCCGTGGGAGCCCCCATCCCGGCAGCCCTGAACTCCCTTTCCCATCCCCCTGCGCCTCTGGAGCGGGAGCTGGAGCTGCATTCCTGGGGGCCGAGCTCACCGCCTGGGCCCAGAACATTCTTATCTTTCCGTGGCTGCGGCCGAGGGCGGCTCCGCGGCTGCGCTCCAGCAGATACACCGGGCCTCGGGGAGCTGGCCCACGGGCGGCGGGGCTGGGCCCGGGGCTCCCAGGCGCTGACCCCCGGGGCCCGCAGGCGTGTGGCTCACGGACCTGGTGCACGTGGCGGCCCACGAGATCGGCCACGCGCTGGGCCTGATGCACTCACAACACGGCCGGGCGCTCATGCACCTGAACGCCACGCTGCGCGGCTGGAAGGCGTTGTCCCAGGACGAGCTGTGGGGGCTGCACCGGCTCTACGGTGAGTCCCTTTGTCGGGCGGGAGGGCGGGGACCGGGCGGTCCTGAGCCAGGCCGTGCTCCCCACGCTCCCGATAGGATGCCTCGACAGGCTGTTCGTGTGCGCGTCCTGGGCGCGGAGGGGCTTCTGCGACGCTCGCCGGCGGCTCATGAAGAGGCTCTGCCCCAGCAGCTGCGACTTCTGCTACGGTGATGCCCACGGGGCCGGGACAGGGCTGCGTGGGAGCTGGGCCTTGGCCATGGTCGGGGCTGAGGGGGCACTGACGGGGCTCTTTCCCCCACCCGGAGCAGAATTCCCCTTCCCCACGGTGGCCACCACCCCACCGCCCCCCAGGACCAAAACCAGGCTGGTGCCCGAGGGCAGGAACGTGACCTTCCGCTGCGGCCAGAAGATCCTCCACAAGAAAGGGAAAGTGTAGTGAGTGAGCGCCCCGGGCGGTCCTCGGGGTGGGCAGCCCGCGGGCGGCCTTGGGGCAGGGGTGCGGGGCAGGCAGCCGGGGGGGGGGCTGTGCCTGCAGGAGACGCCCCGCCCCCCTGCAGCTGGTACAAGGACCAGGAGCCCCTGGAGTTCTCCTACCCCGGCTACCTGGCCCTGGGCGAGGCGCACCTGAGCATCATCGCCAACGCCGTCAATGAGGGCACCTACACCTGCGTGGTGCGCCGCCAGCAGCGCGTGCTGACCACCTACTCCTGGCGAGTCCGTGTGCGGGGCTGAGCCCGGCTGATAAAGCACTTTCTCTCTGATGGCTCCTCGCTCATTCTTGGGAGGGCAGCGGGCAGCCAGTCTGGGCAGGTGGACACCCCAGCCCCTGGTCCACCGAGAGCTGGGCGTCCTCGGGGCTGGGCACCCCTGCTTCCCCGCACAGCGGACAACAGGTACAGCACAGGACGGGACGGGCTTTGCTAAGGTGGCCCCTGGGAAAGTGGGATAAGCGGAGGCCCCAGTGACAGGGGCAGCACGTGGAGCAGCACCTGGGGTAGCCCCAGAAGCCTGGGTTCTGTCTAGGACTTGCTCAGAGCTGGGGGAGGGAGGCAAAGGGGGCTTCCTGAAAGATGTGGCTGGGATGGGCCTCCAGGATCTTCTGCAAGGAGATGTGGGTGGGGGCTGGGAGGACTGGCACAGGGTGGGGGACCACCTTGCCAGAGTGGAGGCCCCCCAGGAGGTAGGAGCTCCCCTCCTGCCTGGGGAAGACACTGGCCCACATGGGG
This sequence comes from Homo sapiens, assembly GCF_000001405.40. NCBI lineage: Eukaryota > Metazoa > Chordata > Mammalia > Primates > Hominidae > Homo > Homo sapiens. The sequence goes on from NC_000001.11 coordinate 1,635,120, forward strand.
TCAGAGGCCACAGCCGCCCACCCCACCCTCTTCCCCTAGAGCCCGGTGGTCTGCGACTCCCCTCCCACACATGGTCCCGGGTCACTCAAAGGACGACACGGGGAGCTTTCCTCGAAGAATATTTTAATACATTTTAAAACTCAACAACCTTGTATAAAAACCTGTCGAGTCTGCTGGCACAGCTGGGGCTGGGGGTTGGGGGCCGGGGGCCTGTGTGGACAGGGCTGGTCTGGACGAGTGGGTTGGGGCAAGAGGGCATCGCTCATCCCAACACAGAAACAGGTCTCCAGCTCCGAAGATTAAACAATCCACCCGGCTCCCACCAGTTCCTTTCCAAATCACGGCCCAGCCAGCCCCGTGCGTGTCGAGAGTGGGAGAGGGTGTGTGGAGGTTTGTGCTGCCCCACGTGGGCACCCGAAGATGTCCACCCTCTCCGCCCTGGGCAAGTCACGGAGAAAACACAGCTCTTTCCTCCACAACAAGGAAAATGATTTAATTCTACAAATTTACAAACCAAAATACAAAAACAAAACATGGAGCACAAAGTAAGACGAGGAGTTCCGAGTCTCATCGCAGCTCCAGCCGCAGTAGCCACGCCTGTGGTCCCGGCTGAGTTCTCCCCATGACGGGGTCCACTCTGACCTTCAGAACTTGAGGCTGAAGCCGGGGCCCGCGGCAGAGGCCCCCTGGTTCGTGGTGGTAAGGTGGAAGCCCGTCTCCTTCAGGTCGTCGTCACCCTGGGACGAGTCGGCTACCGTGAGAACCCTGCCCAAGCCAGCCCCACCTGTGGGCACGCCCCACCCGCCAGGCCCCTCACCAGCTGGCTGTAGCCCAGGCCTCCCTCAGGGGGCCTCGGGCTGGTGCCCCGCTTCACACGCTGCTGCTCGCTCTTGGCGGGCCACGTGGGGAACATGGAGGGGTCGATGGGGAGGGGGGTCTCGCGGAAATACTCATGCTTGAGGCCGTCCTCAGCGCTGATCCTCCTCCCGGGGAAGTAGGTCAGGAACCTGGGGGGAGAGGGCCAGAGGCCCAGGAGGTGCTCGTGTGCTCCACTGGGTCCCCCAAAGATGGGCTGTGTTGGGACGGGGCTCAGGGCATGGGACGCCAGGCACCAGAGCAGTTCTGGAACGTGGTGAGCCAGCAGGTAGGCCTGGGACTGGGAAGTCACCGCTATGGCTCGGGACCTCCCGCCACCCGGCTGCACTGGGCTCACTTGTTCATGAGGTCGAAGCCCTGGTCTGAGAGCAGAGCCCCGAAGCGCTTGCGGAGGTTGTTGTAGGGGTGCTCGCTGAAGGTCATCTTCTTGACTGCTGGGAGCTCGCTGTAGCCGGGCCAGATTTTCTCACTAGGGGTCCCCAGATCCTGAAAGACAGAGGTGCTTCAACAGCCACACCAAGTGGCCCACAGTGTTGGCACCTGTGTCCCGTCAGAGAAGACAAGCCACCAGGAGGGCTCTCAGTGGCCCTGGTCCCCATCTCAACCCAGCACCTGTGCGCCCCGCAGCCCCATTCCTGCAACTCCTCCACAACCCCACAGCGCACCTGCAGCAGGGCCAGACCCACCTTGAACACCTTGTTGATCTGATCGATTTCTGACTTCCCGGGGAACAGAGGCTTCTGAGTCAGCAGCTCCCCGAAGATGCAACCCACTGACCACATGTCCACGGCCGTGGAGTATTCCTAAGAGGTCAGGAGAGGTGTTCAGGAGGGCCAGTGCCCGCGAAGCTGTGGGAGGCTGCGTGGGGGACAGGGGAGGCACTCAGACGCCCAGGACTCACCTTGGCACCAAGCAGCAGCTCTGGGGCGCGGTACCACAGGGTCACCACGACCGGGGTGTAGGCCTTCAGAGGGGATCCGTACTCCCGCGCCAGCCCGAAGTCACCCACCTGCAACGACAGATGGGCGGCTGTGAGTGGGCCCCGGCAGGTCTCCCTGGGATGGGCCACTCGGAGGGGGGCTCACCTTGAGGATGCCGGCGTGGCTCAGCAGCAGGTTGGACGTCTTGAGGTCACGGTGCAGGATCCAGTTGTCGTGCAGGTGTTTCACCCCACGCAGCAGCTGGATCATCAGGGTCTTCACCTCCCCTGGGAGGGAGGGAAGCTCCCATGTGGACCTGGCTGCCCCCAGCCCAGGGCACTCAGGGTGGCCCACTCGCCTCGGCAGCAACAGAGGCTTCTCAGGGCTTTCCCTGTGGATGCAGCTGGCCCTCCCTGCAGCACTGTCACCGCGGGGGTGACCAGGACCCTGCCCCCACTTGTACGCAGACAGGCCCCTGGGGCGCGGCTGTACCTGGCAGGAAGGGCTGTTTCATGGTCTCCATCAGGCTCTTGAGGTCGTGCTCCACATAGTTCATCACGATGTAGATCTTGTCCATGTTGCTGCCCACCACAATCTCCTGCAGGGCACGGCTCTGTGGGTGCTGGGCACCTCCAGGCCCCCACCCACCCCTGCACCCGGGTGCAGCTGCTGAGGGACAGTAAGGACCTCCGGTGCCACCCGGGAGGCAAATGCTTGCTTCTGTGTGGTCTGTGAAGGGCTCCACTAAGTGCAGGAGAGTGTAGGAAGCACCCGGCCCCAGGACAGCACGGGGCCCTGTCAGAAAAGCCTTCCACCCGGGGCCAGGCGTGGTGGGGCCATGCTCACTCTAACGGTGACGATGTTGGGATGCTGGGCCTTGAGGATGGTGTTGATCTCCCTCAGCGACGTGATCGGGAAGCCCTCCTTCTCCTTCTCCATCTTCAGCCGCTTTAGAGCCACAATTTCATCTGTGAAGAAAATACAGACGGCACTGAGAGGCATTCTCAAAGTCACGGTACCAACAGTGGACTCGTTCAGTGAGGACCGCAGGCAGTGCCCAAAGCGCCAGCATTTCACGGAGGGGGGTCTCGTTCTAGGTGGGGGCACGTGGGCACCAGGAGAACGCCCCAGCTGAGGTCTGGGCAACACCCACGGCTTCCCACTCAACACACCACAGACACTCACAGCCACCTACAGCCACCTGGGATCCCAGCGGCCACGCCGACTCCACATCGACTTCCCCAACAGAGCCGGCCTCACCTGGGATCCCAGTGGCCGACTCCCAACAGAGTTCCCGGCTCACACACCTGCTTGGGTGGGACGCTGGGAACGCAAACCTGCACACCAGCCCCGGCACAGACCACTCCACGCGCTGGGCCTCGGCCCTGTGGGGCAGGCCGCCTGCTACTGCAAGGGAGTGGCAAAGCCCCAGGGCCAGGCTGACCTCTGGCTTCTAGAGGTGCTGAGGGGTCCAACCTCCAGTAGCTGCTCAGGTGAGGCGGGCCCAGGTGCAGTCGCAGCTCTCGGGCAGCCAGCCCCTGCCCCACTTCCCCTGCCTTTGTGGGGTGAGGGGACCCCACCCACCTGTTTTCTTGTCTTTTGCTCTGTAGACCACTCCATAGGTGCCCTCCTCGATCCTGTTCAGGCACTGGAACTCCTCGACGCTCCGGCAGCCCTGGGAAGGAAGCGCCTGTGTGAGGTCTCAGTGGCCATGCCAGCTGGAGGGAGGGCGGCTGCGTCCACAGGCACGGCACACCCGGCACGGGGCAGGTGCAGGGCAGAGCCTTGGGACTGGGCCGGGGGTGGAGCCGGGAGCAGCTCAGTTCTTTCAAAGTCTCTTTCCTTGCAAAACCATCTGACACTTTATTATGAAACAAAACCAGTGTGAACAAAAGGCCATCCCAGCCAGGTGCAAGGGCTCAGGCCTGTAATTCCAGCACTTTGGGAGGGCAAGGCAGGAGGACTGCTTGAGCCCAGGAGTTCAAGACCAGCCCGGCCAACATAGCAACACTCTGTTTTCTATTTTTTTTTTTTTTTTTTTTTGAGACGGAGTCTCGCTCTGTCACCCAGGCTGGAGTGCAATGGTGAGATCTCGGCTCACTGCAACCTCCACCTCCTGGGTTCAGGCGATTCTCCTGCCTCAGCCTCCCTAGTAGCTGGGAGTATAGGTACGCACCACCACGCCAGGCTAATTTTTGTATTTTTAGTAGAGACAGGATTTCACCATATTGGCCAGGCTGGTCTCGAACTCCTGACCTCTGATCCGCCCACCGCCTCGGCCTCCAAAAGTGCTGGGATTACAGGTGTGAGCCACTGTGCCCGGTCAAAACTCCTTTCTACAAAATAAAAAAATTAGCCAGGCATGGTGGCTTGCGCCTGTAGTTCCAGCTACTCAGGAGGCTGAAATGGGAGGATTGTTTGAGCCTGGGAGGGGGAGGCTCCAGTGAGCTATGATTAAGCCACTCCACTCCGGCCTGGGTGACAGAGACAGACCCAGTCTCCAAAAAAAAAGCCATCCCAAGAGTCTCTTTGTCAAACTGGATGTGTCCCCTGCTTGTACCAGGATGACACTGAGGACGGGCCCTACCTGCCAGGCGCAGCATGATGCCCCATGCCAGGGCACCTACCCCTCCGTGTACCTTGGGGCCGGTGCCCAGGCCGGATGTCATGTACTCGGGGTGGCCTGTGGCCCGACGCCTACGCTCAGCAGCACTAAGGGGCAGAGGCGCTCACAAGGCATAGGGCAGTCGACAGAGGCCTGCTGCATGCGCCAGAGAGAACCTCTCCGCCCACAGGCACCAAGGAGGGGGCCGAGTCCCTGCCGGTCTCCCAGGCCCCAGAGGCCACTGGCACCTTCTCAGGCTTGTCCCTTCCAAATCGCTCCCAACAATATCCTGCCTTATTGATAGCTGCCTAAGCAAAAGGCTTCTGGTCACACATCTACACTGACTCCCGTAGCCGCTCCCCCATCCAAGCCCTGCACAGATGCCGGTAACAAGGCCTTGGTGCCTACATAACCCGCCCACGCAGGGGTCAAGTGGAAGGCACTGCTCTCCAGTGCGGAGGAGGACGCAACTCGGGCAGCAGTGACAGCAGCGCGGCCGCACGCCCAGGCTGCCTTTCAAGCCGCAGAGCAGTCCTGCGGGCAGCTCCCTGTCCACCCAGTTCCGTCCAGCATGAGAAAGAGGCGGGACCTAGAAGCATGAGGGGCCAGTGGCTGTGCCCGCCCGTCACTGCCCCAGTGGGCCCAGCAGCCCTGTGAGGCGACAGACGCCAACACGGGGGCCAGGCTTCGCTCAGCCCCTGTGGTAACTCCGACTGCCAATGCGGACAGTGGCCCGGGGCGAGGGGAGGGCCTGACCTGCAGGGCCGGCAGGTACTTGGGCAGCTCCTGCTTGAGCTCGATGGGCGACAGGGCAGGGGAGTCGGGCACATAGTCGCCCTCTGTCAGGGCGCTGCTCTGCGGCGTTCCCTCACCCACTTCTTCCTCTGCTTCTTCACTCTCCCCGGAATCTCGGTCGAACCGTGACTCTGGAACTGGAAAAGTTGAACCTAATTACGAAGCTAGGAGTAAGCAAGGATCATGAACCTCCTCCTGCCCCGGGGGCATCAAGCGCGTGGCAGGGCTGCCCCGTGTCCCGCTGGGAGGTGCTGGCGCTGGGCTCTCGTCCCCTGGACACAGGGCACCGAGGCCTAAGAGTGCTGGCAGGCTCGGCTGAGACAGAGCCCGGATGCTGAGCTGGGAGGAGGCGTCGGGTGTCATGTGGGGGACAAGCCCACATCCACGTCCACCAGGCTGAGGACATAACCTCACTGCCTGTCGGAGGCTGGGCCAGGCCTCTGCTCTGCAGGGACAGGCCCGGAGCCACCATCTGACGGGCCTCCCCTGTGGGGAACTGGTCCTGGGCTTCCCAGCTCCTCGGCCCTGCTGGGCACTCAGGACGCCCTTGGTCAGCACTGTGCCTCGCTGAGGAATGCGGGCCCCACCGGCACAGCCTGGAGCGGCCAACGAATCAGGCGGCCTCCCAGACCCTGGCGTGCCCCACGCTGCGCAGGACCGGCTGTCTTAGGAGAGGGCTGCTGCACTCGGAGACAGACAAGGAGGGGGCTCTGTCTCCAGGGAGGTTCTTACCAACCAAGAGGTGGTTTTCATTTTCTCGTTCTTCATCTTCACTCATTTCTTCCTCACTTACTTCTTCTGCAAGAGAAAGGAGGCGTCTGCTCAGACCAGCACCGGGGCGAGTGCTGCCACAGGCAGGATGCGGGCTCCGCTTCAGCTAAGCAACAAGTGTTCCCAAGAATGGATATGCAGGCCGGGCGCGGTGGCTCACGCCTGTAATCCCAGCGCTTTGGGAGGCCAAGGCGGGTGGATCACCTGAGGTCAGGAGTTCGAGACCATCCTGGCCAACGTGGTGAAACCCCGTCTCGACTAAAAATAAAAAAATTATCCGGGCGTGCTGGCGCACACCTGTACTCCCAGCTACTTGGGAGGCTGAGGCGGGAGGATCACTTGAACCCGGGAGGCAGAGGTTGCAGTGAGCCGAGATCATGCCACTGCACTCCAGCCTGGGCAACAGATCAAGATTCCATCTCAAAAAAACAAACAAAAAGAATCGATGTGGAGGTGTCCCGAGAGAGTCCTAGATAGAAGGGAGTTTCAACTCCCCCGCCCGCCAGCTACTTCTCTGCGGTTTCTAACACTATAGTGAAGTCACAACACCTCACATAGTCGTCGCGGTGCCTCACCGGCAGACTGCTCTGATGCCTCCTCAGAGTTGCTGCCGGTCTCCTCCTCCTCCTCTTCCTCTTCCTCCTCCTCCTCCTCTGATTCTTCACTGGTGCTCCCTTCCTCCTCCTCCTCTTCCTCCTCCTCCTCTTCTTCCTCAGAACCTGAGCCTGATTCCGCTGTAGAAAGACAGCAGAGCAGAGGGTGAACCTGGGCCTTCCTGGGCAGCAGTGGTCAAGGCCTTGGCCAGGCGGTTCCAGGTACCTGACGAGGACTCGGCCGAGCTGGTCTTCCTCTCGCTGTCGCTGATGTCCTGTAAGTCGGACAGCAGGTCCCTTTCTTCCATTTTCTCTTCTTTTACTTATGAGATAAACCATAAAGGTGAATTTGGGGAAATGTTTTTAAACAAACAAGCTACCACCACCCCAAAACTAGTGCCTTTCACGTAACGATTAACTTTGCTTGGTCGGAAACCAGCTCATCCAGAGACGCTGGAAGCCACTTCTCTAACGGGGCCAGTGGCGAATGTCCCAGCGGATAAACACACGTCCTGTGTCCTGGCCGCACACAGACACTCACGGTCCCTCTCACGACACGAGAGGACTTCAGCCAGCACATCTCTCACTTTCTTCTGAAGCGGTTACTTAGCTGGGCTTTAAATGAATCCTACACACTTATGCCAAACATCCCCCAGAAAAGACTCACACTGTGCTGGCTTCTGCGCAGGCGCCGGCCTGGCCTCACCTGGCTTCCGGCCGTCTCCCAACTCGAACCGCTCCCGCGGCGGCCGAGGCGGGCTGCGACTCCAGTGGCTGGCTTTCACTTTGTCGCTGTAGTCCTCTCTCATCGTTCGGTGATGTGCAGACACTGGCGCGCAGGGCAGAGAGGGAGATGGCACTAGCAGCACTGCCTTCCTCAAAAGGCCCCACCCGGCACAGCTGCCTCGTCTCCCACACCCGCACCTGGCAGACACACCCACAGCGTGCACAGGGTGCTGACAGCATCGGGGTCAGAGGCCAGAGGTCTCCCAGGAAGCCCAGGGAGAAAAAGCTCCAACCTGGAGGCCGTGAGCCCGAGGACCCAGGTGGACCTTCTAGACTGATCTTCACTGGTCAAAAAGGAAGGGGCGGGAGAAGATTCTGGAAAGATGGAGTAGGAAGCACTGGGAATCAGTCTCCCCACCGAGACAACACTTGCATCACAGGATCAGGCCTGTGCAACTACTGAGGTGCTCTGGAGTCTACTGAAGGTTTGCAACTTCAGGGGGAATCTTGGAGAGTAAACTGTGATTCATTAATCAACGTCACCGCTTCGCACATTAGTGGCTCCCACCTCACTCCCCGCTGGCAGGCAGCAGCCTGCATGCAGCTCGCCGGACCCAGGTGGGCAGACGGACACACACACCCGAGGTCAGTGTGATGACTGCGTGTCCCACCCCAGAGGCATGAAGAGGCAGCAGCCACGGCCACCCCCAAGCTGAAGGTACTTCCAGGGCATGAGCACCACGTCCCCCGTTGCCCCCTTCATTTCTCTCTATTCCCCCTTTAGGAGGCAGACACTTCAGGACAAGAACATTAAAAACATCTGTATTGACGGGAACGTTAAAAAGTGGCTGCACGTGACCAGGAAAAGGCTCAGGCTCAGAAAAGACCCGTGAAGACCCTGAGTTTCCACAACAGGCCGACCCCACAGACACAGCCCAGCACAACCAAAACAACAAGTGCACACCCTTGAGTGGGGACCAGGAAGAATCACATCATGAGAATCAAATGTCCATTTTTTTGACTAAGAAAAACACAAGAGAAACAAAGAAATAGGACAGTATGTCCCATTCAGAGGGGAAAAAAAGAAGCCAACAGACACGGTTCCTGAAAATCACCTGACGGTAGATGTCCCAAAGACTTTAGGGAACTGTCTTAACCTTCAGTTCCTCAGAGAACGAAAGGAAGATGTGGAGAAAGTCAAGAAAATGACGCGTGAACACGACGGAAATATCAACAGAGACAGAAGATCCAACAAGAAACCAGAGAGAAATTCCAGAGCTAATAAGTACATGCTCACAATAGACACTAAAAAGTAAATATTCACAACAGAAACTCACAGGCAGATGTGAGCAGGCAGAAGAAATAATCGGTGAGCCTGAAGACAATAAAATCACATCGTCTGAGGAAAAGAAAGCAGAAGAGACTGAAGAAAAGGGAGCAGTGCTGAGCGGCCTCGGGGACCCCAACAGATCTGTGGGAGCCCAGGAGGGAGGAGAGGAGCAGAGAGGGTATCTGAAGAATTCCTCAAAACCCCCACATTGGATGAAAACCGTAAATATAAACATTAGAGAGGCTCAGTGAACTCCAGGTAGAATGAAGTCAAGAGGCCCACAGGAAAACCCATTATTAAACAGTTGAAAGCCTAAGGCAAAGAGAATCTTCAAAGCATCCAAGGGATCCTCAATCAGGTCATCAGATTAAAGCATCCAAGGGATCCTCTATAAGATCATCAGATTTCTCATCAGAAACTTTGGAGGCCAGAAGACAATGGGCTGAAATAGTCCAAGTGAAAAGGAAAAACTGTCAGCTAGGCATGAGGGTTCCTTGAGCCCAGGAATTCAAGACCAGCCTGGGCAATACAGGGACACCTTGTTTCTACTGAAAAATGAGCCAGGTGTGGTGGCACACGCTACGCCTGTAGGTCCCAGCTACGCGGGAGGCTGAGGTGGGAAGATCACTTGTGCCCAGGAGTTCGAGGTTGCAGTGAGCTATGATCGCTCCACTGCACTCCAGCCTGGGCAACAGAAGAAGACTCTGTCTCAAAACAACAACAACAAAATTGTCAACCAAGAACCACGTATCCAGCAAACTTTCCTTCAAAGATGAGGGAGAAATGAGGATATTCTCAGATAAACAAAAGCAGAGGGAGTTCATTACTACTAGACCTAGACCTGCCTTGAAGAATAAGCTCCAGGGAGTTGTGTGGGGTGTAAGGAAAGGACGCGAGACAGAAACCGGAAGCTGGGTGAAGAAATAAAGATCTCCATTAAGGTGAGGACGTGGGTGACTATAAAAGCTCGTACTGGCCGGCCGCGGTGGCTCACGCCTGTAATCGCAGCACTTTGGGAGGCCGAGGTGGGTGGATCACGAGGCCAAGAGATCAAGAGACTATTCTGGCTAACACGGTGAAACCCTGTCTCTACTAAAAATATAAAAAAATAGCTGAACATGGTGGCGGGTGCCTGTAATCCCTGCTACTCCGGAGGCTGAGGCAGGAGGATCACTTGAACCCGGGAGGCAGAGGGTGCAGTGAGCCGAGATCGCGCCACCGCACTCCAGCCTGGGGGACAAGAGCAAAACTCTGCCTCCAAAAAAAAAAAAAAGGCAGGGGCGAAAAGCAAGCACCGGAACCAAGCGCCCGCCTGTGACAGCAAGTGCCCAGCACCAGGGGGCAGCAGACACGCGTCCCGCCGAGCACAGCTGCCCACCGCGCCGCCTACCTTCCCTGCGGGCCTCCCGCTCCTTGCGCCGCTCCTCTGCCCGCCGCTCGCGCTCCTTCTGCTCCCGCTGCTCCTTCTGCTGCTCCCGCATCTTGCGCTCCCGCTCCCGCTTCCTTTCTAACTGCTCCAAGCGGTCCCTGAAGAGGCACACGCCATCATTCCCCCTAAACAGAAGCTTGCTTATCGCGTTTTTGTCCACATTTGTAAACTGGCTTTCTACGTAATTCAATCCGTGAAGTTTTTTTTTCATTTTTTTATTTTATTTTCTTTGAGACGGAGTCTTCATCTGTCCCCCAGGCTGGAGTGCGGTGGCGCGATCTCGGCTCACTGCAACCTCCGCCTCCCGGGTTCGAGCGATTCTCCTGCCTCAGCCTCCCGAGTAGCTGGGATTACAGGCGTGCGCCCTGTACTCCCAGCTAATTTTTGTATTTTTAGTAGAGACGAGGGTTTCACCATGTTAGCCAGGATGGTCTCAATCTCCTGACCTCGTGATCCGCCTGCCTCCGCTTTTCAAAGTGCTGGGTTTACAGGCCCGAGCCACCGTGCCCAGCTGCCATTTCCAATTCTAATTAATAAATGATCCATTTCTTTCCATTCGATCGGTGTTTGCTTCATGGATTTTGGGCTCTGTGGTTAGATGCATTCACACGTATCATTGCTGTATCTTCCTGCTGTATTGGCCTGTTTCTGGCTGTGAAGTCCTTGCTCCTTCTTGTTTCTAGCTTTTTTTTGAGACAGGGTCTTGGTTTGTCACCCAGGCTGGAGTGCAGTGGCGCAATCTCGGCTCACTGCAACCTCCATCTCACGAGTTCAAGTGATTCTCATACCTGAGCCTCCCGAGTAGCTGGGATTACAGGTGTGCGCCACCACACCCAGGTGATTTTTGTAGAGACAGGGTTTCACCATGTTGGCCAGGCTGGTTTCTAATATTTCTTAACATCTGTTTTGTCTGGTATGAGTACAGCCATTCAAGCTCTCCTATGACAGCTGATGTTTGTACGCTGCGTCTTTTCCTGTTCTCTAGCAGACAGCATACAGTTAGATCTTGTTTTTCTATCTGATAATCTGCCCTGTCTGTTTGGGGCACAGAGACCTTTCACATGTCATATAATTACACGTACAGTTGGATTTACTTTCCTTGCTTTGTTGTGTCTTTTTTATTCTTCCCTTTTTGATTTTAAATTACATATGTTTAGCATACCATTTTAATTTATTTGTACTTTTTAAAACACTAAGAAAACAACTTTCTTAGTGGTTGCTCTAGGGATCACCGTATGCCTCATGATACTAGCTCAAGTCCAGTACAATATAAAACTGTTGTAACACAGCTTTATTCCCTGTCTTCTTTGTGCAGTCCATTTATGCCACATACCATGACAACAGTGTAATTATTTTATACAATCGTAGTTCCAGTAAAACCTAAGATGTGAGGAGAGATAGTTACAGGATATTGACGTCAACCTACACTTGCTATCTGCAGTGCCTGTCCTTCCTTCCTGAGGATTCAAGTTACCGTCTGGTGTCATTTCTATTCAACTTGAAGGTCTTCCTTTAGTATTTCCTTTAAGGCAGGTTTCGCCAACAATGAATCCCACCAGTCTCTGCTTCTCAGGGAATGTCGTTCGTTCCCTTTCACTTGTGTAGAACGGTTTTGATTCCTGGCTGATGGTTCTTCTCTCTGAGCAGCTTGAGTATGCCACTCCACTGCCTTCTGGCCTCCATTGTTTCTAAGAAGTCAGTGGCTGGCGGTATTGAAGCTCCCCTTTCATGGGATGGGTCATTCTTCTCTGAGGCCTTTCAACATTTTCTCTTTGGCCTTTGCCAGTTTGACTATGATGTGACTTTGCATTTATTCTAGTTCAAACTTCCTGTGCTCTTGAATGTGCATATTTTTTAATTAAAATTTGGAAAGTTTTTAACCATTATTGTAACAAATATCTTTCCTCTCTCCTGGAACCCCCATTCGACGTGCTTTGGTACAGCAGATGTTGTACCACGGGTTTCTGAGGCTCTGTGCATTTTTCTTGTTTTTTTCTCTCTGTTCTTCAGAATGGATAATTTCTACTGCTCCATCCACAAGTTGTTTCCAAGCCTTTACTAAATTCAACATCTGGACACTCAGACAGTTTTTACTGATGATGTTCTTCCTCAGTATGGGTCACACTGTCATACTTCTTTGTATTTTAGATAATACATTTGTAGCAATTCTGGATTCTAAGTTTTCCCTTTCGTTGTTACCACCGAGGCCTGTCTGGTTGTCCGTGAAATCCATCTCCCTCACAGCTCGTGGCCACCCCGTTCCTTCCCACATGCCTATTTTAATTTTCAACCTTGGCTTCCTAGGGGTCACCACCATGGCTGCACAGCTTAGCAATTAGCCAGCACTGGAAAAAGGCTGGGCTCAAATACCTCGAGCACAGTAAGGCTTCCTTGGCCCACGGCTGTGTGTGGACAGGGAGCACACTGAACGTTCACGCGTCATTCGCATCTGTGGCGGCTTCTATTTTCTGCCAGGTCCTTTCACGCAGCTGCATCCTCAGGGCTGGTCACAAGTGGGTGGCGGCTCGAGCTCTCTCCAGTCTCTGCTGCACGTCTTTGGCGAGATCACAGCTGCTCCCAACCACACTGTACTTCATTCTAGCAGACCTCTTGGCCTTTTCTTCCTCCCTCCACTGAGGATGCTGGTGGGCAAGGCCACTGCCCACTGCTCTAAACGGAGTAACCCCTTCCAAGGCAGCAAGGAAACTGCAGGTCCTGCAGCTGCCCTGTCCCAGTGGAACCTCCGTGCTTCCCAAGTGCAGAGTGGAAGCAGTAAAGGGAGCAGCTCTCAGGCCAGAAGGTCAGATTCTTACTGCTTTCACCCACAGCTCAGCAGTTTTCCAAGCATCAGTGCTTCTCAGATTATCCTTATCAGTTTCCTTTTTGTCAGAGACAAGGTCTCCCTACGTTGCCCAGGCTGGCGTCATGCGGTCCTCTGGCCTTAGCCTCCCACGTAGCATATGCTACCATACCCAGTTCTGGATTGGCTGATCTGAATCGGCCCTACCCAGAAGTCTGCCCCCAACAATTTTTGCTCATTCACTCTCCTGTCTTTACCTTCTGGGAAATCAATATGACAGCCCAAATTTCATCTACCAACCTCCACTTCTATCCCAAGCTGTACTCTCGTGGGACAAGACACACTCAATGTCTGGCACAGGGTGTGGCATACATGAATGTTTCACACACTAACAGGAACTAGGCCAACTGAAACCTTGCTCACCCCGCAGCGGTCTCGGACCTTGACCCCTGGGCCTCAGTGTCTCCCACACCCTTCGGCATCAACAAGAACCAGCGCCCTCTCATCATCTTTACATGCTGTGTACCCAGCCCTGGCTGCTGGCAAACATCGCTGCCCTTCCGCTTCAGACTCCTCTCTTCCTGGAGCAGCTTGCAAGCTTTCTGTGGACTCACTCTGAAGGCGGAGATGGGCCTGCTCCCACCTGGCCTACAGCCTTTTTCCTGGTTCACGGAACAGATCTGGGGCTACACCGATGTTCTTTCTTGGGAATCTGGCTCATAAAGGGGAACGAATATATAAACTAATGGCCAGGAGTCCTGGGAGTCCAGGGTCCCGAATTCCAGACTGTTTCAAGGTTTTTAGGATCTCCCTTCTCCTTTTTTTGAGACAGTCTCACTCTGTCAACCAGGCTGGAGTGCAATAGCATGGTCATAGCTTACTGCAGCCTTGACCTCCAGGCTCAAGGGATCCAACCACCTCAGCCTCCTAAAGTGCTAGGATTACAGGCATGAGCCACCGCGCCCGGCCGGACATGCAGATTTCTGATCCCTTCATTGTCTTCCCTCAATCAAATCACACCCGTTCTTACTTCCAGATGCAGTGAAAACTCACTCCCTCAGGACAGTTCTCTTGGTCAGCCTCGTCCAGCGTTCACTGTGCTGTTTCCATGTCTACCACTTCTGCACCAAATGTGACTTCTTCTTTTTTTTTTGAGACGGAGTCTCGCTCTGTCGCCCAGGCTGGAGTGCAGTGGCGGGATCTCAGCTCAATGCAAGCTCCACCTTCCGGGTTCACGCCATTCTCCTGCCTCAGCCTCCCAAGTAGCTGGGACTACAGGTGCCCGCCACCATGCCCAGCTAATTTTTTGTATTTTTTTAGTAGAGACGGGGTTTCACCATGTCAGCCAGGATGGTCTCCATCTCCTCACCTCATGATCCGCCCACCTCGGCCTCCCAAAGTGCTGGGATTACAGGCGTGAGCCACCACACCTGGCTCAGATGTGACTTCTATTGCCAAATTCTTCTTCATTTCTAGGATGGGACACACTACCACAGCCCTTTTATAAAGTCCTCAACTGACCCAGCCGACTCACCTTTCTCTCCTGGAATGCTCCCTTGCCATCTCCCTTCTCTTCTGTCTTTCCCATTCCCGGCGAGCTTTATCCTGTTCTTCTCGATGCCGTTTCCGACGTTCGTGCTCTCTTTCTTTTTCTTTCACTCTAGCATGCTTCCCTAATGAGAAATAAAGTGTCATGCAAAGAAACCTCACTTCAAAAATTTCACATGAAGCCGGGCACGGAGGCTTATGCCTGTAATCCTAGCACTTTGGGAGGCTGAGGCGGGCGGATCACCTGAGGTCAGGAGTTCAAGGCCATCCTGGCCAACATGGTGAAACCCCGTCTCTACTAAAAATACAAAAATTAGCTGGGCGTGGTGGCAGGCACCTGTAATCCCAGCTACTAAGCGAGGCTGAGGCAGAAGAATTGCTTGAACCCGGGAGGCGGAGGTTGCAGTGAGCCGAGATCACGCCACTGCACTACAGCCTGGGCAAAAAAAAAAAAAAAACCCACGTGAAACTGAAATTAAGACCGGGCGCGGTGGCTCACGCCTGTAATTCCAGCACTCTGGGAGGCCGAGGTGGGCGGATCACAAGGTCAGATCGGGACCATCCTGGCTAACACGGTGAAACCCCATCTCTACTAAAAATACAAAAAATTAGCTGGGTGTGGTGGCGGGCACCTGTAGTCCCAGCTACTCGGGAGGCTGAGGCGGGAGAATAGCGTGAACCCAGGAGATGGAATTTGCAGTGAGCTGAGATTGCGCCACTGTACTCCAGCCTGGGTGACAAGCAAGACTCCGTCCCAAAAAAAAAAAAAAAAGAAATTAAATCAAGAACAGTAAATATTTAAATAAATATTTAAATAATGATGTTAACGTTAAGTAATCCTAATTTTTCTTTTTTTTCTTTTTTTTTTTTGGAGATGGAGTCTTGCTCTGTCGCCCAGGCTGGAGTGCAGTGGCGCAATCTCGGCTCACTGCAAGCTCCGCCTCCCGTGTTCACACCATTCTCCTGCCTCAGCCTCCCGAGTAGCTGGTACTACAGGCGCCTGCCACCACGCCCGGCTAATTTTTTGTCTTTTTAGTAGAGACGGGGTTCCACCATGTTAGCCAGGATGGTCTTGATGTTCTGACCTCGTGATCTGCCGGCCTCGGCCTCCCAAAGTGTGGGGATTACAGTTGTGAGCCACCGCGCCCGGCCTTTTTTTTTTTTTTTTTTTTTTTTAAAGAGACAGGGTCTCGCTATATTGGCCAGGCTGGTCTTGAACTCCCGGACTCAATTGATCCTCCAAAGTGCTGGGATTACAGGCCTGGGCCACTGCACCCAGCCGAATAATCATGATTTTATGTTAAATAAAAAACTTTGAAAATAAAAAACTATCTGCAGTAAGCGTCTAATTATGAAGAAAGAAGAAAAAAGAAAAACAATTCTGCTATCACAGAAGAGCAGAATTGTAATATTCGTCTTTTAAAACTTTTCCATACTGAATAAACTATAATTATCAGTTTTATAATACAAAAATCACTCTTCACAAAGACTACAGAACAAAGCTTTGCTATCAGTGGGCTTCTCCACTGTGCAATGAAGCCACATTAATTAATCAAGTGTATTTATAATCATGACATTTCAATCGGGCTCCAGGTCCAATTTTCCTAACACCCGTAAGAACCTCCTGATGTTGGTACGAGATCAAACTGCTCAAGCCAAACCCATTCTTTGGACTTGAGCAAATACCCATTTTGGGGTGTGTTTTTCTCCTATACTTGTTGAATTCAGGTCATTTTAAATGTAAACAAACTGCTTCCAAACAATATAATGGGGGAGAGAAAACCCCAGAGGAAAAATGGACTAGCCATTCTGAATGGTCTGTGACACACGCACGCTTTCAGCTAGAGTTTGCTCTCTCTGGTTTTCGGTCTGTGATACACGCATGCTTTCAGCTGGAGTTTGCTCTCTGTAGCCCCTCTGAACGGTCTGTGACACACGCATGCTTTCAGCTAGAGTACTCTATAGCCCCTCTGAATGGTCTGTGACACATGCACGCTTTCAGCTAGAGTACTCTCTCTATAGCCCTTCTGAATGGTCTGTGACACACGCATGCTTTCAGCTGGAGTTTGCTCTCTCTGGTTTTCGGTCTGGGACACATGCATGCTTTTAGCTAGAGTTTGCTCTGTATAGCCCTTCTGAACGGTCTGTGACACACGCATGCTTTCAGCTGGAGTTTGCTCTCTATAGCCCCTCTGAATGGTCTGTGACACACGCATGCTTTCAGATAGAGTATTCTCTCTATAGCCCTTCTGAATGGTCTGTAACACACGCACGCTTTCAGCTAGAGTTTGCTCTCTCTGGTTTTTGGTCTGTGACACACGCATGCTTTTAGCTAGAGTTTGCTCTGTATAGCCCTTCTGAATGGTCTGTGACACATGCATGCTTTCAGCTAGAGTTTGCTCTCTCTGGTTTTTAGTCTGTGACACACACATGCTTTTAGCTAGAGTTTGCTCTGTATAGCCCTTCTGAATGGTCTGTGACACACGCGTGCTTTCAGCTAGAGTTTGCTCTCTCTGGTTTTTGGTCTGTGACACACGCATGCTTTTAGTTAGTTTGCTCTCATAGCCCTTCTGAACGGTCTGTGACACATGCATGCTTTCAGCTATTCTCTCTATAGCCATTCTGAATGGTCTGTGACACACGCACGCTTTCAGCTAGAGTTTGCTCTTTCTGGTTTTCGGTCTGTGACACACGCATGCTTTCAGCTAGAGTTTGCTCTCTCTGGTTTTCGGTCTGTGACGCACGCATGCTTTTAGCTAGAGTATTCTCTCTATAGCCATTCTGAACGGTCTGTGACACACGTATGCTTTCAGCTAGAGTTTGCTTTCTCTGGTTTTTCAGTGGTGCTCTGGGGAAGGCAGAAGAGTAGGAACAGGAAAGAAACCACACTTGAACATGATGTCAAAGAAAGTAAATGCTTCTGTACCCCCTTCTGCTGAATGGCTACGATGCCTACGTTTCTCTTTTCTCTTTTCATCTTTTCTGTGATGAGCTTTTTCTTTCCGAGACATTTGCTGGGGTGGTTTGATGGCCAAAGAATCATCTTCTTCTCCTCTGAAATAAAACACAACAGCACTGCATCATGCTTGAGAAAGTGCAAAGAAGCATCAGGCTATTATAAGGTTTCTTCAACCCAGAAAAATGCATGATTCAGACAGGAACAAAGCTGAAACATCATTTAAAAAATTACATTAATTCTCCAACTTTAGGCATCTTTTTTTTCTTTTTTTCTTTTTTTTAGACAGTCTCGCTCTGTTGCCCGGGCTATAGTGGCACGATCTCGGCTCACTGCAATCTCCACCCTCCGGGTTCATGCCATTCTCTTGCCTCAGCCTCCCGAGTAGCTGGGACTACAGGCGCCCGCCGCCACGCTGGCTAATTTTTGTATTTTTAGTAGAGACGGGGTTTTACCATGTTAGCCAGGATGGTCTTGGTCTCCTGACCTCATGATCCGCCCACCTCGGTCTCCCAAAGTGCTGGGATTACAGGCGTGAGCCACTGCGCCCGGCCTGTATTTATTTTTTTGAGACGGAGTCTCGCTCTGTTGCCCAGGCTGGAATGCAGTGGTACGATCTCGGCTCATTGCAACCTCCCCTTCCAGTCCCAGGTTCAAGCAATTCTCCTGCCTCTGCCTAAGGAGTAGCTGGGATTACAGGCATGCGCCACCACACCCGGCTAATTTTTTTATTTTTAGTAGAGACGGGGTTTCACCATATTGGTCAGGCTGGTCTCAAACTTGTGACATCATGATCCACCCACCTCGGCCTCCCAAAGTGCTGGGATTACAGGTGTGAGCCACCGCACCCAGCTTTATTTTTATTTTTTTCAGATAGAATCTCGCTCTTTCCCCCAGCCTAGAGTGCAGAGGCACAATCTTGGCTCATTGCAACCTTTGCCTCCCAGGTTCAAGCAATTCTCCTGCCTCAGCCTCCTGAGTAGCTGTGACTACAGGTGTACACTACCATGCCAGGCTAATTTTTGTATTTGTAGTAGAGACGGGCTTTCACCATGTTGGCCAGGCTGATCTTGAACTCCTGACCTCAGGTGATCCACCTGCCTCAGTCTCTCAAAGTGTTGGGATTACAGGCGCGAGCTACTGCACCCAGCCATTCACATCATATTTAAACAAGGGCAGCTCATTTTATGTTATTTATTCCCCAATAAATCTGTTAAAAGATCCTACAATTTTGGCTGGGTGCAGTGGCTCACGCCAGTAATCCCAGCACTTTGGGAGGCTGAGGCAAGTAGATCACCTGAGGTTAGGAGTTCAAGACCAGTGTGACCACACAGTGAAATCCGTCTCTACTAAAAATACACACACACACACACACACACACACACACACACACACCCGAGCGTGGTGGCGCATGCCTGTAATCCCAGCTACTCAGGAGTCTGAGGCAGGAGACTCACTTGAACCCGGGAGCTGGAGGTGGCAGTGAGCCGAGATCATGCCAGTGCACTCCAGCCTGGGCGACAGGGTAAGACTCTGTGTCAAAGCAACAACAACAACAACAAAACAATCTTCATAATCTCAAAGCGTCATTTAACAGTATCTTCAGCTGATTTCTGTATCACCAAAATTCTGGGAAAATTCACACCTTAAGCTTCTCAGGAAAACCATTATACCGTAATTTCTGGCTGTGTTTCCTTTAATTACTAATACCTGATGACGTATACGAGCTAGATATGAGAAGAAAACAAACGAGAAACAGTTCATGGCACAGGAAGAAACGTCGGAACACACAGGTCTCAACAAGAACATTTCCTTTTTTTCCACACAGGGTCTTGCTCTGTTACCCCAGTCTCATCCATTTCCTTGTCTCTATTCTAGGCTCTGTCAGGGGTGCTTAGAAGCTAGGCCCTGAAAACCCTGATGATGACCATGAGGGGCACCTGCTATGGCAGGAAAACTCATTTAGTTTTTCTCATCTTCTTTTTTTTATTTTGTGTAGAGACGAGGTCTCCCTGTGTTGCCCAGGCTGGTCTTGAACTCCTGGGCTGAAGTGATCTGCCTGCCTCGGCCTCCCAAAGTGCTGGGATTACAGGCGTGAGCTGCCGCGTCCGGCCAATATGAACATTTCTCATCAGCGGCCCTCCTCAGGTATCTTTCAGCATTCTACTTTATTTGTGCAAAATCTTTTTTTTCCTTTTTTTTTTTTTAGAGGCGGGGTCTTGCTCTGTCGCCCAGGCTGGGGTGCAGTGACATGATCTTGTCTCACTGCAAGCTCCACCTCCTGGGTTCACGCCATTCTCTTGCCTCAGCCTCCCGAGTAGCTGGGACTAAAGGCGCCTGCCACCACGCCCGGCTAATTTTCTGTATTTTTAGTAGAGACGGGGTTTCACTGTGTTAGCCAGGATGGTCTTGATCTTCTGACCTTGTGATCCGCCCACCTCGGCCTCCCAAAGTGCTGGGATTACAGGCGTGAGCCACCGCGCCCGGCCTTTTTTTCCTTTTAAGACGGGGTTTCACCATGTTGGCTAGACTGGTCTCGAACTCCTGACCTCAGCTGATCAGCCCGCCTTGGCCTCCGAAAGTGCTGAGATTACAAGTGTGAGCCACCACACCTGGCCTGTGCAAAATCCTATATAGTATATTTTATTAATCAGTGTAACACATGGCAAAGTTCTTTACAGAAAGAAGGGGCAAGGGTCTGGAGGGCCACAGACAACACTTGAGAGTCAGTCACAACTGTGACATAAAAACCTCAATAGTTACGCTATGTCACAGTAACTCTAGGAAAGAGTAAACCTTAATAGTTACAACAGCACACAGTTGTCACAGCGACCCTAGGAAGGACCGGCCAGGCCAGGGCTGTGTACAGCTGGGTCTTGCACATCTGTACATCCGCTCACCTGTCTTCCATAGAGTCTTCTCTTCTATACGGGGAGTTCCTTATTGTGATCTCCATGCGGTGATCTCTCAGCTCCCCCTCCTCAAGGGAATCCCGCTTGGAATCCCGGTCATCAGACTAAGAAGCAAAGAGAAAGTTAATCATTTTCTTTATAAGTTTTTTTTTCTTCATAGATAAAAGTATTTTTAATGATAATCAAACCTGGGCAACATCCCAAAACAAACTTTCATATATACTCTGAATGAGCCAGTGTTATAAAATATAAAGAACTTTTGGCCGGGTGTGGTGGCTCACGCTTGTAATCCCAGCACTTTGGGAGGCCCAGGCAGGCGGATCACGAGGTCAGGAGCTCGAGACCACCCTGGACAACACAGTGAAACCCCATCTCTACTAAAAATACAAAAATTAGCTGGGCGTAGTGACCGGAACTGCTTGAACCCGGGAGGCGGACATTGCAGTGACCCGAGATCACACCACTGCACTCCAGCCTGGCGACAGAGTTAGACTCCGTATCAGGGAAAACAAACAAACAAACAAACAAACTTTAATTCAAATCTTATCACATTAAAATTACAACTCTCTGTAATCTGAAACCTGAGATGAGAAATTTAAAAATAGCATATATGACAAGGGACATTAGACTCTATGCCAAGTATGTTAGTTGCTTATATGAGCCAAAAATGAATCTTAAGGCGTATCTTGCAAACCAAATACTTTGTGATACCTCATATGGTACAGGCATCCCTTGGAGATATTTTGGGTTTGGCTCCAAAACACCACAATAAAGTGAGTCACACAGATTTTTTGGTTTCCCAACGCATATAAAAGTTTGGTTTAGGTCAGGCATGGTGGCTCACGCCTGTAATCCCAGCACTTTGGGAGGCTGGGTGAGGCAGGTGAATCACCTGAGGTCAGGAGTTCCAGACCAGCCTGACCAACAAGGTGAAAGCTCGTCTCTACTAAAAATATAAAAATTAGCCGAGCGTGCTGGCAGGTGCCTGTAGTCCCAGGTACTCAGGAGGCTGAGACAGGAGAACTGCTTGAACACAGGAGGCAGAGGTGGCAGTTAGCTGAGATCATGCCACTGCACTCCAGCCTGGGCAATGGAGCAAGACTGTCTCAAAAACAAACAAAAAAGGCCGGGCGCGGAGGCTCATGCCTGTTGTAATCCCAGCACTTTGGGAGGCCGAGGTGGGTGGATCATGAGGTCAGGAGATTAAGATCATCCTGGCTGACACCGTGAGACCCCATCTCTACTAAAAAATACAAAAAATTAGCTTGGCATGTTGGTGGGCCCCTGTAGTCCCAGCTACTTGGGAGGCTGAGGCAGGAGAATGGCGTGAACCCGGCCCTGGGCGACAGTGCGAGACTCCGTCTCAAAAACAAAAAAAAAGCTAACAAAGTGAGCACATGCTATTGGAAAAATGCTCAATGCAGAGTTGCTACAAACCTTTAATTTGGAAAAATTTCAATATCTGTGAAGCATAATAAAGTGAAGTGCAATACAACAAGGTATGCCTGTACTCACTAACATCCCAAATGATGCTGCTAAAGATCTTAGCAAAAGAGGTACTTTGCCAATGCCTCTTACCAAATTACTAAAAAGGTTTCCTGAGTACATTACCATGCAAACCAAGAAAGATGTAAAATATTTATATTAATTTCAAGGCAAGTTCCCACTATATTAAAAATACTTAGAGATAGTATTATGAACATACTAATGAACCGAGAAAAATTAGTCCAGTTTTGCTAATGACTTAACATTCAACGTATTTTATTCTCCATGTATGCTCAATCTAGACACAGCTTTAGTGTGTTAAATCTGCCTTTAATGTCAACTGAATATTTGAATGTTTTTGTTAATTTTTAGAATAGATTTTGGGCTCACCTGCGACATTTGGAAGTACAAAAGAACTTCACCGAAGAAGCGTTGTTCTAATGGAAAAATGAGGGCAAAGAAATTAAATCTCCTTTAAGAAAACCACTTACTTAAAAAATATGGCTTACATTTTTTAAGCGTTTTATCTCTGCTTTCTCCTCTTGTTCCTTCCTTCGTTTCTTTTCCTGAAGAATTTCATCTAAAGTTTTCACTTTCCAAGAGTCCTTTTCATCACCCATTTGAGTTAAAACACTGCAAAAAGAAAAATAATTCAGCCTACATCAGGACACAGCAAGCTATGGTGCTGAACACTTGAACCTAGTCACTTTTGAGGGATTCAGAATAAATCCTCATTAAGAATAAGAAGTTGTGCCCGGCGCAGTGGCTCAAGACGGTAACCCTAGCACTTTGGGAGGCCGAGGCGAGCAGATCGCTGGAGTTCCGGAGTTCAACACCAGCCCGGGCAACATGGCAAAACCTCGTCTCTACAAAAAATACAAAAGTTAGCCCAGTGTGGTGGCGCGTGCCTGTATTCCTAGCTACAGGAAGGAGGCTGCTAGAGGCAGGAGGATCACTTGAATCAGAGAGGTCAAGGCTGCAATGAGCCAAGACTGCGCCACTGCACTCCAGCCTAGATAACAAAGTAAGACTTGGTTAAAAAAAAAAAAAAAAAAAAAAAAGTAAGCTCTAGGCTGAGGCGGGTGGATCACAAGGTCAGGAGGTCAAGACCAGCCTGGCCAACACGGCGAAAACCCTGTCTCCACTAAAAATACAAAACTTAGCTGGGCGTGGTGGCGGGTGCCTGTAATCCCAGCTACTCGGGAGGCCGAGGCAGCAGAATCGCTTGAATCCGAAAGGCGGAGGTTCCGGTGAGCCGAGGTCGCGTCACTGCACTCCAGCAAGACCCCGTCTCAAAAAAAAAAGAAAAAAAAACAAGAATGATAAGTTGTAAGCCAGGCAAGGTGGCGAGCGCCTGTAGTCCCATATACTCTGCAAGCTGAGATGGGAGACCGATTGAGCCCAGGAGTTCCAGGCTGAAGTGCGCTTGTGAACAGCCACTGCGCTGCAGCATGGGCGACAAAAAAGAGTGATGGGTTCTGAAAAATGACCGCTTGAAATCAAGTCTCGTTTCTGTCATTCTTGTATGGTCTTGGGTAACGTAATTCACCTCAGTTTAGTCTTCCGTACAACCAGAATAACAACACCTACGTGATAGTATCGATCGCGGATTAAAGATCATCCGTTTAAAGGCTCTTAACTCAGGACCTGCCACTCATCAAACACTGCTTTTACTGTCAGAATCTGCTAGAAAGACCGCTTGGACTACGTGAAGCCACTAGCACACTGGACAGCTGCACCTTGAGACCGGGGAGATGCTCCGAGATGTGCTCGCGAACAAGGCCACCTGACCCGGGCACTGGGCTATTTCCTCGGGTTCAGTCCCGCACACTTGAGGTTCAGCCTGGCAGACGTTGGCTCCAGACAGCGTTTGGACCCGCCGCCTCCACCACCCAAAGTTCCGTGCGGGATGAGACTGTCCGCGGAAGCGAGGGTGTCGCTCGCCCCCGGGCCCGGGTCCGCCCCGCTCCGAGGCCTGCTCGGAAGAAAGACCTCGGTGCGCAGTTCTCCTCGCGCTCCCACACCTGGTCCGCCCAGTCGGAACTCACCCCTACGCCGCCGCCGCTGCCGCCGCCGCCGCCGCCGGTCCCGGAGCCAGAGAAGAAACAGCAACCGGCGCGCGCCAAAAGTATCGTCACTTCCTGTATTGGCGCGTAATGATGATATAATAGCCGACCTCCGGCCCAGAACTCGAGACAACGACAGGGGCTCGCTCTGTGCGGCACTTCCTGTGTCTGCGCGGGATGATAACGCATAAAACAGCGCTTGCTCAGGTCCAGGACGCCAGAAGAAACAGCCCGGTGAGCGCACTTCCGACTTCGGCGCGGGCTGTGACGCAGGAATCGGGACTCCGGAGGAGCGACGCCCACTTTTGGAGCAGTTTGCGCCTGCGCGGAACGCGTGGCCGGCTTCCGGAATCCTACCGGGACTTTTCCGGTAGCGAAGCCCGCGCCTGTGCCAAGGCTTGCGAGCAGAATGCCTTCGCGATGGACGCCCGCATTCCACCCCCTTGACCGCTGGGACCCCTAGTGGCGGGTGGGTGGAGCGCGCTCCATTTACCTGCTGGTTACCTCGTGAGGCGCCTCAGGTCTGTGTGTCTTGTAAAGGCCGATCTCGGAATTTAACTCTGAACCTTACTCAGAAACAGGGCAGGGAGAGCTCTTACGATGTGATTTTATTTTATTTATTCATGTATTTACTTTTGAGTCGGAGCCTTGCTCTGCCGCCCAGGTTGGAGTGCAGTGGCGTGGTCTTGGCTCACTGCAGCCTCCTCCCGGGTTCAAGGAATTTTCCTGCCTCAGCCTCCCGAGTAGCTGGAACCACAGGCCCGCGCCACCACGCCCGGCTAATTTTTATATTTTTGGTAGAGACGAGGTTTCGCCATATTGGCCAGGCTGGTCTCGAACTCCTGACCTCAAGTGATCCGCCCGCTTCGTCCTCCTAAAGTGCTGGGATTACAGGCGTGAGCCACCGCGCCCGGCCTTTTACAATGTGATTTTGAAGCTGACACTGGCAGTGGGTCCTCAAAGTGCAGACTCACTGGGTATGGTGCTTCCCCCAACTCCCAGGGCCCCACTCCAAACCCATGGATTCAGAGCATTGCAGGAGAAGAGGATAAAACGAGCAATTAATTCCCTTTCCATATGTCAGGTTTTCCTCTTGACTTGAAAAGTCACAGAAAAATGCTTTAGACATCTGAATCTCAGGAAACAAACAATGGAAGATAAACATCCGCATTTACTGGGCCTGAAATGGGAAAATGAAAGATGTGGCAAGAAACTGACAAGGGCCCAAGAAGGGCGATGGGTATCGGAATTTTTTTCATCCCGGAATGAAATGCTGCTTGCTTTGTGTACCCAAGCTCTTTTTTTATTTTTATTTTTTTGAGACGGAGTCTCGCTCTGTTGCCCAGGCTGGAGTGCAGTGGCGCGATCTCGGGTCACTGGAAGCTCCGCCACCCGGGTTCACGCCATTCTCCCGCCTCCACTCCATTCGCCCGCATTAGGCTCCTGAGTACCTGTGACTACAGGCGCCTGCCACCATGCCCGGCTAATTTTTTTTTTATTTTGGGTAGAGACGGGGTTTTACCGTGTTAGCCAGGATGGTCTCAATCTCCTGACCTCGTGATCAGCCTGCCTCTGCCTCCCAAAGTGCTGGGATTACAGGCGTGAGCCACCGCGCCTGGCCTCCCCCAAGCTCTTAATGTTGCTTCCTGAGTTCTTGGTAACTGGGGAAATCTCCCTATTTTTTTATTTTTATTTTTTTTTGAGACGGAGTCTTGCTCTGTCGCCCAGGCTGGAGTGCAGTGGCGCAATCTCGGCTCACTGCAAGCCCCACCTCCCGGGTTCAACGCCATTATCCTGCGAGCCTCAGCCTCCCGAGTAGCTGGGACTACAGGCGTCCACCACTACGCCCGGCTAATTTTTTTGTGTTTTTAGTTGAGATGGGGTTTCACTGTATTAGCCAGGATGGTCTTGATCTCATGACCTTGTGATCTGCCTGCCTTGGCCTCCCAAAGGGTTGGGATTACAGGCGTGAGCCACAGCACGTTTTTTTCTGTTTTGAGAAAAAGTCTCGCTGTGTCACCCAGGCTGGAGTGCAGTGGCACAATTTTGGGTAACTGCAGCCTCCGCCTCCTGGGTACAAGTGATTCTCCTGCCTCAGCCTCCCGAGTAGCTGGGATTATAGGCGTGCGCCACCACACCTGGCTAACTTTTGTATTTTTAGTAGCGACAGGATTTTGCCATGTTGGCCAGGCTGGTCTTGAACTCCTGACCTAAAGTATCTGCCCACCAGCCTCCCACAGTGCTGAAATTATAGTCATGAGCCACCGTGCCCGGCCAAAAATCTCCAGTTTACCCTTCCTTTGTGAAATCTGTGAGTACCCAAATGCAGCCACTCATGTCAAACCCTAACAAAATCGACCCCAGAGCCCACGAGGAGGGGGTGGCCTCGCACTTGCGCTTGATAGGAGCTGCCACAAAGGCCTTTCCCAACCAGAACTTTGGGTTCAGCCACTTCTGTGAAGAGCCTCTTTGCTAGCAACAGCCAGCCCCACCGGTGAACAAAGTAGCATGAACACCAGAGTTCCACAAGGAAGAAAACAAAGCAGTCCATATTTAACATTTATTTTACTTTGCTGAGCAAGAATCATAGACAGCTACTACCACGGCTGCTTCGTTTGGACAAAAATAACGAGGAGGCATCCACGGGATTAGTTACACGGTATCAACTTACCACCACAGCAGAATCAACAGTGACTCGCTAATTAACAGAACCGTTTGCTAGAAAGCACTAATCTAGTTATATAAATACTGAAATAGGTCACATGCAAAACACTATAAACGTTTTGTGTGATGTACTTTTAGTTCTCCATAGTTTTGTTTGGTATAAAGGAAATATAATTTGGCTGTGACGTAGACTGTTGATGTAATTTTCAAGTTTTCCTGTATGGGGAAAGTTGCCCTGACTGTGGCCCTTTTCAAGGTGGAGCCTCCAACACCACGTTGGCAGATTCAGACTCCGTGAACAGTCTAAATGAGCAAGTCAGCTGAATGCCACTTTCAGATGGAAGGGAAATGAGATGGAAAACAACAAAAAAGGACTGCCAGGCGGAACAGTTTCCAACCGAGTTTTCGTTGAGTGAGGATCCAGCAGCCATCAAACTCAAACATAGGGGCCCGCAGGGAAACTGGAGGAAATACTTCAGAGACAGCAAAGCTGAAGGTTTCTGTGCTCTGAGGGATCCGAGAGTGGATGTCCCACTCCTGTATCCTCAGCCAGACACAGAACTAGCCAGATTCATTAGGGAAGCTCGGATGCTCTCATTCTATAAAGTAAGGCCCCCAGCAGGGCACGTACATACATTGGGAAAGAAGAAACCCCTTAGTACCATGTTGGTCAAAGGCAAGAGAGAGAATTCTATTTCCATCTGGAATGTCATTCTTGTTTACTTCTTCCAACAGTGAAATACTTCCAGGCCTTCGAAAGGCCATCCTTTGGACACATGTAAAAAGCTGTCTTGTTGGCCTGTTATTCCCACTGACCCGTCTGAGTGATCACCCAGGAGCGCGGCGGCAGCAAGCAGAGCTCACCGGATTTGGGACAAGGATTTTAAAGGCAGCTACAAAGCTGAGCTCTATTTGCTGATGATAGTCTCTGTTCAGCTGTTTAAAATGACTGTCTGACTCACCATGGTAATTTTTCACAAATTAAAGACACATTTTGGGTTGTGCAACAGTGTTCTCATCTTTCCAGGCAGGCAGATTATTTTAATGCTGTTATACAGGGAATTGGGACTCTCGGATTTTCTTTTTTAACCTTTTTATGCCTTTCAGTAGGGGAAGTTTCCTTGAAAGAGAGCTGCAAATCTCTTAAGTATCAACGTAAAGAAGCCGATGACCCAATTCGGGAGGTGGTTCAAGTGTTCTGTTCGTTTACAAAAGCACAGACCACGACCATGGACACACCCAGTGGAAGTAACCACACCTGGTGTGTTCCTAGAAGCTCACCTGTGACAGTTCAACAAGAACTTACTATTCCAGAAAAGTATTACACAAAGTTATTTTAAAAAATGTCTGTACAATCGTTAACACGGCCAAGCCAGGCCTTGGGTTTTGCCTCTTGGTGCCCGGCTGTGCTGGGAATGCCATGAAGACCAGCGGCTGGAAACTGACTTGGGCATGGAGAGGAGACTGAGGGAGAGGGAGGGGACAGCACGACTGAGCAAGGGCACAGTGCTGGCTGCCTCATGGGCTCCAGGCTCCTTCTGCCAGGATGAGGAAGAGGCCCCAGAGCAGCGTTACACAGGAAATTACCCTATTTGCTAATCCTTTGGAAAAACGTTTGTTTCTGGTCCACAAACAGAAAATCCAAACAGGATGGCAGCTCCTTGTGAGGGTGGAGGGGAGGGCACCAGATGCTGTGCGGCTGGAAATTCCAAGGTGCTCAGAACCAGGCGCCTGCACCTCTCCTTATGCCAGACCACAATCTTCAAAGAGGCCGGCAGCCACATTCTCGACGGGGAGGTGGACAAGGCCACCCTGGGAGTTGCTTTCAATCTGTCCTCACAAATCAACAACTCCCCGCCACCTCCAGGGCATTTTCTAATAGTGTTTGTTTTTGAGACGGAATCTTGCCCTGTTGCCCAGGCTGGAGTGCAATGGCACGATCTTGGCTCACTGCAACCTCCATCTCCGGGGTTCAAACAATTCTCCTGCCTCAGCCTCCTGAGTATCTGGGATTACAGGCACCCACCATCGCACCCAGCTAATTTTTGTATTTTTGGTAGAGACAGGGTTTCATCATGTTGGCCAGGCTGGTCTCGAACTCCTGGCCTTGTGATCCGCCAGCTGCTGCCTCCCAAAGTGCTGCGATTAGAGGCGTGAGCCACCGCACCCAGTCTTCTATTAGTTTTTGAGGAAAGCAGAAAAAAAGAAATGGAAATCCGGGGAAAGTCACGTGACAAAACATCTTCGCAGCGCAGTGAGCACACACCTGGCCTGTCCTCCACACACAGGTCAGCGGTTTTATAGAAGCGGCTGAAGCAGGTGTAGTAGCCCACGCCTATATTCTCGACACTACAGGAGGCTGAGTGGGAAGGATTGCTTGAGCCGAGGAGTTCAAGACCAGCCTGGGCAACAAAGCGAGAGCCCAGCTCAACAAAAAAATAGCCAGGCATGGTGGCACGTGCCTGTGGTTCCAGCCACATGGGAGGCTGAGGTGGGAGGATCATTTGAGCCCAGGAAGTCGAGGCTGCAGTGAGCCAAGATCATGCCACTGTACTCCAGCCTGGGTGACAGACAGAGCAAGACTGTCTCAAAAAAATAAAAAGGTTACTTGTGGGTTAAAAAGCCTCACTTCGGTCCATCATCATGGCAGACTTTTTTGAGTAGGTAGAAGTTAATGAGTCAGAATTATTGCTCTGTTTCTGAATGATTTTATCTTCAGGAGGGGCTATTTTTGTATTTCCCAGGTGAGAAGCCAAATGGAAAGCCAGTGAAGTGACCATGGGTGCCAAAGGCCTAAAGAGCAGGCAGGGAAATGAGACTCGGGACCACTGGAGCCCCATGCTGCCTCTGACAAGCCCTGGAGCTCTGGGTCTCAAAGGCTGGCTGGCAACAGGCTGCACCGGGCATGGGAATCCGCCAGCTGCGAGATTGGGGGTAAAGAGCTCAGACATGGTCAGAAGCCTCTGCCTAACACACGGCTCCAGTAGCCACTCCTCAGGCCTCCTGCGCCCTCGGGGGTGCGTGACACAGGAGGATGAGTTGAGCTGGCTGGTGGCCCCAGTGTGCCGTACTACTGTCCCTTGGGGAGAGTGGGACAGGGTGGGCGCCTGACACACACCACGCGCCCCAGAAACATTCAGTGTGGACGTTTCCTTTTTCAGTAAGGACGGCGCCCAGGTAAACGCCACGTAACCCAAACCATCAACACTGCAGCGTCCTGCCCAAGGCTCACGTGGGGAACCGGACAGGTGCTAGATGATGATAGGAACAGTGGGCTCTGAGGGAGGACAGACAGGCTCACCCCACGGGGACCTCAGAACAGCCTGCCTCATACTCAGAGTCCAAAAAAGAAAAGGAACGTACACATCTCCTCCCAAGTTAAACACGAGAGGTTTGTCCTCAACCTCAGGGCTGGAAACCCCCACAGGTAGGAGGGCAGGGTGCCCTGGGGTTGCGGGGAGCTCACGCAGCCCAGGGTGTGGAAGGGATAGGAGGGCAGGGTGTGGAAGAGGTAGGGGGCCTTCCTCTAAACAGAAGCGACTGAACGGCCTCCGTGGTCATAGCCCTTGAGTGCCGTGCAATGCTGCAGCTTGAGGCTTGCGATGCCTCTGGGATAGTCTGAGGATGCCCACAGCCCTGGGTCAGGTGGGGAGAAGTTCTGAGTGCCCACCGTGGCAGCAGGAGACCCTTCCTTCCAGGGCCCTCTGTCCCCTCCCTTCGGCCCTGCTCTGTGGCCTCATGCCCAGGGCCAGTCTGCCGCCGGTCCAGGGCCTCAGGGCCTTCGATGGCTGGTGTGGGAAGCCGAGGGCTCTCTTGGCTGTGGCAGGGAGCGGCTCTCGTTGGCACTGGACCCACCTCTGGCTCCCGGTGGACCCTGGGGTGTCGCCCAGAGAGGAAGTGGGCACCCCCAGCATGGGAGCCTCAGAGGCTGTTTTCACATTACACGGGGATGGGCTCGGCGGACACAGTCAGCTACTGGTCTGGTCTCTACTCCAGGAAGCTGATACCTGGAATCCCCAGTTTGAGTTTCTGCTGGTCTTCACCGACAAACCGAGAAAGCCGCAGGCAATGGCCAACTTAGCTCCCCATGTCCTGCACCCCAGCAGGGCCATGGAGGAGGGCGTCCCTGCCCATTTCTGGGGGATGCAGTGTCACGAGGACAGCAGCAGCTGGCAGCTTCCTGCTCTCAGGGATGCTGCCTGGGGTCCTGTGGAAGCAGCGGCTCCACTGTGTCGTCTGGGGCCCGGCCAGTGGCTGCAGCCAGGCTCTGCAGCGCCTCCTGCTGGTGTTGCCTGGCTTTGTTGTAGAGCAGGACCCCAACGGTCACCAGGGCTGTGCCAACGGCCGACAAGCTGGTGATCTTGTTGCCGAAAACGATTACGCTGAGCCAGATGGACAAGGCATGTTTCACGGTGCTGGCGACGCTGCGGAGGCAAGGGGAGGCAGCAGGGGCGCTCAGGGCTATGGTCTCCTCAGCCCGTGGCCAGCAGCTCGGCTGAGCCTGGGTCTGGAGGCTGGGTGGGGTTGGGGGACTCAGCGTCACGGTGACATCAGCCCTGCGGCCAGCAGCTCGGCTGACCCCGGGTCTGGAGGCCAGGATGGGGCGGGGGTGCTCAACGGGACCTCGGTGGTGGTGAGATCAGCCCAGGGGTTTGGGAGCTTTCAGCGGGGCTTGCCTGCTCCCTCGTCCCTTCTTTTTTGAGGGGTACTTTTCATTATTAAAAAAGGCAGAGGAGGAGAAACCTAAGTAACGGCCACGTCCTGTGATCTAGACGCAGGAATTCATGACATCCGCCTCATCAGCTTCATCCAATCGAGGTGGGTCTCACTATGTAGCCCAGGCTGGTCTTCAAATCCTGGGCTCAAGTGATCTTCCCACCTGGGCCTCCCACAGAGCTGGGATCATAGGCGTGAGCCACCACACCCAGATGAAATATTTTTAAGTAAATTACAGGTATCATGACATCTCACCCCTGAGTACTTCAGCCTGCTCTCTAAAGAACAAGAACATCACCGGGCGCAGCGGCTTAGCCTGGAATCCCAGCACTGTGGGAGGCTAGGCGTGGGGGCTCATGTCTGTAACCCCAGCACTGTGGGAGGCTGGGTGTGGGGGCTCATGCTTGTAACCCCAGCACTGTGGGAGGCTGGGCGT
Organism: Homo sapiens; assembly: GCF_000001405.40. Taxonomy (NCBI): domain Eukaryota; kingdom Metazoa; phylum Chordata; class Mammalia; order Primates; family Hominidae; genus Homo; species Homo sapiens. The sequence goes on from NC_000001.11 coordinate 1,666,748, forward strand.
GGGGGCTCATGTGTATAACCCCAGCACTGTGGGAGGCCGGGCACGGGGGCTCAGCCTGTCATCCCAGCACTGTGGAGGCCGGGCGCCGTGGCTCACGCCTGTAATCCCAGCACTGTGGGAGGCCGAGGCGGGCGGATCGCCTGAGGTCAGGAGTTTGAGACCAGCCTGGCCAATATGGTGAACCCCGTCTCCACTAAAAATACAAAAATTAGCCGGGCATGGTGGCACACGCCTGTAATCCCAGCTACTTGGGAGGCTGAGGCAGGAGAATCACTTCAACCCGGGAGGCGGAGGTTGCAGTGAGCCGAGATCAAACCAGAGAAATCCAGCTCTGGGTGACAGAGCAAGACTCTGTTTCGGGAAAAATAAAATACATAGGCAGGGCGCGGTGGCTCACGCCTGTAATCCCAGCACTTTGGGAGGCTGAGGCGGGCAGATCACAAGGTCAGGAGATCGAGACCATCCTGGCTAACACGGTGAAACCCTGTCTCTACTAAAAAATACAAAAAAAAAAAATTAGCCGGGCGTGGTGGCAGTCGCCTGTAGTCCCAGCTACTCGGGAGGCGGAGGCAGGAGAATGGCGTGAACCCGGGAGGCGGAGCTTGCAGTGAGCCGAGACTGCGATACTGAACTCCAGCCTGGGTGAAAGAGTGAGACTCTGTCTCAAAAAAATAAATAAATAAAATAAAATACATAAACAAATAAATTGCAGCTTCATTCAATCTGCCCAGTTACAGAAGTGGAAAGAAGCTGAAGGATCCTCCCCGTTTCTAGAGCTGCACCGCACGGCACAGGAAGCAGTGGCCACAGGTGTCTGTTCAAGTTCAAACTGACAGCAATCAGCTTGAATTCCTAATCTGGTTCTTGTTATATTCTCCACATTTCAAGTGCTCAGAAGCTGTATGTGGCCAGTGGCTCCTGCACTGGACAGCCCAGAAGAGACCATTCCATTCCTGCAGACAAGACTAGTCGCAACGCCCGACTATTCTAGACAGAAAAGCACTCAATTTCAAAAACCTTCAAACGCAGAGACTTCTAGTGGAGATTTCCCTAAATACCTATTTCACACAGTTTACGGTTTATTTTACAGTTTCTCATTTGTTTTTCTGTTTTTTTTTTTTTGAGAAGGACTCTCGCTCCCATCCCCCAGGCTGGAGTGCAGTGGTGAGATCTCAACTCACTGTAACCTCCGGCTCCTGGATTCAAGTGATTCTCCTGCCTCAGCCTCCCGAGTAGCTGGGATTACAGGTGCCCAGCATCACACCCGGCTAATTTTTGTATTTTTAGTAGAGATGGGGTTTCACCATGTTAGCCAGGCTGGTCTTGAACTACTGACCTCAAGTGATCCACTTGCCTTGTCCTCTCAAGTGCTGGGATTACAGGCATGAGCCACTGGGCCCGGCCTATCGTTTGCATTTCAAACAGCATGGGTATAAAATAGCCTAGTAATTACACTGCATAGCCACACTCATCCCCGTGGAAGAGAATCACATGTGTCCCTTATAAAAATACCTAGATTTCTGGTCTCCTTTGTAAACAACCTGGACACACTCAACTCTTGGGAAGTTCCTCTGCTCACCTGAAAGTCACCGGGGAGATTTTCCCCATGAGGGCGTACGCCGTGACGCTCTGAAGGTGGAACAGGACTCCGTCTGTCAGAAGCAGCAGCACCACGTCCTGGTTGTAGCTGAAGCTCTTCCCACTCCTCCCGATCACTGGGACGTCCTATGTGGCAAACAAAAGGGTACTCTATCGGTTTCCATTTTCCATTTACTAATCATCCACCAAAAACGCCCAGCGCCACTCCTGCCCAGAAACTGGGTAAAGCTGCTGCCACTGAGGACAGCCCTGAAAATGCCTCGAGCGGACAGCTGGACTGTGCACTCATCCATTTTCTGTTTTTTTTGTTTGTTTGTTTTTATTATTTTTTGCACTAATTAATTTTCACCATGCAGATGCAAATGGACAACAAGCACATGAAAGAGGCTGAACGTCACCATCATCAGGAAAATGCAACAGAAACCCCAATGCGGGGCCGGGCATGGCCAGTCTGGCCAACACGGTGAAACCTCGTCTCTGCTAAAAACATAAAAACTAGCCAGGCGTGGTGGTGGGCGCCTGTAATCCCAGCTACTCGGGAGGCTGAGGCAGGACAATCACTTAAACCCGGGAGGCAGAGGTTGCAGTGAGCTGAGATCGCACCACTGTACCCCAGCCTGGGCAACAGAGTGAGATATCATCTCCAAAAAAAAAAAAAAAAATTAAATATAGAATTATTATATAATCCAGCACTTCCACTGCTGGGTATACACGCACAAGAACTGATGGCCCTGGCCGGCAACCACAACTTCCCTGCAGGGAGAATGGCCAAGTCAGTCAGCCTTGACAGCTAATGGATTAAAATCCAGAAAACCGCAATAAGAACTTGAAACTGCATCTCACACAGAGAACCCTCTGTGTGGGGGACTCTAGGGAAGTCTACAAATTGCAGGTCCCAGCTACTTGGGAAGCTGAGGCAGGAGAATAACTTGAGCCTGGTAGGCAGACTTTGCAGTGAGCAGAGATCACACCATTGCACTCCAGCCTGGGATACAGAGCGAGACTCTTTATAAAAATAAAAAAAAAAAGTTTTTCTAATAAAAAAAAGAAATTAAGCTAACCTAAAAGTCATCTCAAGTTGAATGATGAAGAATCAAAACAAAACAAACAAACAATAAACAAAATAAAAGTCTTCACACAGAAATCTGAGCTGCAAACCCCGAGTGGCTCCCAGGGCAACTCAGCTAAGCAGGACCCGCAGCGGAGCTGGGCCCAACCAGCCAGCACACGGCCTGGAAACGGAAGTCATTCTGCTCCTGAATCACCGGAGAAGGCAGCCCGGCAAGTAAGGACGGGACGCCTGTGTCTGAAACCCACCGTAAAGAAAACCCGGGCCGGGACGAGCATGGCCACCGCAGCGGCGCTGGTGTAGAACTGCAGCTCCGGGGCCCTGTGGGTGACAGAACACGCTGGGCCCCCCGTGTCGGGACAGGCCGAGTTCACACGCAGCTCCCTCACAGCAAGAACACCCAGGCACCCCAGCCCAGAAGACGTTCATTCTCTCTAGACAGGACTAGGGTGCTGCAGCTTCCCAGAAATGAAAACGCAAACGCACACCAGGCTGGCTGAGGGGCTCAAGGGAGTAGCTGAGAAACGGGCGGGTCCCTCCCGAGCTTAGACAGGGTACTTGTAAAGGCCACCCAAGCCAGACAGGAAGGGAGTCAGGCCTGTGGGGTGTTCTGACTCTTACAGTGAGCAGGAAGTCCTCTTCGTCTTATGACTTGGAGATTTCACTGACGAATAATACTTACGAGAACCTGTATTTGTCCCCGCTGAGCAGCTTTTTTGAAAAAACATTTTGCAAACTAGAATAAAGAAAAGAGGTTATGCATCAATACTAGTCCTCGGCACGGAACATCAGGGGGAGAAGGTGTCTGCGCTCACACGGAGCGATGGCGACAATGACCAGACCTCAGTGGTGCCCGCCACCACGCCTGGTTACTTTTTTTATTTTTAGTAGAGATAGGGTTTCACCGTGTTGGCCAGGCTGGTCTCCAACTCCTGACCTCAAGTGATCCACCCGCCTCAGCCTCCCAAAGTGCTGGGATTACAAGTGTGAGCCACCACGCCCAACAGATTTTTTTTTTTTTTTTGAGACAGAGTCTGGCTCTGTCGCCCAGGCTGGAGTGCAGTGGCGCAATCTCGGCTCACTGCAAGCTCCGCCTCCCAGGTTCACGCCACTCTCTTTCCTCGGCCTCCCCAGTAGCTGGGACTACAGGCGTCCGCCACTATGCCCGACTAATCTTTTGTATTTTTAGTAGAGACGGGGTTTCACCATGTTAGCCAGGATGGTCTCGATCTCCTGACCTCGTGATCCACCCGCCTTGGCCTCCCAAAGTGCTGGGATTACAGGCGTGAGCCACTGTGCCCAACATATTTTTATTTTTACTTCTGTATTATTCAAAATCTCACCACAAACCTGTTTTGATTATCAGTAATAATGATAAACTCTCAGACACCAGTGGTGGTGTCTTTTCCTTTCTTTCCTCAAAAGCAGGAAAAGCCTAGAAGCCGGTCATTCTCAAAGGGCAGGTTTTGCCGGGGCTGGAGTGTGGCCATTAACAGCACGGCAGGGAGGTGGACGCCCAATTCTGGGTGAATCTGAACGGCCCCCGAAGTGCAGCGTCCACCGCTCTTCTCTACCGAGTGACAAAGACGTAAATAACAGGGCCCTCTCCTCTGGGAGCCTGCCACGCGCTGTCCTCGCTGTGGGAGTCGGCCTCTCATCCTTCCTGCCATCGTGACACCAGGACACAGATGGCCACAAGGAAGCAGAGGATCCGCCCGACCTGGAGGCCGCGCAGCTCCCAAACAGGCAGAACCTGCCGCTGGGGGACTGTCCCTGCTCTGGCAGCCGCATGAAGACACACCGAGCGAGACACACTGCTGAGCGTATCTGCGTATTTCAGCATTTGTCAGCTAACCGTGTCTCCATGGTTAGCATTTTAAGTACCAAGACCGTCCATCCTGAAATTTCGGCTTATTTTTGAGAAACTTACCTGCCGGGGATACCTGTTGTTTTGCTCTTTAGGAAAGGGCAGCATTGGACGCACCTGCTTTGGCTCACGGGAGGAATTCTCAGCTCACCTGAGAATCTGCACACCCAGATGCAGGTGAGCACCGGGTCTCGTCCCCCTCACGCCCACCTTCTCTGTGACTCACCAGTCCATGATGTTGGTGGACAGTGCGGCCGAGAACCCCAGGACATTGAAGCTGATCTCAGTGGCCGTGCACAGCGCCAGCCCGCCCATGACTGGGATGAGGGAGAGGTTGACCAGCAGCCCTGGCGAGAGGACAGCCCCTGTGAGTGGCTGACCCGCCGGGCGGACGCTCCCTCCCGAGGGCCAGGCTGTTTCCATCCCCTCTTATGAAAGGAACGGATGCTTCCTTCAATTCAAAAACAATACTTGTCAGTTTCTTCACATTGTGAGATAAAGCAAATCAAAGTCCGTGTCTGCAAATAAGTCCCGTCCCCACGGCAAAGGTGGCGCCTTTCACTCTACATGAGATGCGTCCCCCAGAGACTGAGCCCCAGCCATGGGCAGGTGAGCCACAGAAACCTTCCTGATTCTGTGAACGCTCCTGTGAAACGGTGAGTGTGAAGGAGATGGTCCCCAGGGAACTGCAGAGAAAGAGGCCCTGTGGGCCGGGAGGGGGATGCCCACATTGAATTTATGCTTTTCTGTTTCCTTCTGAAATGTAACAAAAAACTTTTACGTGAAGGATTTTTAAAAAATCTATGGAACACCGCTCACACCTGTAATCCCAGCACTTTGGGAGGCTGAGGCAGGAGGATCACTTGAGCCCAGGGGTTCAAGAACAGGGCTGAGCAAAGGTGAGACCCCGCCTCTACAAACAATACAAAAATTAGCTGGGTGTGTGTCCCGGCTACTGGGGAGGCTGAGGTGGGAAGATCACCTGCACGGGGGAGGCCGAGGCTGCAGTGGGCTGTGACCATGCCACTGCGCTCCAGCCTGGACGATAGAGTGAGACCTTGTCTCAAAAGAAGAAAGAGAAACCTGAGACAAGTTAACGTGGGAAACCCACAGATACTGCCCAGTCGAGACCCTGGCGTAGCAGAGGGACCCGAGTCTGTGCGGGGAGGCTCCAGCCAGAGGGGCGTCCTCTCGTCTGCCGTCACCTGGTCTCGGCCTCTGCTGGAAACTCTGGTTGAATCACGGACAACATTTATGAAAATTGTAGAGAAAACTGGAGACTGTGAATGCCGTTTCACCCTTCAAGGAGGGCTTGCTGCTGCTGTTGACATGCAGCTGGGGTGCCATAGACGCCTATATCCAGCACCAGATTCCTATCTCAGTTGAAGGTCTGGCATCTGGGGGTCCCCATGGTGGGGCGCCCATTCCAGCTTGTGCCCCTCCAGCCCCAGGAGACTGCTCTGCTCAGAAACCATCAGCAAATGCACCGGGGAGGGTGGTGCCTTAAGACAGACAGAGTCACTTCTCTGGGCTGCCAGAGGCACCGGAAGCCGGGTGCCTCAGGCCCTGGCAGTTCCGTCACTCTCCAACGCCTCCCCCACAGACTTCTTTTTGCTAAATGGTATCAAGATTTTCTCATTGTTGTCAGCAAGAGAGTTGGTTTTCTAACATCTCATCGACCATGGCTGGAGGTCAAATCGATGTTTAAACTTGCTGGAAATAAACGGCTCCTTTCTTGCATGGCTCGATGCGCAATAAGGTTCCTCTGTGTCATTTTGTTTACGATTTTTAGGATTGCTTTTTAAAGCCGGACACGGCGGCTGATGGCTGTAATCCCAGCACTTTAGGAGGCCGAGGCAGGAGGATCACTTGAGATAAGGAGTTCAGGACCAGCATGGGCAACACAGCGAGACCCCATCTCTATAGAAAACACAAAAATGAGGCTGGGGGTGCTCATACACGCACTGAGGGTTGACCCTGGTGTTCTTGCCTTCTTAGATTCTTCTGGAGCTGGAGATGAACTCGGACCTCAAGGCCCAGCTCAGGGAGCTGAATATTACAGCAGTGAGGGAAACTGAAGTTGGTGGTGGTGAGAAAGTTATTATGGGCAGGTGCAGCAGCTCACGCCTGGAATCCCAGCACTGTGGGAGGCTGAGGCGGGCAGATCACGAGGTCAGGAGCTCAAGACCAGCATGGCCAACATGGTGAAACCCCATCTCTACTAAAAATACAAAAATTAGCTGGGTGTGGGGCCACATGCCTGTAATCCCAGCTACTCAGAGGAGGCCGAAGCAGGAGAATCACTTGAACCCGGGAGGCAGAGGCTGCAGTGAGCCAAGATTGCGCCACTGCACTCCAGCCTGGGCAACAAAGCGAGACTCCATCTCAAAAAAAAGAGGGCCGGCTGTGGTGGCTAACACCTGTAATCCCAGCACTTTGGGAGGCTGAGGCGTGCGGATCAACGAGGTCAGGAGATCGAGACCATCCTGGCTAACACGGTGAAACCCAGTCTCTACTAAAAATACAAAAAATTAGACGGACGCAGTGGTGGGCGCCTGTAGTCCCAGCTACTCAGGAGGCTGAAGCAGGAGAATGGCGAGAACCCGGGAGATGGAGCTTGCAGTGAGCCAAGATCGTGCCACTGCACTCCAGCCTGGGCGAGAGAGCAAGACTCCTCTCAAAAAAGAAAAAAAAAAAAAAGAAAAAAAAAAGGAAGTTATCATAATCTTTGTTCCTGTTCTGCCACTGAAATAATTCCAGAACATCCAAGTCTGGCTAGTACGTGAATTGGAGAAAAAGTTCACTGGTAAGTATGTCGTCTATTGCTTAGAGGAAAATTCTGCCTAAACCAACTCAAAAAAGGTGTACAAAAAATAAGCAAAAGCGTCCCAGGATCCACGCTCCGACAGCTGCGCACGTCGCAATCCTCGAGGACTCGGTCTTCCCAGGTGAAATTGTGGGCAGGAGAATCGGCGTGAAATGGACACAGCAGCTCACAAGGGTTCATTCGGACAAAGCCCAGCAGAATAACGTGGAACGCAAGGTCCAAACTTTTTCTGGTATCGATAAGCTCACAGCCAAGGCTGTTAATTCTGAATCCCCAGAGTTCCAAGTTTCAATTGTTAAGAAAAATGACTAACGTATATTCACAGTGAAAAAACAAAAAGACACACAAAATACAAAAATTAGCTGGGCATGGTGGCACATGCCTGAGGTCCCAGCTACCCAACAGGCTGAGGTGGGAGGATTGCCTAAGCCTGGGAGGCCGAGGTTGCAGTGAGTCGTGACCTCGCCACTGCACTGCAGCCTGGGCGACAGAGCAAGACCCTGTCTCAAAAACATAAAAAAAACAAAAAAAAAAAAACAAAAAAAAACCAGAGTTGACTTTTAGGCTTTGATTTTGTTATAATCACCTAAACGTGTGTGCGGGTCTCAAGTGCATGTGGGGCAAGCCCAACCCCATCCTGGACCCTCGGCCTCCTCCCGTCCCCAAAGGCAGACAGACACTTCCCTCGGCCTTAAGATCTTGTAGTTTCTTAAATAAGCGAACACGTGTGCACCCCCCGACTCCGTTCAAGACGCCGCGCTCTGTGGGCGCCTCTGCTCCTCGCTGGTTTTCATGCAGCCACACTGGGTACGCGACATGGGGCTGACATGTCGCTGGAAATCGCCTGTGAGTCATTAAGAGGTGGGAGAGGCAGGAGCCTGGGTTGCAGCTGAGGTCAGGGGCTGGGGCCCAGGACAGGCCTGTGGTGGCGGGTGCTGGAGAGGCTGTGGGGTGCTGGCACAGGAGGGCCCACGGACCAGGAGCCACGGCCGCCTGTGTGGTGCTGGCCGAAGGCGGCCCCCACCCGTCCTCTTCGGATCAGTGATTGGCACCTGCAGTAATCTTGCTTGCCAGGAATCTGCCCAGCCCCCACCTGTCTCCCCACCCAGTTAGGGCCACAGACACAACCCTGCCCTGACCTCCGCATGCCAGTGTGAGAATACCTGGCAGACGCCAGGCTCCAAGACACCCCCGCACATGTGACCGTGAGAGAAGTGAAGGCACTGCCAGTGTGGGCACCACTCTGAGTGGTCCTCGCGGCAGAGCCCCATGGCAGGCAGCAGAGACGGGCACCACGGATGGAGGCCTGGGATGGTGGGGCGCAGGCGGAGGGGCGGGGCCCGGGGGCCTCACCTGTGTACTCCCCCAGAATCATCCGAGACATGATCACCGTGAAGATGGGGGCGGAGCTCTTCACCGTCTCAGCAAACGAAACCGCCACATTTTTCAGGCTGACCAAACCCAAAACCACAGTTGCAAACCTAAAAATGAGCCAAAAGCACCATCACCTTAGAACGAGTCTGTCTGCCTGCACCCACCGGGCAGGCTCTCCAAGGGGCTCGCTCGCTCGGTTGGCACGTCGGCCCCTCTCCGCCCACCTCCTCATCACCAACATGGTGCCTGGACCCGCTTCTGTGACGCTTTAGGTCGAGCCCCCAGGAAACGGCACTGCGTCCAATGGGAAGTGACTTCTGCCACCCCTTGAAAACGTCCCAGAGACAAGGAGGCACCCTGTCCTGAGACCACCAGCCCGGAAAGAAGCTGACTGAACACACGTGGCAGTGAGAGCCACGAAGCCACATTCATTTGGTGTCCTGAAATCTGGACAGCCCTGGTGCTTTTATAAAGTCTGCACTGAAAACTCACCAGCCAGCAGAGTCCCCGCTCTAGTAACGAGAGGGACTTTACATTTAAAGAAAAAGAGACACTCAACCAAAACCAGGAGATTCTTTACCTCATCAGACCCACAAACAGCATCGTCATAAGGAAGTTGGGTGGGTAGGAAAGCCGGGCCTTGTGCTGATACAAACAGCAAGGAACGAGGGTTTTCACACACCCGATAACCGTGGTGGACAGCATCTGCACCGCACCTGCGGGAGGGAGGGGGCCGAAGACAAGAGGGAGAATCACCCCTCCCATGCCTGCAGTGGGCTCCACCCCCGGCCTCCCATCCTGACCTGGGCTCCCCCGGCCCTCCCGGGTGGTTGCTGGCTGCTCCCTGTGGGGTGGCAGGTGGCCGGCTTCCACCCTGCCCGAGCCGCCGCCTACCTAGCATGCTGGGCTCGCCTCCCAGCAGGGACAGGATGTACTTGTTGAGGAAGAGCGTGCAGAAGCTGAAGAAGAACCACAGCGTGAGGTAGAGCAGCGCCCGCGAGCTCCACACACCCAAGTCTGACTCGATGACCGTGGTCTCCGTGATGGTGACGGTCAGTACGTTCTCATCTGTGCCGCCGTCGCTCTTGGCAAAAACAATCTTCTCACTTCGGTGACCAAACAGAGAGCCCCAGCTGAGAGGCGACCTGCCTTTCGGCTTCTCTTCGGAGCCAGGAACCAGCTCTTCCAGTGCTGGGGTTTTCACCGAGGACGACATGCTGAAGCCACAGCCACGAACGATTTTACCTCCAGGCTGGGCAGCATGGGTCACCGTGACCGCCCGGGGGTGGGGCCGCAGCAGGGACTCCGGGCGCCAGGAACGAGGCCACCAGGGCCTCTCCCAGGCAAAGCGCAGAAGCAGACGCTAAAATATTAAGAAAAGGAAACACATCACCCGTTTTGAACATTTAATGTCCTCAAAGGTTTCAACCACCAATTTAAAATCACTTTGAAAATGCAATTGGGCCGGGCACGGTGGCTCACACCTGTAATCCCAGCACTTTGGGAGGCCGAGGCAGGTGGATCACCTTAGGTCAGGAGTTCGAGACCACCCTGGCCAACATGACGAAACCCCGTCTCTACTAAAAATATAAAAACTAGCAGGGCATGGTGGCCGGCGCCTGTAATCCCAGCTACTCGGGAGGCTGAGGCAGAAGAATTGCTTGAACCCAGGAGACGGAGGTTGCAGTGAGCCGACATGATACCACTGCACTCCAGCCTCAGTGACAGAGTGAGACTCTGTCTCAAGAAAAGAAAAAAAGAAAATGCAATCGTTCACTGTCCAAAGATTTTTAGCAATTGAATCCCGTTTTTCTCTGCGCGTGTTGGCGGATCCTTGCTCTTGAGAGACGGTCTCCTGGCACACTTGACTGTCGTCCTGGCAGACCTGGGGCTGTGGGTCCTTCACGCCCTGCCTGGCAGCTGCACCTTCTCGATGGGCTTTGTGGCTGCCGCTGTCGGGTGCCCAGGACTAATTCCATGCTACTTTCTTTTTCCTTTTTTTTTTTTTTTTTGAGACGGAGTATTGCTCTGTCGCCCAGGCTGAAGTGCAGAGGCGTGATCTGGGCTCACTGCAAGCTCCGCCTCCCGGGTTCTCGCCATTCTCCTGCCTCAGGCTCCCGAGTAGCTGGGACGACAGGCGTCCGCCACCACGTCCGGCTAATTTTTTGTAATTTTTTTTTTTTTAGTAGAGACGGGTTTTCACCGTGTTAGCCAGGATGGTCTCGATCTCCTGACCTCGTGAACCGCCCACCTCGGCCTCCTAAAGTTCCATGCTACTTTCTAGACAGACTCCGTGGTATAAAACCACACTTACACCCGCTTCACGCTCAGGCGACTGTGGCTTCGGGGCGAGACACCCCCTCCCTTCCCACGAGCTCCAGGAAGGTCAGAACAGCCGTTTCCTCCTGAGGTCCAGTGGGAATCATCCCCCCAGCTGGGGCTTTGCACAGACGCCACTGTGACTCCGCAGCACCGAGACCCCACCTCCCCCAGGTCTCAATCCCAGCGCTCAGGCAGCCCGATTTCCTGTTTCTCACACCTGGGTTTCTCTTCCTGCTTCGGGGGAGGCTGTGCATCTGAAGGGGCGCCCATCCTGTCTCACCAAGGCGCTCTGGGAGCGTGTGGTGCCGGCCGTGCTGCCCGACCCAGTACCCCTCCTCGTCTCACTTCTCCCCCGGGAAACTGGGGTTCCCACCTCATTCGTGACCTCCTTCTGTGTTTATGTTTATGCACTTGCGTGCGTGCCATATGTATACATAAATATTCTGTGTTCACACTGAGGGACGCACGCCACCCCCTCCCCCATGAAGACCTCGCCTGGGTGCTCAGGCCGGCCTCTCCCCCAGCTCACCTGCCCAGCAGTGCTCAGAGGTGCCTGAAACTTGGCCTCCCCATACCCGGGAACAGGCGCTTCTGCCCTCTCCCCAGTGGCGGCAATGCCAGGGCCTCTGCAGCCTTCCTCTCTCTCCTCCCCTCCCCCTGCTGTGTGTGTCTGTGCACCCAGGTCTCCCCGTCTGCCCATCACACCGCCAGCTCAGTGCCACCCAGACGCTCCCAGGCCACCCATGTGTGCCCTGACCCCTCGGTGCACCAGGACAGCTGCCTCCAAGGGCACCCCAGGCCTCAGTGAGGAGAAGGCCGACCCCTCCACCAGTTCCCACAGCCTCGGAATAACAAAGGACTCATCCACTCCTCGGGCCACTGACAGTGCCAGATCTCCACAAAGACACCATTCCCTTCTTCCTGTTCAGCAGCACAGTCCCACTGCTTAGCCTGGGGTGACAACAAGCTGGGAGCTAAACCTCCATGGGCTGCAGCCTCCCTGGAGCTAGGACTGGCTGGGCCCTGAGCCAGGGAGCTAGGAGACTTTGTGCCAGTTTCCCGGACTGATGGGCCCTGGCTGGGGGTGGAGCAGCTACCTGGCTTTCCTGAGGTGAAAATCCAACAACAAAGGGTGCGGCAGAGCAAAAGGACAGAGCACTCGCGACAGGGCTCCGCAAGGCAGGGGTGGAGCTCATGGCAGGCGTGGATCTCACTCCCCACCTCACTAGGCCTCACGGCCCTTGACCTCTCCCTCCCACCTCGAAGGCTGCCCCCTGGCTGGGGACGCTGTCACAGCACCCGCTACACAGGCTCTGCCACCACCAGCGAGTTTCTAAAACCAAATTCATTTACATGGCAAGGAGGCCACGCTCAAGAAACCCCTCCAGGAGCAAGGAACAGCACGTGGGCTCGGGCGTGTGCAGACGACGCCAGTCACGTCCCACCTGACGTCGAGGCAAACCTGGAATTCAAAAGGCAAGCATCTCCCTCTTGCCAGAACAGTCTGTCCACTTAGCTTCCCTCTGAGAAACTCACAGCATCCCAGGCAAAACTGCTCCCCGCAATGAGGACCCCCATTCCCCTTCTCTGCTGACACTGTGCTCCAAGAAGCCTGTGGGACCCACACAAGCAGCCCAGTCCCCACCCTAATGTTTGCTCACAATTAGTGGAAACAAAAAAACAGAAATCACACTTCACTGACGCTGCCGTTCTCTGTACATCAAGAACTTAAGGTTCTGGGCCAGGCGCCGTGGCTCACACCTGGAATCCCAGCACTTTGGGAGGCCAAGGTGGGCGGATCACCTGAGCTCAGGAGTTCATGACCAGCCTGGCAAACACAGCAAAACCCCGTCTCTACTAAAAGTACAAAAAAAAAATCAGCCGGGTGTGGTGGCTGGCACCTGTAATCCCAGCTACTCGGGAGGCTGAGGCAGGAGAATCACTTGAACCTGGAAGGCAGAGCTTGCAGTGAGCTGAGATCGCGCCATTGCACCCCAGCCTGAGCAACAGAGCGAGACTCCCGTCAAAAAAAAAAAAAAAAAAAATGCTGGGCGCGATGGCTCACACCTGTAATCCCAGCACTTTGGGAGGCCGAGGAGGGTGGATCATGAGGTCAGGAGTTCAAGACCAGCCTGACCAACGTGGAGAAACCCCGTCTCTACTAAAAATACAAAATTAGCCGGGCGTAGTGGATGCCTGTAATCCCAGCTACTCAGGAGGCTGAGGCAGGAGAATCGCTTGAACCCGGGAGGCGGAGGTTGCGGTGAGCCGAGATCACACCGTTGTACTCCAGCCTGGGCAACAAGAGTGAAACTCCGTCTCAAAAAAAAAAAATTTTTTTTTAATGTAGCCGGGCATGGTGGTGCATGTCTGTAGTCCTAACTACTTAGGAGGCTGGGGTGGGAGGATTGCTTGAACAAGAGAGGTCAAGGCTGCAGTGAGCCGTGATTGTGCCACTGAACTCCAGCCTGGGCAACAGAGCAAGACCCTGACTCTAAAAATTAAAAAAAAGTTAAAAAAAATTAAAAGAGCTTAAACAAGAAGCCGACTGCAAACAAAGGCCTCTCCATGCAGCTGCGCTGGGACGCGGGTTCTCTGTCCGATCACTGCACAGCAGCCCACTGGACAAATGGACCCATTCTGGCAAGAAGCACTTGGGACGGGCTACTAGGAGCATCCTCGTCTGTGTCTACGTGCAGGAGTGGAACTGCCCAGCCCTGGGACACGCATGCTGAGCCCCAGCCAACGTCACACCGACCTGTGCTCCCACAGCCCTGCCCCGGCTCTGTGTGGGTGACTGTCCCGTCCCTGCAGTTGAGCCCACGTGGTCCCGGGGTCTCCATTCCCCTCCCAATCTGCAGGACTTCACTACCATGAACCGTCCTCACCCCCAGCATCCCTGTCCCCACAGCTCCAAGGCCGCAGGAGGAGGCGATATCTAATCTTCCCCCCACGTAAACACCTGTCCCTGCGTAAATGCCTGAGGCTGGCTGCTTATTCTTTTTTTTTTTTTTTTAGATGGAATCTCGATCTGTCGCCCAGGCTGGAGTTTAGTGGCATAATCTCGGCTCACTGCAACCTCCACCTCCCAGGTTCAAGGGATTCTCCTGCCTCAGCCTCCCGAGTAACTGGGATTACAGGCGCCTGCCACCACGCCCAGCCGCTTCTTATTCAAACACTGGGAGCTCCACGTCAGACCAGTGAAGTCAGAGAATCCTGAAGTCCAAGTTCTCAGCTCCTCAGCCAACTCAAGGGCAGCCAGGCAGGAGCCACCCCTGCAGAGGCACCCACGGTTCGTTCCTGTCACTGACTGTTCCCAGGCTGGAAATTCCTGACGGTACAAATGCAAACAGATTCCGGCCTGAAACTGTCTAGTGAGACCTTTCTTTCCTTTTCCTTTTCTTTTTTTCGAGATAGAGTCTCGCTCTGTCAGCCAGACTGGAGTGCAATGGCATGATCTTGGCTCACTGCAAGCTCTGCCTCCTGGGTTCACACCATTCTCCTGCCTCAGCCTCTGAAGTAGCTGGGACTACAGGCGCCCGCCACCACGCCTGGCTAATTTTGTTTTTTTTTGTATTTTTTTAGTAGAGACAGGGTTTCACCATGTTACCCAGGATGGTCTCGATCTCCTGACCTCGTGATCCACCCACCTAGGCCTCCCAAAGTGCTGGGACTACAGGCGTGAGCCACCGCGCCCGGCCTCTTTTCTTTTCTTTTTTGAGAGGGACTCTTACTCTGTCGCCCAGGCTAGAGTGCAGTGGCACAATCTCAGCTCACCGTAGCCCCCACTTCTTGGATTCAAGGGATTCGCATGCCTCAGCCTCTCGGGCAGCTGGAATTATAGGCATGCGCCACCAAGCCTGGCTAATTTTTGTACTTTTAGAAGAGATAGGATTTAGGCCGGGCGTGGTGGCTCACGCCTGTAATCCCAGCACTTTGGGAGGCTGAGGCAGAGGGATCCCGAGGTCAGGAGATGGAGACTATCCTGACTAACACTGTGAAATTCTGTCTCTACTAAAAATACAAAAAATTAGCCAGGCGTGGTGGCGGGCGCCTGTAGTCCCAGCTACTCAGGAGGCTGAGGCAGGAGAACGGTGTGAACCCGGGAGGTGGAGCTTGCAGCGAGCCGAGATCGCGCCACTGCACTCACTCCAGCCTGGGCGACAGAGCAACACTCTGTCTCAAAAAAAAAAAAAAAAAAAAAAAAAAAAAAAAAAAAAAAAAAAAAAAAAAAAGAAGAGACAGGGTTTCACCATGTTGCCCAGGTTGGTCTCAATCTCCTGACCTCATGTGATTCGCCCGCCTTGGCCTCCCATAGAACTGGGATTACAGGCATGAGTGACCGTGCCCGGCTGGGTGCAACCTTTCAGAGGTCATGCGGGTGACAGGGAGCGACAAAAAACAAGAAAATAAAGCACTTCGCCGAGGCTGACTTGGGTCACAGAGGGCCAAACGGTCCCGGGAAAATGGGTGGGCTCTTCACACCTTCTCATAGAAGTCTTGGAGGTGGGTGTTTAATGAGCATTTTTTGTTAGTAGCAAAACAAGACAAAGCAAACACCAAAAGAATGCCAACCTACGTGCCTGTCAACAGTAGAAACAAACACCTTATTGATGGAGCTGAAGCTACGATGGAAATGAGGGGCTCAGTCCCAGTGTCAAAGGGACGGACCCCAAGCCCAAACCCACCGGAGCGGGGGAAGACTGAGGGACGAATCACAGACAGAAACGCACGACTCGGCTCCACCATGCGCTGTCAGCTGTGCGGGAAGCACCACGTGTAGAAATAAAAGCATGAAAGTGCCTGAAAGAGGGAATTCCAGCACGTGCTCCTCTCATCTCGGGGACGGGCCCCAGGGGAAAGCAACAGCACCTTCAGGTGCTGGAACCCAGCTGAGCAGCCAGGGGGTTCCGGGGTCCTCCCTAAGTAGTTGTGAGAGATCACAGCCCGGGGTCCTTCCTAAGTAGTTCCGAGAGTTCAAGGTTTACATGGGGGAGGCCGGGCTTGGTGGCTCACGCCTGTAATCCCAGCACTTTGGAGGCAGGTGGATCACTTGAGGTCAGGAGTTCGAGACCAATCTGGCCAACAAGGTGAAACCCCGTCTCTACTAAAAATATAAAAATTAGCCAGGTGTGGTTGTGGGCACCTGTAATCCCACCTACTCAAGAGGTTGAGGCAGGAGAATTGCTTGAACCCTGGAGGTGGAAATCGCAGTGAGCCGACATCGAGACATTGCACTCCAGCCTGGGGGACAGAGCGAGACTCTGTCTCCAAAAACAAACAAATAAATAAACAAGCAAATAAATAAAGTCCTGTGAGGAATGCACAGTTTCTCTGCACTCCCACACAACACTTCCCACAGGAGATGCAGGTTATTTCCACGTTGAGCAATTCTCCACAGACACTAGCTGTGTGTCCTCTGGTTCAATTCCCTCCCGAAGCCGTCCCCCTGGGGAGAGTGCCAGGTCCCCTGCGGCGAGGGCTGGATCCCACAAGACTGCCCCCTCCTCAGATGCTGGTCAGCCTGTGGGCCGTGCTTCTGACCGGCAGCTATACATCGGGGTTCCCACGACACCCTCCTGAGGATCAATGAGTTTGACAGGACTGCCCTACAGAACTGCAGAAAGCACTTACGTTAAAAGAAAACAGAGGAGCAGCCGGCCGCAGAGACGCGCAGGCAAGGCCTGGGCAGGTGCTGGGTTTCAGGCCCTCTCTGGGCGCCACCCCCTGCCCCCAGCACCACAATCCGAAGACCATCCCACTCTTTCATCTCTCATTCACGGGTTTTTACAGCGTTTAATCTCCACCTTCGCTCGCTGCGTCCCTGAGGTTGGCGGGTGGGGCTCAAAGCTCCCAGCCTCCAATCCTGGGGTCACCTGGTGTTCTGGCGACCAGTCCCCCCTACCCCCGCTCTCCAGGGCCCCACCCCCTGCCTCATCAGCATAAGCTCAGGTGTGATCAGCATAAGCTCCGGGGTGATCTGAACCACTCCTGTCACTCAGGAAATTCCAAGGCTTCGAGGAGCTTCTGTGCCAGGAACCAGGAACAAAGACCAAACACATTTCATATCAGAGCACAAGTGCAAAACATCATGGTTGGAAACAGGGTCTCAGAGTCCTCCAGGTGCAGGTGCCTGTTCAGACCAGAGACCACAAAGTTGTAAGTCAAACCTTCATGTTTGGCCAGCGGCGGTGGCCCACACCTAGAACCCCAGTACTTTGGAAGGCCGAGGAGGGAGGATCGCTTGCTGTCCACTCACGTCTGGGGCACAGCCCAGGAGACCCGTGGGCCGCAGGGTAGACACTCAGCAGTCGTGAGACGCTTGCCCCAGTGCACTGTCTTTTCAAGGCCACTGACATCTCCACAGACAGCCCCCAGCCCGTCCTTTGGCTCTTAATGTGCCTCATCCACCTCCGCGTGCTGACACCCACATCAGTGACATTTGGGCTAAGCCGCCTAATGCAGAGTGGCTATAAGCGCGCTGAGCCGCTCGTGAAATTCAGACAACCCCACCGGAAGTGAGAGAGAGGACGGCTGTGAGCTCAGGGCAGCGTTTCTGCTGAAGGCGTTTGCTTTCCCACCATCATAAAGTCAGAAAATCACAACTCAGACCATGGTAAGTGGGGACCACCCACAACCCAAGTGGGCCTTGGAAATTAAGAATAGGAGGCCGGGCGCGGGGGCTCACGCCTGTCATCCCAGGAGGCTGGGCACAGTGGCTCACGCCTGTCATCCCAGCACTGTGGGAGGCCGAGGCGGGTGGATCACAAGGTCAGGAGATTGAGACCATCCTGGCCTACATGGTGAAACCCCGTCTCCACTAAAAATACAAAAATTAGCTGGGCGTGGTGGTGGGTGCCTGCAGTCCCAGCTACTTGGCAGGCTGAGGCAGAAGAATGGCGTGAACCTGGGAGACAGAGCTTGCAGTGAGCCGAGATCGCGCCATTGCACTCCAGCCTGGGCAACAGAGCGAGACTCCATCTCAAAAAAAAAAAAAAAAAAAAAAAAACAGGACAGCCAGCGGGTGCAGTGGTTCCCACCTGTAATCCCAGCACTTTGGGAGCCCAAGGCGGGCAGATCACCTGAGGTTGGGAGTTCGAGACCAGCCTGATCAACATGAAGAAACCCTGTCTCTACTAAAAAAATACAAAATTAGCCGGGCGTGGTGGCGCATGCCTGTAGTCCCAGCTACTTGGGAGGCTTAGGCAGGAGAATCACTTGAACCTGGGAGGTGGAGGTTGCAGTGAGCCAAGATTGCGCCATTGCACTCCAGCCTGGGCAACAAGAGCAAAAACTCCGTCTCAAAAAAAAAAAAAAAAGTTGGAGCATTTTTTGCCCAGGTGTGTTGGTTCATGCTTGTAATCCTAGCACTTTGGGAGACCGAGGCAGGAGGATTGCTTGAGCCCAGGAGTTCAATACCAGCCTGGGTAATATGACGAAACCTCATCTCTACCAAAAAAGTACAAAAATTAGGCCTGGGCACGGTGGTGTGCGCCTGTGTGCCCAGCTGAGGTGGGGGGACTGCTTGAGTCTGGGAGGATGAGCCTGCAGTGACCGTGATCTCACCACTGCACTCCAGCCTGGGCGACACAGTGAAACGTTTTCTCAGAAAAAAAAAAAAAAAAAAGAAAAGGAAAAAGAAATACAGGAAGGATATACCCAAGAATAAGGAGACTCTTCAGTGACAGGGCAGGCAGGAGTGCAGTGCAGTGAGGTGGGGGCGGCTCCAGGTCTGACTTTCAGAACCATGAAAATATGTCGCTTGCTTAAAAAGCAAAAATAATTAAATCAACAAGGGTAGGGGAAAAGGGTCTCTGAAATGGAACACGAACACGAATGCATGAACCACACCACAGATCAAACAAACGACACAATCACCCTGAGGGGAGAAGCAGAACAAGCCCTGGGAACTCGGGTGCATGGACGCTGGATGTGGGTACGCAGGTGATGGACACAAGGGCTCCAGACACACAAGTAGCTCCAGACACAGGAGCTCCAAACAAATACCGAGTTCTAAACATGCTTTTTTCCCTTTTCTTTTCTTGAGACGGAGTCTCGCTCTGTCGCCCAGGCTGGAGTGCAATGGCGCGATCTCAGCTCACTGCAACCTCTACCTCCCGGGTTCAAGTGATTCTCCTGCCTCAGCCTCCTGAGTAGCTGGGATTACAGGCACCCGCCACCACGCCCAGTGAATTTTTGTATTTTCATTTCATTTTTAGATGGAGTTTCACTCTTGTTGCCCAGGCTGGAGTGCAATGGCACGATCTTGGCTCACCACAACCTTCGCCTCCCAGGTTCAAGCGATTCTCCTGCCTCAGCCTCCCGGGTAGTGGGGATTACATGCACGTGCCACCAAACCCTGCTGATTTTGTATTTTTAGTAGAGACGGGTTTTCACCATGTTGGCCAGGCTGGTCTCGAACTCCTGACCTCGTGATCTGCCTGCCTCGGCCTCCCAAAGTGCTGGGATTTACAGGCATCAGCCACTGCGCCCAGCCTCCCTTTTCTTTTTTTTTCTTTTTTTTTTTTTTTTTTGCTGACTCATGGGTTAGAATTCCGGATTGGGCAAATACATAAATATTTTGTACATGACGGGAGGCAGATTTCATCATGTGAGTGAAGCGAGATGCAAACACGAAAGGAAGTCCTTCAGGGCAGTCTTGTAGTGAAAAAATAAAAATAAAAATGAAAAAAAGAGGCTGGGCACGGTGACTCACGCCTGTGATCCCAGCACTTTGGGAGGCCGAGGCGGGTGGATCACCTGAGGTCAGGAGTTCATGGTGAAACCCCATCCCTAGTAAAAATACAAAAGTTAGCTGGGTGCAGTGGCATGCGCCTGTAATCCCAGCTACTCGGGAGGCTGAGGCAGAAGAATCACTTGAACCTAGAAGACGGAGGTCGCAGTGAGCCGAGATCATGCCACCACACTCCAGCCTGGGCGACAGAGACTCTGTCTCAAAAAAATAAAAAGGCCAGGCACGGAGGCTCACGCCTGTAATCCCAGCACTTTGGGAGTCCAAGGGGGTCGGATCATGAGGTCAGGAGATCGAGATCATCCTGGCTAGCACTGTGAAACCTTGTCTCTACTAAAAATACAAAAAATTAGCCGGGCGTGGTGACGGGCACCTGTACTCCCAGCTACTCAGGAGCCTGAGGCAGGAGAAGGGCGAGAACCCAGGAGGCGGAGCTTGCAGTGAGCTGAGATCGTGCCACTGCACTCCAGCCTGGGCCACAGAGTGAGACTCCGTCTCAAAAACAAATAAATAAATAAATAAAAAGAAGAAAGAAGATGGATGGAATGACCCCCGCGGTGTCGGCCTGTGAGGGTGCTGTCGGGCCCGAGCGCACAGGCTTGAACGGATGGGCGGACGGGCGACACGCACGCACACACACACCCCAACACAGCACATCTGCCCAGAGACAGTCACACCTGCACAGCGCGCTCCCAGCGCCCTAACCTTGGTTTCTAAATATCATTCTCCACTAAAGGGGCTGGGCGCAATGGCTCACGCCTGTAATCCTAGCACTTTGGGAGGCTGAGGCAGGCGGATTACCCGAGCTCAGGAGTTCTAGACGAGCCTGGGCAATGTGGCGAAACCCTGTCTCTACTAAAAATACAAAAAATTAGTCTCTACTAAAAAAACAAAAAATTAGGCCGGGCGTGGTGGCTCACGCCTGTAATCCCAGCACTTTGGGAGGCCGAGACGGGCAGATCATGAGGTCAGGAGACCAGCCTGGCCAACATAATGAAACCCCATCTCTACTAAAAATACAAAAAAAATTAGCCAGACATGGTGGCAGGCGCCTGTAGTCCCAGCTACTTGGCATGCTGAGGCAGGAGAATCTCTTGAACCCGGGAGGCGGAGGTTGCAGTGAGCCTAGATCGGGCCACTGCACTCCAGCCTGGGTGATGGAGGGAGACTCCATCTCAAAAAAAAAAAAAAAAGATTAATCCTGGCGGGTGCCTGTAGTCCCAGCCACTTAGGAGGCTGAGGCATGAGAATCGCTTGAACCCGGAGGCGGAGGTTGCAGGGAACCAAGATTGCACCACTGTACTACAGGCTGGGCAAAGAGCGAGACTGTCTAAAAAACACAACATAACAAAACAAAAAATAATAATAACATATATCATTCTCCACAAAGCCAACCAGGCTTCTTTGAAAAATGACTGACTCTCGGGCTGTGGTGGGAAAGACACCAGAGGAGCGGTCATGTTGGCTGCGCCGAAAGTTTGTGATCTAGGAATGAACTCAGGGTTGGCCGAGGGAGGGCGCAGGGGGCTTGAAAGGCAGAGTACGTAACACAGTAAAGGATCAGAACCCCCAGTAAAACAACAGCCCACAAGGCCATGCTGATGAACGAATGGCAAAGGAGGGGAAGTCTTTCTTCCCAGCACAAAGTCAATCCATGATCATCAGAGTGACAGAATGAGAAGCCACCATCTGGCCACCATCACGATCATCATCACAATCACGACGAGTCACCAAGAGACTAAAACTACTGAGTAAAAGCTTAGAAACGGCCGGGCGCGCTGGCTCACACCTGCCATCCCAGCACTTTGGGAGGCTGAGGTGGGCGGATCACAAGGTCAGGACATCGAGATCCTCCTGGCCAACACAGTCAAACCCCATTTCTACTACAAAAAATTAGCCGGGCATGATGGCGCGTGCCTGTAATCCCAGCTACTCAGGAGGCTGAGCCAGGAGAATCGCTTGAACCCAGGAGGTGGAGGCTGCAGTGAGCGGAGATCGCGCCATTGCACTCCAGCCTGGGCGGCAGAGCGAAACTCTGTCCCAGAAAAAAATAAAGCTTAGAAACAAGAGGCTATGTAGTCTCGAGATAGATCCAGCCCTATGAGGCACATGTCAATCACAGAGGGAAAGCTATGCACGCACAAAGCATGTGTGAATCAGAGAGAAAGCTATGCACGCACGATGAGTAGAAGACAAACACGTCCTGCAAGGAGACGGAGGCGCAGGGAGGGGGCGGCAGCCGTCCTCCCAAGACATGAGGACTTCTAGTTCAGTCTGAGACCTTGGTGCAGGGCTGGGCGAGTAAACAAATGCAAAAGAATAAGGACCTCGAGGTCGGGCGCGGTGGCTCAAGCCTGTAATCCCAGCACTTTGGGAGGCCGAGGTGGGCGCATCACGAGGTCAGGAGATTGAGACCATCCTGGCTAACACAGTGAAACCCCGTCTCTACCAAAAATACAAAAAACTTAGCTGGACGTGGTGGTGGGTGCCAGTAGTCCCAACTACACAGGAGGCTGAGGCACGAGGATCACTTGAACCTGGGAGACGGAGGCTTTAGTGAGCTGAGATTGCACCACTACACTCCAACCTGGCTGACAGAGCGAGACTGTCTCAAAAAAAAACAAACAAACAGGTCTGGTGTACCCAGAATGGAGGCACCACGAGTTGCTGAAGAAGGAAACTTTATTCAGTCTATGATACCAGGACAGTTGTCCATGCTGCCAGGCAAAAAGAAAAACTGGATTCTGATCTCATTATCAGTACACAAACAGCGACAATTAGTAACACTGACACAGCCCTGACTGTGCTGCTGGAGGGTCCGAAGCACTCTCTGCACAGCGGTGAATCCCCACAATAGCCCTCTGGGGAAGGTGCTGTTATCACCCACGTGAGACACACGAAGGAAAGACACGGCTTTGCAGCAGCAGGGTCACGATTCGAACCCAGGTGGCCTGCTCTTATGATAAACTTAAATGTGTAAAACTTTATGCTCAGGAAAATATAAGAGAATGTCTTCCTGACCCTTTTTGGGGTAGGACAATAATTTCTCTAACCAAACCCCAAAAGCATGACCCATTAAAAAAAGGGTCAGGTGGACTAACTTGGCTAAATGAAGAATTCTGTTTCACCAAAGTACACCACAAAGTGGGCCGGGCGCAGTGGCTCATGCCTGTAATCCTAGCACTTTGGGAGGCCAAGGTGGGCGGATCACTTGAGGTCGGGAGCTCGAGACCAGCCTGACCAACATGGTGAAACCCTGTTTCTACTAAAAATACAAAAATTAACCAGGTGTGGTGGTATGCACCTGTAATCCCAGCTACTCGGGAGGGTGAGGCAGGAGAATTGCTTGAACCCAGGACGGGGAGGTTGCAGTGAGCCCAGACTGCGCCGCTGCACTCCAGCCTGGGCAACAGGGTGAGACCCTGTCTCAAAAAAAAAAAAAAAAGGCCAGACTTGGCTCACGCCTGTAATCCCAGCACTTTGGGAGGCTGAGGTGGGTGGATCACCTGAGGTTGGGAGTTCCAGATCAGTCTGACCAACATGGAGAAACCCCATCTCTACTAAAAATACAAAGTTGGCCGGCATGGTGGCACATGCCTTTAACCCCAGCTGCTCAGGAGGCTGAGGCAGGAGAATCACTTGAACACGGGAGGCAGAGGTTGTGATGAGCCAAGATCGCGCCATTGCACAACAGCCTGGGCAATAAGAACAAAACTCTGTCTCAAAAAAAAAAAAAAGAAACAAAAAAAAATATATATATATATATACATACCATAAAGTGAAATCAACAGCCACAACCTGGGAAAAAATACTTGCAACATGGCAAAGGATTAATATCCAGAAAGTATAAAGAATTCCTACAAACCAAGTAGAAAAACAGGCAAAAAAAAAAAAATGTTGGCGGGGCATGGTGGCTCATGCTTGTAATCCCAGCACTTTGGGAGGCCAAGGCGGGCAGATCACCTGAGGTCAGGAGTTCGAGACCAGCCTGGCCAACATGATGAAACTCCGTCTCTACCAAAAATACAAAAATTAGCCAGGCGTGGTGGCAGGCGCCTGTAATCCCAGCCACGCAGGAGGCTGAGGCAGCAGAATCACTTGAACCTGGGAGGCGGAGGTTGCAGTGAGCTGAGACTGCGCCTGCTCCAGCCTGGGTGACACAGCAAGACTCCGTCTCAAAAAGTAAAGAAAAAAAAAAAACAAAACAACATATTTCACAGAGAAGAATTTATGTTTTTGGAGAAGGAGTTTCGCTCCTGTCGCCCAGGCTGGAGTGCAGTGGTGAGATATCAGCTCACTGCAACCTCAACCTCCCAGGTTCAAGCGATTCACAGAGGACAATTTCTAAAAGGCAAATAAGAAGCAGGAAGGGTGCATGCTCCTTCTCTACTGCCCTGTAACAGTCATTCCACACTTACCACCTCAAAACAACAAATGCTTTTGATGTTGGCTCCTGTGGGGCAGCAATCTGCGGGAAGCTTAGCCAGGCACCTCTGGCTTAAGGTCCCTCCTGAAGCTGCAGTCACACCATGGACCAGGGCTGTGACCTCATCCGAAGGCTCAACTGGGGCTGAGGCCCACCTCTGAGCTCACTCAGGTGGACGCTGGCTGGGTTCAGTTCCTTGCTGGCTATAGGTGGAAAGGGCCCCCACCAGTTTCTTGCCAGCTTCTCCACAGGACGCCCCACAGCCTGACAGGAGCTTTCATCCAGCAAGCTCATCAGGGAGTGGGAGAGAGCAGCCAGGACAGGAGCCCAGACCTTTCTGAACCTCATCTCAGAAGTGACATCCTTCCCTTCTGCTGTCTGGGCACAGCTCCCCGGGTGGAGCCCGAGGACTAGAAGGAAAAGAAAACTTGGATTTAAAATGGGATAAAGCCATAGGAGCTGCTCGTCCCACCACAGGAATCTCAACGCCGGGTTACTGACAAAGCGTCACTTTGCACCTCGTCCAACTGTGCAGACCTCTCCTAGCCAGGCCCCTGCACCAGAGGTTAAGAATCCGTGCCCCTGGTCAGGAAGTCCAGGTGGGTTCAAACGGCCAGCAGGGAATTTCAGGCAAAATGTGTCCCAAATCTTCAAACCATGCCCCAGAACTCAGACCTCCCCCTGGGAGTTCGTCCCAAGGAAACCACCTGCAAGAGGCTCAGGCTGCAGGGGACACTCCGCTTCCAAAACCCGGAAGCTGGAGACCACACAAGTGCCCAACGCCAAAGGCACCCCGTGGAGGGACGCCCTGTGCCCTCCCCCGACCAGGTGACCCGCTGCGCCCTACACATCTTCACCAGGAAACATCTGTTATCGATGTGGACGAAGCGCAGCCTGCACTCCCAGATCCGCTCATTTTCGTTCTGCCCTCCGTTTTACGATTCGCCTACACTGAAAATGCGTGAGTGGAGTGGAAAGCCTTCCTACTCCTGCCTCAGCGACCCCTTCTAAAATACTGCCTCGTTTGGCCTGAAAATGTGATTTGCAGGCTTCCTGAGCAAAGTAGATTTCACTCCATTAAAGAAAAAAAAAAAGAAAAGGCACCGAACGGGGCTCGGCTGTCGGGAGTTTTGCTTTAGTTTTTTGCGTGTTTTGTTTTGTGTTTTTTTGTTGTTGTTGTTCTTTTTGCGGCCACGCACACCGCGTTCCCAGGCTTCAGGGCGTGGGGGTCGCCGTGGACTCCCGGACGTGAAAACGCTTAAAGCCAGCTGGGAAAACCCCACCAGCGTTTTCCGCGCACAGCGCCAGCCATAGGAAAGGACCCCCAGGAGCGAATCCGGGCAGGGAAACCCCGGACGCCCGCACACTCAGCATCAGTACCGGCACCCAGCACCCAGCACCGAGCACCGAGCACGCAGCACCCAGCACCGATCACCGAGCAGAGCACCCCGCACGCAGAACCCACCGAGAGCCTGATGCAGTCTCCGCCGCAGGCATAGCGCTAGGCCCCGGCGCCTTCACAACAAAGGGACGCTGGCGGGCGGGGCCTGAGAGGCGCGCGGTGGAGGGGCCGGGCGCGAGGCCGCGGAGACAGCTCGGAGCTCGGCACTGGGGAGTGGCACAGCGCTGGCGGATCCAGGTGGGCTTCACGGGGCGCCCGCGGGACCGGAAATGACGCGCAGAACCCTGCATCGGGCTCCTCGCTGCCCCGCGGGCGCCGCTCCTCAGTGCCCCAGAGCCACGGAGCCGGGGAAACGCGCCGCGGCCCACAACGCCCCCGCGGCTGCCCGTTGGTTCCGCCCGGGCCGTTCTACTCCAGGCAGACGGGAGGAGAAACACGGCGCGCTCAGCGTCCCCTCCCCCGTTGGTTCTGCTCGGGCCCTTCCACTGCAGGCCGACGGGGGTGGAAACACGCAGTTTTTTTTTTTTTTTTAAGGTCTAGGGTAACACGGGGCTTTTAAGTGCCTCTCCGCTGCCGCCTGGTGGTCCAGCCCGGGCCGTTGCAGTGCAGCCACACGGGGAGGGACACGGCGCGCCGAGTGCTCCGGGCGGCCGCACGTTGGTTCCGCCCGGGCCGTTCCACTGCAGGCAGAGGGAGAGGACGACGGTGCGCGTAGTGCATCCCCGTGGCCCGTTGGTTCCGCCGGGGCCGTTCCACTGAAGGCAGAAGGGGGGGGACCGTGGCCCCACCCCCCGCGGCAGCCCGTTGGTTCCGCCCGGGCGGTTCCGCCCGGGCTGTTCCACCAGCGGCACTTCAGGGCGGGATCGGCCAGTCTGTGGAGGCAGCGGCCTCTAAGCCCCGGAGGGTTTACTGCCCAGGTTTGGGTTCCAGGAATAAGAAATCCACTGAATAGGCTTAACTTAGAAGACACAAAGGCGCCTCCTGGCGGAAGTGGCCACGCTCCGCCCAGCCTGAGGGAAAGCTGCTCTGACAGCTGGGCCCGGAGCTGCGGGGGGCGGGGCCGCCGCGCGGGGTGAGGACTCGCCTCAGGGCGCTGATTGGCTGGTGGCGCGCTCCGGGGCGGGGCCTTCGTATCCAGGCTGGCGTCGGGGCTGCCGCGGGACATCCGGAGCAGACACCCGCGGGCGCGCCTGCGGCCCCGAGGACCCCCGGCTCCGGAGCTTCGTCGAGCGTTTTCCTAGCGTTACTTTCCCAAATAATTTTCAGGAATGAAGTTACGGCTAAAGGGCTCTTTAGAGATTACTTTTGGGCCGGGCCCGGTGGCTCACGCCTGTAATCTCAACACTTTGGGAGGCCGAGGCCGGCGCATCACGAGGTCAGGAGCTTGAGACCAGCCTGGTATGGCCAACGTGGTAAAACGTCGTCTCTACTAAAAATACAAAAATTGGCCGGGCGTGGTGGCGGGCGCCTGTAATCCCAGCTACTCCGGAGGCTGAGGAAGGAGGATCACCTGAACCCGGGAGGCGGAGGTTGCAGTGAGCCGAGATGGCGCCACTGCACTCCAGCCTGGCGACAGAGCGAGACTCCCTGTCAAAAGAAAAAAGAAAAGATTACTTTTGGCCGGGCGAGGTGGCTCACGTCTGTAATCCCAGCATTTTGAGAGGCTGAGGCGGGCGGATCGCCTGAGGTCAGGAGTTCGAGACCAGCCTGGCCAACATAGTGAACCCCCCCCCATCTCTACTAAAAATACAAAAAAAAATTACCCGGGTCTCGTGGCGCGTGCCTGTGGTCCCCGCTACTCGGGAGGTTGAGGCAGGAGAATCGCTTGAACCTTGGAGTTGAAGGTTGCAGTGAGGCGAGATAGCGCCGCTGCTCTCCGACCTGGGCGACAGTGGGAGACTTCATCTCATAAATAAATAAATAAATAAATATTACTTTTACGTTTTGTTAAACTTCCACTTGTTTTTGTTTCCGTTGCATGAACCTTCGTAAAGCTTCAGGAGGCTGATGGCAGCCTCCTTCCCCAGGCTTCCCCGTGGCGCCCGCAGCCGGGTTGGGCCAGAGGCTGGGACTGTTTCCTCCCGTGGGGTCTTTGGTGGGGATGTCCCCAGAGGAGTGGGGCAGGAGGAGGGGCACGGAGCGCCCCCGGGAGCCGGTCAGAGCGCAGCGATGGTGTCTGTGGTTCCAACCACTCGGGAGGCTGAGGTGGGAGGATGGCTTGAGCCTGGGAGCTTGAGGCTGCAGTGAGCTAGAATCACAGCACCACACTCCAGCCTGGGCGACAGAGTGAGACCCTTGTCTCACAAAAAAAAAAAAAAAAAAAAAAAAAAAAAAAAAAAGGCTGGGTGCGTTGGCTCGCGCCTGTAATCCCAGCACTTTGGGTGGCCGAGGCGGGCGGATCACGAGGTCAGGAGATCGAGACCATCCTGGCTAACACGATGAAACCCCGTCTCTACAAAAAATACGAAAAAAAATTAGCCGGGCATGGTGGCACGTGCCTGTAATCCCAGCTACTTGGGAGGCTGAGGCAGGAGAATCACTTGAACTCAGGAGGCAGAGCTTGCAGTGAGCCAAGATTGGGCCACTGCACTCCAGCCTGGCGACAGAGTGAGACTCCGTCAAAAAAAAAAAAAAAAAAAAAAGGAAGAAAGAAAATTATAAAATGAAGTGAAATTAACGCAGTGGAGTGCCACCTGCCTGCTGCCTGAGTTCACTATCCACACGGAGTTCATAAATTTGAGAGCAGTTTACAAAGTAGATTCTCCTACTTTCCAGGAAACCCAGAAATGTCTGGTGATTTGCCCAACAGTCTCAGCTGTTGTGGTCAGCAGGGCCGCTGTGGTATCCAAATGATTTCAAAAGCAGATTTATAAAAAGTACTCCTTTTTTTTTTGAGATGGAATTTCGCTCTCATCGCCCAGGTTGGAGTGCAGTGGCACGATCTCAGCTCACTGCAACCTCCGCCTCCCGGGTTCAAGTGATTCTCCTGCCTCAGCCTCCTGAGTAGCTGGGATTACAGATGTGTGCCCTCACGCCCAGCTAATTTTTATATTTTTAGTAGAGACAGGGTTTCACCATGTTGGCCAAGATGTTCTCCATCTCCTGACCTTGTGATCTGCCCGCTTCAGCCTCCCAAAGTGCTGGGATTACAGGCGTGAGCTACCCCACGCCCGGCCTTTATTTTTTTTTGAGACGGAGTCTCACTCTGTCGCCCAGGCTGGAGTGCAGTGGCGCGATCTCGGCTCACTGCAAGCTCCACCTCCCAGGTTCAAGAGATTCTTCTGCCTCAGCCTCCCGAGGAGTTGGGATCACAGGCACCCGCCACCATGCCCAGCTAATTGTTTTGTATTTTTAGTAGAGACGGGGTTTCACCGTTGTTAGCCAGGATGCTCTTGAACTCCTGACCTCATGATCCACCCACCTTGGCCTCCCAAAGTGCTGGGATTACAGGTGTGAGCCACCACGCCTGGCCTCTCAAAGTTTTTATAGCAAAGCCTTACATTTCATGAGGAACCATGCATTTTATTTTATTTTTGAGATGGGGGATCTCGCTACTTTGCCCAGGCTGGGCTCAAACTCAGGGCTCTCTGGCCTCAGCCTCCCGAGTAGCTGGGTCTGCAGGTGGCTGTCACCGTGCTGGGCCTGGGGTGTGCGTATTAATGATTTTGGAATAGTGTCTGGAAGCCTGTGTGCTTTCCTCTCTTCCTCTCCCCAGAAGGACCTCCCACCTCGTCCTCCCAAAGTGTTGGGATTACAGGTGTGAGCCACCATGTCCCCTCTCTTTGCTATTTTGCCTGGGAGGAGTGTATTAATAATTTTAATTTTAAAGTTCTTTGATTATGTTCTAGTTTGATTATTGATCATTTACTTCTTAGCTATTTATATTCTTCCTTGAGTCATCGGTTTCTGCCCTTTGACAATTTTTCTGTGAATGTTTTGTGTCGATTATATGAGCTTTGTCTGTATTGAGAACATCCACGAATTGTATTATTGCATCTGTTTTGCTAGTTGAGAACATCGACCTGCTGTATTATTGCAAATGTTTTCCTGCTTGCATGTAGTCATTTGTTGTGCATATTAATGAATTTCTATCCACATGACGCCGGAAGGGGATAGAGTGGGTGGGGAGGAAGAGGGAAGGGTCCCCACCTGGAGACCCAGCCTGCAGGCCACTCGGCCACCTGCGCAGAGGTAGGGGAGCAGCAGCCGCTCATGCCCCTGCAATTTGTCCTCATCAGCAGGTGGGGAAACTGAGGCCGGGGAGTTCTCCAGGCCAAGGTCACTCACGGGCAAGTTCCCGCAGCCTTTGGACCCTCCATACATGTCAGGGCCGCTCATGCTTTCCTGGGCCCTTCACTGGTTTGGAGGAACCATCCTGTTTCCCAGAGCGCACTGCCTGTCTCTGAGTGTATGTGTCTCAGTGGCGTCCATGTGTATTTTTCTGTGTGTGTATCTGTGTGAGTCTGTGTGTGTGGTGTGTTTGTGTCTGAGTGTGTGGTGTTAGCGTGTGTCTCAGTGGCGTCCATGCATATTTTTCTGTGTGATGTGTCTGTGTGTGTGTCTCTGAGTGTGTGGTGCCTGCGTGTGTCTCAGTGGTGTCCATGCATATTTTTCTGTGTGGTGTGTCTGTTTGTGTGTGTGTGAATCTACGTGGGTGTTTGTCCATCTTTTTGTCTGGCCTCCTGTCCCCTCTGCACAGAGCAGCTGGGTGGGGATGCTGGTCCTGGGGGCTTGTCAGCAGGATGTGGGCGTGGGGCAGCCCTGGGTGAGGCCTGAGTACAGGCCCCAGGTGCCTCCTGCACAGGGGTGGCTGAGCCGGCTCCTCTGTGGCTCCCGGGTCCCCACCGCCGGTCACTGGGCACCACCTGTCCTGGCCACCCACTCCTGCCCACCCTGCTCTCCGCAGGGGCCTCCTTCCTCTTTCAGCTGTGCGCCCTGGTTGTGGAGGCTCCTAAGGAGGTTGTGGCCTCGGTTTACCACCTGCCTTGGCTCCTTGGTGTTGCCAGACCCTGAAGGCAGCCCATGCCCTGGCTGAGATCCTTCTGGGGCAGGATGTGCTGGAAGCAGCTGAAACATGTGGTGATGTACCAGCTCCTGCTGTCCCCTACATCCCCAGCACCGCCAGCCTTCCCTGGGCTCCTCCAGCTGGCTTCTCTACCCTGTACCTGCCCCACCCTGCTTTCCCCCGACCCTACTACCCCCCAACCAGACTTCCAGCTCCAGGCAGGGTCGCAGCCTCCTGGGCTCCCAGCAGGACAGGCCTCACCCAGACCCCGCAGGAGCCGTGGGACTTGGGCTGGGTCTTTGGGCCTGGCTGCAGCCCCTTTGGACCTGACCTGAGGAGACACCCTGGCTGTGGGAGGCAGGGTGGGGGTGCCGGGCCCAGCACAGAGGTGCCCAGGGTGCAGGCTGGCACTGGCCCGGCAGGGACCGTGGATGCCGCCGTTTCAGGCTCGAAAAGGTTTCCATGCCCCAGAGCCTGAGCCCGGCAGCCCCCGAGGATGTCTTGGGGCCTCTGTGCTCCCCAAAGCCAAGAAGGTTAGGCTTGACCCACAGCCTCTTCCAGGCCGGGGAGGCAGAGGCGCTCCAGGTCGGTAGGGCGGGGCCCACAGCCCAGGGTTTCACGTCCCCAAAACGGGGCAGGGTGCTGGAGGGGCAGGTGTCCACAGGGTGGTCGTTTTGGTCTCTCCTGGACTTGCACGCGTGTAGTGCAGACTGGCTGCCGGCAAAGCCCTGAGCCACATT
Source organism: Homo sapiens (assembly GCF_000001405.40). Taxonomy (NCBI): domain Eukaryota; kingdom Metazoa; phylum Chordata; class Mammalia; order Primates; family Hominidae; genus Homo; species Homo sapiens. The sequence goes on from NC_000001.11 coordinate 1,698,131, forward strand.
CATCTGGGCCTTGTTAGGACAACAGGGACGGTGCGGGGTGGGGGGGTTGCGGGGCGCAGGACCACGTCAGTGGAGGGAGGGAGGCCGATATCGGTGCCCAGGCTGGGCCCAGGGGCCAGCGGGTCCTCACCTGGCTTGTGGCTGCCCCTGTTAGGCAGCCCGGATGGAGGGGCTCTTCCAGCCCTGCTGGCCCCGGGAATGCAGGGACTCAACTCCCCCTGGTCTCAGTGGCTCTTCCGGGAGCAACACAGCCTGCCCGAGTCGACACCACCCCTCGGGTTTGAGTCCCTTCTGTCTACCCCTACCCCCGCCAGGGCACTGCCCCCTTGCCCGGAAGAGGCAGCGGCACCCCCAGCCCCTTGGGGAGGATGCCCTGCCGGCCCCACACTCGGTGGATGGGCATTTTGGGGCTAGGATTTAATGGGGGTGACCCTGCCCGACCCCTCTATGTTGGTTCCACGGCGTCAGAAGAAAGCTGTTATTAACCCAGCTTATTTTCTACAAGTCTTGTTTATTGAAAGGATCTGAAAAGCGTAATAAGGCTTTCAATGACATTTAATACATTTTCAAGAAATTAATATGAAACATTAAAATTTACTTCAAAAATCCAAAGTTTTCTAGATCATTCCCATCTCACGCTGCTTTAGAGGTCAGTTCACACCTTCTGTGTTCAGATGAGCGGCTGGAATTCTGAACACTGCCGTCTTCCAGCCCTAACGCTGGGCGCTGGTCCCTCTCTCCTAAGCCCACGGCTGGGCTTCCCCTGTGCCCAGGGTCATGGCGGACTTCAAGCCAGGCCGGCTGCCCAGAATCACACTCAGGGTTTTTGGACGCTCAAGTCCACAGATGCTGAGGTGCCCAGACGAGGGTGAGCAGGGAGACACATGCCTCGGAGAACGTGCCCAGGCTGGGCCAGGCGGCTGCGGGAAGCTCCTCACGGGCAGAGGAGAACGTCTTGTGCCTTCCTTATCGATCTCCAGCAGATGAGGGCAACTTTGTGTGCAAAACTCAGAGAGCAGTTACTCAAAAAAAAGACACCCGGGCAGCAGTAACCAGGACACCAGGGTCCGACCACGGCCTCCACACACCTGTGCCCGTGGAAGACGCGGGCGCCGGGGTAGGCAGCATCCACGTGCTCCACAGCTGCTGGTGCTGGGCAGGCTGGAGACTCACGGGAGAGGCAGGAGGAGAATCAGCGTGTTGAGTCCCTCGCTGTGTTAGTGTGAAAAATTCTCATTACAGTTGCAAATAAAAGGGATCACGATCACTAGCCCCGGAAACCCTCATCTCCCGGACCATCAGGATCGCACTGAACAGAATGGTCCCCTAATGGTCCCTGAGGACAGCGTCTTGCAGAACATAAATGTAAACATTGAATGGCAGACGACTCCCTTCCCCTTGAAATCTTCACAAAAGTGTGTACGAGAAAGTATGTACATCAGCACTTCAGAAAAGGGGCCCACAGGACGTGTGCGGGGTGTGCAGGGTGTGCGGGGTGTGCGGGGTGTTTGAGGGTCCGGATGTGCGTCCCGAGGTCGGAGGGTTGGACGCCCCTGTGTCCAGTTGTTGGGAGGGGTGGGAGGCCTCGCCCTGCTGTTCAGCCCCTTCCCCTCCACTGGGCCGCGTTCCCAGGGACGTGCAACAGGGCGCTCAGGTTAGGAGACCCGAAACCACAGGCAGACAGGACCCGCCACGCCCGCTCCCAGCCCTGGGCACCCCCACCCCCGTTTCCTTCCAGTCCATTTTCCGCGGCAGTTTTTGGTCCTGGGGACCGTCACCGATGCCTCCCACGCACGCTTTCTTCCCTGAAGGGAGACGTCGCTGCGCTGGGCCTCTCGGCGGTCCCCCCCACCCGGGTCCCGGGCCCACTGGCCCCCCGCAGACGCCGCTACACGCTGACTCCAGCCAGGCTGCGCTGGGACCACTTCAACCTCACCTACAGGTGCGCCCTGGCTGGGCCCCGGGGGAGGGGGCGCGGCCGGCGCCCGCTGAGCTCACTCTCCCTGCAGGATCCTCTCCTTCCCGCGGAACCTGCTGAGCCCGCGGGAGACGCGGCGGGCCCTAGCTGCCGCCTTCCGCATGTGGAGCGACGTGTCCCCCTTCAGCTTCCGCGAGGTGGCCCCCGAGCAGCCCAGCGACCTCCGGATAGGTGGGCGCCCGCCCCCGCCCCGGCCCGGCCCTGCGCGCCCGGCCTCTCAGCCCCGTGCTCCCCCCAGGCTTCTACCCGATCAACCACACGGACTGCCTGGTCTCCGCGCTGCACCACTGCTTCGACGGCCCCACGGGGGAGCTGGCCCACGCCTTCTTCCCCCCGCACGGCGGCATCCACTTCGACGACAGCGAGTACTGGGTCCTGGGCCCCACGCGCTACAGCTGGAAGAAAGGTGACCGTCCAGGCTGGCCTCCTGGAGGCCTCTCCTCTGCAGCACAGTGGGCTGCCGCGGTCGGGCTTTGGGGCAGACGGCAGGAGGGACCTTCCGGGGTGGTGGCTGCCACTGGAGTCTAGCAGGCAAGGAGGGGAGCCCGTGGGAGCCCCCATCCCGGCAGCCCTGAACTCCCTTTCCCATCCCCCTGCGCCTCTGGAGCGGGAGCTGGAGCTGCATTCCTGGGGGCCGAGCTCACCGCCTGGGCCCAGAACATTCTTATCTTTCCGTGGCTGCGGCCGAGGGCGGCTCCGCGGCTGCGCTCCAGCAGATACACCGGGCCTCGGGGAGCTGGCCCACGGGCGGCGGGGCTGGGCCCGGGGCTCCCAGGCGCTGACCCCCGGGGCCCGCAGGCGTGTGGCTCACGGACCTGGTGCACGTGGCGGCCCACGAGATCGGCCACGCGCTGGGCCTGATGCACTCACAACACGGCCGGGCGCTCATGCACCTGAACGCCACGCTGCGCGGCTGGAAGGCGTTGTCCCAGGACGAGCTGTGGGGGCTGCACCGGCTCTACGGTGAGTCCCTTTGTCGGGCGGGAGGGCGGGGACCGGGCGGTCCTGAGCCAGGCCGTGCTCCCCACGCTCCCGACAGGATGCCTCGACAGGCTGTTCGTGTGCGCGTCCTGGGCGCGGAGGGGCTTCTGCGACGCTCGCCGGCGGCTCATGAAGAGGCTCTGCCCCAGCAGCTGCGACTTCTGCTACGGTGATGCCCACGGGGCCGGGACAGGGCTGCGTGGGAGCTGGGCCTTGGCCATGGTCGGGGCTGAGGGGGCACTGACGGGGCTCTTTCCCCCACCCGGAGCAGAATTCCCCTTCCCCACGGTGGCCACCACCCCACCGCCCCCCAGGACCAAAACCAGGCTGGTGCCCGAGGGCAGGAACGTGACCTTCCGCTGCGGCCAGAAGATCCTCCACAAGAAAGGGAAAGTGTAGTGAGTGAGCGCCCCGGGCGGTCCTCGGGGTGGGCAGCCCGCGGGCGGCCTTGGGGCAGGGGTGCGGGGCAGGCAGCGGGGGGGGGCTGTGCCTGCAGGAGACGCCCCGCCCCCCTGCAGCTGGTACAAGGACCAGGAGCCCCTGGAGTTCTCCTACCCCGGCTACCTGGCCCTGGGCGAGGCGCACCTGAGCATCATCGCCAACGCCGTCAATGAGGGCACCTACACCTGCGTGGTGCGCCGCCAGCAGCGCGTGCTGACCACCTACTCCTGGCGAGTCCGTGTGCGGGGCTGAGCCCGGCTGATAAAGCACTTTCTCTCTGATGGCTCCTCGCTCATTCTTGGGAGGGCAGCGGGCAGCCAGTCTGGGCAGGTGGACACCCCAGCCCCTGGTCCACCGAGAGCTGGGCGTCCTCGGGGCTGGGCACCCCTGCTTCCCCGCACAGCGGACCACAGGTACAGCACAGGACGGGACGGGCTTTGCTAAGGTGGCCCCTGGGAAAGTGGGATAAGAGGAGGCCCCAGTGACAGGGGCAGCACGTGGAGCAGCACCTGGGGTAGCCCCAGAAGCCTGGGTTCTGTCTAGGACTTGCTCAGAGCTGGGGGAGGGAGGCAAAGGGGGCTTCCTGAAAGATGTGGCTGGGATGGGCCTCCAGGATCTTCTGCAAGGAGATGTGGGTGGGGGCTGGGAGGACTGGCACAGGGTGGGGGACCACCTTGCCAGAGTGGAGGCCCCCCAGGAGGTAGGAGCTCCCCTCCTGCCTGGGGAAGACACTGGCCCACATGGGGTCAGAGGCCACAGCCGCCCACCCCACCCTCTTCCCCTAGAGCCCGGTGGTCTGCGACTCCCCTCCCACACATGGTCCCGGGTCACTCAAAGGACGACACGGGGAGCTTTCCTCGAAGAATATTTTAATACATTTTAAAACTCAACAACCTTGTATAAAAACCTGTCGAGTCTGCTGGCACAGCTGGGGCTGGGGGTTGGGGGCCGGGGGCCTGTGTGGACAGGGCTGGTCTGGACGAGTGGGTTGGGGCAAGAGGGCATCGCTCATCCCAACACAGAAACAGGTCTCCAGCTCCGAAGATTAAACAATCCACCCGGCTCCCACCAGTTCCTTTCCAAATCACGGCCCAGCCAGCCCCGTGCGTGTCGAGAGTGGGAGAGGGTGTGTGGAGGTTTGTGCTGCCCCACGTGGGCACCCGAAGATGCCCTGGCAAGTCACGGAGAAAACACAGCTCTTTCCTCCACAACAAGGAAAATGATTTAATTCTACAAATTTACAAACCAAAATACAAAAACAAAACATGGAGCACAAAGTAAGACGAGGAGTTCCGAGTCTCATCGCAGCTCCAGCCGCAGTAGCCACGCCTGTGGTCCCGGCTGAGTTCTCCCCATGACGGGGTCCACTCTGACCTTCAGAACTTGAGGCTGAAGCCGGGGCCCGCGGCAGAGGCCCCCTGGTTCGTGGTGGTAAGGTGGAAGCCCGTCTCCTTCAGGTCGTCGTCACCCTGGGACGAGTCGGCTACCGTGAGAACCCTGCCCAAGCCAGCCCCACCTGTGGGCACGCCCCACCCGCCAGGCCCCTCACCAGCTGGCTGTAGCCCAGGCCTCCCTCAGGGGGCCTCGGGCTGGTGCCCCGCTTCACACGCTGCTGCTCGCTCTTGGCGGGCCACGTGGGGAACATGGAGGGGTCGATGGGGAGGGGGGTCTCGCGGAAATACTCATGCTTGAGGCCGTCCTCAGCGCTGATCCTCCTCCCGGGGAAGTAGGTCAGGAACCTGGGGGGAGAGGGCCAGAGGCCCAGGAGGTGCTCGTGTGCTCCACTGGGTCCCCCAAAGATGGGCTGTGTTGGGACGGGGCTCAGGGCATGGGACGCCAGGCACCAGAGCAGTTCTGGAACGTGGTGAGCCAGCAGGTAGGCCTGGGACTGGGAAGTCACCGCTATGGCTCGGGACCTCCCGCCACCCGGCTGCACTGGGCTCACTTGTTCATGAGGTCGAAGCCCTGGTCTGAGAGCAGAGCCCCGAAGCGCTTGCGGAGGTTGTTGTAGGGGTGCTCGCTGAAGGTCATCTTTTTGACTACTGGGAGCTCACTGTAGCCGGGCCAGATTTTCTCACTGGGGGTCCCCAGCTCCTGAAAGACAGAGGTGCTTCAACAGCCACACCAAGTGGCCCACAGTGTTGGCACCTGTGTCCCGTCAGAGAAGACAAGCCACCAGGAGGGCTCTCAGTGGCCCTGGTCCCCATCTCAACCCAGCACCTGTGCGCCCCGCAGCCCCATTCCTGCAACTCCTCTGAAATCCATAGCGCACCTGCGGCAGGGCCAGACCCACCTTGAACACTTTGTTGATCTGATCGATTTCCGAATTCCCGGGGAACAGAGGCTTCTGAGTCAGCAGCTCCCCGAAGATGCAGCCCACTGACCACATGTCCACGGCCGTGGAGTATTCCTAAGACGCCAGGAGAGGTGTTCAGGAAGGCCAGTGCCCGCGAAGCTGTGGGAGGCTGCATGGGGGACAGGGGAGGCACTCAGACGCCCAGGACTCACCTTGGCACCAAGCAGCAGCTCTGGGGCGCGGTACCACTGGGTCACCACGACCGGGGTGTAGGCCTTCAGAGGGGATCCGTACTCCCGCGCCAGCCCAAAATCACCCACCTGCAACGACAGATGGGCGGCTGTGGGTGGGCCTGGGCGGGTCACCCTGGGATGGGCCACTCGGAGGGGGGCTCACCTTGAGGATGCCGGCGTGGCTCAGCAGCAGGTTGGACGTCTTGAGGTCACGGTGCAGGATCCAGTTGTCGTGCAGGTGTTTCACCCCCCGCAGCAGCTGGATCATCAGGGTCTTCACCTCCCCTGGGAGGGAGGGAGGCTCCCATGTGGACCCGGCCGCCCCAAGCCCAGGGCACTCAGGGTGGCCCGCTCGCCTCGGCAGCAACAGAGGCTTCTCAGGGCTTTCCCTGTGGATGCAGCTGGCCCTCCCTGCAGCACTGTCACCGCGGGGGTGACCAGGACACTGCCCCCACTTGTACGCAGACAGGACCCCGGGGCGCGGCTGTACCTGGCAGGAAGGGCTGTTTCATGGTCTCCATCAGGCTCTTGAGGTCGTGCTCCACGTAGTTCATCACGATGTAGATCTTGTCCATGTTGCTGCCCACCACAATCTCCTGCAGGGCACGGCTCTGTGGGTGCTGGGCACCTCCAGGCCCCCACCCACCCCTGCACCCGGGCGCAGATGCTGAGGGACAGTAAGGACCTCCGGTGCCACCCGGGAGGCAAATACTTGCTTCTGTGTGGTCTGTGAAGGGCTCCACTAAGTGCAGGAGAGTGTAGGAAGCACCCGGCCCCAGGACAGCACGGGGCCCTGTCGGAAAAGCCTTCCACCCGGGGCCAGGCGTGGTGGGGCCATGCTCACTCTAACGGTGACAATGTTGGGATGCTGGGCCTTGAGGATGGTGTTGATCTCCCTCAGGGACGTGATCGGGAAGCCCTCCTTCTCCTTCTCCATCTTCAGCCGCTTTAGAGCCACAATTTCATCTGTGAAGAAAATACAGACGGCACTGAGAGGCATTCTCAAAGTCACGGTACCAACAGTGGACTCGTTCAGTGAGGACCGCAGGCAGTGCCCAAAGCGCCAGCATTTCACGGAGGGGGGTCTCGTTCTAGGTGGGGGCACGTGGGCACCAGGAGAACGCCCCAGCTGAGGTCTCGGCAACACCCACGGCTTCCCACTCAACACACCACAGACACTCACAGCCACCTACAGCCACCTGGGATCCCAGCGGCCACGCCGACTCCACATCGACTTCCCCAACAGAGCCGGCCTCACCTGGGATCCCAGTGGCCGACTCCCAACAGAGTTCCCGGCTCACACACCTGCTTGGGTGGGACGCTGGGAACGCAAACCTGCACACCAGCCCCGGCACAGACCACTCCACGCGCTGGGCCTCGGCCCTGTGGGGCAGGCCGCCTGCTACTGCAAGGGAGTGGCAAAGCCCCAGGGCCAGGCTGACCTCTGGCTTCTAGAGGTGCTGAGGGGTCCAACCTCCAGTAGCTGCTCAGGTGAAGCGGGCCCAGGTGCAGTCGCAGCTCTCGGGCAGCCAGCCCCTGCCCCACTTCCCCTGCCTTTGTGGGGTGAGGGGACCCCACCCACCTGTTTTCTTGTCTTTTGCTCTGTAGACCACTCCATAGGTGCCCTCCTCGATCCTGTTCAGGCACTGGAACTCCTCGACGCTCCGGCAGCCCTGGGAAGGAAGCGCCTGTGTGAGGTCTCAGTGGCCATGCCAGCTGGAGGGAGGGCGGCTGCGTCCACAGGCACGGCACACCCAGCACGGGGCAGGTGCAGGGCAGAGCCTTGGGACTGGGCCGGGGGTGGAGCTGGGAGCAGCTCAGTTCTTTCAAAGTCTCTTTCCTTGCAAAACCATCTGACACTTTATTATGAAACAAAACCAGTGTGAACAAAAGGCCATCCCAGCCAGGTGCAAGGGCTCAGGCCTGTAATTCCAGCACTTTGGGAGGGCAAGGCAGGAGGATTGCTTGAGCCCAGGAGTTCAAGACCAGCCTGGCCAACATAGCAACACTCTGTTTTCTTTTTTTCTTTTTGAGATGGAGTCTCGCTCTGTCACCCAGGCTGGAGTGCAATGGTGAGATCTCGGCTCACTGCAACCTCCACCTCCTGGGTTCAGGCGATTCTCCTGCCTCAGCCTCCCTAGTAGCTGGGAGTATAGGTACGCACCACCACGCCAGGCTAATTTTTGTATTTTTAGTAGAGACAGGATTTCACCATATTGGCCAGGCTGGTCTCGAACTCCTGACCTCTGATCCGCCCACCGCCTCGGCCTCCCAAAGTGCTGGGATTACAGGCGTGAGCCACTGTGCCTGGCCAAAACTCTTCTCTACAAAATAAAAAAATTAGCCAGGCATGGTGGCTTGCGCCTGTAGTTCCAGCTACTCAGGAGGCTGAGATGGGAGGATTGTTTGAGCCTGGGAGGTGGAGGCTCCAGTGAGCTATGATTAAGCCACTCCACTCCAGCCTGGATGACAGAGACAGACCCAGTCTCCAAAAAAAAGGCCATCCGGAGAGTCTCTCTGTCAAAGTGGATGTGTCCCCTGCTTGTACCAGGATGACACTGAGGACGGGCCCTACCTGCCAGGCGCAGCATGATGCCCCATGCCAGGGCACCTACCCCTCGGTGTACCTTGGGGCCGGTGCCCAGGCCGGATGTCACGTACTCTGGGTGGCCTGTGGCCCGACGCCTACGCTCAGCAGCACTAAGGGGCAGAGGCGCTCACAAGGCATAGGGCAGTCGACAGAGGCCTGCTGCATGCGCCAGAGAGAACCTCTCCGCCCACAGGCACCAAGGAGGGGGCCGAGTCCCTGCCGGTCTCCCAGGCCCCCGAGGCCACTGGTACCTTCTCAGGCTTGTCCCTTCCAAATCACTCCCAACAATATCCTGCCTTATTGATAGCTGCCTGAGCAAAAGGCTTCTGGTCACACATCTACACTGACTCCCGTAGCCGCTCCCCCATCCAAGCCCTGCACAGATGCCGGTAACAAGGCCTTGGTGCCTACATAACCCGCCCACGCAGGGGTCAAGTGGAAGGCACTGCTCTCCAGTGCGGAGGAGGACGCAACTCGGGCAGCAGTGACAGCAGCGCGGCCGCACGCCCAGGCTGCCTTTCAAGCCGCAGAGCAGTCCTGCGGGCAGCTCCCTGTCCACCCAGTTCCGTCCAGCATGAGAAAGAGGCGGGACCTAGAAGCATGAGGGGCCAGTGGCTGTGCCCGCCCGTCACTGCCCCAGTGGGCCCAGCAGCCCTGTGAGGCGACAGACGCCAACACGGGGGCCAGGCTTCGCTCAGCCCCTGTGGTAACTCCGACTGCCAATGCGGACAGCGGCCCGGGGCGAGGGGAGGGCCTGACCTGCAGGGCCGGCAGGTACTTGGGCAGCTCCTGCTTGAGCTCGATGGGCAACAGGGCAGGGGAGTCGGGCACATAGTCGCCCTCTGTCAGGGCGCTGCTCTGCGGCGTTCCCTCACCCACTTCTTCCTCTGCTTCTTCACTCTCCCCGGAATCTCGGTCGAACCGTGACTCTGGAACTGGAAAAGTTGAACCTAATTACGAAGCTAGGAGTAAGTAAGGATCATGAACCTCCTCCTGCCCCGGGGGCATCAAGCGCGTGGCAGGGCTGCCCCGTGTCCCGCTGGGAGGTGCTGGCGCTGGGCTCTCGTCCCCTGGACACAGGGCACCGAGGCCTAAGAGTGCTGGCAGGCTCGGCTGAGACAGAGCCCGGATGCTGAGCTGGGAGGAGGCGTCGGGTGTCATGTGGGGGACAAGCCCACATCCACGTCCACCAGGCTGAGGACATAACCTCACTGCCTGTCGGAGGCTGGGCCAGGCCTCTGTTCTGCAGGGACAGGCCCGGAGCCACCATCTGACGGGCCTCCCCTGTGGGGAACTGGTCCTGGGCTTCCCAGCTCCTCGGCCCTGCTGGGCACTCAGGACGCCCTTGGTCAGCACTGTGCCTCGCTGAGGAATGCGGGCCCCACCGGCACAGCCTGGAGCGGCCAACGAATCAGGCGGCCTCCCAGACCCTGGCGTGCCCCACGCCGCGCAGGACCGGCTGTCTTAGGAGAGGGCTGCTGCACTCGGAGACAGACAAGGAGGGGGCTCTGTCTCCAGGGAGGTTCTTACCAACCAAGAGGTGGTTTTCATTTTCTCGTTCTTCATCTTCACTCATTTCTTCCTCACTTACTTCTTCTGCAAGAGAAAGGAGGCGTCTGCTCAGACCAGCACCGGGGCGAGTGCTGCCACAGGCAGGATGCGGGCTCCGCTTCAGCTAAGCAACAAGTGTTCCCAAGAATGGATATGGAGGCTGGGCGCGGTGGCTCACGCCTGTAATCCCAGTGCTTTGGGAGGCCGAGGCGGGTGGATCACCTGAGGTCAGGAGTTCGAGACCATCCTGGCCAACGTGGTGAAACCCCGTCTCGACTAAAAATACAAAAATTATCCGGGCGTGGTGGCGCACACCTGTACTCCCAGCTACTTGGGAGGCTGAGGCGGGAGGATCACTTGAACCCGGGAGGCAGAGGTTGCAGTGAGCCGAGATCATGCCACTGCACTCCAGCCTGGGCAACAGATCAAGATTCCATCTCAAAAAAACAAACAAAAAGAATCGATGTGGAGGTGTCCCGAGAGAGTCCTAGATAGAAGGGAGTTTCAACTCCCCCGCCCGCCAGCTACTTCTCTGCGGTTTCTAACACTATAGTGAAGTCACAACACCTCACACAGTCGTCGCGGTGCCTCACCGGCAGACTGCTCTGATGCCTCCTCAGAGTTGCTGCCGGTCTCCTCCTCCTCCTCTTCCTCTTCCTCCTCCTCCTCCTCTGATTCTTCACTGGTGCTCCCTTCCTCCTCCTCCTCTTCCTCCTCCTCCTCTTCTTCCTCAGAACCTGAGCCTGATTCCGCTGTAGAAAGACAGCAGAGCAGAGGGTGAACCTGGGCCTTCCTGGGCAGCAGTGGTCAAGGCCTTGGCCAGGCGGTTCCAGGTACCTGACGAGGACTCGGCCGAGCTGGTCTTCCTCTCGCTGTCGCTGATGTCCTGTAAGTCGGACAGCAGGTCCCTTTCTTCCATTTTCTCTTCTTTTACTTATGAGATAAACCATAAAGGTGAATTTGGGGAAATGTTTTTAAACAAACAAGCTACCACCACCCCAAAACTAGTGCCTTTCACGTAACGATTAACTTTGCTTGGTCGGAAACCAGCTCATCCACAGACGCTGGAAGCCACTTCTCTAACGGGGCCAGTGGCGAATGTCCCAGCGGATAAACACACGTCCTGTGTCCTGGCCGCACACAGACACTCACGGTCCCTCTCACGACACGAGAGGACTTCAGCCAGCACATCTCTCACTTTCTTCTGAAGCGGTTACTTAGCTGGGCTTTAAATGAATCCTACACACTTATGCCAAACATCCCCCAGAAAAGACTCACACTGTGCTGGCTTCTGCGCAGGCGCCGGCCTGGCCTCACCTGGCTTCCGGCCGTCTCCCAACTCGAACCGCTCCCGCGGCGGCCGAGGCGGGCTGCGACTCCAGTGGCTGGCTTTCACTTTGTCGCTGTAGTCCTCTCTCATCGTTCGGTGATGTGCAGACACTGGCGCGCAGGGCAGAGAGGGAGATGGCACTAGCAGCACTGCCTTCCTCAAAAGGCCCCACCCGGCACAGCTGCCTCGTCTCCCACACCCGCACCTGGCAGACACACCCACAGCGTGCACAGGGTGCTGACAGCATCGGGGTCAGAGGCCAGAGGTCTCCCAGGAAGCCCAGGGAGAAAAAGCTCCAACCTGGAGGCCGTGAGCCCGAGGACCCAGGTGGACCTTCTAGACTGATCTTCACTGGTCAAAAAGGAAGGGGCGGGAGAAGATTCTGGAAAGATGGAGTAGGAAGCACTGGGAATCAGTCTCCCCACCGAGACAACACTTGCATCACAGGATCAGGCCTGTGCAACTACTGAGGTGCTCTGGAGTCTACTGAAGGTTTGCAACTTCAGGGGGAATCTTGGAGAGTAAACTGTGATTCATTAATCAACGTCACCGCTTCGCACATTAGTGGCTCCCACCTCACTCCCCGCTGGCAGGCAGCAGCCTGCATGCAGCTCGCCGGACCCAGGTGGGCAGACGGACACACACACCCGAGGTCAGTGTGATGACTGCGTGTCCCACCCCAGAGGCATGAAGAGGCAGCAGCCACGGCCACCCCCAAGCTGAAGGTACTTCCAGGGCATGAGCACCACGTCCCCCGTTGCCCCCTTCATTTCTCTCTATTCCCCCTTTAGGAGGCAGACACTTCAGGACAAGAACATTAAAAACATCTGTATTGACGGGAACGTTAAAAAGTGGCTGCACGTGACCAGGAAAAGGCTCAGGCTCAGAAAAGACCCGTGAAGACCCTGAGTTTCCACAACAGGCCGACCCCACAGACACAGCCCAGCACAACCAAAACAACAAGTGCACACCCTTGAGTGGGGACCAGGAAGAATCACATCATGAGAATCAAATGTCCATTTTTTTGACTAAGAAAAACACAAGAGAAACAAAGAAACAGGACAGTATGTCCCATTCAGAGGGGAAAAAAAGAAGCCAACAGACACGGTTCCTGAAAATCACCTGACGGTAGATGTCCCAGACAAAGATTTTAGGGAACTGTCTTAAACCTTCAGTTCCTCAGAGAACGAAAGGAAGATGTGGAGAAAGTCAAGAAAATGACGCGTGAACACGACGGAAATATCAACAGAGACAGAAGATCCAACAAGAAACCAGAGAGAAATTCCAGAGCTAATAAGTACATGCTCACAATAGACACTAAAAAGTAAATATTCACAACAGAAACTCACAGGCAGATGTGAGCAGGCAGAAGAAATAATCGGTGAGCCTGAAGACAATAAAATCACATCGTCTGAGGAAAAGAAAGCAGAAGAGACTGAAGAAAAGGGAGCAGTGCTGAGCGGCCTCGGGGACCCCAACAGATCTGTGGGAGCCCAGGAGGGAGGAGAGGAGCAGAGAGGGTATCTGAAGAATTCCTCAAAACCCCCACATTGGATGAAAACCGTAAATATAAACATTAGAGAGGCTCAGTGAACTCCAGGTAGAATGAAGTCAAGAGGCCCACAGGAAAACCCATTATTAAACAGTTGAAAGCCTAAGGCAAAGAGAATCTTCAAAGCATCCAAGGGATCCTCAATTAGGTCATCAGATTAAAGCATCCAAGGGATCCTCTATAAGATCATCAGATTTCTCATCAGAAACTTTGGAGGCCAGAAGACAATGGGCTGAAATAGTCCAAGTGAAAAGGAAAAACTGTCAGCTAGGCATGAGGGTTCCTTGAGCCCAGGAATTCAAGACCAGCCTGGGCAATACAGGGACACCTTGTTTCTACTGAAAAATGAGCCAGGTGTGGTGGCACACGCTACGCCTGTAGGTCCCAGCTACGCGGGAGGCTGAGGTGGGAAGATCACTTGTGCCCAGGAGTTCGAGGTTGCAGTGAGCTATGATCGCTCCACTGCACTCCAGCCTGGGCAACAGAAGAAGACTCTGTCTCAAAACAACAACAACAAAATTGTCAACCAAGAACCACGTATCCAGCAAACTTTCCTTCAAAGATGAGGGAGAAATGAGGATATTCTCAGATAAACAAAAGCAGAGGGAGTTCATTACTACTAGACCTAGACCTGCCTTGAAGAATAAGCTCCAGGGAGTTGTGTGGGGTGTAAGGAAAGGACGCGAGACAGAAACCGGAAGCTGGGTGAAGAAATAAAGATCTCCATTAAGGTGAGGACGTGGGTGACTATAAAAGCTCGTACTGGCCGGCCGCGGTGGCTCACGCCTGTAATCGCAGCACTGTGGGAGGCCGAGGTGGGTGGATCACGAGGCCAAGAGATCAAGAGACTATTCTGGCTAACACGGTGAAACCCTGTCTCTACTAAAAATATAAAAAAATAGCTGAACATGGTGGCGGGTGCCTGTAATCCCTGCTACTCCGGAGGCTGAGGCAGGAGGATCACTTGAACCCGGGGGGCAGAGGGTGCAGTGAGCCGAGATCGCGCCACCGCACTCCAGCCTGGGGGACAAGAGCAAAACTCTGCCTCCAAAAAAAAAAAAAAAGGCAGGGGCGAAAAGCAAGCACCGGAACCAAGCGCCCGCCTGTGACAGCAAGTGCCCAGCACCAGGGGGCAGCAGACACGCGTCCCGCCGAGCACAGCTGCCCACCGCGCCGCCTACCTTCCCTGCGGGCCTCCCGCTCCTTGCGCCGCTCCTCCGCCCGCCGCTCGCGCTCCTTCTGCTCCCGCTGCTCCTTCTGCTGCTCCCGCATCTTGCGCTCCCGCTCCCGCTTCCTTTCTAACTGCTCCAAGCGGTCCCTGAAGAGGCACACGCCATCATTCCCCCTAAACAGAAGCTTGCTTATCGCGTTTTTGTCCACATTTGTAAGCTGGCTTTCTACGTAATTCAATCCGTGAAGTTTTTTTTTCATTTTTTTATTTTATTTTCTTTGAGACGGAGTCTTCATCTGTCCCCCAGGCTGGAGTGCGGTGGCGCGATCTCGGCTCACTGCAACCTCCGCCTCCCGGGTTCGAGCGATTCTCCTGCCTCAGCCTCCCGAGTAGCTGGGATTACAGGCGTGCGCCCTGTACTCCCAGCTAATTTTTGTATTTTTAGTAGAGACGAGGGTTTCACCATGTTAGCCAGGATGGTCTCAATCTCCTGACCTCGTGATCCGCCTGCCTCCGCTTTTCAAAGTGCTGGGTTTACAGGCCCGAGCCACCGTGCCCAGCTGCCATTTCCAATTCTAATTAATAAATGATCCATTTCTTTCCATTCGATCGGTGTTTGCTTCATGGATTTTGGGCTCTGTGGTTAGATGCATTCACATGTATCATTGCTGTATCTTCCTGCTGTATTGGCCTGTTTCTGGCTGTGAAGTCCTTGCTCCTTCTTGTTTCTAGCTTTTTTTTTTTTTTTGAGACAGGGTCTTGGTTTGTCACCCAGGCTGGAGTGCAGTGGCGCAATCTCGGCTCACTGCAACCTCCATCTCACGAGTTCAAGTGATTCTCATACCTGAGCCTCCCGAGTAGCTGGGATTACAGGTGTGCACCACCACACCCAGGTGATTTTTGTATTTTTACTAGAGACAGGGTTTCACCATGTTGGCCAGGCTGGTTTCTAATATTTCTTAACATCTGTTTTGTCTGGTATGAGTACAGCCATTCAAGCTCTCCTATGACAGCTGATGTTTGTACGCTGCGTCTTTTCCTGTTCTCTAGCAGACAGCATACAGTTAGATCTTGTTTTTCTATCTGATAATCTGCCCTGTCTGTTTGGGGCACAGAGACCTTTCACATGTCATATAATTACACGTACAGTTGGATTTACTTTCCTTGCTTTGTTGTGTCTTTTTTATTCTTCCCTTTTTGATTTTAAATTACATACGTTTAGCATACCATTTTAATTTATTTGTACTTTTTAGAACACTAAGAAAACAACTTTCTTAGTGGTTGCTCTAGGGATCACCATATGCCTCATGATACTAGCTCAAGTCCAGTACAATATAAAACTGTTGTAACACAGCTTCATTCCCTGTCTTCTTTGTGCAGTCCATTTATGCCACATACCACGACAACAGTGTAATTATTTTACACAATCGTAGTTCCAGTAAAACCTAAGATGTGAGGAGAGATATTTACAGGATATTGACGTCAACCTACACTTGCTATCTGCAGTGCCTGTCCTTCCTTCCTGAGGATTCAAGTTACCGTCTGGTGTCATTTCTATTCAACTTGAAGGTCTTCCTTTAGTATTTCCTTTAAGGCAGGTTTCGCCAACAATGAATCCCACCAGTCTCTGCTTCTCAGGGAATGTCGTTCGTTCCCTTTCACTTGTGTAGAACAGTTTTGATTCCTGGCTGATGGTTCTTCTCTCTAAGCAGCTTGAGTATGCCACTCCACTGCCTTCTGGCCTCCATTGTTTCTAAGAAGTCAGTGGCTGGCGGTATTGAAGCTCCCCTTTCATGGGATGGGTCATTCTTCTCTGAGCCCTTTCAACATTTTCTCTTTGGCCTTTGCCAGTTTGACTATGATGTGACTTTGCATTTATTCTAGTTCAAACTTCCTGTGCTCTTGAATGTGCATATTTTTTAATTAAAATTTGGAAAGTTTTTAACCATTATTGTAACAAATATCTTTCCTCTCTCCTGGAACCCCCATTCGACGTGCTTTGGTACAGCAGATGTTGTACCACGGGTTTCTGAGGCTCTGTGCATTTTTCTTGTTTTTTTCTCTCTGTTCTTCAGAATGGATAATTTCTACTGCTCCATCCACAAGTTGTTTCCAAGCCTTTACTAAATTCAACATCTGGACACTCAAGACAGT
This sequence comes from Homo sapiens, assembly GCF_000001405.40. NCBI lineage: Eukaryota > Metazoa > Chordata > Mammalia > Primates > Hominidae > Homo > Homo sapiens. The sequence goes on from NC_000001.11 coordinate 1,714,408, forward strand.
TTCTACTGATGATGTTCTTCCTCAGTACGGGTCACACTGTCATACTTCTTTGTATTTTAGATAATACATTTGTAGCAATTCTGGATTCTAAGTTTTCCCTTTCGTTGTTACCACCAAGGCCTGTCTGGTTGTCCGTGAAATCCATCTCCCTCATAGCTCATGGCCACCCCGTTCCTTCCCACATGCCTATTTTAATTTTCAACCTTGGCTTCCTAGGGGTCACCACCATGGCTGCACAGCTTAGCAATTAGCCAGCACTGGAAAAAGGCTGGGCTCAAATACCTCGAGCACAGTAAGGCTTCCTTGGCCCACGGCTGTGTGTGGACAGGGAGCACACTGAACGTTCAGGCGTCATTCGCATCTGTGGCGGCTTCTATTTTCTGCTAGGTCCTTTCACGCAGCTGCATCCTCAGGGCTGGTCACAAGTGGGTGGCGGCTCGAGCTCTCTCCAGTCTCTGCTGCACGTCTTTGGCGGGATCACAGCTGCTCCCAACCACACTGTACTTCATTCTAGCAGACCTCTTGGCCTTTTCCTCCCTCCACTGAGGATGCTGGTGGGCAAGGCCACTGCCCACTGCTCTAAACGGAGTAACCCCTTCCAAGGCAGCAAGGAAACTGCAGGTCCTGCAGCTGCCCTGTCCCAGTGGAACCTCCGTGCTTCCAAGTGCAGAGTGGAAGCAGTAAAGGGAGCAGCTCTCAGGCCAGAAGGTCAGATTCTTACTGCTTTTACCCACAGCTCAGCAGTTTTCCAAGCATCAGTGCTTCTCAGATTATCCTTATCAGTTTCCTTTTTGTCAGAGACAAGGTCTCTCTACGTTGCCCAGGCTGGCGTCATGCGGTCCTCTGGCCTTAGCCTCCCACGTAGCATATGCTACCACACCCAGTTCTGGATTGGCTGATCTGAATCGGCCCTACCCAGAAGTCTGCCCCCAACAATTTTTGTTCATTCACTCTCCTGTCTTTACCTTCTGGGAAATCAATATGACAGCCCAAATTTCATCTACCAACCTCCACTTCTATCCCAAGCTCTACTCTCGTGGGACAAGACACACTCAATGTCTGGCACAGGGCGTGGCATACATGAATGTTTCACACACTAACAGGAACTAGGCCAACTGAAACCTTGCTCACCCAGCAGCGGTCTCGGACCTTGACCCCTGGGCCTCAGTGTCTCCCACACCCTTCGGCATCAACAAGAACCAGCGCCCTCTCATCATCTTTACATGCTGTGTACCCAGCCCTGGCTGCTGGCAAACATCGCTGCACACGCCCTTCCGCTTCAGACTCCTCTCTTCCTGGAGCAGCTTGCAAGCTTTCTGTGGACTCACTCTGAAGGCGGAGATGGGCCTGCTCGCACCTGGCCTACAGCCTTTTTCCTGGTTCACAGAACAGATCTGGGGCTACACCGATGTTCTTTCTTGGGAATCTGGCTCATAAAGGGGAACGAATATACAGACTAATGGCCAGGAGTCCTAGGAGTCCAGTGTCCCGATTTCCAGACTGTTTCAAGGTTTTTGGGATCTCCCTTCTCCTTTTTTTGAGACAGTCTCACTCTGTCAACCAGGCTGGAGTGCAGTAGCATGGTCATAGCTTACTGCAGCCTTGACCTCCCAGGCTCAAGGGATCCAACCACCTCAGCCTCGTAAGTGCTGGAATTCTAGCGTGAGCCACTGCGCCCGGCGGGACGTGCAGATTTCTGATCCCTTCATTGTCTTCCCTCAATCAAATCACACCCGTTCTTACTTCCAGATGCAGTGAAAACTCACTCCCTCAGGACAGTTCTCTTGGTCAGCCTCGTCCAGCGTTCACTGTGCTGTTTCCATGTCTACCACTTCTGCAACAAATGTGACTTCTATTGCCAAATTCTTCTTCATTGCTGTGACAGGACACACTACCACGGCCCTTTCATAAAGTCCTCAACTGACCCAGCCCACTCACCTTTCTCTCCTGGAATGCTCCCTTGCCATTTCCCTTCTCTTCTGTCTTTCCCATTCCCGGCGAGCTTTATCCTGTTCTTCTCGATGTCGTTTCCGACGTTCGTGCTCTCTTTCTTTCACTCTAGCATGCTTCCCTAATGAGAAATAAAGTGTCATGCAAAGAAACCTCACTTCAAAAATTTCACGAGGCCGGGCACGGTGGCTTACGCCTGTAATCCCAGCACTTTGGGAGGCCGAGGCGGGTGGATCACCTGAGGTCAGGAGTTCAAAACCAGCCTGGCCAACATGGTGAAACCCCGTCTCTACTAAAAATACAAAAATTAGCTGGGCGTGGTGGCAGGCACCTGTAATCCCAGGTACTAAGGGAGGCTGAGGCTGTAGAATCACTTGAACCTGGGAGGTGGAGGTTGCGGTGAGCCGAGATCGTGCCACTGCACTCCAGCCTGGGCGAAAAAGTGAGACTCCATCTCAAAAAAAAAAAAAAAAAAAAAAAAAAAAAAAAAAAAAATCACATGAAAATGAAATTAAATCAAGAACATTAAATATTTAAATAATGATGTTAAGTAATCCTAATCTTTTTTTTTTTTTTTTTGAAGAGACAGGGTCTCACTATATTGGCCAAGCTGGTCTTGAACTCCTGGGCTCAAGTGATCCTCCATCCTTGTCCTCCCAAAGTGCTGGGATTACAGGCCTGGGCCACTGCACCCAGTCGAATAATCATGATTTTATGTTAAATAAAAAACTTTGAAAATAGAAAACTATCTGCAGTAAGCGTCTAATTATGAAGAAAGAAGAAAAAAGAAAAACAATTCTGCTATCACAGAAGAGAATTGTAATATTCATCTTTTAAAAATTTTCTATACTGAATAAACTATAATTATCAGTTTTATAATACAAAAACCACTCTTCACAAAGACTACAGAACAAAGCTTTGCTATCAGTGGGCTTCTCCACTGTGCAATGAAGCCACATTAATTAATCAAGCGTATTTATAATAATGAGATTTCAATCGGGCTCCAGGTCCAATTTTCCTAACACCCGTAAGAATCTCCTGATGTTGGTACGAGATCAAACTGCTCAAGCCTAACCCATTCTTTGGACTTGAGCAAATACCCATTTTGGGGTGTGTTTTTCTCCTATACTTGTTGAATTCAGGTCATTTTAAATGTAAACAAACTGCTCCCAAACAATATAATGGGGGAGAGAAAACCCCAGAGGAAAAATGGACTAGCCATTCTGAATGGTCTGTGACACACGCACGCTTTCAGCTAGAGTTTGCTCTCTCTGGTTTTCGGTCTGTGACACACGCATGCTTTCAGCTAGAGTTTGCTCTCTCTGGTTTTCGGTCTGTGACACACGCACACTTTCAGCTGGAGTATCCTCTCTATAGCCCCTCTGAACGGTCTGTGACACACGCATGCTTTCAGCTAGAGTTTGCTCTCTCTGGTTTTCGGTCTGTGACACACGCACGCTTTCAGCTAGAGTATCCTCTCTATAGCCCCTCTGAACGGTCTGTGACACACGCATGCTTTCAGCTAGAGTTTGCTCTCTCTGGTTTTCAGTCTGTGACACATGCATGCTTTCAGCTAGAGTATTCTCTCTATAGCCCTTCTGAATGGTCTGTGACACACGCATGCTTTCAGCTGGAGTTTGCTCTGTCTGGTTTTCGGTCTGTGACACACGCATGCTTTTAGCTAGTTTGCTCTCTATAGCCCTTCTGAATGGTCTGTGACACACGCACGCTTTCAGCTAGAGTTTGCTCTTTCTGGTTTTCGGTCTGTGACACACGCATGCTTTCAGCTAGAGTTTGCTCTCTCTGGTTTTCGGTCTGTGACACACGCATGCTTTCAGCTAGGGTATTCTCTCTATAGCCCTTCTGAATGGTCTGTGACACACGCATGCTTTCAGGTGGAGTTTGCTCTCTCTGGTTTTCGGTCTGTGACACACGCATGCTTTCAGCTAGAGTATTCTCTCTATAGCCCCTCTGAACGGTCTGTGACACACGCATGCTTTCAGCTGGAGTTTGCTCTCTCTGGTTTTCGGTCTGTGACACACGCAGGCTTTTAGCTAGAGTTTGCTCTCCATAGCCCTTCTGAATGGTCTGTGACACACGCACGCTTTCAGCTAGAGTTTGCTCTCTCTGGTTTTCGGTCTGTGATACACGCACGCTTTCAGCTAGAGTTTGCTCTCTCTGGTTTTCGGTCTGTGACACACGCACGCTTTCAGCTAGAGTATTCTCTCTATAGCCATTCTGAACGGTCTGTGACGCACGTATGCTTTCAGCTAGAGTATTCTTTTTTTTTTTTTTGAGACGGAGTCTTGCTCTGTCGCCCAGGCTAGAGTGTGCAGTGGTGCGATAGCGGCTCACTGCAAGCTCCGCCTCCCAGGTTCATGCCATTCTCCTGCCTCAGCCTCCAGAGCAGCTGGGACTACAGGTGCCCGCCACCACGCCCGGCTAATTTTTTGTATTTTTAGTAGAGACTGGGTTTCACCGTGTTAGCCAGGATGGTCTTGATCTCCTGACCTTGTGATCCACCCGCCTCAGCCTCCCAAAGTGCTGGGATTACAGGCTTGAGCCACCACGCCCGGCCTTCAGCTAGAGTATTCTCTCTATAGCCCTTCTGAATGGTCTGTGACACACGCATGCTTTCAGCTAGAGTTTGCTCTCTCTATAGCCCTTCTGAATGGCCTGTGACACACGCATGCTTTCAGCTAGTTTGCTCTCTCTGGTTTTCGGTCTGTGACGCACACATGCTTTCAGCTAGAGTTTGCTCTCTATAGCCCCTCTGAATGGTCTGTGACACATGCATGCTTTCAGCTATTCTCTCTATAGCCCTTCTGAACGGTCTGTGACACCATTATGCTTTCAGCTACAGTTTGCTTTCTCTGGTTTTTCAGTGGTGCTCTGGGGAAGGCAGAAGAGTAGGAACAGGAAAGAAACCACACTTGAACATGATGTCAAAGAAAGTAAATGCTTCTGTACCCCCTTCTGCTGAATGGCTATGATGCCTACATTTTTCTTTTCTCTTTTCATCTTTTCTGTGATGAACTTTTTCTTTCCGAGACATTTGCTGGGGTGGTTTGATGGCCAAAGAATCATCTTCTTCTCCTCTGAAATAAAACACAACAGCACTGCGTCATGCTTGAGAAAGTGCGGAAAAGCATCAGGCTATTATGAGGTTTTTTCAACCCAGAAAAATGCATGATTCAGATAGGAACGAAGCTGAAACATCATTTAAAAAATTACATTAATTCTCCAACTTCAGGCATCTTTTTTTTTTTTTTTTTTTAGACGGAGTCTCGCTCTGTCACCCAGGCTGGAGTGTAGACACGCGATCTCGGATCACTGCAACCTCCACCTTTCCGGGTTCACACCATTCTCCTGCCTCAGCCTCCGGAGTAGCTGGGACTACAGGCACCCGCCACCACACCCAGCTAATTTTTGTATTTTTAGTAGAGACGGGGTTTCACTGTGTTAGCCAAGATGGTCTCAATCTCCTAACCTGGTGATCTGCCTGCCTCGGCTTCCCAAAGTGCTGGGATTACAGGCGTGAGCCACCGCGCCCGGCCTAGGAGTCTTAAGATTCAGATGAAAAATGTAAGAAATCAATGTTTTGTGCAGATGGAACGAAATGCCTCTCAGAGGACCTGCAGGGGGTGAGGGGCAGGTTCATTAGCTTGACTGTGGTGACAGTTTCAGGGGCATGTAAAAATACATCACATCTTATTTATTTAATTTAATTTTATTTATTTATTTATTTTATTTGAGATTGGAGTCTTGCTCTGTCGCCCAGGCTGGAGGGCAGTGGCGAGACTCTCGGCTCACTACAAGCTCTACCTCCTGGGTTCATGCCATTCTCCTGCCTCAGCCTTCCAAGTAACTGGGACTACAGGCGCCCACCACCACGCCCGGCTAATTTTTTTTGTATTTTTTAGTAGAGACGGAGTTTCACTGTGTTAGCCAGGGTGGTCTCGATCTCCTGACCTTGTGATCTGCCCGCCTCAGCCTCCCAAAGTGCTGGGATTACAGGTGTGAGCCGCCACGCCCGGCCTGTATTTATTTTTTTGAGATGGAGTCTCGCTCTGTTGCCCAGGCTGGAGTCCAGCGGCGCAATCTTGGCTCACTGCAACCTCTGCCTCCTGTCCCAGGTTCGAGCAATTCTCCTGCCTCAGCCTCCGGAGTAGCTGGGAGTACAGGCGTGCGCTACCACACCCAGCTAATTTTTATATTTTTAGTAGAGACGGGGTTTCACCATATTGGTCAGGCTGATCTGAAACTCATGACCTCATGATCCACCCGCCTCAGCCTCCCAAAGTGCTGGGATTACAGGCATGAGCCATCGCACCCGGACTTATTATTTTTTTCAGACAGAATCTTGCTATGTCCCCCAGGGTAGAATACAGAGGCACAATCTTGGCTCACTGCAACCTTTGCCTCCCACATTCAAGCAATTCTCCTGCCTCAGCCTCCTGAGTAGCTGGGACTACAGGTGTACACCACCATGCCAGGCTAATTTTTGTATTTGTAGTAGAGACAGGCTTTCACCAGTAACCCTAGGAAAGAGTAAACCTCAATAGTTGTAACAGCATGCCCTGTCACAGTAATCCTAGGTCGTGGCTCGCACCTGTAATCCCAGCATTTTGGGAGGCCGAGGTGGACGGATCACCAGGTCAGAAGATCGAGACCATCCTGGCTAATTTTTTGTATTTTTAGTAGAGACGGGGTTTCACCGTGTTAGCCAGGAGGCTGAGGCAGGAGAATGGTGTGAACCAGGGAGGCGGAGCTTGCAGTGAGCCGAGATGGCGCCACTGCACTCCAGCCTGGGTGAGCAAGACTCTTGAGACACCGTCTCAAAAAAAAAAAGAGTACACTTCAGTATTTACAACAGCACACTGAGCACACTGTCACAGTAACCCTAGGAAAGAGTAAACCTTAATAGTTACAATAGCACACCCCGTCACGTAACCCTAGGGAAGAGTAAACCTCAATAGTTAAAACAGCACACCCCGTCACAGTAGCCCTAGGAAAGAGTAAACCTCAATAGTTACAACAGCACACCCTGTCACGGTAACCTTAGGAAAGAGTAATCTCAGTAGTACAACAGCTACAACACGCCCTGTCACGGTAACTCTAGGAAAGAGTAAACCTTAATAGTTACAATAGCACACAGTTGTCACAGTGACCCTAGGAAGGACTGGCCAGGCCAGGGCTGTGTACAGTTGGGTCTTGCACATCTGTACATCCGCTCACCTGTCTTCCATTGAGTCTTCTCTTCTATACGGGGAGTTCCTTATTGTGATCTCCATGCAGTGATCTCTCAGCTCCCCCTCCTCAAGGGAATCCCGCTTGGAATCCCGGTCATCAGACTAAGAAGCAAAGAGAAAGTTAATCATTTTCTTTATAAGTTTTTTTTTCTTCATAGATAAAAGTATTTTTAATGATAATCAAACCTGGGCAACATCCCAAAACAAACTTTCACATGTACTCTGAATGAGCCAGTGTTATAAAATATAAAGAATTTTTGGCCAGGTGCAGTGGCTCACGCTTGTTAATCCCAGCACTTTGGGAGGCCGAGGCGGGTGGATCACGAGGTCAGGACATTAAGACCATCCTGGCTAACACGGAGAGACCCCATCTCTACTAAAAATACAAAAAATTAGCTTGGCATGTTGGTGAGCCCCTGTAGTCCCAGCTACTCAGGAAGCTGAGGTAGGAGAATGGTGTGAACCTGGCCCTGGGCGACAGTGCGAGATTCCGTCTCAAAAACAAAAAAAAAGCTAACAAAGTGAGCACATGCTATTGGAAAAATACTCAAAGCAGAGTTGCTACAAACCTTTAATTTGGAAAAATTTCAATATCTGTGAAGCATAATAAAGTGAAGTGCAAGGTATGCCTGTACTCACTAACATCCCAAATGATGCTACAAATCTTAGCAAAAGAGGTACTTTGCCAATGCCTCTTACCAAATTACTAAAAAGGTTTCCTGAGTACATTACCATGCAAACCAAGAAAGACGTAAAATATTTATATTAATTTCAAGGCAAGTTCCCACTATATTAAAAATACTTAGAGATAGTATTATGAATATACTAATAATGAACCGAGAAAAATTAGTCCAGTTTTGCTAATGACTTAACATTCAACGTATTTTATTCTCCATGTATGCTCAATCTAGACACAGCTTTAGTGTGTTAAATCTGCCTTTAATGTCAACTGAATATTAGAATACATTTTGGGCTCACCTGCGACATTTGGAAGTACAAAAGAACTTCACCGAAGAAGCGTTGTTCTAATGGAAAAATGAGGGCAAAGAAATTAAATCTCCTTTAAGAAAACCACTTACTTAAAAAAATATGGCTTACATTTTTTAAGCGTTTTATCTCTGCTTTCTCCTCTTGTTCCTTCCTTCGTTTCTTTTCCTGAAGAATTTCATCTAAAGTTTTCACTTTCCAAGAGTCCTTTTCATCACCCATTTGAGTTAAAACACTGCAAAAAGAAAAATAATTCAGCCTACATCAGGACACAGCAAGCTATGGTGCTGAACACTTGAACCTAGTCACTTTTGAGGGATTCAGAATAAATCCTCATTAAGAATAAGAAGTTGTGCCCGGCGCAGTGGCTCAAGACGGTAACCCTAGCACTTTGGGAGGCCGAGGCGAGCAGATCGCTGGAGTTCCGGAGTTCAACACCAGCCCGGGCAACATGGCAAAACCTCGTCTCTACAAAAAATACAAAAGTTAGCCCAGTGTGGTGGCGCGTGCCTGTATTCCTAGCTACAGGAAGGAGGCTGCTAGAGGCAGGAGGATCACTTGAATCAGAGAGGTCAAGGCTGCAATGAGCCAAGACTGCGCCACTGCACTCCAGCCTAGATAACAAAGTAAGACTTGGTTAAAAAAAAAAAAAAAAAAAGGTAAGCTCTAGGCTGAGGCGGGTGGATCACAAGGTCGGGAGGTCAAGACCAGCCTGGCCAACACGGCGAAAACCCTGTCTCCACTAAAAATACAAAACTTAGCTGGGCGTGGTGGCGGGTGCCTGTAATCCCAGCTACTCGGGAGGCCGAGGCAGCAGAATCGCTTGAATCCGAAAGGCGGAGGTTCCGGTGAGCCGAGGTCGCGTCACTGCACTCCAGCAAGACCCCGTCTCAAAAAAAAAAAAAAAAAAAAAAAAAAAAAAAAAAACAAGAATGATAAGTTGTAAGCCAGGCAAGGTGGCGAGCGCCTGTAGTCCCATATACTCTGCAAGCTGAGATGGGAGACCGATTGAGCCCAGGAGTTCCAGGCTGAAGTGCGCTTGTGAACAGCCACTGCGCTGCAGCATGGGCGACAAAAAAGAGTGATGGGTTCTGAAAAATGACCGCTTGAAATCAAGTCTCGTTTCTGTCATTCTTGTATGGTCTTGGGTAACGTAATTCACCTCAGTTCAGTCTTCCGTACAACCAGAATAACAACACCTACGTGATAGTATCGATCGCGGATTAAAGATCATCCGTTTAAAGGCTCTTAACTCAGGACCTGCCACTCATCAAACACTGCTTTTACTGTCAGAATCTGCTAGAAAGACCGCTTGGACTACGTGAAGCCACTAGCACACTGGACAGCTGCACCTTGAGACCGGGGAGATGCTCCGAGATGTGCTCGCGAACAAGGCCACCTGACCCGGGCACTGGGCTATTTCCTCGGGTTCAGTCCCGCACACTTGAGGTTCAGCCTGGCAGACGTTGGCTCCAGACAGCGTTTGGACCCGCCGCCTCCACCACCCAAAGTTCCGTGCGGGATGAGACTGTCCGCGGAAGCGAGGGTGTCGCTCGCCCCCGGGCCCGGGTCCGCCCCGCTCCGAGGCCTGCTCGGAAGAAAGACCTCGGTGCGCAGTTCTCGTCGCGCTCCCACACCTGGTCCGCCCAGTCGGAACTCACCCCTACGGGGCCGCGGCCGGTCCCTGAGCCTGAGAAGAAACAGCAACCGGCGCTCGCCAGAAGTATCCTCACTTCCTGTGTTGACGCCTAATGATGATATAATAGCCGACCTCTGGCCCAGAACTCAAGACGACAGGGGCTCGCTCTGTGCGGCACTTCCTGTGTCTGCGCGGGATGATGACGCATAAAACAGCGCTTGCTCAGGTCCAGGACTCCAAAAGAAACTGCGCCGTGAGCTGCACTTCCGACTTCGGCGCGGGCCGGGGCGCCGAGCAGAGCGACGCCGACTTTTGGAGCAGTTTGCGCCTGCGCGGAACGCGTGGCCGGCTTCCGGAATCCTACCGGGACTTTTCCGGTAGCGAAGCCCGCGCCTGTGCCAAGGCTTGCGAGCAGAATGCCTTCGCGATGGACGCCCGCATTCCACCCCCTTGACCGCTGGGACCCCTAGTGGCGGGTGGGTGGAGCGCGCTCCATTTACCTGCTGGTTACCTCGTGAGGCGCCTCAGGTCTGTGTGTCTTGTAAAGGCCGATCTCGGAATTTAACTCTGAACCTTACTCAGAAACAAAGCAGGGAGAGCTCTTACGATGTGATTTTATTTTATTTATTCATGTATTTACTTTTGAGTCGGAGCCTTGCTCTGCCGCCCAGGTTGGAGTGCAGTGGCGTGGTCTTGGCTCACTGCAGCCTCCTCCCGGGTTCAAGGAATTTTCCTGCCTCAGCCTCCCGAGTAGCTGGAACCACAGGCCCGCGCCACCACGCCCGGCTAATTTTTATATTTTTGGTAGAGACGAGGTTTCGCCATATTGGCCAGGCTGGTCTCGAACTCCTGACCTCAAGTGATCCGCCTGCTTCGTCCTCCTAAAGTGCTGGGATTACAGGCGTGAGCCACCGCGCCGGGCCTTTTACAATGTGATTTTGAAGCTGACACTGGCAGTGGGTCCTCAAAGTGCAGACTCACTGGGTATGGTGCTTCCCCCAACTCCCAGGGCCCCACTCCAAACCCATGGATTCAGAGCATTGCAGGAGAAGAGGATAAAACGAGCAATTAATTCCCTTTCCATATGTCAGGTTTTCCTCTTGCCTTGAAAAGTCACAGAAAAATGCTTTAGACATCTGAATCTCAGGAAACAAACAATGGAAGATAAACATCCGCATTTACTGGGCCTGAAATGGGAAAATGAAAGATGTGGCAAGAAACTGACAAGGGCCCAAGAAGGGCGATGGGTATCGGAATTCTTTTCATCCCGGAATGAAATGCTGCTTGCTTTGTGTACCCAAGCTCTTTTTTTATTTTTATTTTTTTGAGACGGAGTCTCGCTCTGTTGCCCAGGCTGGAGTGCAGTGGCGCGATCTCGGGTCACTGGAAGCTCCGCCACCCGGATTCACGCCATTCTCCCGCCTCCACTCCATTCGCCCGCATTAGGCTCCTGAGTACCTGTGACTACAGGCGCCTGCCACCATGCCCGGCTAATTTTTTTTTTATTTTCGGTAGAGACGGGGTTTTACCGTGTTAGCCAGGATGGTCTCAATCTCCTGACCTCGTGATCAGCCTGCCTCTGCCTCCCAAAGTGCTGGGATTACAGGCGTGAGCCACCGCGCCTGGCCTCCCCCAAGCTCTTAATGTTGCTTCCTGAGTTCTTGGTAACTGGGGAAATCTCCCTATTTTTTTATTTTTATTTTTTTTTGAGACGGAGTCTTGCTCTGTCGCCCAGGCTGGAGTGCAGTGGCGCAATCTCGGCTCACTGCAAGCCCCACCTCCCGGGTTCAACGCCATTATCCTGCGAGCCTCAGCCTGCCGAGTAGCTGGGACTACAGGCACCCGCCACCGCGCCTGGCTAATTTTTTGTATTTTTTTTAGTAGAGACGGGGTTTCACTGTGTTCGCCAGGATGGTCTCGATCTCCTTACCTTGTGATTCGCCCGCCTTGGCCTCCCAGAGTGCTGGGATTACAGGCGTGAGCCACTGCGCCTAGCTATTTTTATTTTTTCTGATAGGGAGACTCGCTCTGGCCCAGGCTGGAGGGCAGTGGCGGGATCTCCGCTCATTGCAAGCTCCGCCTCCTGGGTTCACGCCATTCTCCCGCCTCCACTCCATTCTCCCATCTTAGGCTCCAGAGTAGCTGGGCCACCATGCCCGGCTAATTTTTTGTATTTTTAGTTGAGACCGGGTTTCACTGTGTTAGCCAGGATGGTCTTGATCTCGTGACCTCGTGATCTGCCTGCCTTGGCCTCCCAAAGTGCTGGGATTACAGGCGTGAGCCACAGCACCCTGCCCTTTTTTTTGAGAAATAAGTCTCACTGTGTCACCCAGGCTGGAGTAGAGTGACACAATTTTGGGTAACTGCAGCTTCCACCTCCCAGGTTCAAGTGATTCTCCTGCCTCAGCCTCCCGAGTAGCTGGGACTACAGGCGCCCACCACTACGCCCGGCTAATTTTTTTGTGTTTTTAGTTGAGACGGGGTTTCACTGTGTTAGCCAGGATGGTCTTGATCTCATGACCTTGTGATCTGCCTGCCTTGGCCTCCCAAAGGGTTGGGATTACAGGCGTGAGCCACAGCACCTTTTTTTTTCTGTTTTGAGAGAAAGTCTCGCTGTGTCACCCAGACTGGAGTGCAGTGGCACAATTTTGGGTAACTGCAGCCTCCGTCTCCTGGGTACAAGTGATTCTCCTGCCTCAGCCTCCCGAGTAGCTGGGATTATAGGCGTGCGCCACCACACCTGGCTAACTTTTGTATTTTTAGTAGCGACAGGGTTTTGCCATGTTGGCCAGGCTGGTCTTGAACTCCTGACCTAAAGTATCTGCCCACCAGCCTCCCAAAGTGCTGGAATTATAGTCATGAGCCACCGTGCCCGGCCAAAAATCTCCAGTTTACCCTTCCTTTGTGAAATCTGTTGAGTACCCAAATGCAGCCACTCATGTCAAACCCTAACAAAATCGACCCCAGAGCCCACGAGGAGGGGGTGGCCTCGCACTTGCGCTTGATAGGAGCTGCCACAAAGGCCTTTCCCAACCAGAACTTTGGGTCCAGCCACTTCTGTGAAGAGCCTCTTTGCTAGCAATAGCCAGCCCCACCGGTGAACAAAGTAGCATGAACACCAGAGGTCCACAAGGAAGAAAACAAAGCAGTCCATATTTAACATTTATTTTACTTTGCTGAGCAAGAATCATAGACAGCTACTACCACGGCTGCTTCGTTTGGACAAAAATAACCAGGAGGCATCCACGGGATTAGTTACACGGTATCAACTTACCACCACAGCAGAATCAACAGTGACTCGCTAATTAACAGAACCGTTTGCTAGAAAGCACTAATCTAGTTATATAAATACTGAAATAGGTCACATGCAAAACACTATAAACGTTTTGTGTGATGTACTTTTAGTTCTCCATAGTTTTGTTTGGTATAAAGGAAATATAATTTGGCTGTGACGTAGACTGTTGATGTAATTTTCAAGTTTTCCTGTATGGGGAAAGTTGCCCTGACTGTGGCCCTTTTCAAGGTGGAGCCTCCAACACCACGTTGGCAGATTCAGACTCCGTGAACAGTCTAAATGAGCAAGTCAGCTGAATGCCACTTTCAGATGGAAGGGAAATGAGATGGAAAACAACAAAAAAGGACTGCCAGGCGGAACAGTTTCCAACCGAGTTTTCGTTGAGTGAGGATCCAGCAGCCATCAAACTCAAACATAGGGGCCCGCAGGGAAACTGGAGGAAATACTTCAGAGACAGCAAAGCTGAAGGTTTCTGTGCTCTGAGGGATCCGAGAGTGGATGTCCCACTCCTGTATCCTCAGCCAGACACAGAACTAGCCAGATTCATTAGGGAAGCTCAGATGCTCTCATTCTATAAAGTAAGGCCCCCAGCAGGGCACGTACATACATTGGGAAAGAAGAAACCCCTTAGTACCATGTTGGTCAAAGGCAAGAGAGAGAATTCTATTTCCATCTGGAATGTCATTCTTGTTTACTTCTTCCAACAGTGAAATACTTCCAGGCCTTCGAAAGGCCATCCTTTGGACACATGTAAAAAGCTGTCTTGTTGGCCCGTTATTCCCACTGACCCGTCTGAGTGATCACCCAGGAGCGCGGCGGCAGCAAGCAGAGCTCACCGGATTTGGGACAAGGATTTTAAAGGCAGCTACAAAGCTGAGCTCTATTTGCTGATGATAGTCTCTGTTCAGCTGTTTAAAATGACTGTCTGACTCACCATGGTAATTTTTCACAAATTAAAAACACATTTTGGGTTGTGCAACAGTGTTCTCATCTTTCCAGGCAGGCAGATTATTTTAATGCTGTTATACAGGGAATTGGGACTCTCGGATTTTCTTTTTTAACCTTTTTATGCCTTTCAGTAGGGGAAGTTTCCTTGAAAGTTAGAGAGCTGCAAATCTCTAAGTATCAATGTAAAGAAGCCGATGACCCAATTCGGAAGGTGGTTCAAGTGTTCTGTTTGTTTACAAAGGCACAGACCACGACCATGGACACACCCAGTGGAAGTAACCACACCCGGTGTGTTCCTAGAAGCTCATCTGTGACAGTTCAACAAGAACTTACTATTCTAGAAAAGTATTACACAAAGTTATTTAAAAAAATGTCTGTACAATCGTTAACACGGCCAAGCCAGGCCTTGGGTTTTGCCTCTTGGTGTCCAGCTGTGCTGGGAATGCCATGAAGACCAGCGGCTGGAAACTGACTTGGGCATGGAGAAGAGACTGAGGGAGAGGGAGGGGACAGCACGACTGAGCAAGGGCACAGTGCTGGCTGCCTCATGGGCTCCAGGCTCCTTCTGCCAGGATGAGGAAGAGGCCCCAGAGCAGCGTTACACAGGAAATCAACCTATTTGCTAATCCTTTGGAAAAACGTTTGTTTCTGGTCCACAAACAGAAAATCCAAACAGGATGGCAGCTCCTTGTGAGGGTGGAGGGGAGGGCACCAGATTCTGTGCGGCTGGAAATTCCAAGGTGCTCAGAACCAGGCGCCTGCACCTCTCCTTATGCCAGACCACAATCTTCAAAGAGGCCGGCAGCCATATTCTCGATGGGGAGGTGGACAAGGCCACCCTGGGAGTTGCTTTCAATCTGTCCTCACAAATCAACAACTCCCCGCCACCTCCAGAGCATTTTCTAATAGTGTTTGTTTTTGAGACGGAATCTTGCCCTGTTGCCCAGGCTGGAGTGCAATGGCACGATCTTGGCTCACTGCAACCTCCGCCTCTGGGGTTCAAACAATTCTCCTGCCTCAGCCTCCTGAGTAGCTGAGATTACAGGCACCCACCATCACACCCAGCTAATTTTTGTATTTTTGGTAGAGACAGGGTTTCATCATGTTGGCCAGGCTGGTCTCGAACTCCTGGCCTTGTGATCCGCCATCTGCAGCCTCCCAAAGTGCTGGGATTAGAGGCCTGAGCTACCGCAGCCGGTCTTCTATTAGTTTTTGAGGAAAGCAGAAAAAAAGAAATGGAAACCCAGGGAAAGTCACGTGACAAAACATCTTCGCAGCGCAGTGAGCACACACCTGGCCTGTCCTCCACACACAGGTCAGCGGTTTTATAGAAGCGGCTGAAGCAGGTGTAGTAGCCCACGCCTATATTCTCGACACTACAGGAGGCTGAGTGGGAAGGATTGCTTGAGCCGAGGAGTTCAAGACCAGCCTGGGCAACAAAGCGAGAGCCCAGCTCAACAAAAAAATAGCCAGGCATGGTGGCACGTGCCTGTGGTTCCAGCCACATGGGAGGCTGAGGTGGATCACTTGAGCCCAGGAAGTCGAGGCTGCAGTGAGCCAAGATCATGCCACTGTACTCCAGCCTGGGTGACAGACAGAGCAAGACTGTCTCAAAAAAATAAAAAGGTTACTTGTGGGTTAAAAAGCCTCACTTCGGTCCATCATCATGGCAGACTTTTTTGAGTAGGTAGAAGTTAATGAGTCAGAATTATTGCTCTGTTTCTGAACGATTTTATCTTCAGGAGGGGCTATTTTTGTATTTCCCAGGTGAGAAGCCAAATGGAAAACCAGTGAAGTGACCATGGGTGCCAAAGGCCTAAAGAGCAGGCAGGGAAATGAGACTCGGGACCACTGGAGCCCCATGCTGCCTCTGACAAGCCCTGGAGCTCTGGGTCTCAAAGGCTGGCTGGCAACAGGCTGCACCGGGCATGGGAATCCGCCGGCTGCGAGATTGGGGGTAAAGAGCTCAGACATGGTCAGAAGCCTCTGCCTAACACACGGCTCCAGTAGCCACTCCTCAGGCCTCCTGCGCCCTCGGGGGTGCGTGACACAGGAGGATGAGTTGAGCTGGCTGGTGGCCCCAGTGTGCCGTACTACTGTCCCTTGGGGAGAGTGGGACAGGGTGGGCGCCTGACACACACCACGCGCCCCAGAAACATTCAGTGTGGACGTTTCCTTTTTCAGCAAGGACGGCGCCCAGGTAAACGCCACGTAACCCAAACCATCAACACTGCAGCGTCCTGCCCAAGGCTCACGTGGGGAACCGGACAGGTGCTAGATGATGATAGGAACGGTGGGCTCTGAGGGAGGACAGACAGGCTCACCCCACGGGGACCTCAGAACAGCCTGCCTCATACTCAGAGTCCAAAAAAGAAAAGGAACGTACACATCTCCTCCCAAGTTAAACACGAGAGGTTTGTCCTCAACCTCAGGGCTGGAAACCACCACAGGTAGGAGGCTGGGCACGGGGGCTCGGCCTGTCATCCCAGCACTGTGGGAGGTCGGGTGCTAGAATCCCAGCACTGTGGGAGGCCAGGCACGGGGGCTCACGCCTGTAATCCCAGCACTATGGGAAGCTGGGCGTGGGGGCTCAGCCTGTAATCCCAGCACTGTAGGAGGCCGGGCGCCGTGGCGCATGCCTGTAATCCCAGCACTGTGGATGGCCGAGGCAGGCGGATCACGAGGTTAGGAGTTCGAGACCATCCTGGCTAACACGGTGAAATCCCATCTCTGTTAAAAATACAAATAACTAGCTGGGTGTGGTGGCGGGTGCCTGTAATCCCAGCTACTTGGAAGGCTGAGGCAGGACAATAGCTTGAACGCGGGAGGAGGAGGCTGCAGTGAGCTGAGATCTCACCACTCACTGCACTCCAGTTTGGGTGACAGAGCGAGACTCTGTCTCAAAAAAAAAAAAAAAAACAAGAACATCTCCCACACACTCACAGTGCCTTTGTAGCCCCAGGGAAAGCAATCCCTTAAGATCATTTGTTGGGTGAAAAGGGTACCAAGTACACAGTGTTAGGACCGTGCAAAAAAAGGGTGACAGGAAGTACCCTTTGCAAACTTTCCATAATGTGTACTTAATTCACTGCTCTTATAAAATGAAATTAAATAAAACAAAAAAATACTACTGAAAAATAATTGGGCAACATGCGGTGGCTCACGCCTGTAATCCCAGCACTTTGGGAGGCCAAGGCAGACGGATCACCTGAGGTCGGGAGTTCGAGACCAGCCTGGCCAAGATGATGAAACCCTGTCTCCACTAAAAATACAAAAATTAGCTGGGCATGGTGGCAGGCACCTGTAATCCCAGCTTCTCGGGAGACTGAGGCAGGAAAATGTCTTGAACCTGGGAGGTGGGGTTGCAGTGAGCCGAGATCGCGCCACTGCACTCCAGCCTGGGCAACAGCGTGAGACTCTGGCTCCAAAAAAAAAAAAAAAAAAAGGAAAAATAATTGGGCTGAGTGTGGTGGCTCATAATTGCAGTCCTAGCGCTTTGGGAGGCCAAGGTGGGTGGATCACTTGAGGCCAGGAGTTCAAGATCAGCCTGGACAACACAGCAAAATCCCATCTCTCAAAAAAAGTAAAATAAAATAAAATAACAAAAAACAAAAATTAGCCCAGCGTGGTGGTGGACACCTGTAGTCCCAGCTACTCAGGAGGCTGAGGCGAGAGGATCACTTGAGCAGGGAGGCGGAGGTTGCAGTGAGCTGAGATGGCACCACCACACTCCAGCCTGGGTCACAGAGCAAGACTCTGTCTCAAAAAAAAAAAAAAAGTTTTTTTTTTTTGAACCACTGCTAACAATCACTAATGTTCACTAAAACACTAGGCTTCAGGAGCATTTGGAAATAATTCCTGACCGCACAAAGAAACATGCTGGTGAGAGACAGTGACCAAGCCCAGGAGACCACCATGAGTTCCAGAAAAAGTGAGAGAGAGCGGCCACTTTTCCTGTCTCGGAGATACCTCCTACTCAGGACGCAGGAAGCATGGGGCAGGGCAGCGCCATGGACAAGGCGACTCGGTGCAGGGCCTGCGGGACCTGCAGGTGAGAGGAAGCACAAGCTCCAGCTCCTCAGCTGTGGAACGCTGCGTGCGTGGTGCACAGCTACCAGCTCGGATGGGTATTTGAGAATTTACCGCACTGACTTGGACCAGACGGAAAGCAGAGAAGAGGGAGAGCTACACCTGACTGTCCACCATTCCCGCCAGCCCCAACGTCGGCTTTTCACTTCATGTTTGGGGACAATTACACCTCCTCATGACAGATCAGAAGTTTCAGAAAAAAGGTCCGCTGATTTCCGCAACAGGGTATGAGGTGGCCAGCTGCTGATGCCAGCTGCATGGACTCCTATACTTGCTGGTAACATAACCTCATTCCTTTGTATTTGCCACCAAAAAGTCTCCAGTCTTTTTTTTTTTTTTTTTTTTTTTGAGACGGAGTCTCACTCTGTAGCCCAAGCTGGAGTGCAGTGGCACAATCTCGGCTCACTGCAACACCCGCCTCCCGGGCTGAAGTGATTCTGATGCCTCAGCCTCCCACGCAGCTGGGACTACAGGTGCATTTCACCAGGCCTGGCTAATTTTTTGTGTTTTAGTAAAGACAGGGTTGCCCATGTTGCCCAGGGTGGTCTCGAACCCCTGAGATCAGGCAATCTGCCTGCCTTGACCTCCAGTCCACCTGGCTAGTCTCCAGTCTTTAAATTGCACCTTTGGCCGGGTGCAGTGGCTTGCACCTGTCATCCCAGCACTGTGGGAGGCCGAGGCGGGCGGATCGCCTGAGGTCAGGAGTTTGAGACCAGCCTGGCCAACATGGTGAAACCCCGTCTCCACTAAAAATACAAAAATTAGCCGGGCATGGTGGCACGCGCCTGTAATCCCAGCTACTTGGGAGGCTGAGGCAGGAGAATCACTTCAACCCGGGAGGCGGAGGTTGCAGTGAGCCGAGATCAAACCAAAGAAATCCAGCTCTGGGTGACAGAGCAAGACTCTGTTTCGGGAAAAATAAAATACATAGGCAGGGCGCGGTGGCTCACGCCTGTAATCCCAGCACTTTGGGAGGCTGAGGCGGGCAGATCACAAGGTCAGGAGATCGAGACCATCCTGGCTAACACGGTGAAACCCAGTCTCTACTAAAAATACAAAAAAAAATTAGCCGGGCGTGGTGGCGGACGCCTGTAGTCCCAGCTACTCGGGAGGCAGAGGCAGGAGAATGGCGTGAACCCAGGAGACGGAGCTTGCAGTGAGCTGAGATGGCGCTACTGCACTCCAGCCTGGGCGACAGAGCAAGACTCCATCTCAAAAAATAAAATAAAATACATAAACAAATAAATTGCAGCTTCATTCAATCTGCCCAGTTACAGAAGTGGAAAGAAGCTGAAGGATCCTCCCCGTTTCTAGAGCTGCACCGCATGGCACAGGAAGCAGTGGCCACAGGTGTCTGTTCAAGTTCAAACTGACAGCAATCAGCTTGAATTCCGAATCTGGTTCTTGTTATATTCTCCACATTTCAAGGGCTCAGAAGCCGTATGTGGCCAGTGGCTCCTGCACTGGACAGCCCAGAAGAGACCATTCCATTCCTGCAGACAAAACTAGTCGCAGCACCCTGCTATTCTAGACAGAAAGCACTCAATTTCAAAAACCTTCAAACTCAGAGACTTCTAGTGGAGATTTCCCTAAATACCTATTTCACACAGTTTACGGTTTATTTTACAGTTTCTCATTTGTTTTTTTGTTTTATTTATTTTTTTTGAGAAGGACTCTCGCTCCCATCCCCCAGGCTGGAGTGCAGTGGTGAGATCTCGACTCACTGTAACCTCTGGCTCCTGGGTTCAAGTGATTCTCCTGCCTCAGCCTCCCGAGTAGCTGGGATTACAGGTGCCCAGCATCACACCCGGCTAATTTTTGTATTTTTAGTAGAGATGGGGTTTCACCATGTTGGCCAAGCTGGTCTTGAACTACTGACCTCAAGTGATCCACTTGCCTTGTCCTCTCAAGTGCTGGGATTACAGGCATGAGCCACTGGGCCCGGCCTATCGTTTGCATTTCAAA
Organism: Homo sapiens; assembly: GCF_000001405.40. Taxonomy (NCBI): domain Eukaryota; kingdom Metazoa; phylum Chordata; class Mammalia; order Primates; family Hominidae; genus Homo; species Homo sapiens. The sequence continues at coordinate 1,734,533 of NC_000001.11, forward strand.
CAGCATGGGTATAAAATAGCCTAGTAATTACACTGCATAGCCACAGTCATCCCCGTGGAAGAGAATCACATGTGTCCCTTATAAAAATACCTAGATTTCTGGTCTCCTTTGTAAACAACCTGGACACACTCAACTCTTGGGAAGTTCCTCTGCTCACCTGAAAGTCACCGGGGAGATTTTCCCCATGAGGGCGTACGCCGTGACGCTCTGAAGGTGGAACAGGACTCCGTCTGTCAGAAGCAGCAGCACCACGTCCTGGTTGTAGCTGAAGCTCTTCCCGCTCCTCCCGATCACTGGGACGTCCTATGTGGCAAACAAAAGGGTACTCTATTGGTTTCCATTTTCCATTTACTAATCATCCACCACGAACACCCAGCGCCACTCCTGCCCAGAAACTGGGTAAAGCTGCTGCCACTGAGGACAGCCCTGAAAATGCCTCGAGGGGACAGCTGAACTGTGCACTCATCCATTTTCTGTTTTTTGTTTGTTTTTATTATTTTTTGCACTAATTAATTTTCACCATGCAGATGCAAATGGACAACAAGCACATGAAAAAGGCTGAACATCACCATCATCAGGAAAATGCAACAGAAACCCCAATGCGGGGCCGGGCGTGGCCAGTCTGGCCAACACGGTAAAACCTCGTCTCTACTAAAAACATAAAAACTAACCAGGCATGGTGGTGGGCGCCTGTAATCCCAGCTACTCAGGAGGCTGAGGCAGGACAATCACTTGAACCCGGAGGCGGAGGTTGCAGTCAGCTGAGATGGCACCACTGTACCCCAGCCTGGGCGACAAGACAGAGACTTCTCTGGGCTGCCAGAGGCTCCGGAAGCCGGGTGCCTCAGGCCGTGGCAGTTCCGTCACTCTCCAACGCCTCCCCCACAGACTTCTTTTTGCTAAATGGTATCAAGATTTTCTCGTTGTTGTCAGCAAGAGAGTTGGTTTTCTAACATCTCATCGACCATGGCTGGAGGTCAAATCGATGTTTTAAACTTGCTGGAAATAAACGGTTCCTTTCTTGCATGGCTCGATGAGCAATAAGGTTCCTCTGTGTCATTTTGTTTACGATTTTTAGGATTGCTTTTTAAAGCCGGACACGGCGGCTGATGGCTGTAATCCCAGCACTTTAGGAGGCCGAGGCAGGAGGATCACTTGAGATAAGGAGTTCAGGACCAGCATGGGCAACACAGCGAGACCCCATCTCTATAGAAAACACAAAAATGAGGCTGGGGGTGCTCATACACGCACTGAGGGTTGACCCTGGTGTTCTTGCCTTCTTAGATTCTTCTGGAGCTGGAGATGAACTCGGACCTCAAGGCCCAGCTCAGGGAACTGATTATTACAGCAGCGAGGGAAACTGAAGTTGGTGGTGGTGAGAAAGTTATCATGGGCAGGTACAGCAGCTCACGCCTGGAATCCCAGCACTGTGGGGAGCTGAGGCGGGAAGATCACGAGGTCAGGAGCTCAAGACCAGCGTGGCCAACATGGTGAAACCCCGTCTCTACTAAAAATACAAAAATTAGCTGGGTGTGGTGGCACGTGCCTGTAATCCCAGCTACTCAGGGGGCCGAAGCAGGAGAATCGCTTGAACCCGGGAGGCAGAGGCTGCAGTGAGCCAAGATTGCGCCACTGCACTCCAGCCTGGGCAACAAAGCGAGACTCCATCTCAAAAAAAAAGAGGGCCGGCTGTGGTGGCTAACACCTGTAATCCCAGCACTTTGGGAGGCTGAGGCGGGCGGATCAACGAGGTCAGGAGATCGAGACCATCCTGGCTAACACAATGAAACCCAGTCTCTACTAAAAATACAAAAAATTAGCCGGATGTGGTGGTGGGCGCCTGTAGTCCCAACTACTCAGGAGGCTGAAGCAGGAGAATGGCGAGAACCCGGGAGATGGAGCTTGCAGTGAGCCGAGATCGCACCACTGCACTCCAGCCCGGGCGAGAGAGCAAGACTCCGTCTCAAAAAAAGAAAAAAAGAAAAAGGCCAGGCGCAATGGCTCACGTCTGTAATCCCAGCACTTAGGGAGGCCAAGGCGGGCAGATCACTTGAGGTCAGGAGTTCGAGAGCAGCCTGGCCAACAGGGTGAAACCCTGTCTCTACTAAAATACAACAGAATTAGCTGGGTGTGGTGGCAGACAGCTGTAGTGCCAGCTACTTGGGAGTCTGAGGCAGGAGAATCGTTTGCACCTGGGAGGCAGAGGTTGCAGTGAGCCAATACTGAGCCACTGAACTCCAGCCTGGGCGACAAGGCGACACTCTGTCTCAAAAAAAAAAAAAAAAAAGAAAGAAAGAAAGAAAAAAAAAAAAAAGGAAGTTATCATAATCTTTGTTCTTCTTCTGCCACTGAAATAATTCCAGAACATCCAAGTCTGGCTAGTACGTGAATTGGAGAAAAAGTTCACTGGTAAGTATGTCGTCTATTGCTTAGAGGAAAATTCTGCCTAAACCAACTCAAAAAAGGTGTACAAAAAATAAGCAAAAGCGTCCCAGGATCCACGCTCCGACAGCTGCGCACGTCGCAATCCTCGAGGACTCGGTCTTCCCAGGTGAAATTGTGGGCAGGAGAATCCGCGTGAAATGGACACAGCAGCTCACAAGGGTTCATTCGGACAAAGCCCAGCAGAACAACGTGGAACGCAAGGTCCAAACTTTTTCTGGTATCGATAAGAAGCTCACAGCCAAGGCTGTTAATTCTGAATCCCCAGAGTTCCCAGTTTCAATTGTTAAGAAAAATGACTAACGTATACTCACAGTGAAAAAACAAAAAGACACACAAAATACAAAAATTAGCTGGGCATGGTGGCACATGCCTGAGGTCCCAGCTACCCAACAGGCTGAGGTGGGAGGATTGCCTAAGCCTGGGAGGCCGAGGTTGCAGTGAGTCGTGACCTCGCCACTGCACTGCAGCCTGGGCGACAGAGCAAGACCCTGTCTCAAAAACATAAAAAAAACAAAAGAAAAAAAACAAAAAAAAACCAGAGTTGACTTTTAGGCTTTGATTTTGTTATAATCACCTAAACGTGTGTGCGGGTCTCAAGTGCATGTGGGGCAAGCCCAACCCCATCCTGGACCCTCGGCCTCCTCCCGTCCCCAAAGGCAGACAGACACTTCCCTCGGCCTTAAGATCTTGTCGTTTCTTAAATAAGCGAACACGTGTGCACCCCCACACTCCGTTCAAGATGCCGCGCTCTGTGGGCGCCTCTGCTCCTCGCTGGTTTTCATGCAGCCACACTGGGTACGCGACATGGGGCTGACATGTCACTGGAAATCGCCTGTGAGTCATTAAGAGGTGGGAGAGGCAGGAGCCTGGGTTGCAGCTGAGGTCAGGGGCTGGGGCCCAGGACAGGCCTGTGGTGGCGGGTGCTGGGGAGGCTGTGGGGTGCTGGCACAGGAGGGCCCACGGACCAGGGGCCACGGCCGCCTGTATGGTGCTGGCCGAAGGCGGCCCCCGCCCGTCCTCTTCGGATCAGTGATTGGCACCTGCAGTAATCTTGCTTGCCAGGAATCTGCCCAGCCCCCACCTGTCTCCCCACCCAGTTAGGGCCACGAGACACAACCCTGCCCTGACCTCCGCATGCCAGTGTGAGAACACCTGGCAGACGCCAGGCTCCAAGACACCCCCGCACATGTGACCGTGAGAGAAGTGAAGGCACTGCCAGTGTGGGCACCACTCTGAGTGGTCCTCGCGGCAGAGCCCCATGGCAGGCAGCAGAGACGGGCACCACGGATGGAGGCCTGGGATGGTGGGGCGCAGGCGGAGGGGTGGGGCCCAGGGGGCCTCACCTGTGTACTCCCCCAGAATCATCCGAGACATGATCACCGTGAAGATGGGGGCGGAGCTCTTCACCGTCTCAGCAAACGAAACCGCCACATTTTTCAGGCTGACCAAACCCAAAACCACAGTTGCAAACCTAAAAATGAGCCAAAAGCACCATCACCTTAGAACGAGTCTGTCTGCCTGCACCCACCGGGCAGGCTCTCCAAGGGGCTCGCTCGCTCGGTTGGCACGTCGGCCCCTCTCCGCCCACCTCCTCATCACCAACATGGTGCCTGGACCCGCTTCTGTGACGCTTTAGGTCGAGCCCCCAGGAAACGGCACTGCGTCCAATGGGAAGTGACTTCTGCCACCCCTTGAAAACGTCCCAGAGACAAGGAGGCACCCTGTCCTGAGACCACCAGCCCGGAAAGAAGCTGACTGAACACACGTGGCAGTGAGAGCCACGAAGCCACATTCATTTGGTGTCCTGAAATCTGGACAGCCCTGGTGCTTTTATAAAGTCTGCACTGAAAACTCACCAGCCAGCAGAGTCCCCGCTCTAGTAACGAGAGGGACTTTACATTTAAAGAAAAAGAGACACTCAACCAAAACCAGGAGATTCTTTACCTCATCAGACCCACAAACAGCATCGTCATAAGGAAGTTGGGTGGGTAGGAAAGCCGGGCCTTGTGCTGATATAAACAGCAAGGAACGAGGGTTTTCACACACCCGATAACCGTGGTGGACAGCATCTGCACCGCACCTGCGGGAGGGAGGGGGCCGAAGACAAGAGGGAGAATCACCCCTCCCGTGCCTGCAGTGGGCTCCACCCCCGGTCTCCCATCCTGACCTGGGCTCCCCCGGCCCTCCCGGGTGGTTGCTGGCTGCTCCCTGTGGGGTGGCAGGTGGCCGGCTTCCACCCTGCCCGAGCCGCCGCCTACCTAGCATGCTGGGCTCGCCTCCCAGCAGGGACAGGATGTACTTGTTGAGGAAGAGCGTGCAGAAGCTGAAGAAGAACCACAGCGTGAGGTAGAGCAGCGCCCGCGAGCTCCACACACCCAAGTCTGACTCGATGACCGTGGTCTCCGTGATGGTGACGGTCAGTACGTTCTCATCTGTGCCGCCGTCGCTCTTGGCAAAAACAATCTTCTCACTTCGGTGACCAAACAGAGAGCCCCAGCTGAGAGGCGACCTGCCTTTCGGCTTCTCTTCGGAGCCAGGAACCAGCTCTTCCAGTGCTGGGGTTTTCACCGAGGACGACATGCTGAAGCCACAGCCACGAACGATTTTACCTCCAGGCTGGGCAGCATGGGTCACCGTGACCGCCCGGGGGTGGGGCCGCAGCAGGGACTCCGGGCGCCAGGAACGAGGCCACCAGGGCCTCTCCCAGGCAAAGCGTAGAAGCAGACGCTAAAATATTAAGAAAAGGAAACACATCACCCGTTTTGAACATTTAATGTCCTCAAAGGTTTCAACCACCAATTTAAAATCACTTTGAAAATGCAATTGGGCCGGGCACGGTGGCTCACACCTGTAATCCCAGCACTTTGGGAGGCCGAGGCAGGTGGATCACCTTAGGTCAGGAGTTCGAGACCACCCTGGCCAACATGACGAAACCCCGTCTCTACTAAAAATATAAAAACTAGCAGGGCATGGTGGCCGGCGCCTGTAATCCCAGCTACTCGGGAGGCTGAGGCAGAAGAATTGCTTGAACCCAGGAGACGGAGGTTGCAGTGAGCCGACATGATACCACTGCACTCCAGCCTCAGTGACAGAGTGAGACTCTGTCTCAAGAAAAGAAAAAAAGAAAATGCAATCGTTCACTGTCCAAAGATTTTTAGCAATTGAATCCCGTTTTTCTCTGCGCGTGTTGGCGGATCCTTGCTCTTGAGAGACGGTCTCCTGGCACACTTGACTGTCGTCCTGGCAGACCTGGGGCTGTGGGTCCTTCACGCCCTGCCTGGCAGCTGCACCTTCTCGATGGGCTTTGTGGCTGCCGCTGCCGGGTGCCCAGGACTAATTCCATGCTACTTTCTTTTTTTTTGAGACGGGAGTCTCGCTGTGTCGCCTAGCCTGAAGTACAGTGGCGCGATCTCGGCTCACTGCAAGCTCCGCCTCGCGGGTTCTCGCCAATCTCCTGCCTCAGGCTCCTGAGTAGCTGGGACTACAGGTGCCCGTCACCACGCCCGGCTAATTTTTTGTATTTTTAGTAGAGACGGGGTTTCACAGTGCTAGCCAGGATGATCTCGATCTCCTGACCTCATGATCCGACCTCCTTGGACTCCCAAAGTGCTGGGATTACAGGCGTGAGCCTCCGTGCCTGGTCTTTTATTTTTTTGAGACAGAGTCTCTGTCGCCCAGGCTGGAGTGCAATGGCGCAATCTCAGCTCACTGCAACCTCTACCTCCCGGGTTCAAGTGATTCTCCTGCCTCAGCCTCCTGAGTAGCTGGGATTACAGGCACCCGCCACCATGCCCAGTGAATTTTTGTATTTTTATTTCATTTTTTAGATGGAGTTTCACTCTTGTTGCCCAGGCTGCAGTGCAATGGCACGATCTTGGCTCACCACAACCTCCGCCTCCCAGGTTCAAGCGATTCTCCTGCCTCAGCCTCCCAGGTAGTGGGGATTACATGCACGTGCCACCAAACCCTGCTGATTTTGTATTTTTAGTAGAGACGGGTTTTCGCCATGTTGGCCAGGCTGGTCTCGAACTCCTGACCTCGTGATCTGCCCACCTCGGCTTCCCAAAGTGCTGGGATTTACAGGCATCAGCCACTGTGCCCAGCCTCCCTTTTCTTTTTTTTTTTTGGCTGACTCATGGGTTAGAATTCTGGATTGGGCAAACACATAAACATTTTGTACATGACGAGAGCCAGATTTCATCATGTGAGTGAAGCGAGATGCAAACACGAAAGGAAGTCCTTCAAGGCAGCCTTGTAGTGAAAAAATAAAAATAAAAATGAAAAAAAGAGGCTGGGCACGGTGACTCACGCCTGTGATCCCAGCACTTCGGGAGGCTGAGGTGGGCGGATCACAAGGTCAGGACATCGAGATCCTCCTGGCCAACACAGTCAAACCCCATTTCTACTACAAAAAATTAGCCGGGCATGATGGCGCGTGCCTGTAATCCCAGCTACTCAGGAGGCTGAGCCAGGAGAATCGCTTGAACCCAGGAGGCGGAGGCTGCAGTGAGCAGAGATCGCGCCATTGCACTCCAGCCTGGGCGGCAGAGCGAAACTCTGTCCCAGAAAAAAATAAAGCTTAGAAACAAGAGGCTATGTAGTCTCGAGATAGATCCAGCCCTATGAGGCACATGTCAATCACAGAGGGAAAGCTATGCACGCACAAAGCATGTGTGAATCAGAGAGAAAGCTATGCACGCACGATGAGTAGAAGACAAACACGTCCTGCAAGGAGACGGAGGCGCAGGGAGGGGGTGGCAGCCGTCCTCCCAAGACATGAGGACTTCTAGTTCAGTCTGAGACCTTGGTGCAGGGCTGGGCGAGTAAACAAATGCAAAAGAATAAGGACCTCGAGGTCGGGCGCGGTGGCTCAAGCCTGTAATCCCAGCACTTTGGGAGGCCGAGGTGGGCGCATCACGAGGTCAGGAGATTGAGACCATCCTGGCTAACACAGTGAAACCCCGTCTCTACCAAAAATACAAAAAAATTAGCTGGGCGTGGTGGCGGGCACCTGTAGTCCCAGCTACTCGGGACGCTGAGGCTGAGACAGGAGAATGGCGTGAACCCAGGAGGCGGAGCTTTCAGTGAGCCAACATCGCGCCTTTGCACTCCACCCTGGGCGACTGAGCAAGACCCTCTCTCAAAAAAAAAAAAAAAAAAGCAAAACAGAATAAACATACGTAGGCCAGGTGCAGTAGCTCACGCCTGTAATCCCAGCACTTTGGGAGGCAGAGGCGGGCGTATCACCTGAGGTCAGGAGTTTGAGACCAGCCTTGCCAAGATGGCGAAATCCTACTAAATACAAAAATTAGCTGGACATGGTGGTGGGTGCCAGTAGTCCTAAGTACACAGGAGGCTGAGGCACGAGGATCGCTTGAACCTGGGAGACGGAGGCTTTAGTAAGCTGAGATTGCACCACTGCACTCCAACCTGGGTGACAGAGCGAGACTGTCTTAAAAAAAAAAAAAAAAACAAACAGGTCTGGTGTACGCAGAATGGAGGCACCACGAATTGCTGAAGAAGGAAACTTTATTCAGTCTATGATACCAGGACAGTTGTCCATGCTGCCAGGCAAAAAGAAAAACTGGATTCTGATCTCATTATCAGTAGACAAACAGCGACAATTAGTAACACTGACACAGCCCTGACTGTGCTGCTGGAGGGTCCGAAGCACTCTCTGCACAGCGGTGAATCCGCACAACAGCCCTCTGGGGAAGGTGCTGTTATCACCCACGTGAGACACACGAAGGAAAGACACGGCTTCGCAGCAGCAGCGTCATGATTCGAACCCAGGCGGCCTGCTCTTATGATAAACTTAAATGTGTAAAACTTTATGCTCAGGAAAATATAAGAGAATGTCTTCCTGACCCTTTTTGGGGTAGGACAATAATTTCTCTAACCAAACCCCAAAAGCATGACCCATTAAAAAAAGGGTCAGGTGGACTAACTTGGCTAAATGAAGAATTCTGTTTCACCAAAGTACACTACAAAGTGGGCCAGGCGCAGTGGCTCATGCCTGTAATCCTAGCACTTTGGGAGGCCAAGGTGGGCGGATCACTTGAGGTCGGGAGCTCGAGACCAGCCTGACCAACATGGTGAAACCCTGTTTCTACTAAAAATACAAAAATTAACCAGGTGTGGTGGTATGCACCTATAATCCTGGCTACTTGGGAGGCTGAGGCAGGAGAATTGCTTGAACCCAGGACGGGGAGGTTGCAGTGAGCCCAGACTGCGCCGCTGCACTCCAGCCTGGGCAACAGGGCGAGACTCTGTCTTAAGAAAAAAAAAGGCCAGACTTGTCTCACGCCTGTAATCCCAGCACTTTGGGAGGCTGAGGTGGGCGGATCACCCGAGGTTGAGAGTTCCAGATCAGTCTGACCAACGTGGAGAAACCCCATCTCTACTAAAAATACAAAATTAGCCAGGCATGGTGGCACATGCCTTTAACCCCAGCTGCTCAGGAGGCTGAGGCAGGAGAATCACTTGAACAGGGGAGGCAGAGGTTGTGGTAAGCCAAGATTGTGCCATTGCACTCCAGCCTGGGCAACAAGAGCAAAACTCTGTCTCAAAAAAAAAAAAGAAAAAAAATATATATATATATATACATATACACACACACACACATACCACAAAGTGAAATGAACAGCCACAACCTGGCAAAAGATACTTGCAACATGACAAAGGATTAATAACCAGAAAGTATAAAGAATTCCTACAAACCAATTAGAAAAACAGGCAAAAAAAAAAAAATATTGGCGGGGCATGGTGGCTCATGCTTGTAATCCCAGCACTTTGGGAGGCCAAGGCGGGCAGATCACCTGAGGTCAGGAGTTCGAGACCAGCCTGGCCAACATGATGAAACTCCGTCTCTACCAAAAATACAAAAATTAGCCAGGCGTGGTGGCAGGCGCCTGTAATCCCAGCCACGCAGGAGGCTGAGGCAGCAGAATCACTTGAACCTGGGAGGCGGAGGTTGCAGTGAGCTGAGACTGCGCCTGCTCCAGCCTGGGTGACACAGCAAGACTCCGTCTCAAAAAGAAAAGAAAAAAAAAAAACAAAACAACATATTTCACAGAGAAGAATTTATGTTTTTGGAGAAGGAGTTTCGCTCCTGTCGCCCAGGCTGGAGTGCAGTGGTGAGATATCAGCTCACTGCAACCTCAACCTCCCAGGTTCAAGCGATTCACAGAGGACAATTTCTAAAAGGCAAATAAGAAGCAGGAAGGGTGCATGCTCCTTCTCTACTGCCCTGTAACAGTCATTCCACACTTACCACCTCAAAACAACAAATGCTTTTGATGTTGGCTCCTGTGGGGCAGCAATCTGCGGGAAGCTTAGCCAGGCACCTCTGGCTTAAGGTCCCTCCTGAAGCTGCAGTCACACCATGGACCAGGGCTGTGACCTCATCCGAAGGCTCAACTGGGGCTGAGGCCCACCTCTGAGCTCACTCAGGTGGACGCTGGCTGGGTTCAGTTCCTTGCTGGCTATAGGTGGAAAGGGCCCCCACCAGTTTCTTGCCAGCTTCTCCACAGGACGCCCCACAGCCTGACAGGAGCTTTCATCCAGCAAGCTCATCAGGGAGTGGGAGAGAGCAGCCAGGACAGGAGCCCAGGCCTTTCTGAACCTCATCTCAGAAGTGACATCCTTCCCTTCTGCTGTCTGGGCACAGCTCCCCGGGTGGAGCCCGAGGACTAGAAGGAAAAGAAAACTTGGATTTAAAATGGGATAAAGCCATAGGAGCTGCTCGTCCCACCACAGGAATCTCAACGCCGGGTTACTGACAAAGCGTCACTTTGCACCTCGTCCAACTGTGCAGACCTCTCCTAGCCAGGCCCCTGCACCAGAGGTTAAGAATCCGTGCCCCTGGTCAGGAAGTCCAGGTGGGTTCAAACGGCCAGCAGGGAATTTCAGGCAAAATGTGTCCCAAATCTTCAAACCACGCCCCAGAACTCAGACCTCCCCCTGGGAGTTCGTCCCAAGGAAACCACCTGCAAGAGGCTCAGGCTGCAGGGGACACTCCGCTTCCAAAACCCGGAAGCTGGAGACCACACAAGTGCCCAACGCCAAAGGCACCCCGTGGAGGGACGCCCTGTGCCCTCCCCCGACCAGGTGACCCGCTGCGCCCTACACATCTTCACCAGGAAACATCTGTTATCGATGTGGACGAAGCGCAGCCTGCACTCCCAGATCCGCTCATTTTCGTTCTGCCCTCCGTTTTACGATTCGCCTACACTGAAAATGCGTGAGTGGAGTGGAAAGCCTTCCTACTCCTGCCTCAGCGACCCCTTCTAAAATACTGCCTCGTTTGGCCTGAAAATGTGATTTGCAGGCTTCCTGAGCAAAGTAGATTTCACTCCATTAAAGAAAAAAAAAAAGAAAAGGCACCGAACGGGGCTCGGCTGTCGGGAGTTTTGCTTTAGTTTTTTGCGTGTTTTGTTTTGTGTTTTTTTGTTGTTGTTGTTCTTTTTGCGGCCACGCACACCGCGTTCCCAGGCTTCAGGGCGTGGGGGTCGCCGTGGACTCCCGGACGTGAAAACGCTTAAAGCCAGCTGGGAAAACCCCACCAGCGTTTTCCGCGCACAGCGCCAGCCATAGGAAAGGACCCCCAGGAGCGAATCCGGGCAGGGAAACCCCGGACGCCCGCACACTCAGCATCAGTACCGGCACCCAGCACCCAGCACCGAGCACCGAGCACGCAGCACCAAGCACCGATCACCGAGCAGAGCACCCCGCACGCAGAACCCACCGAGAGCCTGATGCAGTCTCCGCCGCAGGCATAGCGCTAGGCCCCGGCGCCTTCACAACAAAGGGACGCTGGCGGGCGGGGCCTAAGAGGTGCGCGGTGGAGGGGCCGGGCGCGAGGCCGCGGAGACAGCTCGGAGCTCGGCACTGGGGAGTGGCACAGCGCTGGCGGATCCAGGTGGGCTTCACGGGGCGCCCGCGGGACCGGAAATGACGCGCAGAACCCTGCATCGGGCTCCTCGCTGCCCCGCGGGCGCCGCTCCTCAGTGCCCCAGAGCCACGGAGCCGGGGAAACGCGCCGCGGCCCACAACGCCCCCGCGGCTGCCCGTTGGTTCCGCCCGAGCCGTTCTACTCCAGGCAGACGGGAGGAGAAACACGGCGCGCTCAGCGTCCCCTGCCCCGTTGGTTCTGCTCGGGCCCTTCCACTGCAGGCCGACGGGGGTGGAAACACGCAGTTTTTTTTTTTTTTTTTTTTAAGGTCTAGGGTAACACGGGGCTTTTAAGTGCCTCTCCGCGGCCGCCTGGTGGTCCAGCCCGGGCCGCTGCAGTGCAGCCACACGGGGAGGGACACGGCGCGCCGAGTGCTCCGGGCGGCCGCACGTTGGTTCCGCCCGGGCCGTTCCACTGCAGGCAGAGGGAGAGGACGACGGTGCGCGTAGTGCATCCCCGTGGCCCGTTGGTTCCGCCGGGGCCGTTCCACTGAAGGCAGAAGGGGGGGGAACCGTGGCCCCACCCCCCGCGGCAGCCCGTTGGTTCCGCCCGGGCTGTTCCACCAGCGGCACTTCAGGGCGGGATCGGCCAGTCTGTGGAGGCAGCGGCCTCTAAGCCCCGGAGGGTTTACTGCCCAGGTTTGGGTTCCAGGAATAAGAAATCCACTGAATAGGCTTAACTTAGAAGACACAAAGGCGCCTCCTGGCGGAAGTGGCCACGCTCCGCCCAGCCTGAGGGAAAGCTGCTCTGACAGCTGGGCCCGGAGCTGCGGGGGGCGGGGCCGCCGCGCGGGGTGAGGACTCGCCTCAGGGCGCTGATTGGCTGGTGGCGCGCTCCGGGGCGGGGCCTTCGTATCCAGGCTGGCGTCGGGGCTGCCGCGGGACATCCGGAGCAGACACCCGCGGGCGCGCCTGCGGCCCCGAGGACCCCCGGCTCCGGAGCTTCGTCGAGCGTTTTCCTAGCGTTACTTTCCCAAATAATTTTCAGGAATGAAGTTACGGCTAAAGGGCTCTTTAGAGATTACTTTTGGGCCGGGCCCGGTGGCTCACGCCTGTAATCTCAACACTTTGGGAGGCCGAGGCCGGCGCATCACGAGGTCAGGAGCTTGAGACCAGCCTGGTATGGCCAACGTGGTAAAACGTCGTCTCTACTAAAAATACAAAAATTGGCCGGGCGTGGTGGCGGGCGCCTGTAATCCCAGCTACTCCGGAGGCTGAGGAAGGAGGATCACCTGAACCCGGGAGGCGGAGGTTGCAGTGAGCCGAGATGGCGCCACTGCACTCCAGCCTGGCGACAGAGTGAGACTCCGTCAAAAAAAAAAAAAAAGGAAGAAAGAAAATTATAAAATGAAGTGAAATTAACGCAGTGGAGTGCCACCTGCCTGCTGCCTGAGTTCACTATCCACACGGAGTTCATAAATTTGAGAGCAGTTTACAAAGTAGATTCTCCTACTTTCCAGGAAACCCAGAAATGTCTGGTGATTTGCCCAACAGTCTCAGCTGTTGTGGTCAGCAGGGCCGCTGTGGTATCCAAATGATTTCAAAAGCAGATTTATAAAAAGTACTCCTTGTTTTTTTTTGAGATGGAATTTCGCTCTCATCGCCCAGGTTGGAGTGCAGTGGCACGATCTCAGCTCACTGCAACCTCCGCCTCCCGGGTTCAAGTGATTCTCCTGCCTCAGCCTCCTGAGTAGCTGGGATTACAGATGTGTGCCCTCACGCCCAGCTAATTTTTATATTTTTAGTAGAGACAGGGTTTCACCATATTGGCCAAGATGTTCTCCATCTCCTGACCTTGTGATCTGCCCGCTTCAGCCTCCCAAAGTGCTGGGATTACAGGCGTGAGCTACCCCACGCCCGGCCTTTATTTTTTTTTGAGACGGAGTCTCACTCTGTCGCCCAGGCTGGAGTGCAGTGGCGCGATCTCGGCTCACTGCAAGCTCCACCTCCCAGGTTCAAGAGATTCTTCTGCCTCAGCCTCCCGAGGAGTTGGGATCACAGGCACCCGCCACCATGCCCAGCTAATTGTTTTGTATTTTTAGTAGAGACGGGGTTTCACCGTTGTTAGCCAGGATGCTCTTGAACTCCTGACCTCATGATCCACCCACCTTGGCCTCCCAAAGTGCTGGGATTACAGGTGTGAGCCACCACGCCTGGCCTCTCAAAGTTTTTATAGCAAAGCCTTACATTTCATGAGGAACCATGCATTTTATTTTATTTTTGAGATGGGGGATCTCGCTACTTTGCCCAGGCTGGGCTCAAACTCAGGGCTCTCTGGCCTCAGCCTCCCGAGTAGCTGGGTCTGCAGGTGGCTGTCACCGTGCTGGGCCTGGGGTGTGCGTATTAATGATTTTGGAATAGTGTCTGGAAGCCTGTGTGCCTTCCTCTCTTCCTCTCCCCAGAAGGACCTCCCACCTCGTCCTCCCAAAGTGTTGGGATTACAGGTGTGAGCCACCATGTCCCCTCTCTTTGCTATTTTGCCTGGGAGGAGTGTATTAATAATTTTAATTTTAAATTTCTTTGATTATGTTCTAGTTTGATTATTGATCATTTACTTCTTAGCTATTTATATTCTTCCTTGAGTCATCGGTTTCTGCCCTTTGACAATTTTTCTGTGAATGTTTTGTGTTGATTATATGAGCTTTGACTGTATTGAGAACATCCACGCATTGTATTATTGCAACTGTTTTCCTAGTTGAGAACATCGACCTGCTGTATTATTGCAAATGTTTTCCTGCTTGCATGTAGTCATTTGTTATGCATATTAATGAATTTCTATCCACATGACGTGGAGTCAGTTAGGAATCAGTTAGGACGCCCTCGCTGTGTGGGAGACTGATGGGTCCAGGCGCTGTGCAAACCCCGCCTCCAAAGTGCATCCTTGGCTCACTGGGACCTTCCGGGTTGTGCTGCTCTTGCTTCACAGCCTCTCTGGGTCTCCCTGCCGTCTGCTGACCTCGGGGCAGGGTCTACCCAGGCTGAGCGGCCCATGGGCTGTGGGATTCCTTTCCTCTGCCTTCAGGTCCTGGATGATGTAGAAGGCAGGAAGGAAAGCAGTCATGGCTAGCTCTGTCCTGCCCCCTTCGGGGTCCCCCCCGGCCCACAGGCTCCTCCTTGTCCCCCAGCCAGCCTCAGTCTGGGTCTGGGCTCCCGCTGGGGAGGAGGGTGAGACCTGCCGGCCCAAAGGAGCTGAAGTTTCCCAAGGGGCGTTGAGGACAGCAGGGAAGTGTGGGGTGTGAACTGAGGCCCCAGAGAAGGGTCTGTGCCAAGGCCCCATGGGTGGGGAGGAAGAAGGAAGCGTCCCCACCTGGAGACCCAGCCTGCAGGCCACTCGGCCACCTGCGCAGAAGTAGGGGAGCAGCAGCCGCTCATGCCCCTGCAGTTTGTCCTCATCAGCAGGTGGGGAAACTGAGGCCGGGGAGTTCTCCAGGCCAAGGTCACTCACGGGCAAGTTCCCGCAGCCTTTGGACCCTCCATACACGTCAGGGCCGCTCATGCTTTCCTGGGCCCTTCACTGGTTTGGAGGAAGCTTCCTGTTGCCCAGAGCGCACTGCCTGTCTCTGAGTGTATGTGTCTCAGTGGCGTCCATGTGTATTTTTCTCTGTGTGTATCTGTGTGAGTCTGTGTGTGTGGTGTGTTTGTGTCTGAGTGTGTGGTGTTAGCGTGTCTCAGTGGCGTCCATGCATATTTTTCTGTGTGGTGTGTCTGTTTGTGTGTGTGTGAATCTACGTGGGTGTTTGTCCATCTTTTTGTCTGGCCTCCTGTCCCCTCTGCACAGAGCAGCTGGGTGGGGATGCTGGTCCTGGGGGCTTGTCAGCAGGATGTGGGCGTGGGGCAGCCCTGGGTGAGGCCTGAGTACAGGCCCCAGGTGCCTCCTGCACAGGGGTGGCTGAGCCAGCTCCTCTGTGGCTCCCGGGTCCCCACCGCCGGTCACTGGGCACCACCTGTCCTGGCCACCCACTCCTGCCCACCCTGCTCTCCGCAGGGGCCTCCTTCCTCTTTCAGCTGTGCGCCCTGGTTGTGGAGGCTCCTAAGGAGGTTGTGGCCTCGGTTTACCACCTGCCTTGGCTCCTTGGTGTTGCCAGACCCTGAAGGCAGCCCATGCCCTGGCTGAGATCCTTCTGGGGCGGGATGTGCTGGAAGCAGCTGAACCACGTGGTGATGTACCAGCTCCTGCTGTCCCCTACATCCCCAGCACCGCCAGCCTTCCCTGGGCTCCTCCGGCCGGCTCCTCTACCCTGTACCCGCCCCACCCTGCTACCACCCCCCAACCAGACTTCCAGCTCCAGGCAGGGTCGCAGCCTCCTGGGCTCCCAGCAGGACAGGCCTCACCCAGACCCCGCAGGAGCCATGGGACTTGGGCTGGGTCTTTGGGCCTGGCTGCAGCCCCTTTGGACCTGACCTGAGGAGACACCCTGGCTGTGGGAGGCAGGGTGGGGGTGCCGGGCCCAGCACAGAGGTGCCCAGGGTGCAGGCTGGCACTGGCCCGGCAGGGACCGTGGATGCCGCCGTTTCAGGCTCGAAAAGGTTTCCATGCCCCAGAGCCTGAGCCCGGCAGCCCCCGAGGATGTCTTGGGGACTCTGTGCTCCCCAAAGCCGAGAAGGTTAGGCTTGACCCACAGCCTCTTCCAGGCCGGGGAGGCAGAGGCGCTCCAGGTCGGTAGGGCGGGGCCCACAGCCCAGGGTTTCACGTCCCCAAAACGGGGCAGGGTGCTGGAGGCGCAGGTGTCCACAGGGTGGTCGTTTTGGTCTCTCCTGGACTTGCACGCGTGTAGTGCAGACTGGCTGCCGGCAAAGCCCTGAGCCACATTCATCTGGGCCTTGTTAGGACAACAGGGACGGTGCGGGGTGGGGGGGTTGCGGGGCGCAGGACCACGTCAGTGGAGGGAGGGAGGCCGATATCGGTGCCCAGGCTGGGCCCAGGGGCCAGCGGGTCCTCACCTGGCTTGTGGCTGCCCCTGTTAGGCAGCCCGGATGGAGGGGCTCTTCCAGCCCTGCTGGCCCCGGGAATGCAGGGACTCAATTCCCCCTGGTCTCAGTGGCTCTTCCGGGAGCAACACAGCCTGCCCGAGTCGACACCACCCCTCGGGTTTGAGTCCCTTCTGTCTACCCCTACCCCCGCCAGGGCACTGCCCCCTTGCCCGGAAGAGGCAGCGGCACCCCCAGCCCCTTGGGGAGGATGCCCTGCCGGCCCCACACTCGGTGGATGGGCATTTTGGGGCTAGGATTTAATGGGGGTGACCCTGCCCGACCCCTCTATGTTGGTTCCACGGCGTCAGAAGAAAGCTGTTATTAACCCAGCTTATTTTCTACAAGTCTTGTTTATTGAAAGGATCTGAAAAGCGTAATAAGGCTTTCAATGACATTTAATACATTTTCAAGAAATTAATATGAAACATTAAAATTTACTTCAAAAATCCAAAGTTTTCTAGATCATTCCCATCTCACGCTGCTTTAGAGGTCAGTTCACACCTTCTGTGTTCAGATGAGCGGCTGGAATTCTGAACACTGCCGTCTTCCAGCCCTAACGCTGGGCGCTGGTCCCTCTCTCCTAAGCCCACGGCTGGGCTTCCCCTGTGCCCAGGGTCATGGCGGACTTCAAGCCAGGCCGGCTGCCCAGAATCACACTCAGGGTTTTTGGACGCTCAAGTCCACAGATGCTGAGGTGCCCAGACGAGGGTGAGCAGGGAGACACATGCCTCGGAGAACGTGCCCAGGCTGGGCCAGGCGGCTGCGGGAAGCTCCTCACGGGCAGAGGAGAACGTCTTGTGCCTTCCTTATCGATCTCCAGCAGATGAGGGCAACTTCGTGTGCAAAACTCAGAGAGCAGTTACTCAAAAAAAAGACACCCGGGCAGCAGTAACCAGGACACCAGGGTCCGACCACGGCCTCCACACACCTGTGCCCGTGGAAGACGCGGGCGCCGGGGTAGGCAGCATCCACGTGCTCCACAGCTGCCGGTGCTGGGCAGGCTGGAGACTCACGGGAGAGGCAGGAGGAGAATCAGCGTGTTGAGTCCCTCGCTGTGTTAGTGTGAAAAATTCTCATTACAGTTGCAAATAAAAGGGATCACGATCACTAGCCCCGGAAACCCTCATCTCCCGGACCATCAGGATCGCACTGAACAGAATGGTCCCCTAATGGTCCCTGAGGACAGCGTCTTGCAGAACATAAATGTAAACATTGAATGGCAGACGACTCCCTTCCCCTTGAAATCTTCACAAAAGTGTGTACGAGAAAGTATGTACATCAGCACTTCAGAAAGTTTAAAAGAGTCTCTAAAAAGTATATACAGGATTTAAACTACCTTCCTGGGAGCAGAAGCTACGTGAGGAATGTGTGGGTCGCTGGCGATGCCAGCCCCCTTCCCGCTGAGTGTCCCAGACTCAGTGCTGGCCTCAAGCGGGGAGGGCTGGATGGCAGGGGACGCATCCAACCCTCTCCAGAAACTGAGCAGAACAAAACCGCCTTGCCAGCCACTGGCAAGACCATGCTTTCAATGGCGCCTCCGCCAGGGGCTTCCCTGCAGAAGTTTTAGGGGAAGAGGTGCAGGTCAAGGGGAAAAGCATGGCAGCTCAAGGAAGGTTTTTGGCTGAGACATTTATTATCAACATTGAAGGACAGGTCGAGTCATTCTGACTCCTCTGAATTTCAACCGACTGATTTGCGGAAAAATATCCTGGCATGGAAATTGCGGCAGCTGGAGGCCGCGCTCCAGGGACCCACCGCGGGGTGTCAGCAGGACAGAAGCACTCCCAGCCCATTTCTCACGCTTCTTTAGAAATGCAAAAAAAGTCAGACATTTTAAAAAAACAGCTGATCTGGACAAAAGGCAGACCCAGGCTCTAACCCAGCTACAGAAAGGAAGTGGCCGTGCCACTGAGACAGGCGGTCACAGACACACGCAGATTGGTCTGTCCCCAGAGGGCGCTTGGAGGGCAGCGGAAGGATTCGGGCCTGGATAGGGGCTTGACCTAGCCCTCCTCCTCCTCCTCCTCCTCCTCCTCGAAGTGGGCTTGCTTCTTCCGGACGTTCCAATGCAGGCACTGGGCGAGGCTCTCAAACCAGTCGCTCACGGGGTCCCGCACACAGATGGAGGGGAGCGGGTAGCATGAGGTAGTGATGCTGATGCTGGGACGGGAGAGCAGCAGCCTGAGCCAGGGCTTCCAGAAAGGCCCACCCCCGGCCAAGAACCCTTCCTCCCTCCCTCCCTGGGAATGGCCGGGACTCTTTTCCTGTGGGGCCGGGCAGCCCCTCCCCGAGGCAGGCTTGAGCAGTGCCCCATGGGTGCTGGGACAGAGCCATCCCAGGTCCTGGAGGGGACGGTGCAGGGAACTGACAAACTCTGCCCCAGGGCCCTCAGGGGTGAGGTCCCAGGAGGTGGGTGGGGGTGGGCAGCAGTGCCAGGGGGGACACCCTCAGGCCTCTGCTGGGGCCAGGCCTGCATGTGCCACCGTATGCGACCCGCTGCCCCCAGGACGGGTGCCCCGACTGTGATGCTGCAAGACCCAGGGACTCAGGCCCTGTGGTGCCCTAGGGGACAAGCTGTGTCTACAGGCCAACCGCAAGAGGGCAGGCGCTGCCTGGCCCGGGGAGGAGGTTGGCAGGCAGCGCCCAGCCCGGCATGCAGCCCACACCTGTCTCCATGGCGGATCTCTTGTCTCTTCCGTCCATCAAAGGACACCCATGCTGTGTTCCTTGCTTCAGGTGACAGCATGATCTGAGGGTCAAGCAGGGAGAGGTGTGGGCCCCCAGCTGTGGGGAGGACGCTTCTAGGCACCCACCCCTGAGTGCTCGCCAGAGGTCGAAGGTTGGGCAGCTCTGACCCTGCCTTGCGGACGGTGCAGTGCACGTCCTACAGGCACCGGCCCAGCTCAGCACCGCCAGAGACCAACAATGGCAGAAAGCCCCTCAGACCCGGGCCCTGGGCACCTTGATGGACAGAACTCGGGCACCAGCAAGGGAAGGCTTGCATCTGAGGGGGCACAGGATGGCCCTAGGATGACGAGGCCGCGTCTGAGGCTGGAGCCAGCATGGCAGAGCGGGGTGCTAGGTCCCGGCTTTGTGTTGCACGGGGTCAAATGACTCACAAACCGGAAAAGGAGTGTCGTTGGCTCTGACCTTCAGCTCGACCCCTGCGGGGACCACGATGGGCCGGAAGGACAGCGAGTGGGGGCAGATGGGC
Organism: Homo sapiens; assembly: GCF_000001405.40. Classification (NCBI taxonomy): domain Eukaryota; kingdom Metazoa; phylum Chordata; class Mammalia; order Primates; family Hominidae; genus Homo; species Homo sapiens. Next base: position 1,754,115 of record NC_000001.11, read on the forward strand.
GTGATCATGATGGCCGGCACGTTGGGGTGGATCATGGAGGCCCCGGCCGCGGCCGCATACGCCGTGCTGCCCGTCGGGGTGGACACGATCACTCCTGACAGGGACAGGCGCAGGCGTCACTCCCGCCCGAGGGACGCTCAGGGCCCCAGGACAGTGCTGCGGGCCTTACCGTCGCCCTGCACCGTGGTGATGAGGTGTCCGTCCAGGTAGACATCCACATTGGACAGGTAGGAGGAGGGGCCTCTGTCAATCACCACCTCATTCAGGACCTGGAGGGGCGACAGCATTGCACACTCAGGGCGGGGGATGCCGCACGGCTCGCAGACACCCTCCGTCTCACCCAGCCGGGCTCTCCGGAAGGTCCTCATCCCTGGGACCGAAGTCGCCCCACCCTGGGCCCCTCACCGAGGCCGAGGCGCCTCCACTCACCTGGTACTGCATGGCCTGCTTCCCGACATCCATGTCCAGGCCTGCAGCCTGCGAGCCGTTCTCACCCAGCCCATTGTGCACGGCCGTCTTCTTCCCCCGGAGCTCCTTCACCACCCTGACCTTCAGCCGACTCCGGAGAACAACAGCTGCGTTCCCTGAGGTCCAGCAGGAGTCAGAGGGCATGCATCAGGGAAGTCAGTGGGGTCAGGGGCCCCACCCCAGGGAGGCCAGTGGGAGTCAGAGGGCTCTTTCTTCTCCCAAGTTGACACACTTCTGTGCCTTTTTCTTTTTATTTTGAGATGGAGTCTCACTCTGTCACCCAGGCTGGAATGCAGTGGTGTGATCTTGGCTCACTGCAACCTCTGCCTCCCAGGTTCAAGTGATTCTCCTGCCTCAGCCTCCCAAGTAGCTGGAACTACGGGTGCGCACCACCACGCCCAGCTAATTTTTGTATTTTTAGTAGAGACGGGGTTTCACCGTGTTGGCCAGGATGGTCTCATCTCTTGACCTCGTGATCCGCCCGCCTCGACCTCCCACAGTGCTGGGATGACAGGCGTGAGCCACCGCGCCCGGCCGACACTTCTGTGCCTTCTGAGAGTGAGAATCAGCTCACTTCTGCCCAACACACATGGCAGCTTCAACCTGTGATCTGCTGAAACTTCTCAGTGTCAGTAAAAGGTTTGAACCACTCAAGATTTAGAAATCCCTGAATCTTGAAACCTTTAAATGTTGCTCCATGCATCATTAAATGAAAATAAACCCCCCGCAAGCAAGCGAGACAGCAGCGCCATGATCAGAGCTCCTGTGGGCTCCAGAACATTCCAACTCACCCTCTATCACCTGAGTAACTTGGGACTGAAAGTTCTCAAAGCTGAATGGGGTCAGGAAGCCCAGGGAGCCCAGGTGGAAGGCCATGACCGGAGGGACGCTGCCCTGTGAGCCGACGGAGAGGTCACTCAGTGCCCACGCCGTGCACCCCCGCACCACCCAGCTTTCCAGCAGCACCTCAGGAGGGACCCAGCTCTGTGGGGACAGCACCCCGACCCTCTGCAGGAGGGACTGGCCATGTGGACAAGCGGAGGGGGACGTCGCAGGCCAGGGTGGGCCGGGCCACCAGGGCCAAGGTTGGTGTGGGGAGCTGGTGAGGAACAAAGGTGGCAGGGCTGAGCGGCCCCCTGGGCACGGAGGGCTGGGGGAGCTGGCGAGGGCGGGTGGGAGGCAGCCTTGGGGTCGGAGCCTCGCGCCCCACAGGTGCTAATGGGGAGATGGGGAGAAAAGCAGGGCGGGCTGCGGGCATTTCCGGTGTCACCAACATGCAGTGGGCCAAGGGCAGAGCCAGGGTCCCCCACACAGCGTGGCCCTACAGCCCCAGGGGAGAGCTGTGCTGCTGAGAAACCAGGAAGAGGAGCTCAAGGGAGGCCCAGAGGGGATGGGCCAGTAGGCGAGGTCGTTTCCCAGGACCCACCACCCTGCGCCACTCCCTGCTGTCCCAGGCGGGCGCTGGCCACCCCCAGCCGTAGCACTGTGTCCACACTGCCCCTGGCCCCACCGTCGCACCCCACCGGGCTGCCACCATGGGCCTCAGTGCTGGCCGCTCTAGGTGACTGCTCTCGTATAAAGGGGTGAAAAGCAATGGAAGCCATGCTTGTGAGCCCCTCGTTACGCAGCACCTAGACTAGAACCTGGTGTGGGTCTGGAAATGTCAGCGCTTCACCTGGAAAAGCGAGGAAGCGTACAGCAGCGTCCCGTCTCCCCCCAGGCAGATGATGAAGTCTATCTGATTGGAAATGTCATCATAATCTAGGAAACACAAAGCAAAACCAAGAAGAGGCTGTCACACAGTGGCCCCTCTGTGGCGCAGTGCGCAGACACCAATGACAAGGGCAACAGTGCCAGAAGCTTCCAATGGGGCGGGGAACTGTGCTGGAGAAACCAAGGACAGAGCTGCTGACAGCCCACCTTCTCGAAAGGTACAGAATTTCTTCTTCACTGCCCCAAAGCTTTCATCGCTGGCGATGGCAGGGTCTTCTAGCACTTTCTTTTCCACATACACGATCATGTTCTCCTGGAAGCAAAGTGCCAACCTGCTCATTCCACCTGCAGACCCCACCCTCCTGCAGGGAGGTTCCCGACTCACGGGCGCTGTGGTCAGAGACCTGGCATCGTGGCCTGCATGCCCGCCCCCCCACGCTCACGCTGAAACTTCATCACCAACGCGCCAGGAGGAAGCAGGACCTTTAAGAGATGACTGGGCGGAGGGGGCTCCCTCTCAGGAATTGACTAAGGCTGTTATTTCAGGAGTGGCTTTCCTGGGCGCCGCAACCCCCACGCCTGCTCTTCTGAAGAGAAGACACAGCAGGAAGGCCCACGTCAGATGTGGCCCCTTGATCTCGGACTTCCCGGCCTCCAGGGCCACGAGCCCACCAGCTCATTGTTGGTCACCCAGTCTGGTGCTTGCCATGGCGGCACACACAAACCCAGACACCCGGCAGATCCCCACTCAGTCCCCAGTTCCAGACAAGCAGCCGTTGCCCAGCACTTGAGGTGGTTCCCATGGTCTCACGGGGCGGTGATGTGGATGGAGGCCCCCCCAACTCCATGTGCACCCCAGGCCCCCTTCCCCCCTGCCCCGCGTGCCTCCATGAGGTGCGTGCAGAGCTCCTTGAACGGCTGCAGTAGGCTGGCATCTCTCATCTTCTTGATGACAAGGACGCTCTTTGGGGACTTGTTCCACGTCAGCCGCTGGCTCGCGGGGTCCTGAATGTGCCTTTAGGGGAGGAGAAAAGAGTTCACACCAGCTGCGATCTCCCTCTTGCGGAAAAGGTGTATGACTTAGAAAATAAAAAAAAAAATCTTTAAAAAGGTGTTTTCACCTCCCAGGGAAACGTGCTCGGTGGCCACGGGCTCACAGGGCCTAGGGTCGCGCCACAGAGACAGGGTCAGGGGTCAGTAGGGTCCGGAGTGACCACCTCTCACCTGCTTGGCCCATCACACGCAGGCTCAGGCCCACAACCCCCACCCGGGCACCACGCTGACCCAAGTGCACGCACCACAGCCCTTCCCAGCCCCCGGCCACTTGCCTGCCTGGCTCCTCAGTGACGCTGGTGGGGCAGAAATGACCACGAAAGCCCATGGCTGGGCCACTCTTTGCTTGATGCCCTCCTCAGGCCCCCACGAAAACCCAAACCAGTTGACATGGTGACTCTGTCCCTAGGATCCTCTGCACACAGTTTCTGGCCCCACGGGAGCCCAGGACCCCTCAAGGACCCGCTTCCCCCCCTGCACACAGCTCACTACCTCCCTGCATGAACGGACTTTAACCTCACTCACTCTCACAGTAAAAATCACAGGTTTAAAAGTCCGTGGCAGCCCTGACACAGCCACCCGCGCTTTGCTGGCTCTGACCCCGACCACTGTGCCCGGTGTTTCTCCACAGGCAGGGCCCACCCCGGTGGGATTCCCATTACCACGTTAGTCACAGAAAACATCCCAGCCCAGAACCGGGAACACACACCACGGAGCCTGCTCCTGTTCCCAGAAGCCAAGGGAGGGCGCAGCGGGGCTGGCCACCGTCGTCAGCGCTCACCGCCTATCCTCAGCCCCAAAGGACAAGTTCTTATACCACCGCGCCAGCCAGCTAGTTCCAAGTTGCCCAATCGAGAAAGCTGCTGCCTGCCATGCCTCTTCCCAGCAGTGACTTCCCCAGGAGTGTGACCGTCCCACTAACACCCCCAGAACCACAACACAGACGCCGATGGCAGCCACAGGGCCACAGACCTTAGCCCATCGCTTGTGACCTTCGGAAGCTGGTCAGCACTCACCCTGTGCAGGCATTACTGGGAGGCGTGGGGTCACTCATGCCATCCCCTATGAGCTCAGCACCTGCCGGGTCACACATGTGGCTCGCGAGGTAGCCCCTGCCTGCTGGGAGCCGGCCAGTGTGTCCACAGCATCCAGGCCACGCTTGGCGAACACGCGGCCGCCCCATCGGTATGGTCCTGACTGTGCGCCCACACTAGAAGCCTAAGCTCTTCATACTCAAAACTCAAAGCAAAACACAATTGTGATGAGACTTGGTAAAGTTGTTGTAAAAGCAACTAAGTCAAAAGAGCTTCCTACACTTATAAAAATCAAACAAAACAAAACAGTTTCCTCATTGGTCACATGGTCCTCCTGCCTAATCCCTTCTGAAAAAAAGTCCTCAGTTCAGCAGCAAAGAGGCCACACTTCAGCTCCCTGCTCCTAACTGAGCCGGGTGGGACCAAGCCCTCTGTTCCCGTGGCCTCAGACCTGGCCAAGTACCCAGCCTCCAGCCTCGCCCCAGCACTGCGCCAGCCACCGCTCTGGCCCGCGGAACCGGCTGGGCCCCAGGGAAGGCACCCTCAGGCCACAGTCAGGTGGAAGGGCGTTCCCTGCCTCCTAGCCCGCTGCGTCACTCTGCTTGGCTCCGGCCCAAGGGCGTGCAGGTGGCTCACGGTCCTCCGGCCTGGTCAGCCAGCAAAGCCCCCGCCCTGCACACGGCTCCCCCTGCTCTCCCCGCCAACAGTCACCACTGACCCAGTGGCCTGGCCTACACCCATTCCAGCCCTGAGGCTCAGCTGAGCCCAGCCAGAGCCACCAGCAGCGGCGTCGTACACCGGCCCAGGCACCCACCGCTGTGTGTGACCACAAACCAGCGCCTCGACCTCTTCCTGGGTCACCTGCAAAGCAGGACACCAGCCCTTGCAGGCACGCACGGCTGTGGGTACTGCACGGAGAGGGCAGGGGGTGGCGTGAAGCTTGCAGGCACACACGGCTGTGGGTACTGCACGGAGAGGGCAGGGGGTGGCGTGAAGCCAGCATGGCCACAGCCTGGCCCGCCTGGCCAGCTCCTACTGAGACTGTCTCACACATGGGTGGCCACGCACACTGTGACACACGGGCACTCACGCACCTCCACAACACAGGCCCACCAATTCCCTGGACAACAAAACAGGAAGCGGGTGCCCTCCTCACCAGGCGCCCCCACAGGGTCTTGCTCTGGACTATCAGGGAAGACGGAAGTTCAGATGCATGGGAAGCCCTGCCCCTCCACAGCGGGGATGGGAAGCGGGAGGTTATGATCCCAGAGACACAGAGCCCAGAGGGGGCGTGCTCCCATGGGGGTGCCGAGAAAGCTGCATGCCCCTCAAGGCTGCCCCACAAACCCACCGCTTCCTCCTGCGGGGCTGTCTGGCCTCGGGCAGCTCGGGGACCACTGAGTACGCCCTGGTCTGAGGGCTGAGGCAGAACATGCACCTGTCCGGTGACCCCGCCCTGGCCCGAGTGACTGACGGCTGGTGAAGGCAGCAGCTGAGATGCGAGTGACAAAGGAGTGGCTCTGCCAGGACCAGGAAGTGCAGGGAGGGCACCAGGCAGCGGGGGAGAGGCCCGGTGGGGTGCCAGGGACACAGCAAGCACAGGATGGCGGGACAGAGCCACGGCGGGGCCGGGAGGGCAGTGGAGCACTCTGGGTCACCCACGTGGCTGCTGTGCAGGGAAGGGATGGTGAGGCCGCGGCGAGTGGTCAGGAGTCCACACAGCGGAGGGCAGCCGGGCAATAGTGCAGGGGAGCTGCTTGGATATTTTGGGATCAAAGTGACAGAATCTGCAGATGGACTGGATGAGGGAAAGCAAACAGGGGTCGGGCCCCCCGCCTCAGGCATTTGGCAGCAGTGACAGGTCACAGACACTCCGGGAACCAGTGGCACTGAAAGGGCTGGGCCTCAAAAGCACAAGTGCGAGTCACTTCCATCCTAAGGGGCTCCGTCAGCGTCTGGAGCAGCAAGGCCAACCCCCGTCCTGCCTGGGACGCACGCTGCCGCGGGGCCCACACTTTGCAGAGCAGCTCCTCGGATGACTCCCCCGTGGCTCCTGGGACCTGAACTTCGGTGACAGCCCAGGGCTGGGGCCTCCGTCCCTGCTGTGCGCCCCCAGCCTCCATGGCACCGGTGCCTGTCAGCAAAGGGCCATGCAGTGGCCGCCCCCGTATCACACGGCCGCATTGCGCTTTCTGGTCAACAGTCCCCAGCAGCCTGCGCGCTGGAACACTCGGCCCTTCCGCATGGTCCTCCCTTGCAGAAAGTGAAGCATCCATGACTCCGTGAAGGAGGAGGCCCTGAAGAGAGCCCGTTCTGCACAGAGGAAGAGAGCCCGTTCTGCACAGAGGCCTGAGAGCTGAGGCACCAGTCCCAGAAGCAAAGGCTTCTCTGGGGAAGAGGCAATGAGGATGTCTACCAGGTGCAGAATACGACTCTCAGGGCTGGCTGGGAGCTCACTTTTTTCTCTGGAGACAGTCTTGCTCTGTCGCCCAGGCGGAATGCACTTTGATAATCACAGCTCCCTGCAATCTCAACCTCCCAGGTTCAGGTGATCCTCCCGCCCCAGCCTCCTTGGCAACTGGGACTACAGGTGTGTGCAACGATGCCTGCTAATTTTTGTATTTTTCTGAGTCTGAGTCTTGCTCTGTCGCCCAGGCTGGAGTGCAATGGTGCGATCTTCGGCTTACTGCAACATCTGCCTCCCGGGTTCAAGCAGTTCTCTGTCTCAGCCTCCCAAGTAGCTGGGATTATAGGCACGCGCCACCATGCTTGGCTAATTTTTGTACTTTTAGTAGAGATGGGGTTTCACCATATTGGCCAGGCTGGTCTTGAACTCCTGACCTCGTGATCCGCCCCCCTTGGCCTCCCAAAGTGCTGGGATTACAGGTGTGAGCCACCGCAGCTGACCAATTTTTGTGTTTTTTGTAGGGATGGGCTTTCACCATGTTGCCCGGGCTGGTCTCAAACTCCTGGGCCCAAGTGATCTGCCTGCTTCGGACTCCCACAGTGCTGGGACTGCAGGTGTGAGCCACTGCGCCCAGCCTGGATTATAATTCTTTACACATAAAACACAGATATCAGATCGATCACTGTTGCGTTTTTCCCATGACACTATGACGGGCCTCCAGGCAGAATGTGTTGACAAACTGAACCATCAAATAGCAAACGCAACCCACCCCAGAATTCTCACTCACTCTTAAAGAAACAAAAAGGCAGCCCTGAGGATCTCATGTGGAAGCCGCCACACCCACGGGCTGTGACCCGGTCTCCAGGCCCCGGCTCGCCTGCCGTCCACTTTCTCAAAGCCACTGGAAAAGCCACAGCTGGGGAGCCCCCGCTCGGATGCCTGCACTCAGGGGGTTCAGGGAGGACGCCCATGTGGCTTTTTGTTTAAATGACCTAAACATGTACTTCTCACATGAAGTGCTAGAATCTTCCTCAACACAGCGATCCCACAACTCCACACACATCCCGAGGACTCCCCCATCCCATGGCCCCCGGCACTCACATGATGGTCTAGGGGTTCTCTCCCTTCCAAGAACCCCCCGTCCTGGGGCCCCAGCACTCACATGATGGTCTGGGGGTTCTGCAGCACACAGGCCTTTGGTCCAAAAGTGGTCACCGGGCATGGCCCATGAAGAGAGCGTGTCCTCCTGTGGGGAGAGGGCAGTGTCAGAGCCACCAGGGCCTGAAACCAGACATGCAGTGACAGACACAGATACAGAGGAGGTTACACGGTAAGGCATACATGCAATTTGAAAGATGCCAACTCCATCTGCCCAGCAGCCACACAATAGCCCTTGGAAGGTTCTGCCCAGGTCCATGGCTGCACTGGAGCGGCACCTGTGAGGAGCACGCATGCCCACGCGCCGCTCAGATCATGACCCAAGCCGGGGAGAGCTTCAGCCCAAACAAGGAAAATGCCAGGGCCAGGGCCAGCCTGGGATCAGAATTCCTCAGTGTCTCCAGGACCCCTCTCTAGATCTGCATTTGGGACTCAAAACCTGAGACAACATCTCATCTCTAAATCGTCTAGATTAAAATTCTAGCACAAATGTTCACTCTGAACTCATGTCAATAAAAAAGACGTAGGCCGGGCGCAGTGGCTCACACTTGTAATCTCAGCACTTCAGGAGGCTGAGGTGGGTGGATCACGTGAGGTCAGGAGTTTGAGACCAGCCTGGCCAACATGGTGAAACCCCCATCCTTACTAAAAAAAGAAAAATTAGCCAGGCCTGGTGGCGTGTGCCTGCAGTCCGAGCTACTCAGGAGGCTGAGGCAAGAGAACTGCTTGAACCCAGGAGGTGGTGGTTGCAGTGAGCCGAGATCGAGCCACTGTACTCCAGCCTGGCTGAAAAAAGTGAAACTCTGTCTCAAAATGAATGAATGAATGAATGAATGAATGAATGAATAAAAGACGCCAGATGAACGGCTCAACAACTTTCCTAGTGATTTAAACATGGCCAGGTCACAGTTAAATCACCCAGCCAGGGGCTGTGGCAGCCGCACGCGTCCTGGGGAGAATGCTGTCAGGACCGCTGTGCTCCTCAGGGTCCAGCACTGAGGCTGCCCTCGTCCTAGGTGCCCGGGAGCCTCCCAGTCCCTTCACAAACTCAGAAAACTTGCACACAGCTGGCCAGGCAACGGCCCAACAAAATCCTCAAGTCCCAATGCAGAAGAACGGCCTTCCGCTGCCTCGCAGGGCCAGACAACCCCAGGAGAGCCGTGGTGCCCTGAGGGCTGCTCCACAGGTGACACAGGCGTGGCCATCAGTGGTCACGGACTTGTTTACCTCAGCCTTTTAAAAATTGGTAAGTACAGGCCGGGTGCAGTGACTCACGCCTGTAATCCCAGCACTTTGGGAGGCCAAGGCAGGCGGATCACGAGGCAGGAGATTGAGACCATCCTGGCTAACACGGTGAAACCCTGTCTCTACACAAAAATACAAAAAATTAGCCGGGCGTTGTGGCTCACGCCTGTAATCCCAGCACTTTGGGAGGCTGAGGTGGGCGGATCACCTCAAGTCAGGTGTTCGAGACCAGCCTGGCCAACATGGTGAAATCCCATCTCTACTAAAAATACAAAAATTAGACAGGCGTGGTGGCATATGCCTGTAATCCCAGCTACTCAGGAGGCTGAGGCAGGAGAATCACTTGAACTCGGGAGGCAGAGCTTGCAGTGAGCCTAGATCACACCACTGCACTCCAGCCTGGGCGACAGAGCAAGACTCCATCTCAAAAAAAAAAAAAAAAAGAAGAAGAAAACGAAGTACATTACAAAAGAATTTTACTTACTTACGAACTGAAAAGATTATTGCGGAAAACAATGTTTCTCGAAGTGGGTGTTGGGATTTAATGTTTCCTTCCCAAGGACAGGCTATGCTTGGGCGTATTTGGCTACCTCCTCCCCCACCTCACCCTGAAGGCGCCTGTCACTCACTATGGAGGCGACCTCTGACCCAGGGCTGCTGTCATCAGGTTCAGAATGCAACAGAAATGGTGCATTATGCCAAAGAACCCACAGGAAAAAAAAATAAAACCCCAAAGCAATTCTGTTCACGCAGTCACTGCGCTGGGGTGGCCTGGAGGTACAGGACAACGACCCCCACTGACAACGAGGCAACGAGGCATCTGAGAAAGGCTGAGTGGTGACGTGGTGCCTGCGGGATGAAGGCAGCCACCAGCGCTCGTAGCCTCCTGGCTCAGGCAGCGACTCTGTAGACAGAAAACGTGGGAGTAGCCTGTTTCTCCACGGCTGCCACCACGTCAGAGGCGCTACAGGCTCTCCCATCTCACTGGGTAAGACAACATGCTTTCTAAGACTACTTTTCACCAAAAAGCCCCCCTTGCATTTGATAGTCGTGATCCTTGTTAGGCAGCGCCGGCTCTGGCAAGCTTCCACCTAAAACTCACCACATTTACCATCACCAGAACCGAGAGCACCATCCCCAGGCACCATCACAGCTGTGCTTGTGCGGCCACCGTCATGCAAAGCCCGGGGCGCTGTTGCCCAAGCAGCATTGTGCAAGGGTGAGCGCTGTGGGCACTCTTGGCACAGGAGGGAGCCACTTGCCCAACATGTGAGAGGGCTGGGCCCGCCCAAGGCCACGCTCATAACTCTGCCTCCACCAGCCCTGCTCACAGTGCAGAACCCCCCAGCCTTCGCCTCTCAAAACAAGCAGAGCCAAGAGGGATGTCCCCTCACACCCCAGTGACTTCTGTAGAGCAAATGTTTCCAGGCCAGGCACAGTGGCTTGCACCGGTAATCCCAGCACTTTGGGAGGCTGAGACGGGCAGATCACCTGACGTCAGGGGTTCAAGACCAGCCTGGCCAACATGGTGAAACCCCGTCTCTACAAAAATACAAAAATTAGCCGGGCATGGTGGTGCACGCCTGTAATCCCAGCTTCTTGGGAGGATGAGGCAGGAGAATCACTTGAACCTGGGAGGCGGAGGTTGCAGTGAGCCAAGATTGCGCCACTGCACTCCAGCTTGGGGGACAGAGCGAGACTCAGTCTCAAAAAAAAGTTTCCTCTCCAAGTGCGCTTCAGTCTAACATCAAGGGTCAGCGTAGGCGCCAGTTAGATGGTTCTGTGCTGATACAGACAGATAGAGAAACACGGTGGCACCCTGTGCCTGTGCTGGCACCTGGGAACGTGCGCCAGGCAGGTGTCCATGGGCCAGGATCCCCCTTCAAGGGCACAGCTTCACCTGGGCAAGGACCCAGCCTCACCTTCCGGATGCATCGACGCAGACTACTCAGGAGAATTCTTCATAATCGTTTTAAGAAAGAATATTATGAAATCAGACGAGAAAAAAAAGAGGAACCATCCCTCCCAGTTGTACCTGAACTCCTTGGTGCTCCCCAGGGCGGGCGAGGCAGACAGGCTGCGAGACTTGGCCCGGCCCCGGATGGGGTGGTTGTAACTCCAGGTCTCATCGCCGTGGCAGGCCGAGCAGCAGTAAGCAGCCGCGTCTGGACTCAATTCCTTATTCATGGTCATTTTTTCTTGTTCCATTTCCATTGTCAGGAAATGAGAACTTCGGTCAGAAAAACACTGATGCCTTAATTTAATAAAATAAATAATGTAAATAAAGTAAATAAATATGTATGAAACAATAATAATTTACACATACATATGTTCCATTTCATCAAGGGGAAAAAATGGCTGAAGTCCAATTTACCAAAGTACTTTGAAAACAGACTGTTTCCATTGCAAAGATATTTAAGAACTACTCTAGGTTTTTGGCTGGGTGCCGTGGCTCACGCCTGTCATCCCAGCACTTTGGGAGGTAGAGGCGGGCAGATCACTTGAGGCCAGGAGTTCGAAACCAGCCTCGCCTGACCAATATGGTGAAATCCCGTCTCTACTAAAAATACAAAAATTAGCTGTGGTGGGCGCCTGTAGTCCTAGCTACTCGGTAGACTGAGGCAGGAGAATCGCTTGAACCCAGGAGGTGGAGGCTGCAGTAAGTCGAGATCATGCCATTGCACTCCAGCCTGGGTGACTAGAGTGAAACTTCATCTCAAAATTTTTTCTGTAAAATAATATTAACAAAAAAAATTGTTTCAAAAAAGAACAAAATAGAAAGTCACACTGTGTGGCCAGGTGTGGTGGCTCATGCCTGTAATCCCAGCACTTTGGGAGGCTGGAGAGAAAGGATCAGTTGAGGCCAGGGGTTCAAGACCACTCTGGGCAACAAAGAACTCTTCTCTAGCAAAAAAAAAATTAGCCGGGCATGGTAGCCCATGAGCGAGACCCTGTCTTAAGAAAAGAAAGACTCTGGCCAGGTGCGGTGGCTCACCTGAGGTCGGGAGTTTGAGACCAGCCTGACCAACATGGAGAAACCCCCATCTCTATTAAAATTACAAAATTAGCTGGGCGTGGTTGCGCATGTCTGTAATCCCAGCTACTTGGGAGGTTGAGGCAGGAGAATCGCTTGAACCCGGGAAGCGGAGGTTGTGGTGAGCTGAGATTGTGCCACTGCACTCCAGCCTGGGCAACAAGAACGAAAGAAACTCCGTCTCAAAAAAAAAAAAAAAAAAAAAAAAAAAAAAAAAAAAAAAAGACAGGCTCTTTTCTCGTAAACAATACAACACATTAATGAGAGAGAAAGTGTGCAATTTCAAATACCCTAGTCCAGAAAAGCTGTCAAATAAAATTGAACCAGCAGATATGTTGTGAACTCCATGCCTTGCATCGTGAATTCAGCGCCAATGAAATATTTACCAAACTGACCAATATTAAGCCTCAAAGAAAACTGGTGAGGATAGAAAACCTCACCCTTTTTTCCCCTTTTTCTTTTTCTTTTTTTTTTTTTGAGACAGGATCCCACCTCAGCCTTCCAAGTAGCTGGGACTACAGGAGTACAGCACCACGTCCAGCTAATTTTTTTTCCTTTGGTAGAGACAGGGTGTCTTGCTCTGTTGCCCAGGCTGGTCTTCAATTCCTGGCCTCAAGTGATCCTCCCAACTCAGCCTCCCAACACAGTGCTAGGATTATAGGCATGAGCCACCATGCCTGGCCTAGAACCTCATCTTTTTTTTTTTGAGACAGAGTCTCACTCTGTCGCCCACGCTGGAGTGCAGTGGTGTGATCGCAGCTCACTGCAACGTCTGCTTCCCGGGTTCAAGTGATTTTCCTGCTTCAGCCTCCCTAGCAGCTGGGACTACAGGCGTGCGCCACCACGCTCAGCTAATTTTTTTGAATTTTTAGTAGAGATGGGGTTTCACCATGTTGGCCAGGCTGGTCTCCAACTCTTGACCTCAAATGATCTGCCCGCCTCAGCATCCCGAAGTGCTGGGATTACAGGCGTAAGCCACCACGCCCAGCCTAGAACCTCATCTTCTGACCACAATACAATAAAACCAGGAAGAGATAGAAACAAAGAAAAGCCCTCAGCCACTTGGAAGTTTCTGAACTTTCTCTTAAGCAACCCAGGGATCAAAGTGAAGATCAGACCCAACATCTGGAACACCCAGAAGCTGGAGGTGACATAAACAGGCTGCCAGGGTCGGTTCAATCCCATCAAAGCTGGGTCACAGCCCATGGGAAACCATGAACTGAGCATTCAAGCCAATAAAGCCAGAAATAGAATAAAACAAGCTTCAGAAGAACAGAAGAGGGGCCGTGCACAGAAACAATAAAAATCACTCAACAGAGGCTAAACACACAAAATAAAGCCAAACATACCTTCTCATTAAAGAAGATAAATCTTAATGAGGACAAGGTAGATTCTGGCATTAAAAAGGATAAATGTGACATTATGGACTGAATGTGTCCTCCCCAAATTTATTTTTTATTTTTATTTTGTAGAGACAAGGTCTCTCTGTGTTGCCTAGGCTGGTCTCAAACTCCTGGGCTCAGGTGATCCTCCTGCCTTGGCTTCCCAAAGTGCTTGGACTATAGGTGTGAGCCACTCCACCCAGCAATCCCCCCAAATTCCTACATTGAAGCCCTAACTTCCAGTGTGGCTGAATATGGAGGTGGGCCTCTAAGAAAGGAGTTAAATGGGCGCGGTGGCACACATCTGTAATCCTAACACTGTGGGAGGCTGAGGCGGGCAGATCATCTGAGGTCAGGAGCTCAAGACCAGCCTGACCAACATAGTGAAACTCTGTCCCTAAAAAATACAAAAATTAGCCGGGCGTGGTGGCGGGCGCCTGTAATCCTAGCTACTTGGGACGCTGAGGCAGGAGAAATGCTTGAACCCAGGAGGCAGAGGTTGCAGTGAGCCGAGATTGTGCCACTGCACTCCAGCCTGGGCCACAAGAGCAAAACTCCGTCTCAAAAAAAAAAAAAAAAGAAAAAATGAGGTCATAAGTGTGGGGTCTGATCAGACAGAATGAGCATCCTTGTAAGAAGAGACACCAGGCTAGGCACGGTGGCTCACTCATGTAATCCCAGGGCTTTGGGAGGCTGAGGTAAGAGGATCACTTGAGGCCAGGAGTTCAGGAACAGCCTGGGCAACATAGCAGGATTCTGTCTCTACAAAACAAAAACAAAAACAAAACCAAAACAAAAACAGTTGGACACAGTGGTGCATGCCTGCAGTCCCAGGTACTTGGAGGCTCCGGCAAGAGGATCAATGAGCCCAGGAGTTTGAGGTTTTGCAGTGAACTGTGATTGTGCTGTTGCACTCCAGCCTAGGCAATAGAGACCCTGTCTCAAAAACAAAACAGAACACCAGAGAGCTCTCTCCTCACCTCTGTTCCCACCCTCACTGGGCACAAAAGTAAAGCCATGTGGGGACACAGAGAAGATGGCCATTACAGTGAGAAAGAGAGTCTTTACGATGAACCAAATTAGCTGGGACCCTGACCTTGGACTCTTGGCCTCCAGAGCTCTGAGAACAAACATTTTTGTTGTTTACCCGCCCCCTGCCCCATGCCTGTGGCACTTTGTTACAGCAGCCTAAATAAAACAACTAAAATATGTGAGATGATGGCAAGGTGGGCAGAAGGAAAGTTCAGGAACTATGGACACAAGACTGTGGGCCCTATGCTACGGTCAAAGCCAACGGGTTCTCTGAATACCCAAAAGCTGGTTCTCTCTCTGGCTGCATTCTACAATCACCTTAGGAGCTTCAAACAACACCAATTCCTACGTGCCCTCCAGACTGAATGATCAGAACCTGAAGGTACAGCCCAGGCACCGGCACTTTAAAAGAGCTCCCCAGAAGATTCTAATGTTTAGCGAGAATTGACAGTACTGTCCCAGTGGGTCAATATCTCCCTAGCTTAAGACATACCAGGCGGGATGTGGTGGCTCACGCCTGTAATCCCAGTGCTTTGGGAGACCAAGGTGGGCGGATCACTTCAGGCCAGGAGTTCAAGACCAGCCTGGCCAACATGATGAAACCCTGTCTCGACTAAAAGTACAGGCTGGGTGCGGTGGTTCACGCCAGTAATCCCAGCACTTTGGAAGGCCGAAGCGGGCAGATCACCTGAGGTCAGATGTTTGTGACCAGCCTGGCCAACATGGCGAAACCCCGTCTCTACTAAAAATACAAAAAACAATTAGCCGGGCGTGGTGGTGGGCGCCTACACTCCCAGCTACTCAGGAGGCTGAGGCAGGAGAATGGCGTGAACCCAGGAGGCGGTGCTTGCAGCGAGCCGATATCGCGCCATGGCACTCCAGCTTGGGCAACAGAGCGAGACTCCGTCTCAAAAAAAAAACAAAAAACAAAAAACAAACTAGCCGCGTGTGGTGGCGCGTGCCTGTAATTCCAGCTGCTGGAGAGGGTGAGGCATGAGAATTCCTTGAACCTGGGAGGCAGAGGCTGCAGTGAGCTGAGATCGTGCCACTGCACTCTAACCTGGGCGACAGAGCAAGACTCCATCTCAAATGAAAAGAAAAAAAAAAAAAGAAAAAAGACATACCAGTGTTTTATTCAAATACATGAAAAATTCGGCCAGACACGGTGGCTCACACCTGTAATCCCAGCATTTTGGGAAGCCGAGGTGGGTGGATCATTTGAGGTCAGGAGTTTGAGACCAGCCTGACCAACACAGTGAAACCCTGTCTCTACTAAAAATACAAAAAAAGGGCTGGGAGCAGTGGCTCTTGCCTGTAATCCCAGCACTCAAAACAAAAACAAAAACAAAAACAAAAACAAAAACAAAAACAAAAAAATTAGCCTGGAGTGGTGGTGGGCACCTGTAACTCCAGCTATGCAGGAGGCTGAGGAAGGAGAACAGGAGAATTGCTGGAACCTATGAGGTGGAGGGTGCAGTGAGCCGAGATCGCACCACTCACTCCAGCCTGGGTGACAGAGTGAGACTCTGCCTCAATAAAAAGAAAAAAGAAAAAAAGAAAAAAAAACCATGAAAAATTCAATGAAAACCAGAACCTACAAAAACATGTCTGGTATAACTACTCCTATTGAGGACTATACTAGAGGCCACAGCCAGTGCAATAACATAAGAAAAAAATAAAAGGTACAGTGACAGAAAAGGTTTGGCATGAAATGTAGGTCTGTTAAACAAAATAAGAAAAGGAACAAGTGAAGTTGTACTTGCAGATGACATGACATTTCTATGTAGAAAAACAAATAAGTGAGTTTATTAGCAAGGTTTCAGAAGGCAAATTCAATACACAAAAATCGCCTGTATTTCTATATACTAGCAATAGACAACAGGAAATTGAGACCATCCTGGCTAACATGGTGAAACTCTGTCTCTACTAAAAATACAAAAAATTAGCCGGGCATGGTGGCGGGTGCCTGTAGTCCCAGCTACTCAAGAGGCTGAGGCAGGAGAATGGTGTGAACCCAGGAGGCAGAGCTTGCAGTGAGCGGAGATCGCACCACTGCACCCCAGCCTGGGTGACAGAGAGAGACTCTGTCTCAAAATAATAATAATAATAACAACAATATAATTTACAGCTGGGTGTGGTGGCTCACGCCTGTAATCCCAACACTGGGAGGCCGAGGTGGGTGGGGATCACCTGAGGTCAGGAGTTTGTGACTAGCCTGACCAACATGGTGAAACCCTGTCTCTACTAAATATAAAAAATTAGGCAGGCATGGTAGCACATGCCTGTAATCCCAGCTATTTGGGAGGCTGAGGCAGGAGAATCACTTGAACCTGAGAGGTGGAGGTTGCAGTAAGCCGAGATTGCACTGCAGCCTTGGTAACAAGAGTGAGATTTCATCTTATAAAAAAAAAAAAAATATATATATATATATATATACACACACACACACATATATTATTAAAAATATATATCTTATTAAAATATATATACATATATATGATCTATAATAGCATTAAAAATATAAAATATGTGGGGATATATTTGGCAAAAGACATGTCAGAACTGCACACTGAAAACTACAAAATATTGCTGACAGAGATGAAAGGAAACCTAAATAAATGGAGAGACATACCATGTTCATGGATTGGAGGACTCAATATTGAGATCTTAGTTCTCATCAAATTGATCTGCAAATGTTACCCAAACACAACCATCAAAAGCCAAGCAGGCTTCTCTAAAGGAAAGGACAAGCTGATAAAATTCACATGAAAATGTAAAGTATCTAGACCAGCTGAAAAAACTTTGAACAAGAACAAACGCGAAGGGCTAAGTTCATGACTTGTTGAAAAACTACGGGAACCAGACAGCGTGGCAGCATCAAGACGGACATACACATCAAGGAAACAGGACGGCCAGCCCAAAGGTAGACGCCACAGACCCTCACACACATGCAGTCCATGAATTTTTGACAGGTGCTGAGGTGATTCAACATGAGGAGGATCATCTTTTCACCTAATAGTTCTGAACAACTGGACAGCCACGTCTAAAAGAACGAAGCCCAACCACTTCCTCATACTACATACAAATATTAACTCAGAATGGATTATAGACCTAAATGTGAGGACTAAAACTATGAAACTTTTTAGAAGAAAGCACTGGAAATTTTTTTTTTTTTGTCTTTTTGTGAGACAGGATCTCCCACTGTTGCCCAGGCTGGAGTACAGTGGTGTGATCTCAGCTCACTGCAGCCTCAACCTTCCAGGCTCAAGCAATCCTCCCACTTCAGCCTCCCAAGTAGCTGGGATTACAGGCATGCACCACCACACCTGGAAATTTTTTTTTTTTTTTGGTGGAGATGGGGTCTCCCTATGTTGCACAGGCTGGTTTCAAACTCCTGGTCTCAAGTGATCCTCCCACCTTGGCCTTCCAAAGTGTTGGGATTACAGGCGTGAGCCACCTCACCCAGCTGGAAAAAGTCTTAGTGGTGTTTAAAATCTTTTATACTTAATGGAACCCTGAATTTTTTTTTTTTTTCCTGTTTTAGGCAGGGTCTTACTCTGTCCCCAGGCTGGAGTACAGTGATGTAATCATGGTTCACTGTAGCCTCTACCTACTGTGCTCAGACAATCTTCCCACCTCAGCCTCCTGAGTACCAGGGACTACAAGCATGCACCACCATGCCTGACTAATTTTTGTATTTTTTTGTAGAGATGAGGTTTTGCCATGTTGCCCAGGCTGACCTCGAACTCCTGGGCTCAAGCAATCTCTCTGCCTCAGCATCATAATGTGCTTGGATTACAGGCATGAGCCACTGTGCCTAGCCAAAACACTGTTAAGAAAATTAAAATACAGTTGGGTGTGGTGGCTTGTGCCTGTAATCCCAGCACTTTGGGAGGCCGAGGCGGGAGGATCGCTTGAGTCCAGGAGTTCAAGACCAGTTCTGTGTCTTGCTAGTGGTTATATAATTAATTTAAGAGGTAACACTGCATAGAGCCATACACACATGTAAAACTGGTGAAACCTGAATAAGGTCTATAGTTTAGTTAGCAGTATTTCAATTCCCTGGTTTTGATATTGTACTATGGAGGTGTATGGAGGTGTAAGATGTTAACACAAGGGCCGGGCATGGTGGCTCATGCCTGTAATCCCAGCACTTTCGGAGGCCAAGGCGGGCGGATCACCTGAGGTCAGGAGTTTGAGACCAGCCTGACCAACATGCAGAAACCGCGTTTCTACTAAAAATACAAAAAATCAGCCCGGCGTGGTGGCGCATGCCTGTAATCCCAGCCACTCGGGAGGCTGAGGCAGGAGAATCACTTGAACCTGGGAGGGGGAGGTTGCGGTGAGCTGAGATCACGCCATTGCACTCCAGCCTGGGCAACAAGAGCCAAACTCCATCTCAAAAAAAAAAAAAAAAAGATGTTAACACAGAGGGAGCTGGTGAAGGGCACAGGGGTCTCTCTGTACTATTTTTACAACTTCCTATGAATTAGTCTATGATTATTTTTTTTTTCCCCAGACGAAGTCTCGCTCTTGTCCCCCATGTTGGAGTGCAATGGCGCAATCTTGGCTCACTGCAACATCTGCCTCCAGGGTTCAAGCAATTCTCCTGCCTCAGCCTCCTGAGTAGCTGGGATTACAGGTGCCCGCCGCCACACCCGGCTAATTTTTGTATTTTAAGTAGAGATGGGGTTTCACCATGTTGACCAGGTTGGTCCTCAAACTCCTGACCTCAGGTGATCCGCCCGCCTCGGCCTCCCAAAGTGCTGGGATTACAGGTGTGAGCCACCGCACCCAGCCAATTATTTCAAAATAAACAGTTAATAAAGGTCAGACACAGTGGCTCACACTTGTAATCCCAGCACTTTGGGAGGCCGAAGCAGGGGAATCACCTGAAGCCAGGAATTGGAGACCAGCCTGGGCAACACAGCAAGACCCCGTCTCTACAAAAACATTAATAAAAAATAAACAAATCAAAATCACAAAATGTTAAAAAAAATGTATTATTACTGCTACATTACCTAGAAGCTCTATTTTGTGTGTGTGTGTGTGTGTGTGTGTGTGTGTGTGTGTGTGTGTGTGTGTGTGTGAGAGAGAGAGAGAAATAGAGATATTGAGAGACTGAGAGGTAGGGTCTTGCTCTGTCACCTAAGCTGGAGTGCAGTGGTGCAATTACAGCTTACTGCAGCCTCAATCTCCCAGGCTTAAGGGATCCTCCCATGTAGCTGAGACTACAGGCATGAGCCACTATGTCCAGCTAATTTTTAAATTTTTTGTAGAGACAGGGTCTCGCTACCTTGAACGGGCTGACCTTGAACTCCTGGGCTCTGGTGGCCCTCCTGTGTTGACCTCCCAAAGCATTGGGATTACAGGCATGAGCCACTGCACCCAGCCTAGAAGCTCTGTTCATATTTATTTGCGAAGATCAATTTGATGACTAAGCAGTAAACTAATTTATAAAATAATATTAAATATTAAAACCAACTTTAAACAATTATCTTCACCTATGTATGTGTGTGTGTGTATATATATACACACACACACACACATATATATATATTTAACAAGTATCTCCAATACCACAACCAGTGTATTTTTTGTTTTTTTGAGATGGAGCTTCGCTGATGTTGTCCAGGCTGGAGTGCAGTGGCGCGATCTCGGCTCACCGCAAACTCTGCCTCCCAGGTTCAAGCAATTCTCCTGCCTCAGCTTCCCAAGTAGCTGGGACTACAGGTGTGCGCCACCACGCCCAGCTAATTTTGTATTTTTAGTGGAGACCTGCCTCTTAATTCTCCAACATGGAGGGGTTTCTCCATGTTGGTCAGGCTGGTCTCAAACTCTCAACCTCAGATGATCCGCCCGCCTTGGCCTCCCAAAGTGCTGGGATTGCAGGCGTCGCCACCGCGCACGGCCACCATTATGCCTCGGCCTCCCACAGTGCTGGGATTACGGGCGTGGCCACTGCGCGCGGCCACCATTGTGCCTCGGCCTCCCACAGTGCTGGGATTGCAGGCGTGGCCACCGTGCGCGGTCACCACTGTATTTTTTGACAAGGGTGAGTCAGGACTGACACTTAATTCATTTGTTTGATATATTAACTGCTTTAAAAGGACACACAATGCTAGCTGCACCAAAGTGCATTCAAATTCCTCATAGCATGAATCTAATTTTAAAAAACCTTTGTAGGGCGGGCATGGTGGCTCACGACTGTAATCCCAGCATTTTGGGAGGCCGAGGCGGGCAGATCACGACATCAGGAGTTCAACACCAGCCTGGCCAAGATGGTGAAACTCCGTCTCTACTAAAAATACAAAAAAAATTAGCTGGGCGCGGTGGCAGGCGCCTGTCATCCCAGCTACTCAGGAGGCCGAGGCAGGAGAATCGCTTGAACCCAGGCGGCAGAGGTTGCAGTGAGCTGAGATCACGCCACTGCCCTCCAGCCTGGGGGACAGAGTGAGACTCCGCCTCAAAGAAAAAAAAAAAATCCTCTGTATTAGGAAGTTTTATTAGAAAAAAATACTAGAGCACAATAAGAAAATATTCATAACGAACTTATACAAAGTAGCAAGGAAAACATTAAGATGCCAATAAATAAATGTGCAAAGAACATGAACAAAAGTCACACACACACAAATACAAACATAATACACGAGTTCGTTCCCATGTAAGAACTCAATCAATATTTGTTGCAAGACTAAATGAAAAAGGAAAATTTATTTAGTGACAGAAATGGGGAAACATTCAACCTCAACCCTGAGTGGGAAAAAACTTACTGCCCACTAAATTACCCATCTCATCTCACCCCGGTAAATAATGCCCAGTGCTGGCATGCACACTGGCAGTATACAAACTGAGAAAGACTTTCTGGAAAGTGCTACAGCCATGTGACCACAGGGCTTCACCCTGTGACCTCATTAAACCTAAGCAGATTACAGGTCTGAAGGGGGCTTTCTTTAGATGTGGCTCCACCTACTTAGGGGCAGATGAAGAAAACAGGGGTCTGGGCAGTTCTGAATGGGAAGGCCAGGCATCACCTCCCTCTTCAGTTGCACAAAGTGTGCGTGGCATCCTCACATCCCATCTGCCTCAATTTCGCTTTTTCTCTGAACACTTTTCACCATCTGTCTGAAGCACACACACACATTTTATTCACTTCCCCATTCCCATGCATGAATGCTAGGACCTTTGCAATTGTGGGCCAGGAAAGATTGCAAATGATAAGCCACCAGCACAGAGAGTAGAAATGAAATCCTGGGGTTACAAGCTAAAGCATTACTGACACCCACTTGTCCAGAACGGCTGAAGCTGGGCGGTGACTGTCAACAGGTATATACGGACTAGAAAGTGGAGCTGCTGGAGGAGGCCCTGTACCTTCCTGCCATGACACAGCCTCCCCCCAAGTGCTGGGCTTGTGTGCTCAACACTCCCTCTTGCTGTCATCCTACCACACCTGCAGACTGGAGGTAATCCAGATGCAAGGCCGTCGAGTCCCGCAAACACCCACCTGCCTCTTAATTTTCCAAGTGAGACCTACATTTCCTCAAGCGTGAAGCTCAATAAAATCAACTATTGTTTTCCGTTTTCATCACGAGCGCCACTTTCCCCCTATTTGTTCACCGCCTCCACTCCACAAGAACTGCTCTTGACTTGGCCAACTTTCTGGGACACCCTCACTACAAGGATTTATGAGTCAAACAGGTTTTTGTGCTAGCCTGGAAATCTAACTGCTGACAGCAGTTGTTTCAAGAAGAAAATGCTGTTTTGGAACCAAACAGCAGGCTGCCAACTGAAACAACATAAACCCACCTCCAAGTTCAAATGAAACAAACAAACAAAAAGACTGGTCCAAGTGAGGCAAGCTGTGGTGGCTCACACCTGTAATCCCAGCACTTTGGGAGGCCAAGGTGGGCTGATCACGAGGTCAGGAGTTCGAGACAAGCCTGGCCAACACAGTGAAACCCGTCTCTACTAAAAATACAAAAATTAGCTGAGCGTGGTGGTGGGCGCCTGTAATCCCAGCTACTCAGGAGGCTGAGGCAGGAAAATCACTTGAACCCGGGAGGTGGAGGTTGCAGTGAGCCGAGATTGTGCCACTGCACTCCAGCCTGGGCAACAGAGCTAGACTCTGTCTTAAAAAAAAAAAAAAAAAAAAAAGACTGGTCAAAGTGGCTTACGTCTGTAAGATCAGCACTTTGGGAAGTGGAGGCAGGAGGATCTCTTGAGGCCAGGAGGTTGAGACTAGCCTGGACAACACAGTGAGACTCTATCTCTACAAAAAATTTTATAAATCAGCTAGGTGTGGTGGTGCAGGCCTGTAATCCCAGCTACTCAGGAGGCTGAGGTGGGAGGATCAATTGAGCCCAGGAATTTGAGGTTACAGTGAGCTATAATCATGCCACCATAAACACGCCTGGAGGACAGAGTGAGGCCCTGTTTCTAACATACACACACATATACACACAGAAACATCTCGAGAGGACACCTCCAAATGATGAAGCTATTTTGTTGGGTACTGCGGTGGCACCTGTGATTCCTCAAGTAGCTTGGAATCAGCGTGCTAACACCATAAAGTGGCTGCAAAAGTCCCAGTGAAGTCACTGCTGAGAGCAAACAGGCCTTACAGAGAAGTTCCAAGGGGACAGGAAATTTCCAGAGGCTTGAGAGGACAATGTTCAGGGGAATAAGTACTTGAAGGGAATTATCTAACAAGGTGTTAAAGTAACTAGCTTCTTAGACAAGATGACATCAGGAGGAAAAAAAAACTTATTAAGGCAAACATGTCAGTTTCAGGCCAACTAAGGCTGTCAGAGAGACATGGAACACAAGAAGAGAAGAGTTTTGAAATGTATTCCCATCAAGAGCCAAGAATAATGAACTTTTGAATGTAAAACTTAGTGTGTTCCAAAACAAGAAAGGAAAAATAACTTGTTACTCGGAATCGAAGCCAAAAGGAATCTCATTGCTTGGGGAGGAGGGATGGGAGGGTGGGGGTGGTCCTTGGCCTGGGAAGGAAAACTCCACCAGGCCTTCGGAGCTGGGCACGCCCTGTTCCCACAATTAAGAAAAAAAACGACGACCTAGAGCTCAAGGCCGGTGCTGACATCTGACCTACTGGATGGCAGCCGCCTGTAGGAACATCACCATAGACTATTGGAATTTTCTGGCAAGTACTGGGCACTAAATCAGAGATGTGTTTTTAGAGAATTCCATGCCAATACTGCTGTATAGAATCTTTTATTCATACTTTCCCACTAGGTTTGGGCCCCTCTAAGCTTTCACGAGTCAAAGACCCCTCCTGCTTGCTGAAACCACCCACGGAAGGCCGGACACCGAGGACCTGGCCGCCCAAGCAGAGGCGACTGACAAGCGCGGTCCGGGCTGGACGGCCCCACCTTCCCCGCCCGGGAGAGCCAGGCCGGACAGCGGCCTCCCTCAGACCCGTCCCCAAGGCCGAGCCTCGCCCTGGGCCGTGCTGGTGCCCCATTCGGGACGGAGCGGTGGCCCGTCAGCACTTCCACGGCCTCCTCAGCAGGCCAGATGGGCAGGGCCGGCCTGGTGTCTCCCCGCCTGGCCGCGCGCTCGCGGGCAGCGATGACCCCAGGCAGCGGGCGACCCCAGGCGGACGGCAGGCCGGGTCTGCTCACTCACCGTTCGCTGCCGCGGGCGCCTGCGGGGGCGTCTACATGCCGGACCGAGCCCGCAGGCCCCGCCGCCGCGCCGCCGCCAGCCGTCGCTACCTGGCCCTTGGCGCCCTGGCCGCCTGTTGCCCCATGGCCGCCCGGACCCCGGCGCCGGCGCCGCCGAGCAGCAATGCGCCGCGCCCGCCCACTGCGCAGGCGCACCCGCCACGCATGCGCGCTGCCGCGCACGTGGGGCGTCCCGCGCGTCTGCCGGGTCCCACCGGCGCCGGGACACCCCGCGCGGGCGGGAGGCGGCGGGCGTGGCGGGAAAGAGGCGGGCGGTGGGGAAGAGGGGCGAATCGCGGTGGAGAGCAGTGACCAGGGAGTGGAGGCGGGCAGCGGGGACAGGGGCGGGCGTCCGCGACTCGGGTAGGCGGGGGTCGGCGCCCCGAGGAGGGCGGCCCCCGGCTCCCGTCCCCACTCACCTGCCGCGTCCGGAGGGCGCCCCCGGGTCCGCCCGCCACGTCTACGCCTAGGCGCCCCCGACATTGTGATCCCAGCCCGGCGTCCCGCCCCCAACTCACCGCCACCGCGGGCGGGACCTCCCGGACCACGTGGGCCGGCTCAGGGGAGTGCAGGTGCCCCGCGAGAGCTGGCCCCGCCCGCCGCCGCTTCCCTAATTACCGGGCTGTGACACGGTGTGGGCCGAGCCGGATTTGGGAACCGAAACTTAGAGCAGCTGCGGCAGCGCTGCGCTCCCTCGGGGCTGTCCGTCGGGGCTGGGAGGGCGGCCCTGCGCCTGGGGGAACCGCGATCGGCCTCACGCCCACCTCTAGCGGCCAGGTGCGCCTTGCACGCCCACGAACGTCCTCAGAGGTCTACGCTTGGGATCCCAAGGCTGGCAGTGGAGGGAGGACCCGGTGGCCTGGGGCACCTCTAGGGGGACCAGGGAGCCGTGTTTTGCGCACCCCACAGGCTGGAGGACTCGGGGAGTTGGGGGAGGAGGCCAAAGCCACAGGAGCGGACTTTGTAGTGTTTGTTGGAACTGCGGGTCCCACCCAGCCCGCACTTGCTGAACTGGTGGCTGCTCATCAGCGCCTTCAGGCCTCAAATATCCCAATAATGTGCCCTATACCCAGTTCTCAGCTCTCGAGTCACTGTCAGGTAAACTGGCAATGCACGACCAGCTGCTCTAACCTGCTGGTCCCCCAGGTGCCAGACATTGTTTTGTTTTTCTGAGATAGTGTCTCATTCGTCCCCCAGGCCGGAGTCCAGTGGCGGGCTCACGGCTCACTGCAGCCTTGACCTCTCAGGTGCAAGCGATCCTTCCACTTCAGCTTCCCTAGTAGTTGGGACTACAAGTAGGTCCCGCCACACTCGACTACTTCATTCATATATATATATATTTGTGTGTGTGTGTGTGTGTGTGTGTAGAGATGAGGTTTTACCATTTTGCCCAGGCTGGGTCTCAAACTTCACCCGCCTCGGCCTCCCAAAGTACTAGGATTATAGGCGTAAGCCACTGCACCTGGCCCAGCCATTGTTTTCTGAGGTTCAGTCCCTGTCTATACTTTCTGTGTGATCACCTGGCCCAGGGTCGGTGTGGACCTGAGTCCTCTGCAGCCCTTCCCCACACCCGCATACCTGCTCTCTGGTCAGGACTCCTGGGACTTGAATCCAGAGACACGGAACACGGCCTGGCCAAGTCTTCCTGAAAAACACAGCTCTTCAGTTCAGGACCACAGTGAAGTACAGGGCACCAAGGGTGACTGGAAAGGGAAGCAAGGATCATGAGAACTTGGGGGATTTCTTAAGCTCTGTAACTTCTCCCGGGGTTATTTTGCAAACCCAACTGTTTCAAAGTGACCACCAGCCACACCCACAGAAGCGGCCTTGAGCTGCCCAGTTCTTTTTCTTTGGCGGGGGGAGAGGGGGCGGATAAGATCATTAACATAATAATGCGTGAGCTGAGTTTTTGCATATGATCATTAGCATAATAATGCTTGATCTAGATGGCGCACCCACAAGCCAGGCACTGAGCCAGGCCTCAGTAGAATCTTCTAGAGTGGAGGCAGTCAACTGCTTCTGCAGAGGCAACCAGTGACTGTCGTGGGCCCCAGGTCACACAGCAGGTGCCCTTCGCGTGTCCCGCTGTGTAGGGAGCTCCAGCAGCTGCCCCGTCTGTGGCATGAAAACCCTTTGTCTACCCTGGGCCTGGGCACTGCCTGCAGGAGAGCTTCCCTGTTTCAGAGATGAGAAAACAAAACCAGGGCTGTGGTTTCCTTCAGCTGACAGGTTGTGCAATTTCTCAGGGCAGGCCCCGGATATGACCTTGAAGATTCAGGGGCCAAGATCTCACACCCACACCTCACCCCAGGCCTGGCCAGCAATAACTAAGACCAAAGCTGGGAAGGCTCCTTAGGGCACCCAGAATGGTCCAAGAGGCAGCTTTGCTTGGGCTGAGACCAAAGGGAAGAGATGTTCCCGCAGCAGGAACAGAAGGGTCCAGGGCTATCATGGGGGCTTCTGCCAGATGGTGCACAGGAAGAGGCTCTGCCTTCAAGGGATTGGGGGTCAGGAAAGGCCCCCTCCTGCCTGACCAGGCCCCAGGGATGGGGCAGCAGTGGGTGGCATCCCCTGCCCTGACCTTCCTCAGCCCCAGGGCTGCCATTGCTCAAGGTGGCAGTGGACTCTTCACATAATTTCGCATTGTTTTTTGTATTCTTTAAGGATGGCTCCCATGTTGTTTACTTCAGAACCCCCAAAACCTGGACCCATCCTCTTCTGGGGGTCAGCAGGGATGGGGAGGGTGGAGGGAGAAGGGGGAACGGAGGCCATGAGGGATGGAGCAGGATGGGGTGCACTGGGGTACAGGTTGCTCCTGGGGAGGCTGAGGAGAGAGGGAAGTTGGCTTCAGGTGGCCTGGCTCCAGTAAACTGGGTGAACGAAGTCTGCCCAGAACCCACAAGGGTAAGTGGCCTGGAGCCTGGGGAAAGGATGACTGGGAAGGACTGAGGCTCCCAGTGAAGGACATCAGTATGGCAGGCTATCTGGTCATCTCATCCAGCCTCCAGCCAGCACCCGGCACAGGCCCTGCCCAGGCTGAAAGCCAGGATAGGGGCGTCTGCAGGGGCCAGTGTCTGGATCTGCTCACATGACAGTCTTCTGTTTGGCCTGGTTTGGGGCGAGGGGCAACCTCTTTCCCAGGATGCCAGCCATGTGCAGGGCATACTGAGGATTCAACAGTGGAAACCAAAGTCCATCAGGTGTTCACCTTCTAGTGGGGCAGACGGGCAAGAAGCAGAATTGGTGGGGGCAGGCAGGGGTTGGGGTACAGTTTTGACCAAGGTACCCAGGGACAAGTGTTTCTCTCTCAGGCAGAGGCAGCAGCAAGGACCAGGACCCTGAAGTGGTGAGAGCCTAGAGTGGGCGGGGATCATCAACAGTAACCACCTGGCAGGACTGGGACTCCCTGTGTCCTCACAAGATCCTTACCAAGCAGCCTAGTATAAGACGAAGTCTCGCTCTGTAGCTCAGGCTGGAGTGTAGTGGCATGATCTCAGCTCACTGCAAGCTCCGCCTCCCGGGTTCAAGCCATTCTCCTGCCTCAGCCTCCAGAGCTGGAGTTACAGGCGCACACCACTGAACCCGGCTCATTTTTTGTATTTTTAGCAGAGACGGGGTTTCATCATGTTGGCCAGGCTGGTCTTGAACTCCTGATCTCAGGTAATCCATCCACCTCGGCCTCCCAAAGTGCTGGGATTACAGGCGTGAGCCACAGCGCCCGGCCACAGCCTGGTACGTTTATTGTCCACATTTTTCACGCGGGGGCCAGAGGCACAGAGAGGCCAAGTAACTTGCTCAAGGTCACCCAGCGAGGAAAGGGAGCTGGGGGGTGGGGGTAGGGGACAGGGCGAGGCCAGAGAGTAGTGGGAGGGGCCGAGGCGGCCTTTCCCGGGAGCGCTCGGTTCCCGGCCGGCCCTTCTATTGGCCCCAGTCACTCAGGCTCCCAGGTCCGGCTCGGGGGGGAGCGGGGGGCCGCGCCAGGCCGCTGAAGTGTCCCCGTTTCGCGTGGGCAGAGCGCGCCTCCCCACGCATCCTGCTGAGGGCCAGCCTCTGCTAGGTGCGTGACACGGAGGGGACAGAACGGAAACCTTGTCCTGCTCAAGTGTGGACGTGCGTGCCACGTGCTAGAGTAAAATTGAGGTGGGGAACCTCCATCCCTGGGACATGGAGCACAGGGGCGACCCCGCGCCGCTTGGTCAAAGGAGGTCCGAGGCCCTGCAGGAACAGCCCACAGCCGGAGCGAGCTGCAGGTCACTCCACTGCCTGTGTCCACCTGCGACAGGTGCGCCCGCGCAAGCGGGGCGGAGCCAGGTGACCCGGACACAGGAAGCGCGCCAGGGGCCCCCACACCGCGGAGCTGCTGGCGACAAAGGGCGCTGCTCCTGCATAGGCCAGGCTAATGCAATCTACAAACTAGATTTCTGTGCCTACAGTTTGAAAATGATTGCAGTTCACTCAGCCAGTGTGGAATTATCCTCCTCTTTCCACACTGCCTTAGTCAGTGCCGCTGTCCAAGTGCACGTTGTTGGCGCCCGTTTTCATTTCCTGTTTTGCTAAGAAAGTGGGGCAGTGGCCTCCATGCCCGCCAAGGGACAGGCAGGCCGCCCCAGGGAGGGGTCCCCCTCAGCTCTGGCTCTTCCAGGCCAAAGCCAAGGGGAAGGGGCACCAGAGGGTCCCAGGTCCCACATGCCAGCTCCCTCAGTCTGCGGGGTGCCAGGCTAGGACACAGAAGCCAACAGGAATCCCCAAAGGGAGGAAGTGGAGTCGGGGGTGTGGCAGCCGTGCTGAGATGCTCGGCCTTTATTTACTCTGGGCAGGGACCAAGATAGGCCACTGCAGGCCGGCACCCTGCCTCCCGGCTGCTGGAGCCCCTCCCTCCCAGGAACTGCCAGCCAGGAAAGAGCCTCAGGTACTCTCTGCATTTAATTTTTAATTTTTTTTTTCTTTTGACGCCTCCAAGACAAGTTCAACTCTCTAGTGATTTTAAGTGGGGTTTTTGTAAGACAGCTGGCAGGGTTAGGGCTTGTGAAGAACTTGCATGTCTATGAAGAACTGATTTATTTCAGGGAAAAGTGGGGGATGACGAAGCCAGGCGAGCCCACCCCGTTCAGCCTGCCAATCACACCCACTTCAGCAGCCTAAAACAGCACCAGGTCACCCCACCAGGGAGACAACGCCATAGTGTCACTTGCAGTGCTGGCAGATGGGCACCCTTGGTGGCGTCAGAAACACACCCAGCACCTTGCCTGGAGCAGGGCGGCTGGGCCCTGCTCCGTGAATCCCAAGTGCCCTATGGGAGCCTCTCCGGCCAGGGACTGCCAGCCTAGAGGAGGGGCTGCTGGGTTCTCTGGTGCCCAGGGGAGGAGGGGGCCTACAGGTACTTTCTGCTGAGAGCCTTCTTCACTTACTAGGAAAAAGTTTGGCTGGGTGCGGTGGCTCGGCCTGTAATCCCAGCACTTTGGGAGGCTGAGGAGGGCGGATGACAAGGTCAGGAGATGGAGACCATCCTGGCTAAGATGGTGAAACCCCGTCTCTACTAAAAATACAAAAATTAGCCGGGTGTGGTGGTGGGCACCTGTAGACCCAGCTACTCGGAAGGTTGAGCCAGGAGAATGGCGTGAACCCAGGAGGCAGAGCTTGCAGTGAGCCGAGATCGCGCCACTGCACTCCAGCCTGGGCAAGAGCGAGACTCCATCTCAAAAAACAACAACAAATTAGCCGGGCATCTGGGCCAGGCGCGGTGGCTCACACCTGTAACCCCAGCACTTTGGGAGGCTGATGTGGGTGGATCACAAGGTCAGGAGATCGAGACCATCCTGGCAAACATGGTGAAACCCTGTCTCTACTAAAAATACAAAAAATTAGCTGGGCATGGTAGCAGGCGCCTGTAATCCCAGCTACTTAGGAGGCTGAGGCAGGAGAATCGCTTGAACCTGGGAGGTGGAGGTTGCAGTGAGCTGAGATCGCACCATTGCACTCCAGCCTGGGCAAAAAAGAGCGAAACTCCGTCTCAAAAAAAAAAAAAAAAAAAAATTAGCGGGGCGTCGTGGTACGTGCCTGTAATCCCAGCTACTTGGGAGGCTGAGGCAGGAGAATCACTTGAACCCAGAAGGCAGAAGTTGCAGTGAGCTGAGATAGCGCCACTGCACTCCAGCCTGGGCCACAGAGCGAGACTCCACATCAAGGGAGAAAAAAAAAAAAAGTTCCAGCTGCTGGAGCCATGGGAATTAAAAAATTACTTTTTTTTTTTTTTTGAGAGGCAGTCTTGCTCTCTCACCCAGGCTGGAGTGCAGTGGTGCGATCTTGGCTCACTGCAAACTCCGCCTTCCCGGGTTCATGCCATTCTCCTGCCTCAGCCTCCAGAGTAGCTGTGATTACAGGCGTGTGCCACCATGCCCAGCTAATTTTGTATTGCCTATTTAAGATTTTAAAAAATCACCAGTTTGGAAAGCAGGGAAGTGGATGGTTCTGGAGCCTAGGAGCGGCTATTTGGGACACACACAGCCATGGTTTTCCACACTACCATGGCCAGTGCTCATTTTTTTCTTACTAGATGCAGTTCTTTATATTCAGACCAAGAGGAACACTCAGTTCAGTCCCAAGGAAAGCTAGTCTCTGGAGTAACATCCTCAGACATTCTAAGGGAGGGAAATGGCAGAGGAGAAAGGCAAGGCAGCCGCCTGTGGAGACTCCCACGGTGCTGTGGGCAAGGCCTATGCCTGGGGAGGGGTCTGGGCGATGGCAGGTGGACCTCCCTGCTCTGCTGGCCTGTGAGGTGGAGCTTCCCAGGAACCCCTCCGAGGAGCCAATGCGCCACTCATGGATTCTGTGACGTGGTGGCGGCCATGGCACCGCCTGGCATGAGCAGGCCCGTCAGACCTCACAGCAACAGGGACAGCTTAGGGAAGCGGGCGCGTTGCAAACTGGAAGTGGACCCGTAAATAATCACCACACCAAAGTCCCTCATGTCAAACTGCTTTATTACATCTTAAATAACAGTACAGTTTAATATAGTATCTATCTTGCATCCAGCTTCCTTGCAGTACACTGACTTTAAAATTAAATACAAAAGGTGGAAAGGGGTAAGGGTGCAGAGAGCTCTACAGAGTTGTTGGACGGAAAGAGAAAGAAGGGGTTTCATTTGTATTCTCTTTGCCAGATCCAGGCCTACCGCAAGGTCACAGCACAGTTTTGTATAGAATGTTGCAGAAAACAGGATGGAGAAGCCACTACTGCTGCTATGAAGGAGTGCGGGGGGCGGGGCGGGGGGTCCCACAGAACCTGCTTTCCAAACGCTGCTGCTGAACACTGGCCTTGAAATGAACACCAGGACAATCTGTGTGTGATGGGAATGAGCCACCTCAGATGTGGAGGGCCCTGAAGAATCCATATAGGAGGGCAGGCTCTTCACTCCCTCTCCCTCCCTCTCTCTCCCTCCCCACCCTCAGAATCCAACAGCAGTCGTTTGCAACAGAACTTTTTTTTTTTTAAAGAAATAAAGAAAACAGTGACTTATCCCGCTACCCAAGCGTGTAGAGCCGCGCGCTGTACTGCTTCCGATATGTGCCACAGAGCAGCAACGAGAAGTGGACAGAGCCGCAATGGTTACAACTGTAAGAGGTTATTTCTTAAAAGAAAAAGAACACCTAAGGACTGAGTCCCATATGCACTTTTGAGCATTTCTACAGCATGCGATTCTAAGAGTAAACCCACCCAATATGGCAAACAATCAAAATTTTTAAAATTTAACTTAGAAAGTCTGAGATCATTATTTTCAAAACATTGATTTGTACATTGTTTCATACACAAATAATTGACTGACTATCCAAGCACAGGACAGGCATCTCTCTTGAAAACAGAGGTTCCTCCTAGTTGGGGGTGGGGTAGTGTTAGGCTATTATAAACTTCCCTCCAACTTCACAAGGAAACCCAAAGTGAGATTAAAAACTCAACTGAGAAGATAGACAGGATGGGTCAGGAGGAACATGGTGCTGGATCTGAGCTCACTTTTCAGCAAAGGTGAAGGATTCTCTGATCACGCATTTGAGACCGTCCCCGCATGTGCTTGGCCCCATGGCTTCTGAACATGTTCTTTTCTATGCCACGTTTGTGTGCAACAATGATCTGTGACATCAGACAGAAAATTAAAAACCAGGGACTGAATTTACATCATTGACAACATCAGAGAGGCTGCCCTAGACTCTCTGGTTTTGATTAACTGTTGAACACAAAGGAATACATTTTAAAAAGGAAATATGAATGCTTCCAAAATCTTGCTACAAACATGACTGAAATTTGGACACGATGACCAGATGAACAAAGCCCTCAGCATGTTTTGCATGAATGCCACAAAACAGGGTCACTGGTCTAAAATTCAAATACACTGGTGGAAAAGTGTGTCTGTCTGACAATTACACTCAAGTTTACCTTCTGGTTAACATTTTTATTATATATTTCCTTTTAAAATTCATTCAAGACAAAAAAGAAAACAAAGACGATGGCCCCGGAAGGAATGCACAATTTGTTTTAGTTTACAGCACAGAGATCTTTCTCTCAATGGGAATTGTGCTCTTGGTTTCAGCAATAAGTGAAGGAAAAAAGATCTTGCCCTTTTGAAGTTCTGAGGGGAGGTGTAGGGTGTCCACGTTAGTACGGTTGGATAGGATATGCTCTCATGGTAACGCGTCCAAGTTGGAATGGTCTTCCAGTCTCCATGGCATCCACATGCTGTTTTAAACAGAGTTTAAAGAAATGTGAAAAGAGGCAGAGAATCTAAGTGCAGACGCACAGCCAGGTCACTGCTCTTCCCATCACTGCATGAGTGTCTGCAGCTGAGGGCACGTGACTTCAGCTTTCTGTAAACGTTTCCCACAACACAATTCCAAATCAATGCTACATCAACATTTATCTAGAAACCGTTAATGACAACTTCAAATGTTCTATGAGAAACACGCACAGTTCTCCTCAGAGAAGGGCATTTGGGCTGCTGCATTACCTACTGGCGTTAGTTCCAGATCTTGAGGAAGCTATCCCAGGACCCTGTCGCCACAGCCATGCCATCGTCAGTCACGCCCAGGCAGCTGACGCGGTTGTCATGCCCAGCCAAGACACCTGGGAGCAAACAACAGCAGAATCACACCAAAGCCCAGAGGCATCGATCTCACCTGTGTGCCATGTTGTGACGAGGACGGATGGTGCATCTCTCATGGGACAAGACCCAGAGTCTCCCACGGCCAGGAAGGGAGGGAAAGTTGCATCCACGTGGGGAATTAACCTGCAGCATATGGCCAGCCTTGTTAAAATTCAAAGACACGCACACACACGCAATCGATAAATCCAGAGCCCCTGGCATTGACTTCTCAGCACTCACTTATAAAACTTAAAAAAAGAAGCAAAGGCCACTATCAAAAAAATCAAAACTATCATCAGACGCAGTGGCTTAGGCCTGTAATCCCAGCACGTTGGAAGGCCGAGGCAGGCAGATCATGAGGTCAGGACTTTGAGACCAGCCTGGCCAATATGGTGAAACCCCATTTCTACTAAAAATACAAAAACCAGCAGGGCGTGGTGGTGCGGGCCGTAGTCCCAGCTACTCAGGAGGCTAGGGTAGGAGAATCATTGGAACCCAGGAGGTGGAGCTTGCAGTGAGCCAAGATCGTGCCAGTGCTCTCCAGCCTGGGCGACAGAGCGAGACTCCATCTCAAAAAAAAAAAAAAAAAATCAAAACCGCCCCAATCTCAAAGCAATCTGTAACACAGGAGCTTAGAGGCATGAGCCGTTTTTCCTTTGTCTGTGATCCCTAGAGCCCAGCACAAGGCACAGAACACAGGAGTAGCGATGGTGGCTGAGACCACTGGCACTGCACTGTCACTGTCATGTGATGAGGGGGCCTTCTGTCAACACTCCCAATAACCTTGGCTTGGATCATCACCAGCCAGAAGCTCCACTTCCTCCCAGGGGGATCCGAAGGCCCATTTCAGCCACCCTCCTCCACCTCCTGCAGCCACCACACAGCTGAGTACAGGGGCCGGCGTGTGCTCTGCCAAGGCCTGGGCTGGCTTCCACCGCCCTTCAACAGCACTGTGACTGTGAGACTTGGCTGGAAATGGCTCCACTCTGGTCCCCCCAGGCTGGGGAGAAAAAGAAATGTGTTTAACCAGGAGGTGGGAGTGGCACCCATCCGGAAGCAGGAAGCCCCGGTAAGGGCCAAGACCTGGAGCCATGCTCCCTTCTGTCCTCCCAGGTACTGAGACAAATGAATCTAAGTCTGTAAGTGTCAACAGTTCTCAAATTCAAATGCCCAAATGACCATTTTTAGTAAGGAAGTCTCATCTTTTGTACACCTGGCAATAACACGCTTGCCTTTGATATGTTAACTGTAACGGCACCCAGAGGTGTCCCTGCATGGAACTCCTCCCCCTGAAGCAGAGTTCAGAGGGGAAAGCACGGGGCTGGGCCCTGGAGCCTGCACAGCTGACCCTCTCCTGCCCACTGACTCTCCCCAGAGCCCTCCCCGACGCATGTGGGAAGATCTGCTGGTACTCCTCGGAGTCCACTTGCCTGGAGGGTCAGAGCTGGGCCATCAGTTTGCGACTGTCACTCCTGCTACGCCATGCCACAGTCCCACCGATACTAAAACACTGCAGCTTATGCAACCACTCTGTGTTTGCTCTAAAGATACCACGTAAATGTCCACAAGACACAGAAAGGCCCCATGGCCACGTACCTGCCCGGTCGGCTTTGAGTGCATCCCAGACGTTGCAGTTGAAGTCGTCGTACCCAGCAAGGAGGAGGCGCCCGCTCTTGGAGAAGGAGACAGAGGTGATCCCGCAGATGATGTTGTCATGGGAGTAAGTCATGAGCTCCTGGTCAGCACGAAGGTCAAACAGCCTGCAGGTGGCGTCGTCTGAGCCAGTGGCAAATGCATTGCCATTTGGAAAGAACTGGAAAGAGAAAGCAAATCAAGACATCATGTAAACGCTCAGAAAGAAACATTGGGAATATGGATTGCTCAATGGTAGGGCTGCAGAGAACACAGCAGGCAAAGACCAGCAAGACTGTGCTCTGGTAAGAACAGAGGGCTGGGCCGGGTGCGGTGGCTCATGCCTGTAATCCCAGCACTTTGGGAGGCTGACGCGGGTGGATCACCTGAGATGGGGAGTTTGAGACCAGCCTGACCAACATAGAGAAACCCCATCTATACTAAAAATACAAAATTAGCTGGGCGTGGCGGCGTGCGCCTGTAATCCCAGCTACTCAAGAGGCTGAAGCAGGAGAACTGCTTGAAACCGGGAGGCGGCGGAGGCTGCGGTGAGCCAAGATTGCACCATTGCACCCCAGCCTGGGCAACAAGAGCAAAACTCCGTCTCAAAAAAAAAAAAAAAAGGGTGGGGGGATGGGGGAGGAACTACAGGGGACTGGGATGGGAGGGGATTTGCACTGGGGAGGCACACAAACACTGTGATCTTGGACACTGTGATTACTGTCCCCAAAGAGTAGAATTTATTCCAAAGGATAGTGAGAAAGTAGTCATCACTGACAGGTGTGCATGTTGCTGTAGCTGCCAGCCATCAGGGCTAATCTCATGGAGGAAGGAGGGAAGCGGGCTGACCAAGGCTGTGGTCAGGACTGCAGCAGAGCTCTGTCCAACCAACAGATACATCCTTCTAAGTCTCCTCACAAGGCCAGGGGCTGGAAACACTGCCTAGCCATCCGCGTGCTAAAGAGGAGGGCAGGTTCCCTGGTTAGCTGTGCCCCTGACCAGTAAGGCTCTGTAACCACTGGTGGCCTGAGTTATCTTACTGTCTTTCCCCTCCAGGATCCCAACCACTGCTCAGCTGTAGAGGTGGGAACGGGGACTGGCATACAACACCCTGTGAGTATCTGTGAGACAAGTGGTCAACACAGAGAAGTTTCCCATCGGGAGTTTTCTGTATCCCCATCTGTACATGAGGTTGTATAAGGATCAGAAAGGAGAACATCTAATCCAGAAAAGTTTAAAATTTAGCAATCTGAACGGCTAGCAGAGACGGCAGAGGACCCGACCCCACACCTCCACCCAGACTCACGCAAATGGCATTGATGTCAGACTCGTGGCCAGTGAAGGTCTGCCGGCACATGCCTTCTCGCACATCCCAGAGTTTGGCTGAAGCATCACAAGCACCAGAGACGAACAGTCTGGTGTCAGGAGCAAGAGAAAGGCTCATGACATCTCCAGTGTGTCCGGTAAACGTGGTCGTCTGCTGGCCGGTCTCGATGTCCCACAGGGCACTGGAGCAGGAGCGAATGACAAGGGGACATCAGCCTTAACTTCTTGGGTGGCTAGTCATGTGACAGACAATCTGTCCTTCAAACCACCCAGGGCCACAGTGAGCCTCTGCACTGTTACTTTAAAAACGTAAATTGTTTAAAGACAAATTTAAATGTAATACAACTTTGGAAGGGAAACAAAGCAAAGCAAGCAAAATTATACAGAGATGAGCACAGGGCCTGGGCTTCAGAATGACGGGATCGCTACCTCAACTCAAATGCCAGCAAACAGGGAGCTGGGGGCACTTTTCAAGCAGCACCACTGAGGCTGTGCCCCCTCTTTGGTCATGGATGGGCATGGAAGGGGTGGCAGGAAGCTACGTGGAGGCCCTGGATGGCGGAGGGGACGCGACTCTATCTGTGGCTGCTCCCTCTGTGCCCTCCCTTGGCCTCCCCTCCACAGGGTCTCAGAAAAGGCAGGCAGGAGAAGGCCAATGCCAGGTAAACAAATGGCTCACAGCAATTCTGAGGTCCTCCTGCCCTTTCCTGGAATCACAAACAGGAGAGCAGCTGAGTTCTCAGTGATCACACCTGGTATTTTTTTTTTTTTTTTGAGACCGAATTTCACTCTTGTTGCCCAGGCTGGAGTGCAATGGCGCGATCTTGGCTCACCACAACCTCCGCCTCCCGAGTTCAAGCGATTCTCCTGCCTCAGCCTCTCCAGTAGCTGGGATTACAGGCATGCGCCACCATGCCCGGCTAATTTTGTTTGTATTTTTAGTAGAGACGGGGTTTCTCCATATTGGTCAGACTGGTCTCGAACTCCTGACCTCAGGTGATCCGCCCGCCTCGGCCTCCCAAAGTGCTGGGATTACAGGCATGAGCCACCGCGCCCGGCCATACCTGGTATTCTATCACATTTCTGCTTAACAAGCTGTCAAAAGGTGAGACGCTGACAGAGCCCTGCACAGAGCAGAAGCCTGGCTCAGGTGTAAGGACAGCTGTGAGGGCCACACGCCCACCAACATACTATTCTCCTGTGCCTCGACCCATGGAAGGCAACACCAGAGAGCACTGTCCGTTCATGTCAGCCTCAGAGGAAAGCCTGGCTGGGCCTGGCAATGCAAATCCAATCAGCCAATCTCAACAGACACTGCACAGGGAGCCTCCTCTCTAGGGCCTGAGGGACTGACTGCAGAAGGGAAGCAAGATACGTAAAAGAGTCTGAAAAAAATGATTAATGAACAGAAGCACTTTAAAAATATCTTCTAATAAATAAAGTCTTCTCAAGATTGACAATCTAGGTGACAAATCTTTTGTAAATCTATGAAATTTATACAACGAGGACACCTTATAATACCACAGATGCTTTGCTGACAAGTTGGTTAAGGGCCCATGTCTCGGTGAACCCCACCAACTGCGTGACTAGGGGTCTGTGCCCTGGGCTGGGCACAGCTCCTGCCACCAAATCATGCCTCAGAAGACCAGAAAAACCCACATGGCCAGCTGAAGTCTAAAATGACTCTCATAAAATAACTATCTGGACATTTAATTTAGTACTTTGATGCCACAAATGAAAAAATTCTAGCATTTAAGTGGGCTTCCGTTTACCTGTAAGGTGAAA
Source organism: Homo sapiens (assembly GCF_000001405.40). NCBI lineage: Eukaryota > Metazoa > Chordata > Mammalia > Primates > Hominidae > Homo > Homo sapiens. The sequence goes on from NC_000001.11 coordinate 1,792,200, forward strand.
ACACTAAAAATGAAGTCTGATGGAATCACTTGAATTGTGACGTCTGTTATTTTTAGTCTGTGCTCATTGTTCACAATGACATGATGCTATCAGAAAGGGACAATCAAAACCCACCCTACTCCCACCTATCATCACCTAAGGAGGTACAAATATATAGAGGGGAAAAAAAAGAAGAGCAGGTACTTTGAGCCTGATTGTAGTTAAAATATCTATGTTGGCCAGGCATGGGGGCTCACACCTGTAATCCCAGCACTTTCAGAGGCTGACGCAGGCAGATCACGAGGTCAACGGATAAGAGACCATCCTGGCCAACGTGGTGAAATCCCGTCTCTACTGAAAATACAAAAATTAGCTGGGTGTGGTGGCGCACACCTGTAGTTCCCAGCTACTCGGGAGGCTGAGAGGGGAGAATTGCTTGAATCTGGGAGGCAGAGGTTGCAATGAGCCGAGATCACGCCACTCCACTCTAGCCTGGAGACAGAGAGAGACTCTATCTCAAAAAAAAAAAAAAAAAGAAAAAAATGTGTATTTTAGTTCTCAGCTGCTGAAAATTAAACTTTGTAAATTTATTAGAAGTATAATGAGGCTAGGCACGGAGGCTCACGCCTGTAATCCCAGCACTTTGGGAGGCCGAGGTGGGCAGGTCACCTGAGGTCAGGAGTTCAGGACCAGCCTGGCCAATGTGGTGAAACCTGGTCTCTACTAAAAATACAAAAATTAGTCAGGCGTGGTGGCGGGCACCTGTAATCCCAGCTATTCAGGAGGATGAGGCAGGAGAATCATTTAAACCCGGCAGGCAGATGTCGCAGAGCCAAGATTGAGCCATTGTACTCCAGCCTGGGTGACAAGAACAAAACTCCATCTCAAAAAAAAAAAAAGTATAATGAATTCACACATTGCTACTATGTGTTTTAAATCTTAAGGCCACTTAAATTACAGATGGCCTAATATTATGTCAAGAACCTTATTTCCTCCATGTTCACAGAGGAATGTGCCAGGGGCTGTGGGTTCTCAAGGCACTGCCTGCCCCGGGTCAGGTACTTACCACGTGGTGTCTCCAGAGCTGGTGACGATCTGATTGTCATCCAGGAATCGGCAGCAGGACAGGTAACCTGGCAAAGAACAGGCCTAAGTGATGAGCTGAATCCAGCAGGCCTTGCACCCAGCCTCATACATAGAGAAACACATTGGCCCGGTGGAAGCTCTACGTCTAAGGTAAGACCAGCACCATGCTAGTGACCTTTTATTCCCATCTGTGCACACAGCAGAAGGTCCACACGCACTGCTGGTGAGGGTGAGAGCCTGGCCAGGCAGGACAGCACGTCCCACAGAGACCCACAGCTCCGTGATGGGGGCAGAAGCAGAAACCACACCCATGAAACATACACATCTTTCATCTGCTTTACTGTTTGACCCATCAAAGGCTGGGGATCCCTCGTCTATTTACTCATTCAGGGCACGCTGACTCCAGTGCCCAGGAAGCAGCCTTAACCAGACAGACACCTCCTGCTCTCCTACAGCCCACGCTCAGCAGGGACAGAGAATGAGAATCACTGAAAGAGGACATCAGAAAGGGAGTGCTAGGGGAAGGAAGAGGACAAAGTAGGGGCCTCACAAGATGGAAGCCAGGAGAGGAGGGAGGACGAGAGTAGACTCAGAGAAGGAGGATCCAAACAGAGGGCCCAGCCAGGGCAGGAGGCGGCGAGGCCACAGGGTCAGGGTGGCAAGGGCCTGCAGGTCATGGAAGGGATAACGAAGGCAACAGGAACGCGGCATGGCAGCAACACTGCAGACACGGGGGTGCTCGTGAATATGTGTGGGTGGGTTTGTTTTCTTGGGGACAGTGGCTGTGACACCCACATCAGCGTGGGCACAATTCTGTGTCTCTGAGTATTCCCACCCACTCCCACTGGGAAGGAAGCATCAGAGGCGAGAGCAGGACACACCAAGATGCCCCGTCCTAAACAACTTCCAAAATGAGGAAAAGCAACAACAAAAAATCAGTCCGCAATATCCACACATGATGACTGGTCTCTACTAAAAATACAAAAATTAAGCGTGGTGGCGGGCACCTGTAATCCCAGCTACTCAGGAGGGTGAGGCAGGAGAATCATTTGAACCCGGCAGTTCAAGTTGTTAATGACTTCTGTTGACCATTATTTCTTTTGTACATTGATCACAGTTCTGGTATTTACTGTGGAACTAAAAGCATAGGGTCAACAAACCAGTTAGTGTGTGCCCAGGATTGGTGACAGACTGGCCCTAATCTGAAGATTCAGGGGTTCCAGTGGCACTGGTGATTCTTGGGATACCTGTTTAGATTTGAGTGTTTACTGAAAAGCCTTCCCCCCAACTACACCCCAGGGAGTCATGCGACACTGCGTGAATCAGCAAACAACAAAAATAAAATGCACCAAAAGAAGAAACCCACTGGGGTTTTAATGTAGAAAGTGTAAGATTACAGAGAAAACAAAGCATTTATTTAACAAACATTATTATCACTATTTTTTGAGACAGAGTCTCGTGCTGTCGCCAGGCTGGAGTGCAGTGATGTGATCTCGGCTCACCGCAACCTCCACCTCCCAGGTCAAGCGATTCTCCTGCCTCAGCCTCCCAAGTAGCTGGGACTACAGGTGCACGCCACCACACACAGCTAATTTTTGTATTTTTAGTAGAGATGGGGTTTCACCATGTTGGTCAGGATGGTCTTGATCTCTTGACCTTGTGATCCACCCACCTCGGCTTCCCAAAGTGCTAGGATTACAGGCGTGAGCCACCATGCCTGGCCAACAAACATTATTAAACTGGCTCTGACAGAAGAAAAATATGCATAGATGACAGAGCTCAAAATATTAACTACGTGCCTACGAAAGTATGCGTGGTCAAATACTTCCTGGAGGCCACACCACAGGGACACTAGGGACCACAAAGGTGAACCCAAGTCCAGCTCAGAGGAGGATAGCCCTGCATACCTGGCGCCCCCTGTAGTGCCCTGCAGCTTGCTGTCGTGCCCCGCAGCTCACTGTCATGCTCCCGGGTCTCCACCCGAGCCCTCCTCCACTGGCTTCCTGGTTCACACTCACCCTTGCTTCAGGGAAGCACCCCCACCCCGTCAGATGCCCATCCAGACCAGGCCACCGAGCCTTGTAGCACTTAGCCTGTTTGAATGTGAGCACAGAAGGGCAGGAAAGAAGAGTCATGGAGACCTCAGCACAGCCTGCATCTCACACAGGGGACCAGGCGGAGGCACTCCCAAGTTTACTGCATGAAAGAATCATGACCTTGGCTGGACGCGGTGGCTCATGACTGTAATCCCAGCACTTGGGGAGGCTGAGGTCAGGAGTTTGAGACCAGCCTGGCCAACATGGTGAAACCCCGTCTCTACTAAAAATATAAAAATTAGCCAGCTGTGGTGGTGGGTGCTGGGTCTGTAATCCCAGCTACTCGAGAGGCTGAGGCAGGAGAATCGCTTGAACCCAGGAGGCAGAGGTTGCAGTGAGCCGAGTTCACAGCGGTGCACTCCAGCCTGGGCAACAGAGTGAGACTCTGCCTCAAAAAAACAAAAAACATGACCTCATAGGTCTCAAAGATGACCTCTCTGTCCCACCCTGTGCAGGCTGTAGTGAAGCTACACAGAATCCATCAGCTTCTTACTCCAAGAACCAGAGACTGAACCCTAAAATCACAGCTCTCAAGCGCTGATAAAATGATGTGGACAAGCATCAGCTGACAGGAACTATGAAGGACAAGGGGAATGACCGAATGTATAAGCCACACATGGCCCCTGACTTACAATTTTGTGACTTTATGATGGTTTGAAAGACACACGCATTTAATAGGAAAACCATGCTCCAAGTACCCATACAACTATTCTGTGTTTTCATTTTCAGGAGTGTCCAATAATTTACATGAGATGTTCAACTTTTTCTTATAAGATATGTATTATGTTAGATGGTTCTGCCCAACCAGAGGCCACTCTAAGTGTCTGTGCATGTTCAGGTTGGGGGGTGAGGTGTGTCCAGTGCGGCTGGAGAGCAGGATGGGTGGTGCAATGCCCAGGGTGCAAGCATACTCCATGAGGCCCAGTCTGTGAACAGAGACCAGGTCTAACCCCTTCTTCCAGGAAAGCCTCGTAGGGCCTTCTGGCCAAGAGGCCACGAGTGGTGAAGACTGCAGACTCTGAAATCAGAAATACCTGGGCTCCACTGTCAGCATGGCAGCTGAGGAAGAGTGAAAATTCCTCTAAGTTCTTTTAGAAGTCCCAGCCTCCCCATGTAACTGGGGAACTGATGGGAGGAGCAGAGCTGTCTGTGCACATAAGAAGTTCTCAGTAAATGGAGACAGTTACTATTTCTGTTATTATTGAATTTGAACAAATTCCCTGGGTATGTGTGGGGGGACACTTCAGGTGAAAACACGCCCCTCCTCCCCTGGTGCGGGGGCCTGTGCTGCCACCCTCTGGAAGCCTGCAGAGGGGCAGGGAAAACAGACCCTGAACAAAAGTGTGCACCCAGTGAGGAGGTGCAAGGGCACAAAGGTGGCACCAAGTGCCTCAAGGAGAGGCTGAAACGCGGCCTGGGGACCTCGCAGTGGTCTGGTCATATAGGCAGTGGGTGTGAAGGGCTGTCCTGTGTCTCATAGGGACCACTGGCTATAGGGACAAGGCTGTTAAAGTCCAGGAGAGAGGGGGTGGCTTGAAGAGAGGCACGGCAGAGAGTGGAAGCGTAGGAGAAAGATGGGCTCCTGGGCATGTGGTGTCAGCAGAGGTGCCTCAAGGATAGAGTGAGTCCAGAGTCTAGAAAGGAGCAGATCACCAGGCTCTGGGAAGAGCACAGCATGGGTGCACACACTGCTCTACCCAGCATGGCTGCCGACCCAAAGACAGCAAAGCCAAGAAGGACACACAAGCGTGGCCAGATGCAGCCCTGTGAGGAAACTTACCCAAGAACGGGACGATGGGCTTGAGAAACCATCCATCTACAAGGATGGCGTTTGCTGCAGCAATGTTTATAATAAATTGTGGGAAACTGTGAACTGCCTAAATGTCTCACAATAGGAACAAATTAGTGCACCACACCATGAAACTCTCTACAGCTCCTGAGTTACAGAACGACAGTATAATACTATAGTTATATAATACTGTATAATACTACTGCATAACTATTGTATAATACTGTATTTCTGGATGGAATTATAGGGTCTCCCAACATAAAAGATGATGATTCAAAGTTCCTTTCCAAAATTCCTTTTTTTTTTTGAGATGGAGTCTCGCTCTGCCACCCAGGCTGGAGTGCAGTGGTGCGGCCTCTGCTCACTGCAACCTCCGCCACCCCGGTTCAGCACTTCTCCTGCTTCAGCCTCCCAAGTAGCTGGGACTACAGGCACCTGCCACCACATCCAGCTAATTTTTGTATTTTTAGTAGAGATGGGGTTTTGCCATGTTGGCAGGCTGGTCTTGCACTCCTAACATCAGGTGATCCACCTGCCTCAGCCTCCCAAAGTGCTGGGATTATAGGCATGAGCCACCGCGCCCAGCCCCCTTTCCAAAATTTCTACAATGAACACACTTTGAAAGGTTTAGTTCTCCTACCTGCACCCTGGAGAACATCCCTGTTGGGAGCAGGGGCAAGGAGACCCCACCCAAGGGAGGCGCACAGGACACACTGAAAGGCAGGCGGGCAAATGCCAAGAAGTCAGCCATGACCACGCCCAGTCCCTCACTAGTCCTCCTCCGACAGGTGGTTTCAGGAGCACCTGTGCCGCCCCAGGATCGGCTCCAAGGAGCAAAAACAAGACCGTGCTGGCGAGGGACAGGCTCAGCCTAGACCTGGAGGGAAAGGTGCCCAGCCCTGCACCGAGGCATGCACTTGGAGAGCAGAGGTGTTTTCTTCAAGTTCAGTAAGAAGGAAAATGAAAGAGATGAGGAAGTAACTTGAAGATGTGAAAGTGAGGCTCAGAGGGTTGCACAGAGGAGTGCCCGGGCACCATGAGTGCCTCCATGATGGTGTGAGGCTGTGAGGCCCACCAGTGCAGCCAAGATACTGGGGCTGGTAACAGTGAGCCTCAAGCAGACATCCCAGTCACCAGCTGCCCTGTTGTGGCTCCTGAAGCAGGGTTTACGGGGAGACAACATATATCCCCTTCTGTGTCCAAGCTTGTGAGGCCTGTCAGAAAAAAATCCGCTATTTTCATGAATATAGAAAATGTTCTGCTTCTCACTATATGAAGACACCGTGCCTAAAAATGCCAAGTTTTGGCCACCACAGTGGGCTCTGTCACTGACAGCTGTGCACGCTGTATCATGAAGGCCTTAGGCTGGACTTCTGATCAATGCTTATGTATCTGTAGCCATCTTGATCAGAATGATCCAGGCAAGGGCCGCCGTGTCTCCACTGCCCGAGAGGTATGCAAAGAACAAAGCTCTAAGAGCAAGCGTTGAGTCTCCCTGCATTGGCCCTTAGGGATCTGCTTTGATAAAAATCTGAGACTGGATCAGAGGGCTGGAAATAAGCTTTTTTTGGAGACGGAGTTTCGCTCTTGTTGCCCAGGCTGGAGTGTAGTGGAGCGATCTCAGCTCACTGCAACCTTGCCTGCTGGGTTCAAGTGATTCTCCTGCCTCAGGATCCCGAGTAGCTGGGACTACAAGTGCATGCCACCACATCCAACTAGTTTTTGTATTTTTTGTAGAGGCGGGTCTCCCTATGTCACCCAGACTCACAAACACTCTTTTTTTTTTTTTTGAGACGGAGTCTCGCTGTCGCCCAGGTTGGAGTGCGGTGGCGCGATCTCGGCTCACTGCAGGCTCCGCCCCCCGGGGTTCACGCCATTCTCCTGCCTCAGCCTTTTGAGTAGCTGGGACTACAGGTGCCCGCCACCTCGCCCGGCTAATTTTTTGTATTTTTAGTAGAGATGGGGTTTCACCGTGTTAGCCAGGATGGTCTCGATCTCCTGACCTCGTGATCCGCCTGCCTCGGCCTCCCAAAGTGCTGGGATTACAGGCGTGAGCCACCGCGCCCAGCCCACAAACACTCTTAAGAGGCCAAATGTGTGTGTGTGTTTTTTTTAAATAACACAACTCCTTAGAAGTAAAATTTCATGAAATATGAAGGAAATAAAATTTCTAAAATATTCCTACTAATACCAGTTTTTTTATTTTCTTGAGTATTTTTGGCTTTTCTTTCTTTGGTTTCAAAGACAAATACAGTCAGTGTTAAATCCAGCAACCTTTGATTACCAATGGAAACAGATGCACAGACTCTGACGGTCATGGGAAGGGACTGCTGAACATAGAGAACACCTTTCCAAAAAGGGTGCTGCGTCAGACAGAGCTGTGTGGTTTACAGGGTCAGTGTGAGCTGCCTGGCTGGACTCCCAGCGATGGCCAGGGGCTCCTATCTGTAGGCATTACCTTCTCACAGAAACAACTATAAGCACTGCACAAACTACAAAACGAAACACCTGAAAGCATGAAAACAGGAGCAGGTAGAAACTGGAGGAGTCTCCCCTGGGAGAAAAGAAAGGCAGGACATGGTTTGTTCTTAAGGAGCTTTCTCTGAGGAGGGGACTGTCTGTGACAACCCCAGGGCTACAGCCTCACACACAAGACCTGTGGCCAAGGTCTTCAAGAGCCAGTAGACAGATTACTGGGCAACCACAGCCAGAAAGCGAAAGGATAACAACTACAAAGAAGAAAGCCACAGAAAGGGAGTCCCAAACTACACACACGGCTGACCAGATATCCGACACCTGAAGTGCACAGGCATGCAGCCCAGCCAGCGCAGAAAAGCTGAACAGAGGTTTCTGCTGCTGCCACACAAGAAAGACAGAGATAGACTGCCTGATACAATGACACTAAACATCAGTTAGTTCTGGAGAATGTAACCGGACACAAAGTCTCTATGACACAACATTTACAATGTCCAGAATACAATTTGAAATTACTACATGTACTAAAAAAATAGCAAAATGTCACTCAGAATCCAGAGGAGAGATCCACAAGGACCAACCTCAGGAAGATGAGATGCTGGGATCAGCAGACAAGAACTCTAAAGGCAGCTATTAAACTCTCCTTGTGGATGCAAAATAAAACATGCTATTATACAAGGACAGGGAATCTCAGCAGGAAAATAAAAAATTTCTAAATAAAAGCAATAGAAACTCTACAACTGCAGAAGGAATATCTGACATAAAGAACCTGCTGGATAGCCTTAGTTTATCAGAGGTAACAAGTACATGAACTTGAATGGAAATAAAAAGGTTAAAAGCAAGTAAGTGGTGCTAACAACAACAAAAAGGAACAAATCTGAAGAAGTGGGAAAGTGATGAACAAACCCCAGCCCCCTGAGCCTCGGGGACAGCACAGATGCGTGTGTATTGCAGCACAGAGGGGCAGGGACTAAGGACAGAAGATGCATTTGAAGACATGGTCTAAAACTTCCCAAATTTGGTGAAAGACAAATTTATAGATTCAAGATGCCAAAGTGCAATAAATGCAAAGAAAATCACACCGAGGCACCTACGTGCAAACTGCTAAAAACCAAATCTTTAGATTGTTAAAAAAAAAAAAAAAAAAGAAAAATAAATTAAAAAAAGAGTCAACCCATAATTCTAGATATCCAGCAAAAATACCCTTCAAGAATAAAGGCAAAATATAAATCTTAGAGAAATGAACACTAAGTGCTTTGCTAGCAGCAGACCTGAGAACTGCATTAACCATGACTTGTTCCGGGTAGGGCTCCCGGCCGAAAGGACGCCCGCAGAAGGCGCCTTTGCAGGAGAGCGGGAAGGGCACTGGACATGGAAGATCTCTCTGGAGGGCAGAGTAGATTTACTTCATTCTTTTCTCTTTGAGACGGAGTCTCACTCTGTTACCCAGGCTGGAGGTGCAGTGGCGTGATCTCAGCTCACTGCAACCTCCGCTTCAGTTCAAGTAATTCTCCTGCTTCAGCCTCCTGAGCAGCTGGGACTACAAGCGCATGCCACCATGCTTGGCTAATTTTTTTATTTTTAGTAGACACGGGGTTTCGTCATGTTGGCTAGGCTGATCTCAAACTCCTGGCCTCAGGTGATCTGCTTGCCTCGGCCTCCCAAAGTGCTGGGATTACAGGCGTGAGCCAACCATGCCCAGCCTATTTCATGCTTTTCATATTTATTCACATTATAAGACCCCTAATTTCTTAAGAATGTTTAAAGTAAAGAATACAACAATGCATCATGGAGCTAATAACACACACAGGTGTGATGCATATGAAAACCACAAGAGTGAGCAAGGGCAGACAGCAGGCCCGTGTGGCTGTGAGTTCCTTACGTTTCCTATCAACTAGGACCAAGTTAACTAGAGGACCGCGAGACATTGGGAATGTACACTATAATCCCTAAAGACACCACTAAGACATCAGGCAAAATGGTTTACCTACAAAGCCCACAGACAAAGTAAAATAGATTTCTTTAAAAAATCAAGTAACCCAGGCCAGGCGTGGTGGCTCATGCCTGTAATCAAGTAACTCAAAGGAAGGTAGGAAGGGAACAACCAAAAAACAAAAATGAAGGGACAAAAAGGTGGCAAAGTAGCAGAGTTACAATAAGAAATATAAATGTGCAAAAGCATATTCCAAAGGCGGGCAGAAAAAACCAAGACCCAACAATGATGCGAGGTCTGTAACAGACTATTTTCAAAGACACAGTTAAGCTGAAAGGACCCCCATGAAGGCAGGACTGACTACATTAGTATCAGAAAAAGCAGCGGTTCCCAACAAAGAGCATTATGAGTGAGAAAGAACAGTTCATCATGAGAGCAGGGTCACAGGGTCAATTAATCACAAAGAGACAACAAATGTAAAGGCATCTACTAAAAGAGCTCAAGATATCTGAAGCACAGATTGACAGAATTAACAGGAAAGTTAGAAAATCCATAATCATTTTAACAGCCCTGCATGAGCATTTCATAGAAAGACACAGAATATTTGAACATGCCAAAAATCTTGCTCTAATTAACATGTATGTAGAAAATCAGGCCGAGATACAACAAAAACACATATCATTCCCATGTGCACACAGCGCGGCCACCATGACAGACCATCAGCTCCATTAAAAACAAGCCTCAAATGTCAAAGGACTGAAATGATACCAAGTGTGTCTTTAAGCACAATGACATCTAATTAGAAATCAACAATAACTAAGAAAACTTCAGATATGTAAAAATTATACATCTAAATAACCTATAAGTCAAATAAGCACTCACAAGGATATTAAAAATTTCACATTGAATGATAATTAAAATACAATATAGGCTGGGAGTGGTGGCTCAAGCCTGTAATTCCAGCACTTTGGGAGGCCGAGGCAGGCAGATCACTTGCAGTCAGGAGTTCAAGACCAGCCTGACCAACATGGCAAAACCCCGTCTCTACTAAAAATACAAAAATTGGCCAGGCGTGGTGGTGCACGCCTGTAATCTACTCGGGAGGCTGAGGCAGGAGAATCGCTTGAACCCAGGGGGTTGAGGTTTCAGTGAGCTGAGATTGCACCACTGTACTACAGCCTGGGTGACAGAGCAGGACTCCATCTTAAAAAAAAAAAAAAAAGACAATATGAAACAAATGTGTGTGATGTGGCTAAAGCCATGCTTAGAGGGAAACTTAAAACTTTAAGTGATTCTATTTGAAAAGGAAGCAAACCAGTGGCCTACAGATCTACTTCAGGTAGCTGGAAAATTAAGAAGGCAACTCCAAAGTAAGCAGAAGGCAGAAAAGAACAGAGAACAGAAATCAACAACAGCAGCAGCATTATCTTTCAAAGGACAAGGTTAAACTTGTAATCTGGCCAAAATTAACTTATTTAACAGACTGCTTAATGGGTGTCAACTGTAGTACTAGTGACTCCATGAACTGATTTCTTTGGCTGCATGTGAAGTGGGCGGAGTGTTATCAAAAAGTACTGGGGCATAAAATGTCTGAGAACAAATAATACAGCCAGAGAGGTAAAATATTAGAATAGTACATCCTCTTTCAGCAAATGTATGCCTTTCATGATGAATTAGTGTCACAAGTAAATAAAATCTTGGTGAAATAATAGACTACCTAGCACTTACGGCCACAGGGCTCTATTATGCCTCATTTGCAGAGACAGGGTCTCGCTTTCGCCCAGCCTGGAGTGCAGTGGTGCAATCATAGCTCCCTGCAGCCTCAACCACCCAGGCTTGAGCCATCCTCCTGAGGAGCTGGGACCATAGTTGTGTGCCACTGTGCGTGGCTGTTTTTCATTTTTTGTAGAGAAGGGGTCTAGCTTTGTTGCCCCAGCTGGTCTCGAACCCCTGGCTCCAAGCTATCCTCCTACCTTGGCCTCCCAGAGTGTTGCAGTTACAGGCATGAGCCACCATGTCCAGCGCAAATCCACAGGTTTCTTACTGGTAAAGGCATATCAGGCTTGTTTTTAGTTTCATTTTCAGAAAACTTCTGGCCATTACTGTGACTTTTATTTGAACCAGTCTCATTTAATGATTCATAAGGCCGGGCGCAGCGGCTCACGCCTATAATCCCAGCACTTTGGGAGGCTAAGGCAGGCGGATCACAATGTCAGGAGTTCAAGACCAGCCTGGCCAATACAGCAAAACCCCGCCTCTACTAAAAATACAAAAATTAGCTGGGCGTGGTGGCGGACACCTGTGGTCCCAGCTACTTGGGAGGCTGAGGCAGGAGAATCGCTTGAACCCAGGAATCAGAGGTTGCAGTGAGCCAAGAATGCGCTGCTGCACTCCAGCCTGGGTGACATAGTGAGACTCTGTCTTTAAAAAAAAAAAAAAAAAAAAAGAAAAAAAGGCTGGGTGTGGTGGCTCACACCTGTAATCCCAGCACTTTGGGAGGCTGAGGTGGGTGGATCACGAGGTTAGGAGATCGAGACCATCCTGGCTAACACGGTGAAACCCTGTCTCTACTAAAAATACAAAAAAGAAATTAGCTGGGCGTGGTGGTGGGCGCCTGTAGTCCCAGCTACTCAGGAGGCTGAGGCAGGGGAATGGCGTGAACACCCAGGAGGCGGAGCGTGCAGTGAGCCGAGATCACGCCACCGCACTCCAGCCTGGGTGACAGAGCGAGACTCCGCCTCAAAAAAAATAATTAATTAATTAATTAAAAAATGATTGATAAAAAGTGAGTATCCAAAGCATATAATGTACCCCAGGTAAACAGCTTGTGTCACTTGAAGCTTATGAACAAGGACAGGTACCTGTGTGTCCTGCCAGCTCACGACTCACGCGCACGTTCCCCTCACGAGTTTTCAGATTGTAAATGGAGCAAATGTTATCCAGGCCACCGCAGGCCACATAGTTCCCAGAAGGGGCATATGCACAGGTCATGACCCAGGAGGAGCGCAGAGGGATGGCGTGGACCTAATGACAGAAAGACAGATGATGCAAACAACTTTATGTTCAAAAACAACACTGACACCAGGATTTTCTCATCTCCAACTTTCACTGCAAAGGAGGTAACAGAACAAAATAAGAGCCAAAATTATCTAGAGAGCGATTCCCATATGTGGCCACTCAGGTGAAGCATACTTAATGAGAAGTCCAGTGCTGCACATGGGATTCAAATTCAATCCACACAGTCCAGTTTTACTGAAGTCACAACTTATGATTAGGTGGAGTCTTAACAGTAGTGCTGCCCACTCATCAAAACCACATTAGGCCGGGTGCGGTCACTCACGCCTGTAATCCCAGCACTTTGGGAGGCTAAGTCGGGCAGATCACCTGAGGTCAGGAGTTCAAGACCAGCTTAGCCAACATGGTGAAACCCCATGTCTCTACTAAATATACCAAAATTAGCTGGGCGTGATGGCGCATGCCTGTAGTTTCAGCTACTTGAGTGACTGGGGCAGGAGAATCACTTGAACCCGGGAGGCGGAGGTTGCAGTGAGCTGAGATCACGCCACTGCACTCCAGCCTGGGCAACAGAGCGAGACTCCGTCTCAAAAGAAAACAAACAGGCCGGGTGCGGTGGCTCATGCCTGTAATCCTAGCACTTTGGGAGGCTAAGGCGGGTGGATCACCTGAGGTCAGGAATTCGAGACCAGCCTGGCCTCAAATTGGTGAAACCCTGTCTGTGCTAAAATACAAAAATTAGCTGGGTGTGGTGGTGGGCGCCTGTAATCCCAGCTACTCAAGGAGGCTGAAGCAGGAGAGTCGCTTGAACCAGGGGGGTGGAGGCTGCAGTGAGCAGAGATCACGCCACTGCACTCCAGCCAGGGCGGTAAGAGCAATGCTCCGTCTCAAAAACACAAAAAAACCCACACGTATTGGAAGGAAAACACTGCATTATCCTGTCAAATGGCTATGAACTCATCTGAAAACAAAAAATTTTTTTTTCGAGATGGAGTTTCGCTCTTGTTGCCCAGGTTTGAGTGCAGTGGCGTGATCTAGGCTCACTGCAACCTCTGCCTCCTGGGCTCAAGCAATTCTCCTGCTTCAGCCTCCTGAGTAGCTGGGATTACAGGCGCCTGCCACCACTCCTGGCTAATTTTTTGTATTTTTAGTAGAGACGAGGTTTCACCATGTTGGCTAGGCTGGTCTCAAACTCCTGACCTCAGGTGATCCACCTGCTTCAGCCTCCCAAAATGCTGGAATTACAGGTGTGAGCCACGGCGCCCAGCCGAAAACAAAAGATTTTTATGGAATAACCAAAATGGACATTCCTACAATCTACCCTGCCACATCTCTCCCACTGTTTTAGATCTGCTGTAATTAATGCAATCATTTATACACATTTAGTATTCTTTAGTAAAATAAACTGAATTACATCTTTTACATACATGTTTGGACCAATGACAATACTTTTTATTCAAAACAATACACTTTGGATTAAGTCTTGAAAATAACATAAATTACACTTTAAAGTATGATGTCTTTCAGATGATCTCTTCTAAAAACTTGTAACTGAATGAAAAGTGATACTTCTGCACTCTATAAATAAAACATGAAACTTCCCAGACTCTGCTAAAACTGGAATTGAGGTCTCCTAGAAACACAGAAGGTCCTTAGCTCCCACCAGCTTGGTAAGGAGATGACGGACAACAGCACAACTGTGCCTGGTCCAGAGGAAGAGACCGTGACAGGTGGCACGTGACTCAGCTTCTATCTCACCTGCGCAACTTCACTACTAACAAACAGAGCTTGCCGCTGCTGCCTTCCCTATCCTGTATTACGTGATTTAACAAAATGAATCCAGAGCTTAAAACCCTGTTTCCTGGGTTGGTTTTTCAAGGAAGGGAATCCTCCAGTCCCTACCTTGTTGGTGGTGTAGCTGTCCCAGATGATAAGTTTACCATCCTGCGAGGCACTGACGAGAAGCCTGGAGGGACAGACAAAAGCAAACCTATCAGTACCGCACAACACAGAAAGTGTACAAGAGCAACAGACTAAAACCCAGACTCTGGTGGCTTATGTGCTCCCATGTTACATGTGCTTCAGACAAAGCCACTTATTTATAAGAAAAAAAATCTCTGGTCGGGCACAGTTGCTCACGTTTGTAATCCCAGCACTTTGGGAGGCTGAGGTGGGCAGATCACATGAGGTCAGGAGTTCAAGACCAGCCTGGCCAGCATGGCGAAACCCTGTCTCTATTAAAAATACAAAAATTAGCCGGGCATGGTAGTGCGTCTCTGTAATCCCAGCTACTCGGGAGGCTGAGGCAGAAGAATCGCTTGAACCTAGGAAGCGGAGGTTACAGTGAGCCACAATCATGCCACTGGACACCAGCCTGGGCAACAGAGTGAGACTCTGTTTCAAGAAAGAAAGAAAGAAAGGAAAGGAAGGCTCTAAATGTCAGACCAACTTCAAAGCATGAACAAAAACACTGTCACAGACCACAGTTGAGAGTGGAGATGCCTGGCCCCAACCGAATGCAGGCCACATCACCCCTGGCACCCATTCCCTTTGTCAGCTGAGACAGGCTGACATCATTTCATAAGTGTTTCTGTTTGGTTTCATTACAAATCAAATTAGAGGCTCATGTCTTTAATCCCAACACTTTGGGAGGCCAAGGTAGGTGGATCACAGGAGTTTGAGACCAGCATGGCCTCATGCTAGCATGGTAAAATCCCGTCTCCACTACAAAAACACAAAAAAATAGCTGGGTATGGTAGTGCATGCCTGTAATCCTAGCTACTCAGGAGGCTGAGGTGGGAAAACTGCTTGAACCCAGGAGGCGGGGGTTGCAGTGAGCCAAGATTGCGCCACTGCACTCTAGCCTGGGCAACAGAGCGAGATCCTGACTGAAAAAAAAAAAAAAAAAAAAAAAAAAAAAACAAACAGAAAGAACAAACCACTTTTAGACATTCCAAATTCATGAAACATTTCTCACCCAAAATACCCCATGAAATTTCCCAGACTGAGCTAAAATTGGAATCAAGGTCTCCTAGAAACCAAAGGAGGCGTTCCCTCCTCACCTGCTTGGTAAACAACAGCACCACTGCGCATGGTCCGGGAGCAGAGACCAGTAACTATCACGAATTTTTTCTTTTTTTCTTTTTTTTTTTTGAGACGGAGTCTCGCTCCGTGGCCCAGGCTGCAGTGCAGTGGCGCCATCTCGGCTCACTGCAAGCTCCGCCTCCGGGGTTCATGCCATTCTCCTGCCCCAGTCTCCCGAGTAGCTGGGACTACAGGCGCCCACCATCACGCCCAGCTAATTCTTTTTGTATTTTTAGCAGAGACAGGGTCTCACCATGTTAGCCAGGATGGTCTCGATCTCCTGACCTCGTGATCTGCCCACCTCAGCCTCCCAAAGTGCTGGGATTACAGGCGGGAGCCACCACGCCCGGCCTCTTTTTTTTGTTTTTGAGATGGAGTTTTGCTTTTGTTGCCCAGGCTGGAGTGCAATGGTGCGTCGGCTCACCGCAACCTCCACTTCCCAGATTTGAGCAATTTTCCTGCCTCAGCCTCCAAAGTAGCTGGGATTACAGACACGCGCCACCACAGCCAGCTAATTTTGTATTTTTAGTAGAGACGGGGTTTCTCCACGTTAATCAGGCTGGTCTCGAACTCCCGACCCTCAGGTGATCCGCCCACCTCGGCCTCCCAACGTTTTGGTATTACAAGCGTTGAGCCACTGCGCCCGACCATGAATTTTTTCATAACTATTTCCTTGCTCTGGCAACTGTGCTCAGTTCGGAATCCACATGTTGAAAAGGAGCTCCATACTACAAAGGAGAATATGAATAAGGAGCAAAAGAATTTCACCTTAGCAGGCAAGTAAGGTGGGTGAAAGGTAACTCCTGGGAACCACAGTTGCTTATGAGAGGTCCTAAGGAACCCTGTAGCACAGAATGCTGTTTTCAAGGAAGAGCAAGAAGGTTCCACTGTTTGATGCAGGGATATCTGTCAGTACGGTAAATGATAGTATAAGGATTTTTAATTTTAAAGTTTCTATCAAACGCAAGGTTTTTTGTTTGTTTGTTTTTGTTTGTTTGTTTGTTTGAGACAGAGTCTCGCTCTGTCACCCAGGCTGGAGTGCAGTGGTGTGATCTCAGCTCACTGCAACCTCTATCTCCTGGGTTCAAGTGATTCTCATGCCTCAGCCTCCCAAGTAGCTGGGATTACAGGTACGTGCCACCACACCTGGCTAATTTTTGTATTTTTAGTAGAGATGGGGTTTCCCCATGTTACCCAGGCTGGTCTCCAACTCCTGGCCTCAAGTGATCCGCCCACCTTGGCCTCCCAAAGTGTTGGGATTACAGACATAAGCCACAGCGCCTCAAAACACAGGTTTTAACTATTTCAGCTGTGAACATATGTGGCTTCTTAAAGCTGACCTAAAGCTGGAGTAACGCTCTCTCAAGTTTTGTTGATAACTCTGACACTTTTAATATCAAACTAGATGTTTTGATACAGGTGTCAATGAGTTTAAGAACAAATAAAAACCTTTTCACCTGCACTTTATTACAAAATTTATCACAGAACTAAAAACTAAGTGCAGGCTCCCATCCTATTATTTTTCAGATGCAATTTTTTTTTTTTTTTTTTTTTTGAGAGAGAGTCTCACTCTGTCACCCAGGCTGGAGCTCGCTGCAACCTCTGCCTCCCAGATGCAAGCAATTCTCGTGCGTCAGCCTTCCCATTAGCTGGAATTACAGGTGTGCACCACCATGCCTGGCTACTTTTTTGTATTTTTAGTAGAGACAGGGTTTTGCCATGCTGGTCTCGAACTCCTGAGCTCAATCTGCCTGCCTCGGCTGGGATTACAGGCGTAAGCCACCGCACCCAGCCTTCAGTTGCAATTCTTAAAGCAAACTTCTCAATCCAGGTTGTCATCAACATATTAAACATTTAAAATTATTTCTACGTAATGGTATCATGTTCCCACTCTAGCTTTATTTCTGCCCAGCCCTTCTGAGACTTTCTGTCGAGTATCAGAGCTGATCTAAAGCAGCTCATCCTCCTAGATTAGGAGGATCACCTTTACAGAGGTCTCCCGGTCAGAGAGCTTAATAACTGCTGACTTCCAGAGGGATTAGGGACACGTAAGCTGTCCACTGATCCTCCAGAAGGTGAGAGAAGACATGCCTCCTAGTCCCGGGTCAGGGAGCTGTTGGAAAGCTGGGTTCACGTTGCCTAGTAGTGCCTTTACCTACTCAAAAATCAATTATCTGAGGTGCCACTCACCTAGAACATAGAGGCAAGGGCCAGGAAGCAAGCTAACAGGCTCCAGGACCCTGAAAGTAGCTGTCAAAAATCAAAACACCTAATGCCCTTCATTTTACTCAAAGGAGGGAGGGTGGTGGCTCATGCCTGTAACCCCAGCACTTTGGGAGGCTGAGATAAGAGGATTGGTTAAGTCCAGGAGTTTGAAACCAACATGGGCAACAAAGGGAGACCCTGTCTCCACAAAAAAATATATATATATATTTTTTGAGATGGAGTCTCGCTCTGTCACCCAGGCTGGAGGATCTCGGCTAACTGCAAGCTCTGCCTCCTGGGTTCATGCCATTCTCCTGCCTCAGCCTCCCAAATAGCTGGGACTACAGGCACCTGCCACCGCGCCTGGCTTATTTTTTGTATTTTTAGTTGAGACAGGGTTTCATTGAGTTAGCCAGGATGGTCTCGATCTCCTGACCTCGTGATCCGCCCACCTCAGCCTCCCAAAGTGCTGGGATTACAGGCCTGAGCCACCGCGCCCGGCCCACAAAAAATATTTTTTAAAAATTAGCTGGGCACAGTGATGTGCACCTGTGGTACCAGCTACTCAGGAGGCTGAGGCAGGAGGATTGCTTGAGCACAGCAGTTCAAGGCTTCAGTAAGCTAGGATCGCACCACTGCATTCTAGCCTGGACGACAGAGTGAGACCCAGTCTCAAAAAAAAAAAAAAAAAAAAAAAGTTGCCTTTTAGTACAAATATATTGATAAACATATTACAAATGTACATCTGATACATTAATACATACATACATAACAAGTAATCATTGTGGGCCTTGCATGTAGTTTTCTTTTTTGTTTGTTTTTTTGAGACAGAGTCTCACTCTGTCACCCAGGTTGGAGTGCAGTGGTGCAATCTTGGCTCACTGCAACCTCTGCCTCCTGGGTTCAAGCGATTATCCTGCCTCAGCCTCCTGAGTAGCTGGGATTACAGGCACCCACCATGAAGCCTAGTTAACTTTTGTATTTTTGGCAGAGACAGGGTTTCACCATATTGGGCAGGCTGGTCTCAAACTCCTGACCTCAGGTGATCCACCCGCCTTAGCCTCCCAAAGTGCTGGGATTATAGGCGTGAACCACGGTGCCTGGCCTCTCATGTAGCTTTATTTGTGTTTTGTTTTGTTTTTTGAGGCAGAGTCTCCATCCGTCACCCAGGCGGGAGTGCAATGCGCATGTTTGTGGGTATATATATACATATATATATATTTTTTTTTTTTTTCTTTTTTTGAGATGGAGTCTCACTCTGTTGCCCAGGCTGGAGTGCAGTGGTGTGATCTTGGCTCACTGCAACCTCCAGCTCCTGGGTTCAAGCGATTCTCCCACCTCAGCCTCTTGAGTGCAGCTGAAACTACAGGCACTCGCCACCACACCTGGCTAATTTTTGTATTTTTAGTAGAGATGGGGTTTCACCATGTCAGCCAGGCTGGTCTCGAACTCCTGAAGTCAAGCGATCCACCTGACTTGGCCTCCCAAAGTGCTGGGGTTACAGGTGTGAGCCACCGCGTCTAGCCTCATGTAGTTTTGAAAGACAAACTAGGCCGGGCACAGTGGCTCACCCCTGTAATCCCAGCACTTTGGGAGGCCGAGGCGAGCGGATCACGAGGTCATGAGATCGAGACCACCCTGGCTAACACGGTGAAATCCCGTCTCTACTAAAAAGACAAAAAAAATTAGCCGGGCGTGGTGGCGGGTGCCTGTAGTCCCAGCTACTCGGGAGGCTGAGGCAGGAGAATGGTGTTAACCTGGGAGGCAGAGCTTGCAGTGAGCTAAGACAGCACCATTGCACTCTAGCCTGGGCGACAGTGAGACTCCGTCTCAAAAAAACAGAAAGACAAATTAGTAGTCATTTCTACTGTTTCCGAGTGTCCATAAATCAAACAAACACAGTTAAAGGAATGGTATTCATAGGCCAGACGCAGTGGCTCACGCCTGTAATCCCAGCACTTTGGGAGGCCGAGGTGGGCAGATCATGAGGTCAGGAGATCGAGACCATCCTGGCTAACATGGTGAAACCCTGTCTCTACTAAAAATACAAAAAAATTAGCCAGGCGTGGTGGCAGGCGCCTATAGTCCCAGCTACTCGGGAGGCTGAGGCAGGAGAATGGCGTGAACCTGGGAGGCAGAGCTTGCAGTGAGCCGAGATCGCACCACTGCAGTCCAGGCTGGGTGACAGAGCGAGACTCCGTCTCAAAAAAAAAAACCCAAAAAAACTGGTATTCATAAATTATAGCTTTAAGTCATGAAAAACAAGCAATAACATTTGTTTATGAAGGCAGGAAATATGAAGATTAAAGAAAATATATACCCTCCCCACTCTGTCATGTGGTGGGGGGCAGGAGGAGGGACAGCATTAGGAGAAATACCTATGTAAATGACAAGTTAACAGGTGCAGCAAACCAACATGGCACATGTATTCCTATGTAACAAATCTGCACATTGTGCACATGTACCCTAGAACTTAAAGAAAAAAAAAAAAGCTTGTGGAACAAGGAGATATAGATATACATGTATATATATACACACACATACATACACACACACACACACACACACCCTCCCCCCAAAAAACCTCTTTTGGACCTTAAAGAGGCAAACACTGGCCTATCCAGAAAAAAACGGCTATTTACAACAAGCAATCTCTAGAAGGCTCTGAAAAGCAGAGGTTCTCCATAATATCATTTTGGTTTTCTCATGACTGTGCAATTATACAACAAATGCCATGCACCTAGCACCCTGTCCAAGAACATGGACCAATGTGGCACCCCAGCCTCCCACAGGCCTCACTGAAGACCGCCTTGCTCACAGGGTGGCCATGATTCTGCACTTGGTCCTGTTTTGTCAGCCCTTGCTTTTCTTCCTTCTAATCCTGGGGCTTTCAAGGCACAAAGTGTGTTTGAGACAGACGGAACATAAAGCCTCCCATGCAAGGATCTGGCGCCCACCCCACCCACCCTGAGCCCCCAGCCCCACCTCCACTGCTCAGTTCACACACCCATCTCTTCGGTCCCTGAACACACCTGCCTGCAGGTCACTCTCATCCCTTCCAGACTACCCAGTCCAGAGCCCAGCTGGTGAAGGAGACATATTACTTGGCAGTGCAGTGCTCTGAGTACCTGAACACTGCCCAGCAGCAGCACTGTCTACTCCACTAACCTGCCTAATCTGCACATCAGTGTTCCCACACATGGAGGAAAGGCCCCAGAGGTAACATACTGTTTTGTTTTCCATCTACTTTTGACAATAAATTCTAACATAGATAGACTAGTAACAACATTTTTTCTTTTTTTTTTTTGAGTCAGTGTCACTCTGTCACCCAGTGGTGCAATTTCGGCTCACAGTAACCTCCACGTGCCTCAGCCTTCCAAGTAGCTGGGACTACAGCTACCATGCCCAGCTAATTTTTAAATTTTTAGCAGAGATGGGGTTTCGCCATGTTGGCCAGGAGGCTGGTTTCGAACTCCTGACCTCAAGTGATCCGCCCACCTCAGCCTCCCAAAGTGCTGGGATTACAGGTGTGCGCCACTGCATCCAGCCAGAACATTTTTTAAAAAATTCTTTTTAATTTTTTAAAGGAATAACTTTGAATTCACAAAGTATATTCTTACTTATTTACTTATTTATTTAGAGACAGGGTCTCACTCTGCCGTGCAGGCTGAAACACAGTGGGGTGATCTGGAATCACTGCAAGCTCTGCTTCCCTGACTCCTGGGTTCAAGTGATCCTCCCACCTCGGCCTCCTAAGTAGCTGGGACTCCAGGTGCGCACCACAACAACCAACTTATTTTTGTACTTTTTGTAGAGAAGGGGTCTCGCCATGTGACCTAGGCTGATCTTGAACTCCTGGGCTCAAGCCATTCGCCTGCCTTGGCCTCCCAAAGTGCTGGGATGAGAGGCATGAGCCAATGTGCCTGGTTACTTATTTATTTTGAATATTTAAAAGAATTTTTGACAAGTAATTATATGTATATTTACGGAGTACAATGTGATATTCTGATATATATCCACATTGTGAAATAAATCAATCAAGCTAATCAACATACCCATCACTTCCAATTTGCTCTGTGGTGGGAACACTTAAGTCTACTTTACTAACAATTTTGAAACACACGTTATTATGAACTACTCTCCGTGCTGTGTGGCACATTTCTAAAATTTATTCCTAACTAAAACTCTGTACCCTCAGAATATCATCTCCCCACTTCCCCACCCTCCCCCTTCCCACTTTTATTCTTTCTGACTCCTGCTGTCATTGGAACCATCATGCGAGCTCTCATTTGCATGGGGAATTGTATGGGATACTATATAGAACAAACTAAAGATAGAATCTTTTGTTCTCTAGCTGTTTGTGCTCTAAAGCGGACAATTTCACGAACAAAGAAAAAGCCTAGCAGAAAATTCCACGCTAACAACGGAATACAAAGAAATACTACTCAAAGAAGGGCATGTTAAAAATTGTTATGTCAGGTGCTTCAACGAGCATGTCACAGTTACACAAATCAAACAGTACTTTATTAAATTATTTAGATAGAACAGGCACCAAATAAGACTTTGTAATAGCCTCTAAATCAGAGTGTGGGGTCACGGAAGGGAGATGCCTGGTGGAGAAGAAAGGGGTATAATTTAAAGTACAAGAAATAGGCTAGAAGTGGTGGTGGCTCACACCTATAATCTCAGCACTTTGGGAGGCTGAGGTGGAAGGATCACTTAGGGGCCAGGAGTTTGAGACCAGTGTCAGCAACAAAGGGAGACCCTGTCTCTGTAAAAAACCAAAAAATATTAGCCAGGCATGGTGGCACATGCCTGTGGCCTATGCCACTTGGGAGGCTGAGTAGGAAGGGTTACTGGAGCCTAGGACGTCGAGGCTGCAGTGAGATATGATCACACCACTGCACTCCAGCATGACTGAGTGAGACCCTGTCTCAAAAAAAAAAAAAAAAAAAAAAAGAAAAAAAGAGGCTGGGCGTAGTGGCTCACGCCTGTAATCCCATCACTTTGGGAGGCCGAGGCGGGTGGATCGTGAAGTCAGGAGATCCAGACCATCCTGGCTAACATGGTGAAACCCCATCTCTACTAAAAATACAAAAAAATTAGCCAGTGTGGTGGCAGGCGCCTGTAGTCCCAGCTACTAGGGAGGGTGAGGCAGGAGAATGGCGTGAACCCGGGAGGCGGAGCTTGCAGTGAGCCGAGATTGCCCCACCGCACTCCAGGCTGGGCAACACAGTGAGACTCCGTCTTTAAAAAAAAAAAAAAAAAGAGAAAAGAAAAGAACAAATAGGAGCCCATGAAGGGAATTATCTCTTGGGATGGTAAACCAAAGGAAGGCAGGGCAGACAGGCCAGATGAGAGAATGGTGAGAGCAGCTCACAGCGCATTCCCGTGTGTCTGCCGCAGCAAAGCACACACAGCACAATGCTGTTCTAAGGCTCAATACACTTAATCCCTCAGGATCCTCGGGGCAGGTTCTGTGATTTCCTGAGCCAGGGCACTGACATCACAAGAGGGCGAGGGCCAACCAGCCCTGAGAAACAGGCACAGAGAGGTAACTTCCCCAAGTTCACATAAGTAGGATGCAGTAGAACTGGGAAGACAGAGGTCTAGAAACTGAAAGAGACAGGAGAAGGGAGAAAGAAAAATCAGAACTTGTATTAATGTGATTCAGACAGTGAAGAAATGGCAGTGTTCTTTCAGCCCAGGTAAGTGGAAAACTGGACAGGGAATATGCACCTGTGAACGCTGCACCTTGCGTGCCCAGAGTTCTGATTCAACTTCCTAATTTCTTCACTGCACAGCACAGCAAATGGGTTCAGGTACTTTTCCCCTAGGACAACAGAGCAGCCCCTGAATGTAACAAGCAGCATCCTGCTCATGCCCACGCCTACCTGGAGTCTGTGCCCCAGTGCATGGCGTAGATCTTGGCCAGGTGCCCCCGCAGTGTCCTCCTCGTGCGCATTTGGATTCTTCCCACTGGGTCGATGTTGTTTGTGATCTTGAAAATAAAAACATTTCTGTAAATCAACATCTGTGATTAAACGATTCTCCTCATCACCCATCCTTGTCAAGGCTGTTGGCTCGCCCACTGTGCCTACCTCTTCCCAGCCCTTCCCACAGTTCTCCAGTGGCTTCCACTGTGGCATTCTGCACTGAACCCCTTCCGTACCTCTTACCAAGTCTCAGTCTGGCTGGTCATCAGGAACCTGTGTGCCCTGCCCTCCAATGCACGCACACGAACATGGCCAGCCTTGAAGCACTTGCTGTTCCCTTCCTGCTTCCTTCCTCCTCTCCCTGTCCATCCAGGACCATCTCCTCCTAGGTCTCTGAGTTCTTTGAGATCTCGCAACTCTTCTTATGACACCACACAGATGTCCCACACCACAATTTAATAGCTGGTTCCTATGTCAGGCTATGTGTGGGCCTGCATGACACCTGCTTCTGCACGACCATCACTTGGAGCACCAGCTGTACACACACCTGCTGAGCCCATCCTACATATAGACACTGATGTTAATGAGTTTAGGTTGGCAAACGGAGTAAGTGGATTACAATAGTGGGTTTTAAAAACGGACAGTCCAAAGTGCTTCTCAGAATTGAAATTCAGGTAATTCTATGTAGCCTAATTTTTTTTTCTTTAACTTACAATTTAACCTCAATTAAAGCACATCCCCTAAAGCATTTAGACAATGTAAAAAACTTAATCATCTTCAGTAGAAGTAGGAATATAGTTTTTCTTTCACATTTCTGTCCAATTATTTGGACTTTATTTTTATTATCTTTTTTTTTTTTTTTTTTTTTTAAGATGGAGTCTCGCTCTGTCTCCCAGGCTGGAGTGCAGTGGTGCGATCTCTGCTCACTGCAACCTCTGCCTCCCGGGTCCAAGCAATTCTCCTGCCTCAGCCCCCTGAGTAGCTGGGATTACAGGTGTGTGCCACCATGCCTGGCTAATTTTTGTATTTTAGTAGGGACAGGGTTTCACCATGTTGGTTAGGCTGGTCTCGAACTCCTGACCTCAAGTGATCCACCTGCCTCGGCCTCCCAAAGTGCTGGGATGGACTTCATTTTTTTAATAAGGTGAAGTTCACGTAACATCCAATTAATCACTTTAAAGTCTACAGTTCAGTGGCATTTAGTACACTCATTGTTGTAAAACCACTGCCACCATCTAGTTCCAAACCATCTTCCAAAAGGAGACCAGACATTGATTCAGCAGTCACTCCCTGTTCACTTCCTCTCCCTCTCTCCCCTAACACCCCTGCTGGCCACTAGTCCACTCTGTCTCAGTGAATGTTACTATTCTAGATATTTCATATAAATAGAACTAAACAATACATAGCCATTTGTTTGGCTTCTCTCACTATCGTAATATTTATGGGGTTTATCCACGTTGCAGCCTCTGACTGTACTGACGTCCATTTAATGGCTGATAATACTCCAGGGCACAGAGACACCACAATTTGTTTCTCCACTCATTCATTTATGCACATTTTGGTTGTTTCTACATTTTGGCTATTGTGAATGGTGCTGCTATGTACATGTGTGTGTTTGAAAAGCAGTGTTCAATCCTGTTGGGCATATATTTAATGGCAGAACTGCTGAGTCATACAATAATTCTATGTTTAACTTTTTGAGGTATTATCAAATTGGATATTAGAAATAGAAGTTCTGAGGCAGATTCTGTTGAGGAGAGGAGCTTCAAAATATCTTAAGACAATAACAATATTTTACAACTATTACCCTCTGTAACAGGTAGATGATTATTCAAGGCTTGAGATATCTCATTTTTATCTCAATAAGCCCCTCTATTTCCTATGCCTACCATCAGAATGACTTCTTAATAAAAGCAGTGGCTTGGCATCCTCACTGCGCAACAGAGAATGCAAGCAGAGCCCTCCCGAGGCTCCAGGTGTGGGTG
The DNA here is from genome assembly GCF_000001405.40 of Homo sapiens. NCBI lineage: Eukaryota > Metazoa > Chordata > Mammalia > Primates > Hominidae > Homo > Homo sapiens. The sequence goes on from NC_000001.11 coordinate 1,817,783, forward strand.
CCGTGCTAGCCTCCTCACAGGCAGATGGCTCTGCGTGACTCAGTGGGCTCTTACCTGAGAGAGAGTTGCATCTGCACATGCTTTCCTGGCGTCCTGGGAAGCAAGGACAGTGAGAAATTAGCAACCTTTCAGATACATTCAATCTCAGGTCCACACATACCAAAGTTTCAAAGAGAGCTTTCCTAAGCTGTCAGGAGCAAAAGCAGAATGTGAAAGAACGGCAGAGTCTCCTTGCATCTCAACACCCCATGGTCTACTACCATCTGTGGACTGTCCAGGCCACGCTGAACAGAGAACCAGTAGTACCCAAATCTGTCTAAGACCTGCAGCACAATATTCCTGGGGACCCACAGCTGTGGCCAGCACCGAGGAGACCACACTGCAAGCTGGGGCAGCACCCACACACCCGGGACCCTGGTGCTGCCTGTGCCCTCACTGCTGCACAGGCTGGCACACACGACTTGCTCTTTTTACAAAGCCCATCTAGGGTCAGGAAGGCTGTGGCCCAAAGAAAAGGTCTATTAAAAAAAAAAAAAAAAAAAAAAAAGTCTAAAAAGGACCAGATACCCAGCCCAAAAAAACTTTTCTTCAGACTGCATTAACTAAGTACTTTGTTTTCAAGAGAAACAATCATTAATTCTAAATTCTATGGAGGGCGCGGTCTCACGTCTGTAATCCTAGCACTTTGGGAAGCTGAGGCAGGAGGATCTCTTGAGCCCATGAGTTCAAGACCAGCCTGGGCAACAAAGTGAGACCTTGTCTCTACTAAAAATAAAAATTAAAAATTTAAGGAAAATAGGCTGGGTGTGGTGGCTGACACCTATAATCCCAGCACTTTGGGAGGCCGAGGTGGGTGGATCACCTGAGGTCAGGAGTTCAAGACCAGCCTGGCCAACATGGTGAAACCCCATCTCTACTAAAAATACAAAAAATAGCTGGGTGTGGTGGCGCACGCCTGTAATCCCAGCTACTCAGGAGGCTGAGGCAGGAGAATCACTTGAACCCGGGAGGCGGAGGTTGCAGGGAGCCGAGACTGCGCCACTGCACTCCAGTCTGGGAAACAGAGCAAGACTCCATCTCAAAAAAAACAAAAATAATAATAAAATAAAATAAAGGAAAACAAAGAAAAATAAATAAATTCTATGGAAAACGAGCAAGGGACCTGGAGCCAGACAATCAGATGTACATGAGCCTCTTGGCTGTTCTCGTTGCTCATCTACAAATGACCTGCGGCTGCAGGTAGGCACTGTGAAGGGATCCACCAATGCTAACTCAAGTGTCTTCATTACTAAGGGATCAAAGTTACTAGAAAATAGACCTGGAAATCTCAAAAGAGAACGTACGTTTAGAAATAGAAAGGTACGTAACATGAAGGAAAATAAGACAATGGCTAACAGGTTTAAAGTTTGAGTGTTGGTATAATTTTTTTTTTAATCACAACTATTTTTTTTTTTTGAGACAGAGTCTCGCTCTGTCTTGCCCAGGCGGGAGTGCTGTGTCGCGATCTCAGCTCACCGCAGCCTCCGCCTCCCAGGTTCAAGTGATTCTTCCCGTCTCAGCCTCTTGAGTAGCTGAGACCACAGGCGTGTGCCACCACACCGGCTAATTTAGTATTTTTAGTAGAGATGAGGTTTCACCATATTGGCCAGGCTGGTCTAGAACTCCTGACCTCAGGTGATCCGCTCATCTCAGCCTCCCAAAGTGCTGGGATTACAGGCGTGAGCCACCCCGCCTGGCCTCTTTTTTTTTTTAAACTATGTATTTATTTATTTTTATGACAGGATCTGGCTCTGTTGCCCAGCCTGGAGTGCAGTGATGTCATCACAGCTCACTGCAGCCTCGACCTCCTGGGCTCAGGTGACCCTCCCACGTCAGCCTCCTGAATAGCTGGGACTACAAGCATGCATTACTATGCCCGGCTAATTTTTTTTTTTTTTTTGTAGAGATGGGGATCTCGTCATGTTGCCTGTGGCTGGTCTTGAACTCCTGGGCTCAAATGATCCTTCCCCCTTGGCCTCCCAAAGTGTTGGGATTATAGGGGAGAGTTACCATGCCCAGCTGACACTTTCTAGTAAGAAAAATGTGTTTATATGCTGTCATCTGACCATCTACTTTCAAAATGGCAAATGGCATGTGCAGCCCTTACAGGCGTGCGTCCAAGTGCCCCACATGGGGAAGGTGGAGGACGAGTTCCCAGCGGTTCAGGCTTTTGGGGCAAACTGCTCACTGCAAATGATTTCTACTTTAGGAAGCTTGTGGGAATATTATAAACTGATAATATGGAAATATATTGGTCAGGCGCAGTGGCTCATGCCTGTAATCCCAACACCTCAGGCGGCTGAGGTGGGTGGATCACCTGAGGTCAGGAGTTCAAGACAAGCCTGGCCAACATGGTGAAACCCCATCCCTACTAAAAACACAAAAATTAACCAGGCATGGTGGCCGGCACCTGTAATCGTAACTATTTGGGGAGGCTGAGGCAGGAGAATCGCTTGAACCTGGGAGGCAGAGGTTGCAGTGAGCTGAGATCACACCACTGCACTCCAGCCCGGGCAACAGAGCGAGACTCTGTTTAAAAAAAAAAAAAAAAAAAAAAAAGGAACTATACTGAGATTATTATAAATATACCAAATTTATACATTCCAAATTCATCTTTAGTTAAGCTCTTTATTGGTCATTCTGCTTATAATTAAGACACACACAAAAAAATCGAGTATTTCTATGCAAGCAGTAACATTTGGAGTAAGGGGGATGAAGAATACTTAGAGCAGCAGAAGTCTTTTTGTCAATGAATTTTACTGGCAAGTACTGAGTTTAATATTTGTTTTTGAAATACTATTCTTGTTGATGTTACAGCCTTTGATTTTAAAACATCATAAGAAAATTTAAAATGGAGAAAATAAAACATGAGATTTAAGCAACTTCCCCCGGTTAGTGTCCAATGACTAAAATGAGTTTCTTAAGGTACAGTGTAACAGACTGTGGTGATACTACTGTTAAACCGAAGGAAAAACTACTGTAAAAACAACACACAGATAACTTCAATTCAATCTTTATTTTAGCCAATAACCAGCTTATTTAACTGAGTGCAGCACTTTGCAGAACAGACACCTTCAACTTTTAAAACTGTAGGAAGAAGTCTTTTAATGGAAACAAGCTCTATAACTGCTTAACAAAGAAGAAAAAGTCTTCAAGTTCTTTCAGATTAATTTCCAGTTTAATGGACTCCTGTAGATACATATTATGATGTCCACTTAAACCAGAGATGAACATATCCAAGCCACTCATCAGTTGATTTCTCATTCTTTTTGGATTTGTCAAATGACACAGTAACACACTTACTTTGGGGTTTCATCCTAAATTAAAGCCTGGGCCCTGCTCAGCATGGAGTCGCTGGACATTTTGGACCGGGCATCCATTGCAGCTGCCTCTCGCACGAATGGACCCTGCTCCCTTGCACTGGCTGGCATGCCGCTCCAGAACACATCTACGCCTGTGCATCCTGTGGAGCTTTCCTTACTCCATCAGCTACTCTGTGTATTTTAAGGCACACCATGTTTTAATCAGAATCCCTCTGAGAGCCTGTGTTTCCTCAATAATAATCAAAAGGAGCATGCAAGGTCCTTTAAGGGTCTTTTGGCTGAAAAACAAATCTAAGAAAGAAAACAGCCCCTTTTAGAATCATCTACAATTTCTTGTTTGATTCACTATGCTCTGCATTCTTTAACAAGCACGTATTCCTTGGGCAATCAGGAAAAAATGTTCTACATTTTAAAAATAAGTCTTCCTTTCCCATTTGGGGTAAAAGGACTTCAACAGCTTTTGCTGTCCCTGTCTCGTGCAAAGGAACTAACACAGCGCGGTTCCTGGTACTTCGGAGACAAAGCAGCTAGGCGCCTCTCCTAGTGAACGTCCCACCGCGGGGGCCATGACCTGCCTGTGGCTGCTGCGCACAGCAAACGGAACCAGGAGACTTGGGACAAAAACAGTGTCAAATATCTCAATTAAAATGTATTAATTACACATTGCATAATAAATAATATTTTAGATATACTGCCTTAGATAAAATTTGTTGGGCCAGGCATGGTGGTTCACACCTGCCAGCACTTTGGGAGGCTGAGGCGGGAAGATCCCTTGAGCCCTAGGAGTTCAAGACCAGCTGGGGCAACATGGTGGACTCTGTCTCTACAAAATTGAAAAAAACCAGCCAGGTGTGGCAGCATGCTCCTGTAGTTCCAGCTACTCGGGAGGCTGCAGTGAGCTGTGATCGCACCACTGCTCTCCAGCTTGAATGACTGACAGAGACCCTGTCTCAAAACACACAAACAAAAAAATGAAAAAAACCTTGTTAGGGTTAATTCCACCCGTTTCTTTTCATTCTTTTTCAAAAGACAGGGCCTTTCTACCTTACAAAGGCTGGTCTCAAGCTTTTGGGCTCATGCAATCCTCCTGCCTTGGTATCCCAAAGTACTGGGATTAACGGCATGAGCCACGGTGCCTGGCCGTCTCTCTTTTTACTTTTTTTTTTTTTTTTTTTGAGACGGAGTCTCGCTCTGTCTCCCAGGCTGGAGTGTGCAGTGGCGCGCTCTCGCCTCACTGCAAGCTCCGCCTCCCAGGTTCACGCCATTCCCTGCCTCAGCCTCCCAAGTAGTTGGGACTACAGGCGCCCACCACCACCACACCTGGCTAATTTTTTTTGTATTTTTTTTCTTTTAGTAGAGACGGGGTTTCACCGTGTTAGCCAGGATGGTATCGATCTCCTGACCTTGTGATCCACATGCCTCAGCCTCCCAAAGTGCTGGGATTACAGGCGTCAGCCACCGCGCCCGACCTCTTTTTACATTTTTTATGTGGCAACAAGAGCATGTGGGGAATGTCACGTGACATTTGTGCCAGCCCAAGAGGGAGCCCCCTGTGCAAGAAGGCCCTGGGGAATTCACAACGTGACAGGGTCCAAACCTCGGAAGGAGGTGCAACAGTTCCTTTTGGCCTTAATTTTTTAAATTTGGGTGTCTTTCACCTGTGCCATACAAGCTCTTTCCATCTGCTATGAATAGATCCAAGTCCACTATTTGTGAACAACTTATAGCTGTCAGAAAAACAAAATTTCTTCAAATATGCCAAATCACCCTACTATTTAAGACATTTTCAGGGTAAACTTTAAAATTCTGATTTCTAGGCCGGGCGTGGTGGCTCATGCCTGTAATCCCCGCACTTTGGGAGGCCGAGGTGGGCGGATCACGAGGTCAGGAGATCGAGACCATCCTGGCTAACACGGTGAAACCCCATCTCTACTAAAAGTACAAAAAATTAGCCGGGTGTGGTGGCGGGCGCCTATAGTCCCAGCTCCTCAGGAGGCCGAGGCAGGAGAATGGTGTGAACCCAGGAGGAGGAGCTTGCAGTGAGCTGAGATCGCGCCACTGCACTCCAGCCTGGGGAACAGGGCGAGACTGTCTCCAGAAAAAAAAAAAAAAAAAAAAAAAAATCTGATTTCTATAAGATGAAATATAGTCTCAAAAGCAGGTGGTAAAGAGCTGAGAGTGTTCTGAACCCCCCCAAAAACCCAGTTAGATTATTATTAAATAACAACACTTTGCTTTTCTTTTTTACTTGCCAAAAACCATGCTGACTTAAAATGAACAGCAGAAGCTTAAGTATTAAGTCAGGCAAAATTTGAATACCTTTTGGTTTTATTTAAATAGATATTTCAGAGAATAATTTTATATCAAACTAAATATTTCAGAACACATTTGATTAATTTTGGTGGAGGGGACATGTTAAACAAGTCTGATCAGAGCAAACTATTAAAAAAATCTAAGTCTTCCCTATTCACCTATGTAAGATCTTTTAAATGTTAAGATTTAAAATTCTTACAGTAGAGGATACTTTGTTTTCTCTTTGGCTGTAAATCTCAGAGAATTCCATTATTTTTTCTCAAGTTCAGGAACAAGTTGCCTAAAATTATGTTGGTGTTTCTCTCTCCAAATCCTGGTGGGCTTTCTAAACATGTAATTGGCCGTTTAAAAGGAAATACTTGACTTCATCCTTGCACTGGAGTCAGAAAAATAAACTGTTGTTTTTTATTTTATTTTACTGTATTTTGAGAAGGTGTCACTTTGTCACCTAGGCTGCAGTGCAGTGGTGCAATCACAGCTTACTATACAGCCTCAACCTCCTGGGCTCAAGTGATCCTCCTGGGTAGCTCAGACTACAGGCGCGCACCACCATACCCAGCTTATAAACTGTTATTTAGGTATGTACTGAATGTCATCAGCTTCCTGTACAGCGACACTCTGAAGAACAGCTAAAGCTTGACAGAGCAAACAAGAGTAAGAGAAAGCTCTTACATCAAATGGACAAAACCTAAAAACATACTGAAGACGTGGTTTTTCCTGAGAAGTCTGCCTCTTTTTCTCTTACTCTTCACATCAGCAGTTTCAGAAAGGAAACACATACTTGCATTAAATGTTTCTCTATAAAATATTTACTAGAAGTACTGCTTCACAAAAGTAGGAGCAGCAGAATGAATTCCATTTAGACCTACTGCTCCTCCCTTTTCAGAAAGTTATGAGGCAAGAGAATTGCTTGAAAGAGGTTGCAGTGAGACGAGATCGCGCCACTGCACTCCAGCCTGGGCACAACAGAGTGAAACTCTCTCTCAAATAAAAGTTTATGAACTCTGCAATTTAACATCCTACATCAGTCACAGACTGGAATTTAATGTTTTAGAATTCTGTGAAAGGTATTCTTTTTACAGTGCAGTTTATTTACACACGGTAAATAAATTTATCTTCAATTTTTTTTTTATTTTTCAGGGTCTCACTCTGACGCCCAGGTTGGAGTGCAGTGGCACAATCTCGGCTCACTGGATCCTCTGCCTCCCGGGTTCAAGGGATTCTCTGACTTTAGCCTCCTGAGTAGCTGGGAATACAGGCACACACCACCACACCCAGCTAATTTTTATATTTTTTGTAGAGATGGGGGTTTCACTATGTTGCCCTGGCTGGTCTCGAACTCCCGACCTCAGGTGATCCACCCGCCTTGGCCTCCCAAACTGCTGGGATTCCAGGCATGAGCCCCCCACACCCGGCCTCTATCTTGGATTTAGATATATCTGCTCCATCTAGCAGTCTATCAGAAGCTGTAGATTCCAATCATCACCGCTAGGGAAGATCTTTCAAAATTAGGAAAAAATACATCAGATATACCTGAAATACTTTTTTTATTGTTGTTAATACTCTTACTTTTAAGCAAGTTTTCTGCTGTCAATAGTCCCAATATTCAGGGGAGGGAGGTAGATATCACAGTCTGATCAGTGGCCCAGGGTATCACAAATTTTCAAGGTTATGATAAAGAATGCAAAAGACACTTATAAATTCTACGGAGACATCTGGTGTATATTCAAATAACAAATTGTATACAGAAAGCAAAATCCCAAAAACAATGTACTAGGCTAAGTATCTAGATCTATAATTAGTACATCCTGGGCCAACTAAGATTCAATTTCATATAAAACATAGAACAAGTCATCCTGTAAACCATTTTTCCTAAAACAAGTAACATCTAACCTGAAACTCAAATGATTAATAAAACCAAGCACACACAACTACATACTCGAATCTGGTTCTTAAGTTGCTCGGCCTCCTGCCGTAACTGGTCAAGCTCACTCATCTTCCGATCTTAGTGCTCTTCAATGCCACCTTCAAGAATGTGAGATCTGAAACAGAAAGACAAGCACAATCAATAAACAACTGTTGGATAATTTAATGAAGCAGGTGAGAAAAGTAAATTGAAAGTTTAAGGTGGGCGTGGTGGCTCAAGCCTGTAATCCCAGCACTTTGGGAGGCCGAGGCGGGCAGATCACGAGGTCAGGAGATCGAGACCATCCTGGCTAACACGGTCAAACCCCTTCTCTACTAAAAATACAAAAAAATTAGCCAGGCATGGTGGCAGGCGCCTGTAGTCCCAGCTACTTGGGAGGCTGAGGCAGGAGAATGGCGTGAACCTGGGAGGCAGAGCTTGCAGTGAGCCGAGATGGCGCCAGTGCACTCCAGCCCGGGCTTCACAGCAATACTCCGTCTCAAAAAAAAAAAAAAGGAAAGTCTGAGAACTATGGTCTCATTACAAACCAGAGAACTTTTCTTCAGCATTCATCAGAACTTATACAATGGCTAAGTAGGGCCAGGTAAATAAAATATAATTATGATTATTTATTGGCTTTGCATAATATTACAATGTCTAAAATACTACTCAACATATGCTGGTGGGTTATAAAAAGAAAAATCTGTTAAGCATTTTTCATAAAAAAATCTAGGTCTCCCTATAAATCCAAGAACATAAGACTGACATTTAGGCCAGGTGTGGTGGCTCATGCCTGTAATCCCAACAATTTGGGAGGCCAAGGCGGGTGGATCACTTGAGGTCAGGAGTTCAAGACCAGCCTGGCTAACATGGTGAAACCCGATCTCTACTAAAAATACAAAAATTAGCTGGGCATGGTGGCACACGCCTGTAATCCCAACTACTTGGGAGGCTGAGGTAGAAGAATCATTTGAACCTGGGAGGCAGAGGTTGCACTGAGCCAAAATCACACCACTGCATTCCGGCCTGGGTGACAGAGCGAGACTCCATCTCAAAATAAAAAAAATAAAACCTGACACTTAGGATAGCTATCGCATGAAGACCTAGGGGAAGTTACTTCAGGGAACGGGGGTGAGTGGCAACCTGGCAACCAAGAATCTCAAAGCCACCTCATCTCAGTAACCATGAACCGCTACTGGTCAAAAGCTGTCAGGATGCTCACACAGCAATCCTGAGCACACAGGGTGTGTCCAGCAGTTTTTTGGCTCAGGGACAACCCACTCTCCCACCCAAGTGAGCCCTGGGATCCCAGGAGGCTCAGAAACAACACCTTGATCCTTATAGGTGCAGGCTAAATTAGGCTCAGTACAAGCCGCCCTGCCTTCTCGCCCTACTCACGTTAGACAATATTCCTGAAATCAAAGTAAAAACTAAATCACCTTGTTAAACAAGAGACTTATTTTCCCAAGAGAATGTCATAAATGGAGGCTGCATTTCTGACCAAGATCTTAGCTGTTAATGTATGACTGAAGATCTTGGCTGTTAAGTATGACTCAAGTATAACAAAGCTGAGGACACAGTTGCTAATGTCTTTAATCCCTTACAATTAGCTCTCACATGCAAGTACGGCTTATGCAAGCACTTCAATTTCCTACATAAATTACACAGAGGATCAATTTTACCATTATAACTTTTGTGTAAGTCAAAAGGCTAATACAATATACATCAAAATCTAACTGATAGCAGTTATTTTCTTGAGATTAAAACCCATCTGTGGGAAACTATCCGATGACCTAAGAAGCTCAGCCGTCAGTTTCCAGTCTGAACTTTCCTAGTGTGCCTAAAGGAATTCGAATAACCTACAGTATAGATACTTGATGTCTACGGTCCACAGAACCAGAAAGGCCTGCAAGGCATGCCCCGTAACACGAGCACGCAGACCAGGCATCCTGCTGCCACTGCTCTCTGGGGAGGCAGGCTGCACAGCAACACGGTGTCAGAAAGATTTCTGACCAAATAGTTGTTTCTAAAGGCATTATTTGAAACGGATGTTTTAATCATGAGGAAAGCTTCACTAAGGAAAAATACCTCAGGCCTCCCTGCACACATGGAGCATCACCGGAATTAGGTATGGACAAGGTCACACCTCAAGGGCAGTTTATTCTTAAGGGATAAGACTGGTTAATTCTTTCCCTGGTTTTCACATATAAATCCTAGCGACTGTGATTTGTGGACGTTAATGTGTTAAGCAGTAAGAGTGCCAGGACAAGATGAGCAGTGTCTCAGATGGAAGCTGTCTGGATGCCTTGTGCTTTGCATTCTTTCTGCATGCCCTGACACTACTCACTTGTATTTCACACATGATCAAATTATATTATGCACACAATTTTGCAGAGTTGGGGGTAGTTTTATTTCACCAGCACCCCGCACGCATAATAGAGAATTGTTCTTAGTCTGTAAAGCTACTTTAATCCTTCCAAAATCAACATGAAGAAAACAAGTTAATGTTATGAAGTACCCCGAATTAAACTGTTTTAGTTAACACACACAGTTTCTGATCATTTAAACACTAAAAAGTAAAGCTAATTTTTATAGTACGGGACTAAAAACAACAAACTCCTGGGATCTCGGGAAAGAGAAACGCATGTTCTGAGATGCTTCAAAAATGATGTTCCGGCTGGGGGCGGTGGCTGACGCCTGTAATCCCAGCACTTTGGGAGGCTGCGGACAACGGATCACCTGAGGTCAGGAGTTTGAGACCAGCGTGGTTAACATGGAGAAACCCCATCTCTACTAAAAATACAAAAATTAGCCAGGCGTGGTGGTGTGTGCCTGTAATCCCAGCTACTCGGGAGGCTGAGGCAGGAGAATCGCTTGAACCTGGGAGGTGGAGGTTGCAGTGAGCCGAGATCTTGCCATTGCACTCCAGCCTGAGCAACAACAGCGAAACTCTGTCTCGAGAAAAAAAGAGATGTTTCTTGTGGCTGGAGGGTGGTGGGTGGGTGTGTAAAGGCCCAAATTCCATCATTAGGTGGGATAACTCCTGAAATCTTACATACTGCTTTTAATTAGATGTTCTTTTCACATATTATACAAGAACATGTACACAACAATCACCCAGCTGTATTGCTTGAGACTAGAGAAACAAATTTACCAAAAATCTAAGTATCTTTAAAATGAGCTCAATATAACTTAGTGACCTCACAAAATTTCAGAAGTAGTAATGCCAAAACTCGCTAACTTTCATCTTTAGTCACATGCAAAGAGAAAAAAACCAGACGGACTTCTTTTTCATAGTTAATAGCAGAAATTATTATAGCACTCTGCTGTGCCAACATTTGAGTTTCAATTCAGAGACTCAAAACCTACGTTTGTCAATTTTTTTTAAAAAGGCGTATTCCTGGCTGGGCATGGTGGGCTATAATCCCAACACTTTAGGAGGTCAAGTCGGGAGGACTGCTTGAATCCAGCAGTTTGCGACCAGCCTGGGCAATATGGCAAAACGCTGTGTACACACACACATACACACATACACACACACACACACACAATTTTTGTTAGCAATAAAAATAAATTTCCTGGTCAGGCCCTCTTCAGTCCACACATAGAAGTGATAAGAAAAATCTATTGTCAGGCATTTCAATTTTTTTAAAAAAATTACATTCTCTAGTCTCCAGGATAAAGATATATTTTCTTTTCTTTTCTTTTTTGAGACGGAGTTTCACTCTTATCGCCCAGGCTGCAGTGCAATGATGCAATCTCTGCTCACTGCAACCTCTGCCTCCCAGGTTCAAGTGATTCTTTTGCCTCAGCCTCCCGAGTAGCTGGAATTACAGGCGTATGCTACCACGCTTGGCTAGTTTTTGTATTTTTAGTAGAGACGGGGTTTCACCACGTTGGCCAGGCTGTAAGGAACTCCTGACCTCAGGTGATCCGCCCGCCTCGGCCTCCCAAATGCCGGGATTACAGGTATGAGCCATCATGCCCCGCCTAAAAATGTATTTTCTACAATCAAATTGAAAAAAATTTTTGGAGATAAACTCAATGATCAGTACCATCTTTTTGTTATGTGGACATGCACCAGACACCCTGTACAGGAGTTCAGGCACAGCAGTGAACTGGCTGATGGGATGAGGCAGGAGAGACGAGAAAACGTGACCATCACATTCCCCATGGGCTGCAAGGGAACCAGGTGCCAGGAAGAGCGAACTTAAGGGAAGCAAACAACCTTCTGGTTCCCATAAACAGCCTTCTCAGTGGCTCTTAGTTCATCTTTACCGTGAAGACAGTGAACGAAACAAAAACGAACAGTGTACAAAGCATGATGCTTTTGTGTGTACAAGAAGGACAAACGCCAATGCCAGGGCAAGCCATCTTTTTTCTTTTTTTTTTGAGATGGAGTTTTGCTCTTGTTGCTGAGACTAGAGTGCAGTGGCACAGTGCTGGCTCACTGCAACCTCCGCCTCCCGATTTCAAGCGATTCTTTTGCCTCAGCCTCCCGAGTAGCTGGGACTACAGGCACATGCCACCACAACCGGCTAATTTTTTGTATTTTTAGTAGAGACAGGGTTTCATCATGTTGGCCAGGCTGGTCTTGAACTCCTGACCTCAGGTGATCCGCCCACCTCGGCCTCCCAAAGTGCTGGGATTACAGGTGTGAGCCACTGCGCCCGGCCCGCCATCTTTTTTCTACACACACCAGATGTTATGGCGTTGTTTTTGGAGAAAGAGAAACAGGTTAGCAGCTTTTATTCTTCTCATTATTCTTCAAATATAGTTTGCTTACTAACCCCCCTACACACCAACACACGCATACAAAGTTAACAGAGGCTAATCTGGGGTCCTAGAACAAAGAAACATTTTTTTCTTTATACTTTTCAGTTTCAATAAAATAATATTACATTTTTTTTTTTTTGAGATGGAGTCTTGCTCCGTCGCCCAGGCTGGAGTGCAGTGGCGCGATCTCAGCTCACTGCAAGCTCCACCTCCCGGGTTCACGCCACTCTCCTGCCTCAGCCTCTCCGAGTAGCTGGGACTACAGGCGCCCGCCACCACGCCCAGCTAATTTTTTATATTTTTAGTAGGGACGGGGTTTCACCGTGGTCTCCATCTCCTGACCTCGTGATCCGCCCGCCTCAGCCTCCCGAAGTGCTGGGATTACAAGAGTGAGCCACCGCGCCCAGCCTTAATGTTACATTTTTTAAAAAAAATTTCTGTGAGGGTCTCACACTCTTGCCCAGGGTGGAGTGAGTGGCATGATCATAGCTCACTGCAGTTCAAGCCATCCTTCTACCTTAGCCTCCAGAGTAGCCAGGACTACAAGCAGACTCCACCCATCACACCCAGCTATTTTTGAAATTTTTGGTAGAGACGAGGCCTTGCTATGTTGCCCGGGCTGGTCTCAAACTCTTGGCTTCAAGTGATCCTCCTGCCAAGGCCTCCCAAAGCGCTAGACTCTAATCTATTGCATGAGCCACCACACCCAGCCTAAAGTTAACTTTTTAAAGTTACCTGATGCAGCCAGGTGCAATGGCTCAAGCCTATAATCCCAGCACTTTGAGAGGCTGAGGCAGGTGGATCACCTGAGGTTAGGAGTTCGAGACCAGCCTGGCCAACGTGGTGAAACTCCGTTTCTACTAAAAAATACAAAAATTAGCCAGGTGTGGTGATGCGTGCCTGTAATCCCACATACTCGGGAGGCTTAGGTGGGAGAACGGCTTGAACCTGGGAGGCGGAGGCTGCAGTGAGCAGAGATCGTGCCACTGCACTCCAGCCTGGGTGACAGAATGAGGCTCCATCTCAAAAAAAAAGTTACTTGATGCAATTCGCTGGGTATCGTGGAACGTGCCTGTAGTCCTACCTACTTGGGAGGCTGAGGTGGGAGGATCGCTTGAGTCCAGGAGTTCAAGGCTGCAGTGAGCTATGATAGCACCACTGCACTCCAATCTGGGCAACAGAGCAAGATCCTGTCTCTAAATAGTTACTGGAATAACTGTAACATATTGCTAAGAACAATAAGGAAGACAGTAATAATTTGGGAAAACGCTTACTATATACTAAGTCAAAAATAATATAAATTTGCATATAGTTATTTTATTTGAGACTGAGTCTAGCTCTGAGGCCCAGGCTGGATGGAGTGCAATGGCGCGATCTCGGCTCACTGCAACCTCCACCTCCTGAGTTCAAGCGATTCTCCTTCCTCAGCTTCCCAAGTAGCTGGGATTACAGGCATGCACCACCACACCTGGCTAATTTTTGTATTTTTAGTAGAGACAGGGTTTCGCCATGTTGGCCAGGCTGGTCTTGAACTCCTGACCTCAAGTCATCTGCCTGCCTCAGCCTCCCAAAGTACTGGGATTACACGCACCCGGTCACATGTAGTAATTGTAGCTGCTTTATTATAATTAAAATAGGTCTGGGCGCGGTGGCTCATGCCTGTAGTCCCAGCACTTTGGGAGGCTGAGGCTGGCAGATGGCTTGAGCTCAGGAGTTCAAGACCAGGCTGGGCAACAACATGGCAAAAACCTGGTCTCTACTAAAAATGCAAAAATTAGCTGGCGCAGTGGCACACGCCTGTAGTCCCAGCTACTTGGGAGGCTGAAGTGGGAGAATCCACTTGAGCCTGGGAAATTGAGGCTACAGTGAGCCATGACTGTTCCACTACACTCTAGCCTGAGCACATGGAGTGAGACCTTGTCTCAAAAAAAAAAAAAAAAGAAAAGAAAAAAGAAAAATATACTCACTTTAAAGAAAGATAGAATAGCATTTTTATTATAACTATTAGTCACGTTTTTCTACTAAACGTAATATTGATGCAGCTTCCTTTGAAAATTAAAGAATAAATGTAAATTTTAAAAGTCTTACTCACATTTAATTGCTCTTGCTTTTCTCTTCGCTTCCCTCAGTCCCCCAGACCTTCCAGAACACCCACCACCAGGTTTCCCTGGCCTGGGCTCCTCTCCTCCGGTGCCGACGTCACGGCTAAGCTCTGGCTGTGCTGACTCCAAGAGCCCGCCCGTCTAATCCACTAAGACAGGCTCTGCTAAGGCCTCATGTCTAGTCTTCCTGATGACCCATATCTGCCATTGGCTTTTATTCAGAATCTGAGTTTTGGAAATCCTTTTGAGAGAGATTTGAATAACTTAAAAGCAAGCAGGTGAAGGGATCTGCCCCTACTTTAGAACAACATCTTTGTGAGTCAAGTGTTAGCAAGATTTTTAAAGTCAGAATATTTCATATTTGCAATGCAATGTGCTCCGTGTAGTGCCTCTACCCTTCATGGCAATGCAGCAGCCCAGGCCTCTCATCCAGACCCCTGAGAGTCTAGGAGGGGCACCTCAGCGGTGCCCTCAGGACCCCATATTACACAGTCACCAATAACAACATTCAGGCTGCAAGTTTGCCAATGACAAAATAGGGTACAGATATTGAAAAATAATTTCAAGTTCTGGTTCTGCAACATACAAAGAATAATGCTTTCACTAAATTGTTTTTTACTCTAATCTGCTTAATTCAAAATGGGAATGGTGTTATCTATATCACAGAGCTAAAATGAAAATTAAATCAGACAACCAATCTGAAAGTGCTCTGTCAGTCTCACAGTGATTAAACTATGACGTGTACCTTTGACTAACAATCTCAAGGACAACAGGCACCATGCTCACCAAAGTGCACACATGTGGTCCCACCACCAAGCAGCAACAGGGCAGTCCTGAGTCACCTGGTCACCAGCTAGCCGCACACCCCTGAGCCTCCTGTGCAGCACTGGATGGCTGCATCTCTGGATGGTTTGGACAACTTCCGAAGTCCAAACCGGCCCCAGTGTCTTACACCGGGGCAGGAAATTTGCTAACTTGACCAAACACACAAGGATCACAGCTCACCTCCAAGACGAAGCAGCATTTTGAAAGAGAGGAGTTTGCATGAGGAATTTAAACCAATTTCACTCACTTTTCCATTTTTCTTTCATTCCCAAGTCCAGGTCAATCTCCAAAACTAAGACTGTGGGAATTCAAAGGGCAACGGAAAAAGTCCTCAGGCCCTGCTTCCCTTACGCACCGCTCCTAACAATACTGTGAGGAATAAGGGGAGCAGGGGACCACCGCAACTGATAAAGGACACGACCACTAACGCAGCTGCAGAGCAACGCATGCGCAGACCCTCCCTCCAACACAACAGGCACTGTAGAGCCTCAGCATGGTGCTGAGCAGCATGAACCAGGCTGGATTCTAGTTTGAGGGAGACAGAAGACAAACAGGTAAATCACGTGGAGTTACAGAGGCTGGGAGCGTACACAGTCACTGCGAACGGGTGAAGTGTGCCAACGAGGGCAGGGAGGATGCTGCTTTGCATGGCTGTTAGACATGACCTTGCTAATGGGCCAACATTTGAGCAGCAGGCAGATGGGCAAAAATAACACAACTGTTCTTGTTTGAGGTGCTATTTTTTGCAATGGTAACAATTTTAAAAATCTTACCTTAGGATTTTGCCTGTGCCTATAAAGTAATCTTAACGAAAAAGTGAATGTGACCAAAGCTCTAGAACTAGAAGACAGGGAAACATGTTCAATGACCCCACAGAGGCAACGGTACTACACAATGGCCTGGGAAACACTCCAGGACAGACGACCAGGCAGGTCGGTTAGTCTGTCTTTAACAAATAAACTTCAAGGGAAAAAGGAGAGAAAGCAAACAATGGAGGGAGGATTTCTGGACTAAGTGAAGAGACTCCCCAGAATCATCTCCTTCATGTCCCAGTCACAAGTGAGCTCACTCACCCATTAGACGCTGGCAACTGGGGGAAGGGCAGGAACTATGGTGTGCGGTCACAAAGCCCTCAGAAGGCAATTCTCCAGGGAGGGGTCTAACAGCCAGGGGTGAGCCAGTGAGGCACAGCTGCTAAGAGCTTACCTCTGACCCTTGGAACTCTGAAATCCCAGAAGTGGCTACTGACTCTCCCGAAGCCTTATTATTTCTCATGCATCACAAAAAACATCTGATCTCCCATTCTGCTCTCCCTTTTCTAACCCTGTTAGCCTATGGCCTCTTTTTGCTTTTAGGGCGGAGCACAAAATCTAGCACATACTAGGACAATTGGAAATCATTCAATAGATACACATCTTCAAACATGTTGAGGCCAAATTGGAAGTCCCACTTTGATCATTTCAAAGCCAAACTTTATATGTAACTGATGGAGTCTCATGAAATGAATGGCATCCATCCAGAAGACGGGTCTAACAGGGAAAGGTGGTGAGAAACTAACAATCATGCAGCGCACACAACAGAGGAGGCTAAACTCCAAGCACTTTTTTTTTTTTTTTTTTTGAGATGGAGTCTCACTCTGTTGCCCAGGCTGGAGTGCAGTGGTGCGATCTCGGCTCAGTGCAACCTCCGCCTCCCGGGTTCATGCCATTCTCCTGCCTCAGCCTCCCAAGTAGCCAGGACTACAGGCGCCTGCCACTATGCCCTGCTAATTTTTTAAATTTTTATTAGAGACGGGGTTTCACCGTGTTAGCCAGGATGGTCTTGATCTCCTGACTTCATGATCCGCCCACCTCAGCCTCCCAAAGTGCTGGGATTACAGGCGTGAGCCACTGCACCCGGCCTCCAAGCACCTTTTATAAGGGGCCTGGAAATCCTTAGGTTTAGGGAAAGACTGCTGTGTGCCATGCCATCTGCACTCCAGTATATAAAAATAATCTTTGTTTTTACATTTACTGCTGCAAACTACAATGAATACTATGTGCTTTCCCAACAGCAAATGGGCGGTGGGGGTTAGAATTCTGTTCCTAGAAAAACTTCCGTGTTTTTATTGGCATTTGCAGGTCCAGCCCACTTAAGCAGGACCAATGATGTCTGACAGCCCTGGCTGGAAGCAGAGTGACGCTTCATGGCAGGAAAGTTGGAAGCCCCAGGTTCTAACCCAGACTCTATCTCTTCTCACCAGGTGGCCTCCAGTAGGTTTCCTAACTTCTCTCTGCCTACATTTTTTTGTCTGAAAGTGGGGACAGTAATAGTCCCCACAGCTCATGCTATGACAATTCCATTAGAATCCATGCAAGCCCCTTAGAACCATGACTGACACAGTAAATGCTTACTAAATATGACTTGCTATGAAAGCAGGTGTAAAACTGTTGCCCTGAAAGTTTTAAGTAATGTCCAGAAAACTACCTCCTGCCTCACCTGCCACACTTTCCATCCAGTCAGTGCAGTAGGCCCTTTTGCAGAAATCAAAAATATATGTAGCAGTGGCAACCAGTGTAACAGTGGAGTTAATCAGATAGATGTGATACTTTGAAATCTGTGCATGTTGTTACATGTACAAGTCTTTATGAGAACATCTGCTTTCACTTCTCTTGGGCAGATTCCTAGCGGTGGAATGGCTGGATCATACTACAGGTGTGTGTTGAACATTCCAAGAAAATGCCAGGCCAGGTGCAGTGACTCATGACTATAATCTGAGCACTTTCCGAGGCAAGGCAGGAGGATCACTTGAGCCCAGGAATTGAAGACCAGCCTGGGCAACATACTGAGACCCCGTCTTACAAGAATTAAAAAAAGAAAAAAAAAAAAAAAAAAAAAGCCAGACATGGTAGTGCGTGCCTATAGTCCCAACTACTTAGGAAGCTGAGGCCAGAGGATCACTTGAGCCCAGGAGGTCATGGATGCAGTCAGCTATGATCACACCATTGTACTCCAGTCTAAGAGACAGAGTGAGACCCTATTTCAAAAAAACAAAAAACAAACTCAAAAAACAAAAAAAACCAACTCTTTTCAAAATGGTTATGCTGGGTCACATTCCCAACATCCTATAAGCAATGTGGAGAGTCCCGGCTCCTCACGCCCAACAACGCTGGGTGGGTGTCACAGCCATTCTAATGGGGGCGTGGGCTGTAGTCTCCATCTGCATCTCGCTGACTGCTGAGCTTCTGAGGCACTCAATTGCTGTCTATACAGTTTCTGGTAAAGTGTCTGTTCAAGTCACTTGCCTCTTTTTTATTGGGTTACCTGTTTTCTTAATATTGCTTTTTTTTTTTTTTTTTTTTTTGACACAGGGTCTCGCTCTGTTGTCCAGGCTGGAGTACAGTGGTGTGATCGTGACTCACTGCAGCCTCAACATCCCGGGCTCAAGTGATTCTCCCACCTCAGCCTCCCAAGTAGCTGGTACTACAGACACACAACACGATGCCTGGCTAAATTTTTTTTTTGGAGACAGTCTCGCTTTATCACCCAGGCTGGAGTGCAGTTGCACAACCTGGACTCACTGCAACCTCCACCTCCCAGGTTCAAGTGATTCTTGTGTCTCAGTCTCCCAAATGGCCGGGATTATAGGCATAAGCCACTACACCTAGCTAATTTTTGTATTTTTAGTAGAGATGGGGTTTCCCCATGTTGGCCAGGTTGTTCTCGAACTCCCAACCTCAGGTGATCCGCCTGCCTGGGCCTCCCAAAGTGCTGGGATTACAGGTGTGAGCCACCGTGCCCGACTGCTAACTTTTTTTTTTTTTTTTTTTTGAAGAGACAGGGGTCTCACTTTATTGCCCAGGATGGTATCGAACAACTGGCTTCAAGCAATCCTCCTCCCAAAGTGCTGGGATTACAGGTGTTAGCCATAGTACCTAGCCAAAATTGAGTTTTGAGAGTTCTTACCTATTCTGGATACAAGTCATCTAAAAGACATTTGCTAATATTTTCTGCCAGACTATGGTTTGTCTTTCGTTCTCTGTTTTTTCTAAGGAGCAGAAGTTTTAAATTTTGAACAAATTCAATTTATAAATGTTTTCTTTTACGCATTCTATCTTTGATCTCACATCTAAAAACTGTTTGCTTAATTCAAAATCTCATTTTTTCTAATTTTACGTTTTATATTTAGGTATATGATCCATTGAGTTAATTTTTTTTTTTTTTTTTGAGACGGAGTCTCACTCTGTCACCCAGGCTGGAGTGCAGTAGCGTGATCTTGGCTCACTGCAAGCTCCGCCTCCTGGGTTCATGCCATTCTCCTGCCTTGGCCTCCTGAGTAGCTGGGACTTCAGGTGCCCATCACCACGCCTGGCTAATTTTTTGTATTTTCAGTAGAGACGGGGTTTCATCGTGTTAGCCAGGATGGTCTCGATCTCTTGACCTCGTGATCCACCCTCCTTGGCCTCCCAAAGTGCTGGGATTACAGGCGTGAGCCACCATGCCTGGCCTTTTTGTTTTTGTTTTTGTTTTTTTGACACGGAGTCTCACTCTGTCACCAGGCTGGAGCACAACGGTGCAATCTCAGCTCACTGCAACCTCTGCCTCCTGGGTTCAAGCGATTCCCCTGCCTCAACCTCCTGAGTAGCTGGACTACAGGGGCGTGCCACCACACGTGGCTAAATCTTTTCCTTTGTATTTTCGTAGAGACGGGGTTTCACCATGTTGGCCAGGATGGTCTCGATCTCCAGACCTGATGATCTGCCCACCTTGGCCTCCCAAAATGCTGGGATTACAGGTGAGCCACCTTGCCTGGCCTGAGTTAATTTCTGTACATGATGTCAAGTTCTCCTTTTGCGTAAGAATATCCAATTGACTAACCAGGCGTGGTGGCTCACGCCTGTAATCCCACAGCTTTGGGAGGCCAAGGCGGGTGGATCACCTGAGGTCAGGAGTTCGAGACCAGCCTGACCAACATGGTGAAACCCCGTCTCTACTAAAAATACAAAAATTAGCTGGGTGTGGTGGTGAGCGCCTGTAATCCCAGCTAATTGGGAGGCTGAGACAGGAGAATGGCTTGAACCTGGGAGGGGGAGGTTGCAGAGAGCTGAGATTGCACCACTGCACTTCGGCCTGGGCAACAGAGCAAGACTCTGTCTCAAAAGAAAAAAAAGAATATCCAATTGTTCCAGCCCCTAATTGCTATTCAATTTAATTTTGCTTTTTAATTTAAAATTATTTCAAACTTCAAAGAGTTGCAAGAATAATACAAAGAAACCATGTACCCTCCTCACCCAGACTCACTCACTACGAACATGGCTTCATTATTCCCACTTTATTCAAACAAAAAGGTTTTTGTTTTGTTTTGTTTTCCTGAATCATGTTCACCTTACTTTTTTTTCTTTTCTTTTTTTTTTTTTGAGACGGAGTCTCGCTCTGTCCCACAGGCTGGAGTGCAGTGGTATGATCTTGGCTCACTGCAAGCTCCGCCTCCTGGGTTCACATCATTCTCCTGACTCAGCCTCCAGAGTAGCTGGGACTACAGGCGCCCACCACCGCACCCGGCTAATTTTTTGTATTTTTAGTAGAGACAGGGTTTCACCGTGTTAGCCAGGATGGTCTCGATCTCCTGACCTCGTGATCCACCCAACCTGACCTCCCAAAGTGCTGGGATTACAGGCATCAGCCACCGCACCCGGCCATATATTGGTATTTCAACTAAGATCTGATTTGAAAAAAGGGCTCTCCTGCTTTCTAACGAAAAAAACTAGCGATGTACCACTCTGATTCAGAAGGTAAATCCTCATCACTGGGACCCTAAACCTTCTTGCTCAACACTAAATGGAAGCTTTTTTTGAGGATCAAATTGTTTTGAAAACCAACTTTGGCTTAAAAGAGATAGAAAAAAACTGTAACAAAAACCAGGGTATTGACCAGGCATGCTGGCGTATGTCTATAGCCTCAGCTACTCAGGATGCTGAGGTGAGAGAACCCCTTGACCCCAGGAGTTAGAATCCAGTCTGAGCAACATGGCAAAACACTGTCTCTTTAAAAAACCAACCCACCAGCTATTTATAAAAACAAACTCTGAAGAAATTTATATATTGTCTTTCTAAAACTGATGAGGATCAAATATATCAAAATTACCTTAATTCAGAAGGGCTTCTGGTCTGGTCTCCAATACATGTAAATTTGTCTGAAACAAACAGAAAAGGCTGTATTTGTATTGCACTCAGGTTGTGAATAAAATATTCTATTTTGCTAGTAGCTATATTTTATGCAACGACACATAAATTTGACCCTTCCCTATTACTATTTCTCCCCCAAAATTGCTTTATTTAGCAGTACTGTCATATTTTGTTTTTCAGCATGGGAACAAAATAAGAAATCAGATCTCAACTTCTTTAAGAATCCTTAGAAATGCCCCAGGGAAAATACCTTGAATTAAACTGAAAAGTATGGGCACAGAGGTTAGAATCCTATCACTAGAAAAATTACAGTAACAATTTAAAAACTAATGCAGGCCGGGCCCAGTGGCTAACCCCTGCAATCCCAGCACTTTGGGAAGCTGAGGCAGGCAAATCACCTGAGGTCAGGAATTGGAGACCAGCATGGTCAACATGGTGAAACCCCATCTCCACTAAAAATACAAAAAAAAAAAGTTAGCCAGGCATGGTGTCACAAGCCTGTAATCCCGGTTACTCAGGAGGCTTAGACAGGAGAATCGCTTAAATCCGGGAGGTGGAGGTTGCAGTGAACCGAGATCATTCCACTGCATTCCAGCCTAGGTGACAGAGCAAGAATCTGTCTCAAAACAAAAACACACAACAGTCTGGGCGCGGTGGCTCACATCTGTAATCCCAACACTTTGGGAGGCTGAGGTGGGCGCATAACCTGAGGTCAAGAGTTCGAGACCAGTCTGGCCAACGTGGCTAACTAAAAATTAAATGTTTTTAATTTTAATGTGTTTTAAGAACACATTATGTTCTTGGCAGCGAACTAAAAAAAAAAACGTTTCTACTAAAAATTAAAAAAATTAGCCAGGCGTGATGGCAGGCACCTGTAACCCCAGCTACCTGGGAGGCAGAGGCAGGAGAATCACTTGAACCCAGAAGGTGGAGGTTGTAGTGAGTGGAGATCACGCCACTACACTTCAGCCTGGGTGATAGAGCAAGACACCGTCTCGAAAAGAAAAAAAAAAAAAAGCTAGGTACCGTGGCTCCTGCCTGTAATCCCAGCACTTTGGGAGACCAAGTTGGGCGGATCACAAGGTAAAGAGTTCGAGACCAGCCTGGCCAATATGGTGAAACCTCATCTCTACTAAAAATACAAAAAATTCGCCGAGCGTAGTGGCAGGCACCTGTAGTCCCAGCTACTCAGGAAGCTGAGGCAGGAGAATTGCTTGAACACAGGAGGCGGAGATTGCAGTGAGCCGAGATCGTGCCGCTGCACTCCAGCCTGGGTGACAGTGCGAGACTCTGTCTCAAAACACACACGCACACACACACACAGACACAACACTAATACAATTCAACAAATTCTGAAGATTAATTTAATCCAGACTTTGCCTGTTTGGCATGACAGTGGAGAGCATTTCATCTGAATCTCAAGGAAGCCACTAAATAACTACTTTGTGAGTCCTGGCAAGTCTATGTTGGGACACTTCCAATCCCTCCCTCTGTCCCTCTCCTGCTGACACGGTCCCATCCAGTGCCTGGCCCTGGTGCCCAGGAAGGTGGCTTGAATGGTGACAGAGATCACAAGAGAGGTTTCTGACTCCTCTTGACATACTTCTGGTGGAATGAAAATATGTCCAATTCTAGATTTCTTCTGATTTCAGAACATTTATTGTATTTTTTTTATTTTTGAGACAGCAGTCTCGCTCTGTCACCAGGCTGGAGTGCAGTGGTATCATCTCAGTTCACTGGAACCTCCGACTCACTGGTTCGAGTGATTCTCCTGCCTCAGCCTCTTGAGTAGCTGCGATTATAGGCACATGCCACCACTCCCAGCCAATTTTTATATTTTTAGTAGAGACGGGTTTTCACCATATTGGTCAGTATGGTCTCGATCTCCTGACCTCGTGATCTGCCCACCTCGGCCTCCCAAAGTGCTGGGATTACAGGCGTGAGCCACTGCACATGGCCACATTTATTAATTTTTTGAGACAGATTCTCACTCTGTCACCCTGGCTGGAGTGCAGTGGCATGATCTTGGCTCACTGCAACCTCTGCATCCCAGGTTCCAGCGATTTTCCTGCCTCAGCCTCCTGAGTAGCTGGGATTACAGGCACACGCCATGCCTTTTATTATTTATTAGTAGAGATGGGGTTTCACTATGTTGGCCAGGCTGGTCTCAAACTCCTGACCTCAGGTAATCCGCCTGTTTCAGCCTCCGAAAGTGTTGGGATTACAGGCCTGAGCCACTGAGCCTGGCCTGATTTCAGAACATTTAAAGATGCTTCTGTAATCGCTCCCTCAAATTAAACTATGTGAAAAGACCACTTGTGGAGGCTTCACAGGTCACCACCTGCCTATTAATTCAGTGTCTTGTGAGTCTGCAAACTCACATGCACACATCTAGTCTGGAGTCAGTAGATGAATCAACAAACTGAAATATCTCCCAGTTGAACTGTGAATTCTAATTCATTTACTTAAAGTAGTTTCGTTTTGCAATTATGCTGCTTATGTACAAGCAAGCACGTACTTTTCCGGCAGTAAAAATGAGTGTGGAAGGAAAACAGTTTGGCAGTTCCTCAAAAAATTAAACACAGAATTACCCCATAACCCAGCAATTCTACTCCTAGGTATATTCCCAAAAGAACTGAAAGCAGGGATTCAATGCATGTACACATTATGTTCTTAGCAGCAGTACTCAGCAGCCAGAAGGTGGAGACAGCCCAAATACCCACTGAGCATGAATGGATGAATAAAATGTGGTCTATCCAAACAATTGAATATTATTCAGCTATAAAGATAAAGGAGGCCGAGCGTGGTGGCTCACGCCTGTAATCCCAGCACTTTGGGAAGGTGAGGCGGGTGGATCACCTGAGGTCAGGAGTTCAAGACCAACCTGGCCACCTCGTCTCT
The DNA here is from genome assembly GCF_000001405.40 of Homo sapiens. Classification (NCBI taxonomy): domain Eukaryota; kingdom Metazoa; phylum Chordata; class Mammalia; order Primates; family Hominidae; genus Homo; species Homo sapiens. The sequence continues at coordinate 1,842,132 of NC_000001.11, forward strand.
ATTAAAAATACAAAAATTGCCAGGCACGGTGGCTCACGCCTGTAATCCCAGCACTCTGGGAGGCCAAGGCGGGCAGATCACAAGGTCAGCAGATTGAGACCATCCTGGCTAACACGGTGAAACCCCATCTCTACTAAAAATACAAAAAATTAGCCGGGCATGGTGGCGGGCGTCTGTAGTCCCAGCTACTCTGGAGGCTGAGGCAGGAGAATGCCATGAACCCAGGAGGTAGGGCTTGCAGTGAGCCAAGGTTGCACCCCTGCACTCCAGCCTGGGCGGGGTGACAGAGTGAGACTCCATCTCAAAAAAAAAAAAAAAAGAAGTCCTGGTCCTGTCTCTGCTAGAACACAGACAAACCTCACAAATATGCTAAGTGACAGATGCCATACACAAAAAGCCACATATATACAACCCCATTTACATGAAATATCCGGAACACACAAATCCAAAGAGACAGAATGCAGTGGTTGCCAGGGGCTGCATGTGTCTGCGTGTGCATGCACATGTGTGTGCAGTGGACAATTATTTAATGGGTACAGGGTTTCCTTTTGAGGTGATGAAAATGTCATGGAATTAGCTAGAGACGGTGGTTGCAACACATTGTAAATGTACTAAACGGCACCGAATCATTCACTTTAAAATGGTTTATGTTATGTGAATTTCACCTCAGAAAAAAAGTTGGGTGTGAAAAGGCACACAGGAGTAAACAGTGAATGATGCAAACTACCCCAGACTTCAGGAAGCGAAGCCTCGCTCCGGGGCAGGGTCCTATGAGCATACCCGAAAAGTGCCACCAAATCAAGTTTCAAAGCATGGGTCTCAACCTCAGCACAATGAACATTTTAGGCAGGGGTGTGTGTGTGTCCCCAGGAGGATATCTGGCAGCATGCCAGTAGTGCTCCTTTCCCCAGCTGTAACAGCCACCTGGCATCCCGAGAGGCAATACTGACCCCAGTTGAGAACTCTTCAACTGTCACAATTATCTCAACCACTAAATATAAATCTTTTCAAGTACTTTCCAGATCAAGGGACAGGTAGGAAGAGAAATACTACTAAAAAAAATTATACATAATCTGCTCTATTTTATCATTATTAATTATTTTTTTGAGACAGGGTCACCCTCTGTCAGCCAGTCTGGAGTACAGTGGCACAATCATGGCTCACTGCAGCTTCGACTTCCTGGGCTAAGGTGATCCTCCTGCCTCAGCCTCCTGAGTAGCTGGGACCACAGGTGTGTGCCACCATGCCCAGCTAATTAAAAAATATATATATATTTGTAGACATGGGGTCTTGCCATACTGCGCAGGCTGGTCTTTAACTCCTGGGCTCAAACGATCCTTGCAGGTCGGCCTTCCACGGTGCTGGGATTGCAGGCACAAGGCACCGCACCCAGCTGCTCTATTTTAATGCCTAGATTGCCCTGTGGCTCAAATCATGACTCAAGATTGGAGTAAGGATGCTAAAAGTGCTATCAAATCACCTTAGCCTGGATTCACATGGAGAGTTGTCTGGACCCATTTCTGGCTAAAAACAAGATGACCCAAATGTATGCTCTTTTTCTGACTATCCAGCTCATAGAACCCCACACTAAGGACAGGACTACCAGTCCCACAATAATGTAACCCTAAACCAGTAGCACTACCCTTAAAGAACATCAGGAGCTGGGCTCGCACCTCCCAGTGCTTTGGGAGGCCGAGGCGGGTGGATCACCTGAGGTCATGAGTTCGAGACCAGCCTGGCCAACATGGTGAAACCCTCTCCACTAAAAATACAAAAATTACTGGCCGGGTGCGGTGGCTCATTCCTGTAATCCGAGCACTTTGGGAGGCCGAGGCGGGCGGATCACGAGGTCAGGAGATCGAGACCATCCTGGCTAACTCGATGAAACCCCGTCTCTACTAAAAATACAAAAAATTAGCTGGGCGTGGTGGCGGGTGCCTGTAGTCCCAGCTACTTGGGAGGGTGAGGCAGGAGAATGGCGTGACCTCGGGAGGCAGAGCTTGCAGTGAGCTGAGATTGCGTCACTGCACTCCAGCCTGGGTGACAGAGCAAGACTCCATCTCAAAAAAAAATTAAAATAAAATAAAAATAAATTTAAAAAATAAAAAAATTAGCCGGGCACGGTGGCATGCACCTGTAGTCCCAGCTACTTGAGAGGCTGAGGCAGGACAATCAATTGATCCTGAGACAGGGAGGTTGCAGTGAGCCAAGATTGCATCACTGCACTCCAGCCTCGATGGCAGAGTGAGACTCCGTCTCCAAAAAAAAAAAAAAGAAAAAGATGGGCACTTTTTCAAGGCTCTTGATAAAATCAACTGACTCTATACAGCTAATTTAGCAATATTAAATATTAATATGACTTCTTTGCACATATCCTAGTACTTATACTTTTATTTCAGCATTTTTCAAAATCTAGAAACTGAATCCTTGAGACATACCTAGAGAATTTCTCTACAAGCTGCATTAATATTTCTAATCAAGTACAGGTATACTTGTGGGGGATGATTTCTTCTCTATCAACATAATCCTAAGATGGGAAACACATAAGTGCACCACTGGTTATCTACAATTCTGAGATACCCAAACCAGAATAGGACACACGGCATTAGGCAGACTTTCTCACATTCAGGGTGAGCAGTCTTATGTTTACTACAAACTTTGGGGTATCTGATTAAAGCCTTGCCGTAAGTGTGGTGCACATGTAACATACTCACTGCATCTTTCTCAACCCTGAAAAAGTCTATATTCCGGAAAACATCCAGCCCCAAGAGTTTTGCCTAAAGGCCTGGGGGCTTGTAAGAAACAAAGTAAACTCCCTTCCAAATAATTCTTTAATTCAAAAACACACTGAACAACTAGAATGTGAAATAATACTGAACTTAATGACAACTCTGTATCATAATCTTCAACTATATATGATCATACTAATAAACAGGATAAAAACAAACTAGAAATGCCTTCTTTCAAACAAAAATTAGAGTTCAGTATCAATAAAAAGATAACAATACCTGTAAAACACAACCAACCAACCAAAAAAAGGTCTAAAGACATCACGTTAATTTAGAATACTCTAACTGTACAAACGTGGGGGTACATTCTAAGGGCAAATAGAGTTCTGAAATTTAAGCGTCATATTGGTGGCATAATAATGCTTAAAGTAGGCCGGGTGCGGTGGCTCACGCCTGTAATCCCAGCACTTTGGGAGGCCAAGGCGGGCGGATCACGAGGTCAGGAGATTGAGACCATCCTAGCTAACTCAGTGAAACCCCGTCTCTACTAAAAATACAAAAAATTAGCCAGGTGGGATGGCGGGCGCCTGTAGTCCCAGCTACTCAGGAGGCTGAGGCAGGAGAATGGCGTGAACCCAGGAGGCGGAGCTTGCAGTGAGCCGAGATCGTGCCACTGCACTCCAGCCTGGGTGACAGTGCGAGACTCCGTCTCAAAAAAAATAATAATAAAATAAAATAAAAATAATAATAATAATGCTTAAAATATTAATATGGATATGTATGCCAGAGCGAAATAAGCGAAGATATGGTTATTTGGGGAGCAAGGCTCACACTGGAGAAGGGAGGCACAACACGGACTATCTGAAAGCAAGGAATGGCCCCCTGGGGTTCAATCTGAATTTGGAGACAATGGAAATTCTCTATACATTTATTCCGCTGTAGAATCATTTGTGTGTAAGTCCATACACACACACACACACACACACACACACACACACACACACACACACACGTATATCTCCTATCTCTTGTCAACTGAAAGGTCTGGAAGCAACGACCTCTCCACACACAAAGCCCAAATCTTGGTTTTATAAAAACGGTTCCCTTTAAAAGGAGCTTCAGGGTTCCTCTGAGAAATCACTCCCTCAAGGTCTGGCACAGGAACCCTCTTGCTATGGCAGAAAGGAAGGGCTCCAAAACTAAAAAGAACATGTCAAAAACACACCAGCTTGAAGGAAGTCTGCTGGCCAAATTTAGGACAATCTGAGGGTCAACATGACGAACAATGGTAATGGAATATACCTTACTGGATCTAAAAAAAGAACACACAAGCACATGGTAACATATAAATTAAAAAAAAAAAGAGGAAAAGCGAAGCTCTTCTTTACAGAGGAATGCCAATACACATAGAAGGAGTAAGATTTAGCCGGGTGCAGTGGCTCATGTCTGTAATCTCAGCAGTTTGGGAGGCCAAGGCAGGCGGATCACCTAAGCTCAGGAGTTCGAAACCAGCCAGGCCAACGTGGTGAAACTCCATCTCTGCTAAAAACAAAAAAATTAGCCAGGCGTGGTGGCTGGCACCTGTAATCCCAGCTACTCGGGAGGCTGAGGCAGAAGGATCGCTTGAACCCAGGAGACGGAGGTTGCAGTGAGCAGAGATCATGCCACTGCACTCCAGGCTGTGAGACAAAGTGAGACTCCATCTCAAAATCAATCAATCAATCAATCAGAGTCTCACTGTCACCCAAGTGGGTGACAGCCTTGAACAGCTCACTGAAACCTTGAACTCCTAGGCACAGCCATCCTCTTGCCTCAGCCCCCTAAGTAGCAAGGATTCAGGCATGTGCCACACTGCACGTGACTAAATTTTTTGTTTCTTTATGGAGAGAGGGTCTCACTATGTGGCCCAGGCTGGTCTTCAACTCCTGGTCTCAAGCAATCCTCCTCCCTTGGCCTCCCAAAGTGCTCAGATTATAGGAATGAGCCACTGGTTCTAGCTGAAAGTGAAGGACTTAAAGCTAGAGAATTTAATGCCAGCAAAAGGGTGGCTTGATCAGTTTAGAAAGAGGGTTGGCTTAAAAAATGTTAAGATAACAGGAGAAGCAGTTTCTGCCAACCAAGAGGCACCAGGGTTCCCAGATGCCATGAAGAAAATCATTGAGGAAAAGAAAATCTTCCTGAATAGGTTTTTAATGCAGACAAAAGTGCCCTATTCTGGAAAAAACTGCCACAAAGGACACTTATTAGTAAGGAAGAAAAGTGAGCCCCAGCACTGAAGGCAGGCAGGGAGAGGCCAACTCTACTGCTTTGTGCAAATGCAGCCGGGTTTATGATCAGGACTGCTCTTATCTACAAAGCTGCTAACCCCTGAGCCTTGAAGGGGAAGAGATAAACACCAGTTGCCAGTCTCTTGGTTGTGGAACAAGACTGGGACAACAAAATCCCTTTTTCTGGACTGGTTCCATCGATGTTCTTTGTCTGCAGTCAGGAAGTACACTTTGCCAGTAAGGGATTGCCTTTTAAAGTTCTTTAGATATTGGACAAGGCCCCTGGCCACTCAGAACCCCATGAGTTCAATACTGACGGCAATGAAGTGGTCTACTTACCCCCAAACACAGCACCTCTCCTTCAGCCTCTAGATTAGGGGGTCATAAGGACCTTTAAGGCTCATAACACACAGTACTCTATGGAAAGAATTGTCAATGCTATGGAAGAGAATCCCAATAGACAGAACATTGTTTAAGTCTGGAAGGATTATCCTGCTGAAGATGCCAAGGTTGTTACAGAAAAAGCTGTGAAGGCCATGAGCCTGAAACAATCAACTCCTGCTGGAGAGGACGACGTCCAGATGCTGCGCCTGACCTCACAGGATTTACGAGAGCCAGACGAGGAAATCATGAAAAGACTGTGCATATGCTTTTAAAAGGGTAGGGGGGTGGGTAAGGACTTCAACATGTGGATCTTAGAGAAATTCAAGAGCTATTAGACACCACACCAGAGGAATTAACAGAACACACCTTGACAGATGTCAGTACTTCCAACGTGGTGCCAAACGATGAGAAAGAAGCAGTGCCAAAAACACGTGGACACTGGGCAATCTGGCAGAAGGTCCCCATTCCCCAAGACTGCACTTGACTTCTTTAGGACACAGAGCTTTTATGGCACAGGAACTAAAACTAAAGCATACAACAGAAGGTTGCTATCATACAGAAACTTTTTTAGAGAAATGAAAAAGCAGGCCGGGTGCGGTGGCTCAGGCCTGTACTCCCAGCACTTTGGGAGGCCAAAGCGGGCAGACCACGAGATCAGGTGTTCCAGACCACCCTGGCCAACACAGTGAAACTCTGTCTCTACTAAAAATAAAAAAAATTAGCCGGGCATGGTGGCGGGCGCCTGTAATCCCAGCTACTTGGGAGGCTGAAGCAGGAAAACCGCTTGAACCCAGGAGGCGGAGGCTGCAGTGAGCCAAGACTGAGCCATTGCACTCCAGCCCAGGCAAAAAAAAAAAAAAAAAGAAAAAGAAAAAATAAAACGAAAAAGAAAGAAGTCAGAAATTATGTATTTCAGTAAAGTTCCACCAAGTATGCCTGTCTCTCCTACCTCCCCTTCCACCACCTCCATCCAAGACAGCAAGACCAATCCCATCTCTTTCTCCTCCTCAGCCTCAACCTGAAAATGAGAAGGAAGACCTTTATGAGGGATCCACTTCCACTCATTAAATAGTAAATACATTTTTCTCTCCCTTATGATTTTCTTAATATTTTCTCTAGCTTGATCACAAAAATATATAATATATAAAACATAAAAACTGTCTTTTGACTGCTATCGGTAAGGCTTCCAGTCAATAGCAGGCTATTAGTAGTTCATGTTTTGGGAGTCAAGTGATAGAAGAATTTTGACTGCACAGCAGGTTAGCACTCCTAATCCCTGTGTTAAGGGTCACGATATTCCTTCCCTTTCACTCTTTGTAACACAACTGTCTAGCATTTTACTTCTACATGTTTTTTGAAGACTCCTTCTGGGTCTTTGTTCCCAGTTCCTCAGAAGGAGCTTCAAAAACTATTGGATGTTCCGGAGTGATAGGCATGTCTTTGTTATTCATGAGCCTCCATGTTTTTGCTGAGATGAGCTGACTCAAGATAGAGGCTGGTCACCAGAAAGACAAACCATGACATTAGACGGTTGGGGTTTGAAACCATTCTGACTGGGGTGGGAGAGGGGCTAGAGATTGTGCTCTATCAATTGTGCCCAAGTAACAAAGCCCCAATAAAAACTCTCAACACCAAGGCTCAGGGGAGCTTCCTGGTTAGAAGCTCATTGACCCCGATTTGTCAGGAGAGACTCCATGGGGAGAGGGCTTGGAGGATGTGTGCTTGAGACTCTGCTAGGCCTTGCTGTATATATCTCTTCATTTGCCTGGTCTGATTTATATTAAACTAGATATAGCACCAGAAGATAACTGCAGTGTGATGGGATACACTTCTGCCTGAAGAACTTCCTCCATCTCACAGGGCAGATCTACTGGCAACAAACCCCACAACTTTTGTCTGAGGAAGTCTTTTGTGGGACTAGGTCTCATTCTATCACCCAGGCTACAGTGCAGTGGCACAATCTTGGCTCACTGCAGCCTCAACCTCCCAGGCTCAAGCGATCCTCCCACTTCAGTCTCCTGAGTAGCTGAGACCACAGGCACCGCCAGAGCACCTGGATAATTTTTTTTTTGTAGAGATGAAGTCTCGCTATGTTGCCCAGGCTGCTCTCAAACTCCTGGGCTCAAGTGAGTCTGCCACTCAGTCTCCCAAAGTGCTGGGATTACAGGTATGACCCACCATGCCTGGCCTGTATGAAATACTTTTTTTCTGGCTACATTCAAAACTTTCTCTTTGACTTTCAGCAGTTTGACTATAATGTGCCTAGGTGTTGAGGGTTTTTTGTTTATATTTATGGTGCTTGGAGTCCTCTGAACTTCACAGACCTCTGGTTTGTTGTCTTTTACTAATGAAAAAATTCTCAACCATTAGCTCTTTGAATATTTCTTCTGCCCCGTTTTCTTCCTAGGGCTCCAATTATCTGTATATTTGACAGTTTGCTATAGTCTCACAACTACTCAACACTTTTTTTTTGTTTGAGATGGAGTCTCGCTCTGTACATAGGCTGAAGTACAATGGCACAATCTCAGCTCACTGCAATCTCCGCCTCCCAGGTTCAAGTGATTGTCCTGCCTCAGCCTGAGTAGCTGGGATTACAGGTGCCCGCCACCACACCCAGCTAATTTTTTTTTTTTTTCCAGATGGAGTTTCTCTCTTGTTGCCCAGGCTGGAGTGCAATGGCGGGATCTTGGCTCACCACAACCTCCGCCTCCCAGGTTCAAGCGATTCTCCTGCCTCAACCTCTCGAGTAGCTGGGATTCCAGGCATGTGCCATCACACCCTGCTAATTTTTTTTATTTTTAGTAGAGACGGGGTTTCTCCATGTTGGTCAGGCTGGTCTCGAACTCCCGACCTCAGGTGATCTGCCCACCTCGGCCTCCCCAAAGTGCTGGGATTACAAGGGTGAGCCACCGCGCCCAGCCTAAATGCTATTTTTGTTCTGGTTTATTTTCTTCTGCTTGTTTCATTTTGGATTTCTATTGACCTATCTTCAGTTTCACTGATTCTTTCCTATCTGCTGACAAACTCACTGAGAAAATTATTCATCTATAATGTTTTTAAAGAATCTCTAACATTTCAATTTAACTTTTTCTAGAGTTTCTGCCTCCTGAAATTCTCGATCTTTTCACATATAATGCATGCTGTATACCTTTCTCACTCAATCTTTTACCACATCCATCACAGTCATTTAAAGTCTCTGGCAGTTCCAATATCTGGGTCATCTCTAAGTTGGCTTCCATTTATTTCTCTCTTAACAAGAAATCGCTTTTTTGTGTATCTCATAATTTTTTATTGAATTATCAGATGATATTCAATAAAACCAGAATTGGGTACACCTCTTTGTCTGAGCCACTACTGTGTGGGGATGAGGGGTTAATTCAATCTAGTCTTCAGTTGGGTTTGGATTTTATAATCCTCAGGGGAAGGCTGCCTTCAACTTCGTGGCACCATGTATTTTTCTCAAAAACATACTGGCCGGCCAGGCGCGGTGGCTTACGCCTGTAATCCCAGCACTTTGGGAGGCCAAGGCGGGCGGATCACAAGGTCAGGAGTTTGAGACCAGCCTGACCAAGATGGTGAAACCCCGTCTCTACTAAAAATACAAAAATTAGCAAGGCGCCAGGCGCGGAGGCTCATGCCTGCAATTCCCAGCACTTTGGGAGGCCGAGACGTGTGGATCACCTGAGGTCGGGAGTTTGAGACCAGCCTGACCAACATGGAGAAACCATATCTCTACTAAAAATACAAAATTAGCCAGGCGTGGTGGTGCATGCCTGTAATTCCAGCTACTCGGGAGGCTGAGGCAGGAGAATCGCTTGAACCCGGGAGGCGGAGGTTGCAGTGAGCCGAGATTGCACCATTGCACTCCAGCCTGGGCAACAAGAGTAAAACTCCATCTCAAAGAAAAAAAAAAAAAAAAATTAGCAGGGCATGGTGGCACACACCTGTAATCCCAGCTACTCAGGAGGCTGAGGCAGGAGAATCGCTTGAACCTGGGATACCACTGCACTCCAGCCTGGGCGACACAGCAAGACTGTGTCTCAAAAATTAACTAATTAATTAAATTTAATTTAAAAAAATATTGGCCAAAGAGGAAACCTCACTACTCACACCTAGAGGAGGACAGAACAAATGCAGAAAAGCAAGCCATACAACTTCACATGAAGATGCAAACAGTCTTGCAGGCTACCATGAGGACAAGCCTTTACTTTATTTTGGCAGTAGACTGAATGTCTGTTAAACAGGCATTCGGCCGGGCACAGCGGCTCACGCCTATAATCCCAGCACTTTGGGAGGCTGAGGTGGGTGGATCACTTGAGGTCAGGAGTTTGAGACCAGCCTGACCAACACGGAGAAACCCCATGTCTACTAAAAATACGAAATCAGCCGGGCATGGTAGCGCATGCTTGTAATCCCAGCTACTCGGGAGGCTGAGGCAGGAGAAATGCTTGAACCCAGGAGGCAGAGATTGCGGTGAGCCAAGATAGCGCCATTGCACTCCAGCCTGGGCAACAAGAGCGAAACTCCGTCTCAAAAAAAATAAATAAAGAGACATTCACTTTACTGGAAAAAAAAAAATCAACATATTGTGGTTGAATATATAAAAAGAGATGCCAAACGTTAGGAGCCAGGCGTGGTGGCTCACGCCTGTAATACCAGGGGGCGATCACTTGAGGCCAGGAGTTTCAGACCAGCCTAGGCAACATAGCAAGATCCTGCCTCTCAAATTTTTTTTGAGACGGCATCTTGCTCTGTCGCCCAGGCTGGAATGCAGTGGCGCCATCTCGGCTCACTGCAAGCTCCGCCTCCCGGGTTCACACCATTCTCCTGCCTCAGCCTCCCAAGTAGCTGGGACTATAGACGCCCGCCACCACGCCTGGCTAATTTTTTTTGTATTTTTAGTAGAGACGGTGTTTCACGATGTTAGCCAGGATGGTCTCGATCTCCTGACCTCGCGACCCGCCCGCCTCAGTCTCCCAAAGTGCTAGGATTACAGGCTCGAGCCACGGCGCCCGGCCTCAAAATATTTTTTAAAAAAATTGGCATGGTGGTGCATACCTGTAGTCCTAGCTACTCCAGAGGCTAAGACAGGAGGACTGGTTGAGCCCAGGAGTTGAAGGCAGCAGCGAGCCACTGTATGTCAGCCTGGGCAACAGTGAGACTCTGTCTCTTAAGAAAAAAAAAAAAAAGTGAATGTCTTGTGTGCCTTGCTATGCACACAGGTTCTCAGCCCCTGAGTGGAGTGCAACTTACGGGCCTACCCTACACTCAGGAGCCAGCAACAGCCCCTCATCCTGCTCTCACCAACCCAGCTCCACATCTGCCACACCCAGTCACGCCCCCTTCTGAACCCTCAACTGGTTCTTTTGTGGTTCTTCTCTCAAGTCGAGGATCCACTCCTTATTCCCTTTCCCTGAATGTACCCCAGTTCCTAGAAAGCTCTACGCACTGCAGCGCTCTGAGGGTTCAATCCTTTCAGATTCCACCAGTGTAAAGCAAGCCTCAGCACCCCTTTCCTTTCCAAACCTGCTGGCAGTCCCTCCCAGCTCTCCTGCAGCACAGACTCAAGCCTCCCTTCCATCCCTTTCCCCTCCTGCCCCTGTGCTCCACTCCCACTGCTTCAGCCTCTTGATGGCTTACCATCTTTGCCTGGCCCGTTACTAATCTGTGTCTCTATCCCACCTCTTTTCCACTTCAATCCATCTTAACAGCACTGCCTGATTTATCTTTCTGAAGGACAGCTCTGACATGCGACTCCTCCGCTCAGAAGTCTTCAAATACTCCTCCTACGGAAAAAATCAAACTTTTTAGCCTGGCCTAATTTAAAGCTCTTACTGACTGTATTCCCAGGTACTCCTCCCCAGGGAGTCAAGTAAGCCTAGAAAGGGCCAAACACATGGGCACGAACACCCCAGACAACTTTGGTGGTCTCTGCCGAACTCTGACCACTAGTCTCTTAAAGAGAAATCCTAGAAACATGAACATATTTTTGCCTCAAAGAATGAGAGCCAATTTTTAAAGGTAAAATATCTCCCCACCAAGCAAGAAAAAAGACATGCTTCCAAAACTTAGCTTATTTCCTGCAAAACCCACAAAATATAGAAAGTACCCTGAGTTGGAAATGTTTTTATAACCCATATTCTAAATCATCTGTGATTTAGAAAGAGAACTGGAAACAGGAATAATAGAAACTATGTCTTCAGGCTATTTAGAATGACACAGTGCTCTATAAACCTCAGCTAATGTCTAGGTTTGTTAGGCGGTCACTGTGAGAAAAGCATTTTGTGAGCCTACTCTGGTGCCAGGCACCAGTTTAGGTCAGAGTAAAGTAAGCACAAATATTTACTTGGGAGTCTGAGTACATATATAGTCATATTATATAACAACATGAAAATAGGATAGAAGTGTCAATTGTTGATAAAACATTTAACAATAAAGTGGCCTCAATATCTGGGTTCGTATTTGTATGGCTTCATTCACTCACTCAACAACGACCTGCCCATCTCCAATCATGTGCCAGGCACCACAGCTCAGGGGAGTCCGTAGGAAACAAGACACAGCACTTGCTGTTCTAGAACTTGCTTGTTGGTCGAGGAAGGCATTAAGCGAACAGTGCAAGTCTTTATTTTGATACATCAACTGCTATCCATTGCTAAGGAAACATAAAACTACGTAAGAAGGGGAAACAGGTGAGATGGGGAGGTCTCTCTTAGAAGGTGGCCAGAGAAGGCCACTCTGGTGTGGAGAAATCTGAGCGGGGTCCCAAGGACAGGGTGAACAGGTATAAAGAGTCCCTGAGATTCTGACTTATTCCTACTAGTCAAGATTTCTTACCTGCTGAAACACTGACAAAGCCTGCCACTTCTACCTCTGAATGTGAGAGACAAATTAACTTTATTGTCTCCATCCTGGAATGTTCAGTCCAACTGCTATCCTTCTCTTAAATTAAACTCTGACAGTACAAAAAAGCTCAGTCATAAAAAAAAGGTAGAGGAAGGGGACCACAATGAAGCAGCAGATACACAGCAAGAGGGACTCACTACAAAACCTGTTTTAAGGAAGACAGATACATCTCCTGTTAGTCCCAGACATTCCTTCCTAAGTAAGTTTTTAAGCTGGGCGCATTGGCTCATGCCTGTAATCCCACCTACTAGCGAGGCTGAGGAAGGAGGATTGCTTAAGCCCAGGAGTTGGAGGCCAGACTGGATAATATAGTAAGACGTCATGTCTTTAAAAAATTAAAAAGTGCAGTGGCTCACACCCGTAATCCCCGCACTTTGGGAAGCCGAGGTGGATGGATCACCTGAAGCCAGGAGTTCAAGATCAGCCTGGCCAACATGGTGAAACCCCATCTCTACTAAAAATACATCCGGGCGTGGTGGCTCACGCCTGTAATCCCAGCACTTTGGGAGTCCAAGGCAGGTGGATCACGAGGTCAGGAGTTCAAGACCAGCCTGGCCAAGATGGTGAAACCCCGTCTCTACTAAAAATACAAAAATTAGCCAGGCGCAGTGGCAGTCACCTGTAATCCCAGCTACTTGGGAGGCTGAGGCAGGAGAATCGCTTGAACCCTGGAGGCAAAGGTTACAGTGGGCCGAGATAGCTCCACTGCACTCCAGCCTGGGCAACAGAGCAAGACCGTATCTCAAAAAAAAAAAAAACAGCTGAGTGTGGTGGTGGATACCTGTAATCCCAGTTACTTGGGAGGCTGAGGCAAGAGAATCACTTGAACCGGGGAGGTGGAAGCTGCAGTGAGCTGAGATCGCCCCCACTGCACTCCAGCCTGGGTGACACAGCAAGACACTGTGTCAAAAAAAAAAAAAAAGAAAAGAAAAGAAGAAAAAAGAACCCAAATTCCATCCAAGTTAACCAGCAATGACTTAAAAAGCAAGCAAAACAATAACTCCCGGCCGGGCGCGGTGGCTCACGCCTGTAATCCCAGCACTTTGGGAGGCCGAGGCGGGCGGATCACAAGGTCAGGAGATCAAGACCATCCTGGCTAACACAGTGAAACCCCATCTCTACTAAAAATACAAAAAATTAGCAGGGCGAGGTGGCAGGCGCCTGTAGTCCCAGCTACTCGGGAGGCTGAGGCGGGAGAATGGCTGGCATGAACCCCGGGGGGCGGAGCCTGCAGTGAGCCGAGATCGCGCCACTGCACTCCAGCCTGGGTGACAGCGAGACTCCGTCTCAAAAAAAAAACAAAAAAAAACTCCCATAAAAGGAAAAAACACTAAGTCACTGTTTTCCAGTGAGGAAAGTACATCAGAGTAACCTGGGGAAAGAGAGACACCTGGTGTTTGCTTCTTTGGCTATTTCAAAGAGGAGGAGGCAATAGTGTCTACAGAACTAGATGCTATGACCTTCTTAACCTAAGAGTGAAGTTGACAGCACTGATCTGGGGAAGGTGATAAGCAGGGAGCTCAGGGCAGGGCCCTCTACCTTTTCACCACTGTGTTCTCAGGACTCATGGCGTAAAGCAGCCTCCCAAATTTTTTTAATCAATGGACTTTCTTCTTCTTCTTTAAGAGATGGCGATCTTGCTCTGTGACCCAGGCTAGAGTGCAGTGGCACCATCATAGCTCACTGCAGCCTCAAATTCCTGGGCTCAAGTATCCTCCCATCTCAGTCTCCTGAGCAGCCAGGACTAAAGGCATGTGCCATCACACCTGGCTAACTTTTATATTTTCAGAGATGGGCTGGTCTCGCTACATTGCCCAGGCTGTTTTCAAACTCTCAGCCTCAAGTGATCCTCCTGCCACAACCTCCTGAATAGGGCTTTCTTTTTTTAAATTAGAGATGGGGTCTCGCTATGTTGCCCAGGCAGATCTCCAACTCCTGGGCTCAAGTGATCCTCCCACCTTGATCTCCTGAAGTGCTGGGATAACAGGCATAAGCCACTGCACTGGCCCGGAATTTCTTTCTTTCTTTTTTTGAGACAGAGTCTCGCTCTGTCGCCAGGCTGGAGTGCAGTGGCCTGATCTCAGCTCACTGCAACCTCCACCTCCTGGGTTCAGGTGATTCTCCTGCCTCAGCCTCCCGAGTAGCTGGGACTACAGGCACGCGCTACGACGCCCAGCTAACTTTTGTATTTTCAGTAGAGACAGGGTTTCACCATGTTGGCCAGGATAGTCTCCATCTCTTCACCTTGTGATCCGCCCGCCTTGGCCTCCCAAAGTGCTGGGATTACAGGCATGAGCCACTGCGCCTGGCCTAGAATTTCTTAATGTTCCTCTCTCCCCCTCCACAATCCCACCTAATGTAGCAATTAACAGTTTGGTGATATGTTGGGACAACCAAGAATGTAATTTCTGAAAACAGTTGATATTTCATTTAAAACAAAAAATATTATTAATTCAGAAGGCCCAAGAAAAAGGCTCTTGTACTGTTCACTCTTCTGAGGGAAGTATCCTACAAAACAGTAATACCGTAAAGACATTCAGGAGAGCCCAGGTATATGGAGAGCATACTCTGATTTTAATCACTTCAGGTATTTTCACCAGGTAATTAAATTCACTGTCCAATCACCTGTCTCAAAATCCTGCTGATTAATGAGAAGCCTTAATGGGAAATTTGGTATTAACTACATCTTTTAGGAAATCATTAATTCTAGAAATGGAAAATTAAAACTACTCCTGACTTCACTTTACCCCCACTTCAAAAGTCTACCCAGTCTAGCCAAGGTTCTCACTGGGAAGTGGGGAGAGGAGGAATATGAGAGGTCCCAAGGAAACTAAACTGGAAACGAGAAAGTGGAAAGAGGAACCAAGAACCCAGTCTCGGATGGCTCTTGGGGCTGGCTGGCTCCTCTCTCTCTCCTTCCAGTGTGCTTTCTCTGCTCCTCTGTGAATCTCTCTATTAACCAATCACTGTCATCTTGTACAGGGTTCAACGCAGCCTAGGATTCTAAATCACAGCAATCATCAAATGTCAGCCATGTCTCTGTCTCCAGAGTCTCCTCTGCACCAACTCACTCCCTCACTGTCTGCAGGCCAGGTGGCTGGTACACTGTGGAACTGGGGAGGATACAGCAAGTCCTGTGGGCAGCTGCCCTTGCCAAAGGGACAATGGGTGGAGTACCTGAGAAGGGAACATGGGTAGGCCAAGCAATGACGATATCTTTAACATGGGAACAAACTTCTCTACATGTGCACTTATAGCAGTACCCCCATATCTGAGAAGGACATGCTCCAAGACCCCCAGGGGATGCCAGATAAACTGTGGATAGTACCACACTTTATATAGACTACATTTTTTCCTTTATGCTGTATTTTTTCCTATACAAATGATAGGAACTTAATCCTGTAACAAAGTTTTATTTATAAATTAGGCACAGTAAGAAATTAACAATAATAACTAATAATCAAGCAGAACCACCATAACAACATACCGTAATAAAAGTTATGGGAATGTGGTCTCTCTCGTACTGTACCGTGATATTTTATGGTGCCATACCTCAAAAGACAAGGCCACGGGTACAGGGGCTACTGCAATTCTTCCCTCTGGCACTGCACTAGCTGAGGACATGCCACAAAGCAGCACACATGGATCCATAATGGAGAATCCAGAACAATTACAGTCCCCAAAACACACAAAATAAAAACACAACTGCACAGTCACTGGTGTTTTTTCTTTTCTTTAAAAGCATTCATGAATATCCCCACTGCCTTATCTGCCTACTATGTCAAAAACAGGAGAGAAGGCCATGGCCAGAATCATGGAACATCCAATAAAGGCAGTCACTTGTTATTCTGACAAGTCATTTGTTTTCAGTTCATCTGTCGCATCTGTCAAGAAAAACACAGACTGTCTTCTAAAAGTCCGTTTTTAACTATTTTATTTTTTTTCAATGACAAATTCCACTTGTACCATAGAAGCCATATTCTGCATGTTGGAGAGGCCCCTTTGTGGTCCCTCATCCCTGGGTTCTTCCTGGGCATCCTATGGCCTCCCCTCTGGTGACAGGCAGCACCCCGAAGACTTAATTTTGATTCTTAAAAAGGGACAGATCCCTCCTTCCACCCTTGTCCAGGTACTTCCAGAGGGTGGGTCCCCTTCTCATGGGAACATACTACCCCCACTCACCAGACCACAGTGATGAGTCCAGCCCAGACTGTGGGCCATGAAAGCCTAAGCTCCCAAAACAAACAAGATGCCAGGGACACTGCAGCCATCTCAGAGGACACCGAAAGACATTTTAAAGCCAAGGGAAGCACAGCAGAACATCAGCTGCTGGACACCAAGGGAGCCACAGCTCGAGGGGGTTCGTGCTCCAACAGCAGATGGAGCTACACCCTTCCCGATGACGTCACATCCTAATAAAGCCCTGTTTGCAGTGGCTGCTGTGATAAAAAAGCAAGCTCTGCATGAAATCAACATGGAACAGGAAACAAGGGGTGGGGTGGGACGGAGTCCAATCTGATTCTGAAGTTTGAGAAGCTGTACAACCCATTAGTAATTGTGGCTATTTAAAAATAAAATACAGTTTCCTTCAATTTATGGGTATTTATTTTCTTTTTTTTTTTTTTGGAGGCAGAGTTTCACTTGTTGCCCAGGCTGGAATGCAATAGCGCGATCTCAGCTCACTGCAACCTCCACCTCTCAGGTTCAATCAATTCTCCTGTCTCAGCCTCCCAAGTAGCCAGGATTAGAGGCATGCACCACAAAGCCCGGCTAATTTTTATATTATTAGTAGAGACAGGGTTTCACAATGTTGGCCAGGCTGGTCTCGAATTCCTGACCTCAAGTGATCCACCCGCCTGAGCCTCCGAAAGTGCTGGGCTTACAGGCGTGAGCCACCACGCCCCGACGGGGATTAGTTTTCAAATGGCTACCCTAACTTCCTAGGACATAAATAGTTAAACTGTTTAGATGGAAAGATTCAACAAAGGGCTGGGCGTGGTGGCTCATGTGAGCCTGTAATCCCAGCACTTTGAGAGCAGCCTGGGCAACAGAGGGAGATCCTGTCTCTTCAAACAAACAAAAAAATTCAATAAAGGGAATGTGAACTATGTATCGTGGCCTAAAGGCATTTGGAGACATAAAGGTGCCATGAATCTGCCCTCAGGGATGAGACGCCAACGGAGACTGATTGGCAGGAGTGGGGGAGGAAAGAAAATGTAAAGAAAGGGGGAGCAGGGTAAACTAAAGGAGAGAAAAGGGGAGAGGAAGGAGAAGTGGGGTGGGGGAGAGGGGTGGGAAAGAAGAGGGAGGCAGGCCGGGCGCGGTGGCTCACGCCTGTAATCCCAGCACTTTGGGAGGCCGAGAGGCGGGCAAATCAGGAGGTCAGGAGATCGAGATCGACCATCCTTGCCAACACGGTAAACCCCTGTTCTCTACTAAAAATACAAAAAAGGTGTAAGGAAGGGATCCATTTTCAGTTTTTGTTGTGGGGTGGGGGGAGAGGGGACGGAAAGCATTAGGAGATATACTTAATGTAAATGTAAATGACCAGTTAATAGGTACAGCACACCAACATGGCACATGTATACATATGTAACAAACCTGCACGTTGTGCACATGTACCCTAGAACTTAAAGTATAATAAAAAAAAAGTAAACAAAGAAGAAGTAAAAAATAGCAACCATAAAAAGGAATGAAAGCATGTCCTTTGCAGCAACATGGATGCAGCTGGAAGCCATTATCCTAAGTGAATTAACACAGCAACAAAAAACTGAATACCACATGTTCTCATTTATAAGTGGGAGCTAAACATCAGGGACTTGTGGACATAAAGATGGCAAAAATAGACAATGGGGACTATTAGACAGGGGCATGATAGAGGGTGGCAAGAGTTGGAAAACTGACTGTTGGGTACTATGCTTAGTACCTGGGTGATGGGATTACTCATACCCAAACTTGAGCATCATGCAATATAACCAGGAAATAAACCTGCACATGCAACCCTGAATCTAAAATAAAAGTTGAAAAAATTAGTCAAAAAATAAATAAATAAAAACAAACAAACAAAAAAAAATTAGCCAGTCGTGGTGGTGGGCGCCTGTAGTCCCAGCTACCTGGGAGGCTGAGGCAGGAGAACGGTGTCAACCTTGGAGGCGGAGCTTGCAGCGAGCCGAGATCACGCCACTGCACTCCAGCCTGGGCAACAGAGCAAGACTCCATCTCCAACAAAAAAAAAAAAAAAGAGGGAGGAAGAGTCCCCACAAACCAGCCTGTGGGCAACAGAGCAAGACTCTGTCTCAAAAAAAAAGAGGGAGGAAGAGTCCCCACAAACCGACCAGACTGCAGCTCAGCTCTAAATCCACCCCAAAAGCCTCACCTACTGCTCTGCCCCTCCACTTTGCAGTAAGCTGTAACACACTACACGCTCATCAAAAATGGGAACTGACACTTTGGGAGGCCGAGCCGGACAGATCGCTTGAGGTCAGGAGTTCGAGACCCGCCTGACCAACATGGCTAAACTCCATGTCTACTAAAAATACAAAAATTAGCTGGGCATGGTGGCACGAGCCTGTAGTCCCAGCTACTTGGGAGGCTGAGACAAGAGAATCCCTTGAACCCGGGAGGCAGAGGTTGC
Organism: Homo sapiens; assembly: GCF_000001405.40. Lineage (NCBI taxonomy): Eukaryota > Metazoa > Chordata > Mammalia > Primates > Hominidae > Homo > Homo sapiens. The sequence continues at coordinate 1,861,049 of NC_000001.11, forward strand.
AGTAAGCCGAGATGCTGCCACTTGCACTCCAGCCTGGGCGACAGAGCGAGACTCTGTCTCACAAAAAAAAAAAAAAAAAAGGGAACTGACTTCCCAATCTTTGTGTCTCAGAACAAAACCCAGCACAGCTGCGCACAGTGGCTCATGCCCATAATCCCAATATTGTGGGAGGCTAAGGCAGGGAGACTGTTAGAAGCCAGGACTTGGAGCCCAGTCTGGGCAACATAAAGAGTCCTCATCTCCACACACACAAAAAAATTTTTTAAAAATTAACTGGACATGGTGGTGCACATCTGTAGCTGAGGCAGGAGGATCACTGAGCCTCAGAGGTCAAGGCTACAGCAAGTTATGATCCCACCGCTGCACTCCAGCCTGAGTGACAGAGCAAGACCCTGTGTACTGTCTCAAAAATAATAATAATAATAATAATAAAAACCCAGCAGGAACTCAGTAACTGCTTATTGAAAGGCATCCCTCAAGGGAAGCAGGATTGGCAAGCAGCCTTGAGAACAGACACATCTCAGAGATTTTATATCCTCAGGGGGTTGGGGGTTGGTGGTGGGGGAGAAGTGATGGAGGGGCAAGAGAGGATGTAAGGAAGACACAGGTCAGAGCTGGAAGCAACCCTGAAGGAGGCTTCAATCTGTGGCTAAAACAGAGCTGGTGCTGAGGCTCCAGTTAGAGCTCAAACTGGACCCTTCAAGCAACACAGACAGCACTGGAAGCATTCACCAGAGAAGCCCCAGGACACATCTCTGGGGTATTCAGCTCAAAATGCAAAACCTGAATCCCCCCATGAGGCAGCCACCAGACCCAAAGTGAGGGATGTCCTACAGGATAACTGGCCTGTACTCTTTAAACCTCAAGGGAGGCCGGGCGCAGTGGCTCACGCCTGTAATCCCAGCTACTCGGGAGGCTGAGGCAAGAGAATCACTTGAGCCCCGGGGGTCGGAGGTTGCAGTGAGCTGAGATCGCACCACTGCACGCCAGCCTGGGCGACAGAGTGAGACTCCATCTCAAAAAAAAAGCCTGGTGTGGTGGCGCACACCTGTAATCCCAGCTACTTGGGAGGCTAAGGCAGGACAATCACTTGAACCAAGGAGATGAAAGTTGCAGTGAGCCAAGATTGCGCCACTGCACTCCGCCTGGGTAACAGAGTAAAACCTTGTCAAATAAATAAATAACTAAGTAAAGTGTATATGTTAGCAGAGCAACGTGGCAGTCCCATGTACCATGAATTGGAGGATGAAGAGCCACTAAGTAACTCCTGGGACCTCCTCTTCGGAGGCTTGTCAGGTAAATTAGGAGATGATTACAACAGTCTGAGTGAGAAGTCCACCCATTAACTTCTCCCCACACTGAGTGAGACAATCAGTTTCCTAAGTCTATTACCCGGTAGTGTAAAGTACTTCATTTTTATTAATTTTTTTTTTTTTGAGACAGGGTCTCGTTCAGTTGCCCAGGCTGGAGCGGCACAATTACGGCTCACTGCAGACTTGACCTCCTGGGCTCAAGCAATCCTCCCACCTCAGCATCCCGAGTAGCTGGGACTACAAGCCGTGCTCTGATGCCCCCGATTTTTGTAATTTTTGTAGAGACAGGGTTTCCCCCATGTTGCCTAGGCTGGTCTCCAGCTCCTGGGCTCAAGCAATCGGCTGCCTTGACCTCCCAAAGTGTTGGGACTACAGGCACAATCCACTACACCTGGCCAGTACTTTATTTGTACAGAAGCAGAACAAATACACCCAGCAGAAAGGTAAGGAAGCTGAGGAGGGCTCCCCGGTAAGGTATTACACGTAGGCATCACACCTTGGAGACTCTTAGAAAACACCACGGAGGAGGCAAGGTGGCTGAATTTGAACTGCAGTGGTGCTGAAGTCCACACAAATAACTGCCATACACACACAAGAGGGAAAACCAAACCTCATTCAGCCCCACGCCAGGCCACATCCCTCTACCTAAGAGCACAGTGCTAGACCCAGGCTGAATGTGTCTGACCCTCAGCACTGTGGACACTGGGGTCATCCCGGGTGGTGCAGGGTGCTGAACAGCATCACTGGCGTCTGTTCATCAGATGAACACAATCCTTGGTCACTGCCCCTCTTCAGCCATCAGTCTACAAATGGGCTGTAGAGGTTTTCCAACCAAACAAATGAGTAACAGAGGCTCAGATGGGCAAGTTGTGAGGTGGTGCTGGCTAGAAATGGAAGCAGTGAGGGCCACAGAGAAACAAAGAAAAGAAAGTATGTGACAACACCCAATCATGTAAGTTATGCAATTTATAGCCAACCTGAGTAATATGTGAGATAATTTGACTGATTTTAGAGCCTCATCTCCCACAGAAACCTGACCAATTCAGAAAAGCACTGCCGTCCCTTGCCCACTGTGGCTGCTGCCACTGGAGGGGTTTGGGAGTGGGGCAAACACACCCCAGACATTGCAAAGCGTCAACAAAGCCCTTTACTGAAACGTCTACTTAGGAGACCTAACTGCCTTTCTATGGCTAAACCTAGTGTTCAGGCTCCACCACCTTCTACATGCTGCTACTCTGTTAACTATAAAAGAACACAAAAAACAAAAACCCACAGGACTCACTCTTCATCCACAAATAGCTCATTTTGAGATCTTCTCCTTCCAAGGTTCTTTTAGTGAGCAAACACCCAAATTTCAGATATCACACACAGTAAGATTTCAAAGGAGATTTAAGTTGGAAAAATTCAGAAAACCTACCTATGCTTAAGCACTGAATCCCCACTCTCAGTGTAGTATATGGCAGCACATAATTGATAACATTTTTTTAAAGAATAGGACAGAACAATGTTTCTGTGGGAGGTGGTGTTGCACAGTGACTGAAAACAAGAGGGTCTGGGCCAGGCACACTGGCTCACGCCTGTAATCCTAAAATTTTGGAAGGCCAAGGCGGGTGGATCCAGTTTGGGCAACATAGTTGGACCCTGTCTCTACAAAACAAAAAAACAAAATTTAAAAAATTTGCCAGGAGTGGTGGCTCACACCTGTAATCCCAGCACTTTGGGAGGCTGAGGCAGGTGGATCACGAGGTCAGGAGTTCAAGATCAGCCTGGCCAAGATGATGAAACCCTGTCTCTACTAAATATACAAAAAAATTAGCCAGGCGTGGTGGCAGGCACCTGTAATCCCAGCTATTCAGGAGGCTGAGGCAGAGAGTTGCTTGGGAGGCGGAGGTTGCAGTGTGCCAAGATCGTGCCACTGCACTCCAGCCTGGGTGACAAGAGCAAGACTCTCTCAAAAAAAAAAAAAAAAAAAAAAGAAGAAAACCCCACGAAAAAACTATTCTTAGCTTCTGGGCCACAGAAAGAGATGGCTGTAGCGTGGCAACTTCTGGCTCATAGCATAGGGCCTAGTACACAGTAGGTAGTTAAAACGGCCGCAATGATACTGGTTTCTCCCACTATCATCACAAGTTATTCCCTCCGGCCGACCCATCCTGCCGATTACCACCTGGCCTGTAGGTTAACTTCATGTAGCCAATTCTGTGCCATGAGGAGCATGTTCCACCTAACAGAAACCTGACATTCCTGCACCCCAGGAAGTACATTTTTGGGTCTTTAAATCAAACTATATAATCTTGCCTAAGAACTCTGAAAAACCCAGTATACGAAAGACTTTTTCCACTAGTTTGTACTCTGAGTAAAATTCTTCGTTCTGCAATTTATAACTAAGAGGTTATATTTTAGTTGCTCATCTCCCAACACCTTTTACTCACTGCATCTTAGAGTGCTCACTTACAGCTGCTGATGCACATCTCCTCTTTCACAAAACGTAAAGGTTTCATCAGCTACAATTAGCTTAACCAATTACATTTTACTTGGCCTTTGGTTTTGCCTGATTGCCTTGTACAGAGTTATGAAGAGTATTGCTATCTAACATCTGTTATAAAAACTACCAGGCCAGGCCAGGCGTGGTGGCTCATGCCTGTAATCCCAGCACTTTGGGAGGCTGAGGCGGGCAGATCACAAGGTCAGGAGATCGAGACCATCCTGGCTAACATGGTGAAACCTCATCTCTACTAAAAATACAAAAAATTAGCCAGGCGTGGTGGCGGGCACCTGAAGTCCCAGCAACTCGGGAGGCTGAGGCAGGAGAATGGCATGAACCCGGGAGGCAGAGGTGGCAGTGAGCAGAGATCACGCCACAGAACTCCAGCCTGGGTGACAGAGTGAGACTCCATCTCAAAAAACAAAAAAAAAACAAAAAAAAACCAAAAAAAAAAAACAGGCAACACATTGTGGCTCATGCCTGTAATCCCAGCACTCTGAGAGGCCGAGGAGGGCGGATCACAAGGTCAGGAGATCGAGACCATCCTGGCTAACACGGTGAAACCCCATCTCTACTAAAAATACAAAACATTGGCCAGGTGTGGTGGCGGGCACCTGTAGTCCCAGCTACTCAGGAGGCTGAGGCAGGAGAATCGCTTGAACCCGGGAAGCAGAGGTCGCAGTGAGCCAAGATTGTGCCACCGCACTCCAACCTGGGCAACAGAGTGAGACTCCATCTCAAAAAGAACTACCGGATTACAGTTATGTTATGTTCACAATACCAGCATCCAAAAATATCCAGTGACAGGATACAGCAAGAAACATGACTACAAGGTCTATGAAACAGGAGACTACAGTACCTAAAAAGGCAGATTTAAACAAATTCCTGTAATGTGCTCATTTCAGTCATGCTAACTTGAGAAAGCTTTTAAAACTTTTAAATGTAAATAATCCACTTTCACATTTCTTCCAAAATGAAAAATAACTCCTTTTTTCTGTCACTGACTTTGGCGAATTTTCCAAAAAATAAAGAGAAAACAGTTTTGTTTTTTGGTTGTTGTTTTTTGAGACCACGCCTGGCCTTGAAAACAGTATTTATTTATTTTTTTTTTTTTTGAGTTTCACTCTTGTTGCCCAGGCTGGAGTACAATGGCGCAACGTTGGCTCACTGCAACTTCCGCCTCCGAGGTTCAACTGATTCTCCTGCCTCAGCCTCCCAAGTAGCTGGGATTACAGGCATGCACCACCACGGCCAGCTAATTTTTTCTATTTAGTAGACAGACAGGGTTTCACCATCTTGGTCAGGCTGGTCTCAAACTCCTGACCTCAGGTGATCCACCCGCCTTGGTCTCTCAAAGTGCTGAGATTACAGGCGTGCGCCACTGCGCCCAGCCAGAAAACAGTATCTTAAAACAGTATGTTCCTTTCCTCCATTCACCCCATGAGATACCACGTTTCACAGGGATGTCTTCCAGACTTTGATACATATGTGCATAATTTTTCACAAGTCAATCAAATGATACCATATTCCCCAAACTATACATATTCAAAATGCCCAACCATTTACTGTATTGTGGTCATCTCTTCATGCCAATAAAGGAAGGCCACCTTAAATCTTTTTAACAACTGCACAGTATGCCATTCCAAGTCTGCCTTAATTTAACCAATCTATTGATGGACATTTAGATTCATCCAGGGGTGTCCAATCTTTTGGCTTCCCTGGGCCACATTGGAGAATTCTGTCTTGGGCCACACATAAAATACACTAACTAGTAATAGCTGATGAGCTTAAAAAAAAAAAAAATCGCTAAAAAAAAATCTCAATGTGGCCGGGCGCGGTGGCTCACGCCTGTAATCCCAGCACTTTGGGAGGCCGAAATGGGCAGATCACGAGGTCAGGAGATCGAGACCATCTTGGCTAACACGGTGAAACCCCGTTTCTACTAAAAATACAAAAAATTAGCTGGGTGTGTTGGCAGGCGCCTGTAGTCCCAGGTACTCAGGAGGCTGAGGCAGGAGAATGGCGTCAACCCGGGAGGCGGAGCTTGCAGTGAGCTGAGATCGCGCCACTGCACTCCAACCTGGGGCACACAGGGAGACTCCATCTCAAAACAAACAAACAAAAAAACCTCAATTCTAGGCCGGGTGCAGTGGCTCACGCCTATAATCCCAGCACTTTGGGAGGCTGAGGTGGGCAGGTCGCCTGAGGTCAGGAGTTCGAGACCAGCCTGGCCAACATGGCGAAACCCCATCTCTATTAAAAATACAAAAATTAGCCAAGCATGGTGGTAGGCGCCTATAATCCCAGCTACTCGGGAGGCTGAGGCAGAAGAATTGCTTGAACCTGGGAGGCAGAGGTTGCAGTGAGCCGAGATCAGGCCACTTCACCCCAGCCTGGCAAGAGCGAAACTCCACCAAAAAACAACATTTTAAGAAAGTTTACAAATTTGTGTTGGGCTGCAATGCGGCCCACAGGCCTCAGGTTGGACAAGCATGACTAGGCATTCATACAGCAAATATTTATTGAGACCTACTATGTACCAGGCACTGTCAGAGGATATACCAGGAAATAAAACATGAAGTTCTCTACCCTCATGGAGCTTATATTTTAGTGGCTACTGACAATTTTTTGCTTTTATACCAAAAATTCTAGCTAGGAGTTTTTGAGCATTGTCTGTCTTAAATATTTGGCTTTTATAACTAATTTTATAATAAGCATTCTCTTATTTCTTCCTTTGGATAAATTTCTAAAAATAGACTTGCTGGAACAATTATTTTAGAAATGCTTTTATACTAAAAATAATAACCCTTTATCATATATATTCCTAACATTTTTCTAATTTTCCTGCCTTTGAACTATAGTTCAGAGGCCCCCAAACAGGCATCTTTTGCTGTAGATATGTTCCGAATGCTTAAGCAGATATCTTTTCATAGCTTATAGCCTTATTGTCAAACTAAGAAACTCTTTACCTACAGCTGGATTGCCAGTTGATCCAATACCTTTTACATGACAAACCATCCATTCCCAACTGATTGTAAATGCTACATTAATCATAAATTCCCATTAATTTATAGATCAGTATCTAGACTGCTTTGTTCCACTTACCTATAATACTTATAAAAAATCTACTAGGAAACGTTCCCCCTTTTCTTTCTTTAGAACTCCCCTCAAATATTTACTTCTCCAAATCAAGTGACATCTTGAAAATATTCAAGCACATGCATATAGGAATACTGCATTCAAGTTCTGTATTTATGTCTATCTATTCAAGTTCTCTTTCACCTCTTCAATAATGCATCTAAAGGTTCCTTCATATAGTGTGTGTTTTGTTTTTTTGTTTTTTTTTGAGACGGAGTTTCGCTCTTTTTGCCCAGGCTGGAGTGCAATGGTGCGATCTCAGCTCGCTGCAACCTCTGCCTCCCGGGTTCGAGCAATTCTCCTGCCTCAGCCTCCCGCGTAGCTGGGATTACAGGCATGAGCCACCACATCCAACTAATTTTTGTATTTTTTAGTAGAGATGGGGTTTTACCATGTTGGCCAGGCTGGTCTCAAACTCCTGGCAATTGACCTGCCTCAGCCTCCCAAAGCGCTGGGATTACAAGCATGAGACACCGTGCCTGGCCATGTTTTCCCGTTTTTAAAAGTGAAAAAGTTAGCCGGGCACAGTTGCTCACGCCTGTAATTCCAGCACTTTGGGAGGCCGAGGCAGGTGAATCACGAGGTCAGGAGTTCAAGACCAGCCTAGCCAAGATGGTGAAACCCCGTCTCTACTAAAAATACAAAAAAATTAGCCAGGCATGGTGGCGGGCACCTGTAATCCCAGTTACTCAGGAGGCTGAGGCAGAATTGCTTGAACCCAGGAGGCGGAGGTTGCAGTGAGCCGAGATTGTGCAACTGCACTCCAGCCTGGGTGACAGAGTGAGACTCCATCTCAAAAAAGAAAAAAAGTGAAAAAGTTTTAGGCCTAACAATCATGAAACAAATGCCATTAGTGTATTTGCCTAAGAACTCAAAAAATCTTCTGAAGTTAATTTCTATAAAGAATAAGTTATTTACAGCCAGGCGTGGTGACTCATGCCTGTAATCCCAACACTTTGGGAGGCTGAGGTGGACGGACCACGAGGTCAGGAGATCAAGACCATCTTGGCTAACAAGGTGAAACCCCGTCTCTACTAAAAAAATACAAAAAAATTAGCCGGTGTGGTGGCGGGCACCTGTAGTCCCAGCTACCTGGGAGGCTGAGGCAGGAGAATGGCATGAACCCAGGAGGCGGAGCTTGCAGTGAGCTGAGATCACACCACCGCACTCCAGCCTGGGCAACAGAGCAAGACACCTTCTCAAAAAAAAAAAAAAAAAAAAAAAAAAGAATAAGTTACTTACAAAAAAGAAGCAAACTTACAAAGACCAGAGGCTCTAGTCAGTCCACTGCTCCTTTATGTTGTTATCTGACCATTCATTATCTCAGACACTTACTACTGACTTCTATAAGAATCCAAAAAACAGAATTTCACTAGAAGGTGACAGTCTTGTTTCAGCTAACCATTCATGCCCAAGAGCTTAATTACAGGGTGGACCTCAGCCCCCACCTTAGTGTCTCTCAGGTGGGTGGGATGAAGTCAGAGAAAAGGCAGTGCAGCACCAGCAACACAGGTCCATCAGGAACTGGAGCTTTTCCTACTGTCCCTGCTTCCTCCTCCCGTGAATCCCAACAATCACAGCCACAGAAATAGTAAGCAGGAAAAAACAAGGAGGTGGCAGTAGAGGAGCCTATTTGTCTTATCACAGTTATTCATCACGTAGCTGGTTCCTCTTTTCTGCCTCTTCTTCCAGATGACCCAACTACCCTCAAACTGCCCTCCCAACCCCGAAAGAAAGTCTCTGATTTTGTAATAGGTCAATATATACAAAAACTTCAGAGCTATTTATATTCCATTTATCAAGGACAACCTACGCTAACACACTTGTACAACACAACTTGTAATGCTGCTTTGTTATGTCTTCAGATTCAAAAACAATCTTTTCTTTTTTTTTCTTGAGACAACATCTCACTCCATCACCCAGGCTGGAGTGTAGTGGTACAATCTAGGCTCACTGCAACCTCCACCTCCTGGGTTCAAGAGATTCTCCTGCCTTAGCCTCCTGAGTAGCTGGGATTATAGGCACCCGCCACCATGCTCAGCTAATTTTTGTTTTTAGTAGAGACGGGGTTTCACCATATTGGCCAGGCTGGTCTCGATCTCTTGACCTCAAGTGATCTGCCCGCCATGGCCTCCCAAAGTGCTAGGATTACAGGCGTGAGCCACCGCACCAGGCCCAAAGACAATCTTATGTTTTTGTTTGTGGGGTTTTGTTTTTGCTTTTTTGAGACAAGGTCTCACTCTGGCACCCAGACTGGAGTACAGTGGCATATCATAACTCAGTGTAACCTCAAACTCCTTCTGCCTCAGCCATCCCAGTAGCTAGGACTACAGGCACCATGCCCAGCTAATTTTGTTTTTTAAACTTTTTGTAGAGACAGGGTCTCACTACATTGTGCCCAGGCTGGTCTAAAATTCCTGGCCTCAAGGGATCCTCGCAACTCAGCCTCCCCAAATCCAGAGATTACAGGGATTATAGTTATAAGCCACTATAATCAGCCCGTCTTGTTTAAAAATCAAATCCCTCCCTATCAAACTCAGCTTTCTGAATCGCACTTTGTCTTTTCCAAAACATAATATTCTGAGCTCAGCAGACACTTCCTTATGCGCTGTTACGCATGTTAGCGTTGCTGGAATTACAGTAAGAATAATCATCTGCCAAGAGCCAGTTCAACCCATTTCTGATATAAAAAGCCATTTTAGCACTTTGGGAGGCAGAGGTGAGTGGATTACCTGAGGTCAGGAGTTCAAGACCAGCCTGACCAACAGGGTGAAACCCCACCTCTACTAAAAATGCAAAATAAATTAGCTGGGCGTGGTGGCACACACCTGTCATCCCAGCTACTCGGGAGGCTGAGGCAGGAGAATCGCTTGAACCTGGGAGGTGGAGTGAGCCAAGATTTCACCACTGCACTCCAGCCTGGGCGACAGAGACTCCATCTCAAAAAAATAAACAATAAAATAAAATAAAAACAGAACTCTCCACTGTTGCCCACATCACCCTCCAACTACTGAGCTCCTTCTCTGAGCCCTCTAGAGCAACCTTCTTTAAGTCGTATCTACACAGGTGGTCTCCTCTTCCATCTCCTATGTTTCAATTGACTCCAATCTGGCTTTCACTCCCTACCGTGAAACCAAAAGGGCTGACCACCTAGTACCTGCAGTCCTTAAATTTAAGGAACCTTTGGCCAGGTACAGTGGCTCACACCTGTAACCCCAGCATTTTGGATAACATTAAGGCCGAGGCAGGTGGATCACTTAAGGCCAGGAGTTAGAGACCAGCGTGACCAACATGGTGAAACCCCGTCTCTATTAAAAATACAAAAATTAGCCAGGCATGGTGGCACACATCTATAATCTCAGCTACTCAAGAGGCTGAGGCAGGAGTATTGCTTGAACGTAGGAGGCGGAGGTTGCAGTGAGCCCAGATCGCGCTACTGCACTCCAGCCACGGCAACAGAGTGAGACTTAAGGGAACCCTTTCCCCACCCCCATTCACCTGACTCCTCAACTGCACCCTACACTGTCACATCCCACCTCTCCGTGTCTCCTCGATCTAACCTCTAATAGCTGGGCACCCCACCTCTCCTTTTAATAACCCCTCCACCGACCATCACAAAAACAGAAAGACCAAGACTTCCAGACTGGACTCCAGGCCAACAGGCTGTTAGCCGGCGGTTGGCACTTAGTTGCCCTATACCCATTTTGAGCTTCAGATATTCAAGGCATGGCTCTGCACAGCCAACAGATTTGCCTCCCCTCAGTGCTCAACATCACCACCCTCTACATGTGCAAAGCACACACAGAAATCATCCTGGCCTCCTTCCTTTCCCTACTCCCCTACACCCGGTCCATCAGCAACCTGGCTGACTCTACCACCCATTTCTTCCCATTTCCTTAGTCTCCATCCTCAGCCAAACCACGCCATTTCTCATCAACAGTCTCCTTAAAATGACCTCTGTCTCAATCTGTGCCCCCGACAATCCATTTTTCATTCAGCAATCTGAACAATCTTTTTTCTTTTTTTTTTTTTCTTAAGACAGGGTCTCGCTCTGTTGCCCAGACTCGAGTACAGTTGTGTGATCATAGCTCACTGCAAACTCCAACTCCTGGGCTGAAGCGATGCTCCCTCCTCAGCCTCCCCAGTAGCTGGAACTACAAGTGTATGCTACAATGCCCAGCTAATTTTTTCTTTTAAGTAGAGACAGAGTCTTGAACTCCTGGGCTCAAGCAATCTTCCTGTCTCAACCTCCCAAACTGTTAGGACTATAAGCATGAACCACTGCACCCAGCCTCAACAATCTTTTAAAATTCACCTTTTGTCACTTGAGGCTTAAAATTTTTCAACGGCTTCCCACTGCATCAAGGAAAACATCCAAGCTCTCTGCCAGTTTGGAAACTAGAGAATGCACCATCTGCACGAGGACCCTCACCTGGTATAAATCAAGACTGTCCTGGGCAAACTGGGCCTCTGGCACCTGCCTGAGGCCGTGTGGCCAAGGCCTGGCTTCCACCCCTACCTCTGCCCTACAGCTTTGCTCCTGTGTGCTGAGCTTCACCCGCTGTCCCTTCCGCAGGACCTCTGCTGAGCTTCGCCTGCTGTCCCTTCCGCAGGGCCTCTGCAATCACTGCCCTCTCCACCTGAAGCATAGGGGCTCCTTGCCTACCTGGTTCCTTCTCATCCTTCAGGCCTTTACTCTAAATACCCTAAACAATACCCTAAACCAAGTGCCCTCTCCACCCAACAGCTCACAGCACCTACCACAGGCCCAAACTTCGCTTCTTCCAGTTCGCCATCTCCCCACAGAGAATGAACCACCAGTTGCAACTTCTCGGTACTCAACCATCACCAAGCACAGTGTCTTGCTCAAAGTAAGTACTTGGTAAATATTTGTTAAAGAGTTCACTCCATCCCACAGATACCATATTATTAACTGGGCATCCTAAAGCAGGAAGTTCTTGAGGTCACACAGTATAGGAAAGGCTGTGATGAAAAATGGCCACGGTTTCTGCAAGTCCCACCATTAAGGACCAGAGTCTATCTCCTACTCTCCAAGCCTGTGCTAAGCCTTGTTTTTTTTTTTTTCTTCATTTTCGGTAGAGATGCGGTCTCACTATGTTGTCCAGGCTGGTTTCAAACTCCTGGCCTCAAGCCATCCTCCCACCTTGGCCTCCCAAAGGGCTGGGATTACAGGCATGAGGCAGCACTCCTGGCCTATGCTAGGCCTCATAACTTGCAATAAGCAAGGGAATGCAACAGAGGTGACACTGTGACTTCTAAACATGTCCTCAAGTAGCCTGTCAAACTCTGCTCCTGCCCTTTTGGAATTCAGCCACTATGGGAGGAAGCCTGAGCTAGACTGTTGGAGAGGCAGGCTGAGGAGATCAGAGGCACCCTGGCTGAAAGCCCATGTGGGTGAGGGCAATGGGAAGCACAAGCCAGCCTACCTGCCAACTGTTAATTGCCCTTGCTAGCGTGGCCAGCACAGTGAACAGAGATGAGCCCTGCCCACATCCATACTCCCACATGATGATGAACAAGGACTTACTGTTTTAAGTCGCTTCATTTTGGGGTAGTTTGTTACCCAGGAGCATATAACTGATGTAAGGCCATGACAATATGCTCTTCTTAAACTTGGCGCCGAGACTGGACGCAGTGGCTCACACCTGCAATCCCAGCACTTCGGGAGGCCGAGGTGGGCGGGTCACCTGTAATCCCAGCTACTCAGGAGGCTGAGGCAGAAGAATTGCTTGAACCCCAGAGGCAGAGGTTACAGTGAGCCAAGATGGTGCCACTGCACTCCAGCCTGGGCGACAGAGCAAGACTCCATCTTAAATAAACTTGGCACCGAGACTGCTGGACTGGACAATTCTCCATGGTGGAGCAGGATCCCTGTGGCACACCCCAGCTGTCACAACCACCAATGTATCCAGGCAGGCAGCGTGGGGACTAAATACAAGAGGGAACGCATACCTGCCTCTAGGGGACTCAGCACTTTCACAGGGGAAGGAAAGATTCCCTGCTTTGGAGGCATTCTTTATGTCTTCTCATTGACTTCTGATCTAGGTTACTGGTCCCCAAGGACAGTCAGTGGAACAAATGCTGGCAGCAGCCTCGATCCATCCCTGTGGAAGCTACCGAGGACAACACTCTTCAGTTCCCACAAAAGAAAGACTAGCAAAGCATAAACACAACGCGCCTCCTGGCCAGGTGCGGTGGCTCACGCCTGTAATCCCAGCACTCTAGGAGGCCGAGGCAGGCAGATCACGAGGCCAGGAATTCAAGAGCAGCCTGGTCAACATGGCAAAACCCTGTCTCTACTAAAAATACAAAAATTAGGCCGGGCGTGGTGGCTCACGCGTGTCTGTAATCCTAGCACTTTGGGAGGCTGAGGCGGGCGGACTGCCTAAGCTCAGGAGTTGGAGACCAGCCTGGGCAACACGGTGAAACCCCGTCTCTACCAAAGTACAGAGAAAGCCGGGCGTGGCGGTGTGCACCTGTAGTCCCAGCTACTCGGGAGGCTGAGGCAGGAGAACTGCTTGAACCTTGGAGGCAGAGGTTGCAGTGAGACGAGACTGCACCACTGCACTCCAGCCTGGGAAGCAGAGCAAGACTCCATCTAAAAAAAAAAAAAAAAAAAAAAAAAAAGTACAAAAATTAGCTGGGCATGCTGGCACACGCCTGTAGTCCCACCTACTTGGGAGACTGAGACAGGAGAATTGCTTGAGCCTGTGAGGCGGAGTTGCAGTGAGCTGAGATGGTGCCACTGCAGTCCAGCCTGGGTGACAAAGAGTGACACCCTGTCTCAAAAAAAAAAGACAAAAAAAAAGTGCCTCCTGAGCTTCGTTCTGTGAAGCATCCAGAATCCTTACAGCAGCGGTCACCAACCTTTTTGATGCCAGGGACCGGTTTTGTGAAGGACAATTTTTCCACAGACAGAGGGGATGGTTTTGGGATGAAACTGTTCCACCTCAGATCATCAGGCATTAGATTCTCATAAGGAGTGCACAGCCTACATCCCTCGCGTGTGCAGTTCATGACGGGGTTCACGCTCCTATGAGAATCTAACACTGCCGCTGATCTGACAGGAGGTGGAGCTCAGGTGGGAATGCTCGCTTGCCCACCTCTCACCTGCTGTGCAGCCCGGCTCCTAAGAGACCACAGCCCAGGAGTTGGGGGCCCATGCTTAGAAGACATTTTATCTTTTTCTGGTTTTTTTTTTTTGGAGACAAAGTCTTGCTCTGCCTACCAGTCTGGAGTGTAGTGGTGTGATCTCAGCTCACTGCAACCTCAACCTCTCCAGTTCAAGTGATTCTCATGCCTCAGTCTCCCAAGTAGCTGGGTCTACAGGTGCACGCCACCACACCCCACTAAACTTTTGTGTTTTTAGCAGAGACGGGGTTTTCACATGTTGGTCAGGCTGGTCTCAAACTCCTGGCCTCAAGTGATCCACCCGCTGTGGCCTCCCAAAGTGCTGGGATTACAGGTGTGAGCCATCACACCTGGCCAAGGACACTTTACCTTTTCTATTTTGTTTTGTTTTAGAGGCGGGGTCTTGCTCTGTCACAGGTTGGAGTGCAGTGGCACAATCATAGCTCATTGCAGCCTCAAACTCCTGGGCTCAAGTGATCCTCTCATCTTGGCCTCCCAAAGTGCTGAGCTTACAGGAGTGAGCCACTGCATCCGGCCCCTTTTTCTATGTAAATTATCTTACAAGTTTCTTCAACCTCCAACAGAGACTTCATTTCACAAGGCTGGCCACAAGGGGAATGGGAAGACATGGAAGGCAAGAGAGCTAGAAACACAAGGGGCGAAGGATGAAGCTCTAGGAACTTTAGCAGGTTCAACAGTGTCCCCCCCCCCAAAATTCATGTCTACCTGGAACCTGGGAATGTGACCTTATTTGGAGCGTCTTTCCAGGTATGATTAGTTAAGTTAAAACGAGGTCATACTGAATTAGGGTGGCCCTAATCTAATAACTATGTCCTTATAAGGTGAGTAGAGACACTGAGAAAAGCCCACGTAAAACAGAGGTAGAGAGTGACTCCTCTACAAGCCACACTGCTGGCACCCACCAGAAGCCAGAAAGAAGAAAGGAAGTGTCCTCCCTTGGAGCCTTCAGAAGCACTGGGGCCCTGCCAACACCTTGATTTCAGACTTCTGTCCTCCAGAACTGAGGGAATCAATTCATTCTGAGCCATCCAACTTGTGATGATTTGCTACAGCAGCCACAGGAAACTAACATTGTGTCATTTCTGAAGACCTTTACTAAGCCAGAACCACAAGGGTAGAAATCAAGTGCCCAGATCAGCTTGGAGAAGGACTTGTTTTTTTTTAATAGAGACAGGGCTGGAGTGCAGTCGTACAATCAGGTCACTGCAGCCTCGAACTCCTGGGTTCAAGCAATCCTCCCACCTTAGCCTCCTGGATAGCTGGGACTACAGGTGTACACCATCAGGCCCAGCTAAGAAAAAGAGAGAGCAAGAGAGAGGACATGCATGTGCACACGAGAGAGAGAGAGAGAGAGAGAGCGAGCGTGCATGGCCACGTGCACGAGCCAGTGAGCAAGCGCACACACATGCAAAAATGGGGTCTCACTATGTTGCCTAGGCTGGTCTCAATCTTCCCACCTCAGCCTCCCAAAGTGATAAGTGTCATAGGCATAAGCCACCACACCCAGTCAATGGAGAAGCATTTCAGGAATGAAGGCAGAGTCAAACACCATCAGTAGTAGCGGTACTGGAAGCTAACACTTTGAGGTCTTGCTTGGCTTGAAGCTAAGAATTTTATTTGTAGCATGTCATTCAGTCCTCACAACAATCCTGGAAGACAAGAAAACTAAGGTAGAGACGTTCAGTAACTTGCTCCAGACCTCAAATCTGAGTTGGCAGAACCAGGATGTCCAGCACGTGGATTCAGGTACAAGAAATACCACTGATATCTACATAATTACTACTCATGTTTTCCAAGATGAATGACATTTGGAAACAATTACAAAGTAGAAAAATCACAATTTTAAAAATCTATATATACAGGCCAGGCGTGGTGGCTCATGCCTGTAATCTCAGCACTTTGGGAGGCCAAGGTGGGCGGATCACTTGAGGTCAGGAGTTCGAGACCAGCCTGACCAACATGGTGAAACCCCGTCTCTACTAAAAATACAAAATTAGCCAGGCATGGTGGTGTATGCCTGTAATCCCAGCTACTCAGGAGGCTGAGGCAGGAGAATCGCCTGAGCTGGGGAGGTGGAGGTTTCAATGAGCCGAGATCGCGCCTCTGCACTCCAGCCTGGGCAATAAGTGAGACTCTGTCTCAAAAAAAAAAAAAAAAAAATATATATATATATACACACACACACAGAGTGGGACCCCCAATCCGAGGAAAAACATCTCTATACACACATGCATGAGAGATACAAAACACTAGAAGAAATATAATAATCTTACATGGTTATTTCCTGATTGAGAGATTATAGATTTTTGCTGTATGTTCCTAATTTCCCTTTTTTATAAAATTTTATTTATTTTTTTAAAAATAGAGACAGGGTCTAGCTGTGTTGCCCAGGCTGGTCTCAAACTCCTGGCCTCAAGTGATTCTCCTGCCTCAGCCTCCCAAAGTGCTAAGATTACAGGCATGAGCCACCATGCCAAGCCCCTAATTTACTACAATGAACATTTTAGATGTTTTTATTAGCAAAATGAAGAAGCTGAAAATAAAACTGAGACAACAGGAACAAGATCTCCAGAGAAAGGATAGGATAGATGGTGGAGGCAATGGAAACAGACTGCCTGTTGGGGAGTTTAAAGAGAGAAAAACAAGAAGAGTGGCTAGAATAGATAGCAAGATTAACTGGGTGTTGAGTTACATAAGATTTAGGCATGTTTGAAGGTATAATAGAGTAGCCACTGACAAAACTGTTGGTAACTGTTTTCCAGTGGAAAAATGTTCCTTTTACTAACATAGGAAGAGGCAAATGCAGACACAGAAGTCTTCTCAGATGAATGAGGAGAAAGAGCTCACACCAGCAGGTCTATAATGCATAGGCTCCAGGAGCAATGACCCAAGAACTAAGTTCACTGTCACCACGGCCAACTGTCTAATCTCCCTGTAGATCCAGTCATCTGTAAGATGGAGCTATTAACAGCACCTATCAGAGCTGATGTGAGGACCACGCAGTAATAGCATAGTTCCCAGCATGGTGCCTGGTGCAAGAAAGATACCCAACAAATGCGAGCTAATGGCACAGGCATCTTCAACAGGGCAAAACGCAAGTGCACCAACTGCCATGGGAGTGTCAGGCAGAGGGACTGGAAGGCTAAGGTTGTAGGGAATTTATTTCAACAGGAAAACCTTCAAGTACCTCTCCCAACACACTTTACATAATATGTATGCCAAGCGGGGATTAACCAATTTTCCAGGACTTATTTCAATTCCAAGTCCAAGCACAGCCCTGACTTGGGGCTTCTCCTGCCTGGAACCCTCTTTTCCCAGATGTCTGTCTGGTTTGTCTTCTCACCTCCTCCTACTCTCTCCTCAAATGTTTGGACCACCCTTTTCAACATGGAAGCACCAGCAATGCCTAGAGCCCTACAGCAGACTCGTCCGCCATCTTTTTCAGCACACAGCCTTTTCCACTGTCGCATAGGTAACATTCCTCTCACCAAGGCAAGTTGGCATCTCTTATTCACTGCCCATCACCTGCCTCTCCTTGGCACATCTTTGGCCCTGAATACGCATTTTACAAAAGATCTCTCCTCTCTTCCCCTTTATGGGCGCTGCCCTCTCAGTATTCCCATCTAAAATCCATGCAGACAGAGCCTCCCCTAGCCCCACACTTCTCTCTCCGACTACTTTCCTACAAGACTCTCCTCACCCCACTGGAACTCACTGGCCCTCAGCAATCTCTACCACTGACGAATCCATCTCCAACTTCGGACCATTCCCTCTGCTCTCAGAATACCTTCTGTGGGTTCTGCGACACTAGTGCTGAGAGTCTCCCAAAGTCTGGTCACTCCTTTAAGTGTTTCTCTTCCTCTGCACATCCCTAACACAAGGGCCTCTTCTCAAGCTACACCAACGGGTCTTCACCTCTGACAAATCTCTGAGTTCTCCTCCCCAGGAAAAGGCACAATCCTACAGTACTGCACATGGGGGCAGGGACAGGGTGCCTGTCTCCAGCTGAGAACTTCTCTGGTCCCCACAGGTGCCCTGGGCCTGGCCCATTCTCTAAACCAGCGCTGCTCAGATATTTCGGCTCAGACCCCCTCTACATCCTCAACTATTAAGGACCCCAGGGGCTTTTGTTTATGAGGGTTTGATCTATCAATATTTACTGTGCTATAAATTAAAACTGAAATGTCCTAAAAATGTTTATCATTTGAAAATAAGCCCACTGCATGTTACCATACATAACATTTTTATAAAGAACAACTACTTTCTAGGCCGGGCGCAGTGGCTCATGCCTGTAATCCCAGCACTTTGGGAGGCCGAGGCGGGCAGATCACGAGATCAGGCGATCGAGAGCATCCTGCCTAACACGGTGAAACCCTGTCTCTACTAAAAATACAAAAATTAGCCAGGCGTGGTGGCAGGCACCTGTAGTCCCAGCTATTCGGGAGGCTGAGGCAGGAGAATGGCGTGAACCCAGGAGGCGGAGCTTGCAGTGAGCCAAGATCGCACCACTGCACTCCAGCCTGGGTGACAGAGTGAGACTCTGTCTCAGGGAAAAAAAAAAAAAAAAGAATAACTATTTTCTAAGAAAAATAATCTGGTGATAAGCCATATTTTACATTTTACATTTACCTTGTCTGCCTCAATGGGAGCAATGGATCTTCACATCGTGTCTGCTCTCAGCCTGATGCAATACACAGTTTTAGCTGAAGTCTAAGAGGAAAATTCAGTCTCACATAGATATGCAGCTGGAAAAAGAAAAGAGCTGTTTTTTGTTGTTGTTGTTGTTTTTTAAGACATAGGGCCTCACTCTGTCACCCAGGCTGGAGTGCCATGGTGCAACCATAGCTCACTGCAATCTCAACCTGCCAGGCTCCATCAATCCTCCTGCCTCAGCCTCCCCAGTAGATGGGACCACAGGCACGCACCACCATGCCTGGCTAATTTTCAAATTTTTTTGTAGAGATGGGGTCTCACTATGTTGCCCAGGCTGGTCTCAAAATCTCAGCCTCAAGTGATCCTCCTGCCTCACCCTCCCAAAGCACTGGGATTACAGGTGTGAGCTACCATGCCCAGCCAAGAACAGTATTTCTATAGAATTTTTATTTTATTTTTATATGTCAACACAATGAAAAGTCAAATAACATCTTAATATGATTATGAAGGCCGGACACGGCGGCTCACGCTTGTAATCCCAGCGCTTTGGGAGGCCGAGGCAGGCGGATCACGAGGTCAGGAGATCGAGACCACGGTGAAACCCCGCCTCTACTAAAAATACAAAAAATTAGCCGGGCGTGGTGGGGGGTGCCTGTAGTCCCAGCTACTCGGAGAGGCCGAGGCAGAATTGCGTGAACCCGGGAGGCGGAGCTGGCAGTGAGCCGAGATCGCGCCACTGCACTCCAGCCTGGGCGACAGAGAGAGACTCCATCTCAAAAAAAAAATATATATATATATGATGATGAAAACAGTTCTGACTAAGTGAATTCCTGAAACTGTCTCAGGAGCCCCCAGGGGTCCACGATCACACTTTGAGAACCACTGCTCTAAGTGACCACTGCTCCCCAAGACTTCAATCATCACCCAAATGTTGCTAACTCCCAAAGGCCTGCCTCCATCCAGACCTATCTTCCAGAGCTCCCCACTCACAGGCACAGGAGTCACTACGTCAGCATTTACTGTGTACCGTTTTAGGGGCTGGTCTGCAGTGAACCAGACTGCCTGTGTCCATGGAGCTTAGAAGAAGTGGGAAGAGCATTATCAGGCTACGAAGACAAGAGTGGGGTAAAACAGCAGAGATCAATGAGATCAGAGCACACCCTCGGAGGAAGGGATACATGACAAATGCCTGAACGGAGAGAGGGAGTGAACTGTGCAAACACACAGCCAGGAGTTTTCCAAGGACAGGGAGGAGAAAGTATAAGGCCTGCCGTACCCTCGATGCAAAACATGAGAAAGCCTCAGAGACTCCTCAAACCCAACACACACAAACTAAACTCATCATGACCCACAGCCACCCAGAGGGCAGACGGAAACCTGTGGTCATTTACATCTTTCTCGCCACTCTCGCCTTCCCTTCGGTCACCAGGTCTTATCAATCGTCAACCTGGTCCAGACCCCTTTCCTCTTCTACAGCAGCTTTGCCAACTGACTAGAGTCCCCTCCCTCCCCTGAGCACTCTACGCTCAACTACCAAGTAATGATCCCCATCAGATCAATCTCCTTAAAACTCTTTCAGGGCTTCCTGGAGCTCTCGAGGTAAAAGTTCATTTTTTTCTTTTTTTTTGAGTCTCACACTGTCACCCAGGCTAGGGTGATCTTGGGTCACTGCAACCTCCGCCTCCCAGATTCAAGTGATCCTTGTGCCTCAGCCTAATGAGTAGCTGAGAATACAGGTGTGCGCCACCAAGCCTAATTTTTATATGTTTAGTAGAGACAAGGTTTCACCATGTTGGCCAGGCTGGTCTCAAACTCCTGACCTCAAGTGATCCGCCCGCCCTGGCCTCCCAAAGTGGTGGGATTACAGGCATAAGCCACTGTGCCCGGCCTCAAGGTAAAAGCTCTTTATCCAGACTGTAAACCTTTTGGCTTCCAGGTCTAACCACTCTCCTAGCCCTTTGGAACTTCCGTCCCTGGATGTGCTGTGCTCTTATGCGCTTGATAAATAATTACTGAGCACCTGGCACACAGTATTGTGCGGGGTGCTGGAGACAGTGAAGGAGACCAGTTGGTTGCCGGATGAAAAACACACCATCTCATCAGCCTAGGATACACTCCTCCCCTCCATCCCCACCTGCCTGCCAGACAGACTCCAATTCAGGTCTCAAAGCTTTTTTTAATGAGAAGCTGCCACTGAACTCTGGACAGGGTGGTGTCCCTGGGAGCCACAGCCACTGCCCTCCGCTCTGTGCCTGCGTGTCAGGCTCCCTATTAGACCATGAATTCAGCAAGGCCCTGGATCACATGCATTCTACTATGGCTCACAGCCTCAGCACCCAGTAAGGTGCTAAATTGGGGCCAGGCACAGTGGCTCACGCCTGTAATCCTAACACTTTGGGAGGCCAAGGAGTTCAAGAGCGGCATGGGCAACAAGGTGAAACACCATCTCTACTAAGATACAAAAAACATTAGCTAGGCGTGGCGGCATGCACCTGTAATCCCAACTATTTGGGAGGCTGAGGCAGGAGAAGCGCCTGAACCTGGGAGGCGGAGGTTGCAGTGAGCCGAAATCGTGCCACTGCACTCCAGCTGGGTGACAGAGCAAGACTCCAACTCAAAAAAAAAAAAAAAAAAAAAAAAGAGAGAAGGTGCTAAGTCAACATCTGTTAAACAAATCACCATTACAGTTTTTATAAAAACAAGTGGAAAATATTTAATTATTGTCCCTATCAGCAAATCAAGGGACGTCAACAAATTTTGGTGAAATTAAAAAAAAATCTAGCTTCATAAATGGGAGGAGGAGAATTCTCTAAAAAAATGAACATAAATGGGCAGGGCGTGGTGGCTCACGCCTGTAATCCCAGCACTTTGGGAGGCCGAGGCAGGCAGATCACGAGGTCAGGAGTTTGAGACCAGACTGGCCAATATGGTGAAACCCTGTCTCTACTAAAAATACAAAAATCAGCTGGGCATGGTGGCAGGTGCCTGTAACCCCAGCTACTCTGGAGGCTGAGGCAGGAGAATTGTTTGAACCCAGGAGGTGGAGGTTGCAGTGAGCCGAGATCATGTCACTGCACTCCAGCCTGGGTGACAGGGCAAGACTCCGTCTCAAAAAAAAAAAAAGGACATAAACTTACCAGTTTTCAAAATGAGGCATAGTTCAAGATTATTCTACAAAGGTAAAGGAAAGCCTTTAAGAGCAGGTTACTGTGGCTCACATCTATAATCCCAACATTTTGGGAGGCTAAGGCAGGAGGATCACTTGAACCCAGGAGTTGGAGACCAGCCTGTCTCTACAAACAATAAAAAAAATTAGCTGGGCACGGTGGCATGTGCCCGTGGTCCTAGCTACTTGTGAGACTGAGAGAAGAAGATCGTATGAGCCCAGGAGGTCCAGGCTGCAGTGAACCATGATCATACCATCACATTCCACACTCCAGCCTGGGTGACACAGCAAAACCCTGTCCCAAAAAAAAAAAAAAAAGAAAAAGAAAAAAAAACCTTTCAAGAAAAGATAAGGATGTGAGAGATTTAGTAGAAAGTAAGGCAGTAAATAAGTGATAGGGATTTGCAAAGATAGCTAATATGCATGTTCCACACCCTGAATTAATATTCTTCTGGAACCATGGAGAAAAAAAGAAAAATCTCAGTAAACTGTCATCTTATAACATTTGTTAACCTTGCCATAAAAGAAATTTTTACAAAGCAAGGCCATCAGCAACAGAAATAGCTAATCCTTGCACTGAGCTCTGTTATCAGTGCCCACATCAGGACTCATTTAATCCTCACAATGACCCCATGAAGGAGGCTCTAGGAGCCTGTTTCACAGATAAGGACAGACACAGAAGTCCTAACACTGCAGGTGGCCTAAATTAAGGCAGGCTCAGGGAGGACAGAAAGCTCCTGTGGAGTGGAAGGGTAGAAGTTGAACTGATCTTGATTTTCAGTGCGAATAAAAGTCCTAACACTGCAAATCAGCCAGTGAGGCAACAGAGCTGAGCTGGGCTCTAACTCAGACAGTGCCAATCCTTTTGAAAACTACTGAATTTCTCTCACTCCCTAGATTTTAGGAATTATTTTAAAATTCCTATGAGAAATTTTCTGAAACCTATTGTAGACTCTTTTGACATGCTCATCTAATTATAAAGTGTCCGGACTTTTTTTTTTTTTTTTTGACCGAGTTTCACTCTTGTTGCCCAGGCTGCAGTACAATGGCACAATCTCGGCTCACCGCAACCTCCGCCTCCCAGGTTCAAGCGATTCTCTTGCCTCTGCCTCCCGAGTAGCTGAGATTACAGGCATGTGCCACCATGCCCGACTAATTTTTTTTTTTTTTTTGAGATGGAGTTTCCTTCTTGTTGCCCAGGCTGGAGTGCAATGGCACGATCTCGGCTCACTGCAACCTCAGCCTCCCGAGTAGCTGGAATTACAGGCATGCATCACCATGCCTGGGTAATTTTTTGTATTTTTAGTAGAGATGGGGTTTCTCCATGTTGGCCAGGCTGATCCACCCTCCTCGGCCTCCCAAAGTGCTGGAATTACAGGCGTGAGCCACCGCGTCTGGGCTAATTTTGTATTTTCAGTAGAGACAGGGTTTCTCCATGTTGGTCAGGCTGGTCTTGAACTCCCAACCTCAGGTGATCCGCTCACCTTGGCCTCCCAAAGTGTTGGGTTTACAGGCATGAGCCACCACACCCAGCCCAGAATTTTTTAAGCTTTATTAACTACAACACTCGGCAGAAGTTGAGTGTCTGTAATCAACATAGGGAATATATTTTCTAAGTGCTACAGGACTGCACACAGACATGCATGGAGACATGATTACCCACCAGTAAACAAGAATACATTCCACTGATGCCCTTAGTATTCCCATTCTTTTTTTTTTTTTGAGAGACGGAGTCTTGCTCTGTCGCCCAGGCTGGAGTGCAGTGGCGCGATCTCCACTCACTGCGAGGTCTGCCTCCCGGGTTCACACCATTCTCCTGCCTCAGCCTCCCAAGTAGCTGGGACTACAGGTGCCTGCCACCACGCCCGGCTAATTTTTTTGTATTTTTAGCAGAGACAGGGTTTCACTGTGTTAGCCAGGTTGGTCTCGATCTCCTGACATCGTGATCTGCCCGCCTGGGCCTCCCAAAGTGCTGGGATTACAGGCATGAGCCACCGTGCCCGGCCAGTATTCCAATTCTAACAGGTGAATGAATTAATACATAAAGTCCTCTCTTGATATAATGCATTAGTAAGTTTGGAGCAATGAATTATTAAATCATAAAAATATTTTATCTATGGCAAAATAGGTTCAACAGAATAAACTTAAAAATTAAGCTGGGCACGGTGGCTCACACCTGTAATCCCAGCACTTTGGGAGGCGGAGGCGGGCGGATCACTTGAGGTCAGCAGTTTGAGACCAGCCTGGCCAACATGGTGAAACCCCATCTCTACTAAAACTACAAAAATTAGCCAGGCATGGTGGCGGGCACCTGTAATCTCAGCTACTTGGGAGGCTGAGGCAGGAGAATCACTTGAACCCGGGAGGCAGAAGTTGCAGTGAGCCAGGACAGCGCCATTGCACTCCAGCCTGGGCAACAGGAAGGAAACTCCATCTCAAAAAAAAAAGAAAGAAAAAAGGAATTACCTTAGATAATCTTAATCTGGTCTTTTAAATCAGTAAGCTTTTAAAAAATGGGTCTTTCTCAGAATTCTAATTTAAGAAGACATAAATAAGGAAATACTTCCACTTAATCTTTTTTTTTTTTTTTTTTTTTGTGAAACGGAGTCTCGCTCAGTCACCCAGGCTGGAGTGCAGTAGCACGATCTCGGCTCACTGCAAGCTCCGCCTCCCGGGTTCACGCCATTCTCCTGCCTCAGCCTCCCAAGTAGCTGGGACTACAGGCGCCCGCCACCACACCCAGCTAATTTTTTTGGTATTTTTAGTAGCAATGGGGTTTCACCGTGTTAGCCAGGATGGTCTCAATCTCCTGACCTCGTGATCCGCCCACGTCGGCCTCCCAAAGTGCTGGGATTACAGGCGTGAGCCACCGTGCCCGGCCCACTTAATCTTAAAAAAAAAAAAAAGCAAGCAAGCAACATTGCTCTATAAAACAGAAAGCTTTTCTACCACTGAAAGCCAGGAGTAATTTCCACTGATTACCATGGCACCCAATGGTAGGCACTGACACAAGAACAAGAGGCTAAAAGGTTTAAAAAAGCTTTCAGCATTCCGGCAGGGCACGGTGGCTCACGCCTGTAATCCTAGAACTTTGGGAGGCTCAGACAGGCAGATCACCGGAGGTCAGGAGTTCAAGACCAGCCTGGCCAACATGGTGAAACCCCATCTCTACTAAAATAAAATTTTAAAAAATTATCCGGGCATGACGGCGGGTGCCTGTAATCCCAGCTACTCGGGAGGCTGAGACTGGAGAATCACTTGAACCCGTGAGATGGTGGTTGCAGTGAGCCGAGATTGCGCCACTGCACTCCAGACTGGGTGGCTGAGTGGGACTCTGTCTCACAAAAAAAGCTTTCAGCATTCCACTAATCCACTAGCAAACTCAAATGTCTATAGATTGTCTCTATTTCTTCAATCAAAGTTCTAGAACAAAATGCATAGCTTTGAAATAGGTGGTGCTCTGTCCCTCTCCCAGAGCAGCTGATGTGATGTTGCATTTCTCTCTCTTCATACACACTCACTCCCATATACGTTGGCCCTGCTTTTTCTTTCAGTAATGTTGAACACTGCAGTTTCATAAATTTCTGATAGTTTCCATTTTAAATTTATTTTATCTCCTCATTCTGTGTTCCTAAACCAAACACTTAACTGAATTGCCTACTTCATAATCTCTCCAACCACTCTTAACAAATGCAAACCTGAAATCAGAATGTAAACCAGTTTAAAATTTTTTTTATTTTTATTTTTTGAGACGGAGTCTCGCTGTGTCGCCCAGGCTGGAGTGCAGTGGCCGATCTTGGCTCACTGCAAGCTCCCCCTCCCGGGTTCCTGCCATTCTCCTGCCTCAGCCTCCTGAGTAGCTGGGATTACAGGTGCCCAGCACCACGCCCAGCTAATTTTTTGTAGAGAAGTAATTTTAGTAGAGAAGGGGTTTCACCGTGTTAGCCAGGGTGGTCTCGATCTCCTGACCTCATGATCCGCCTGACTCGGCCTCCCAAAGTGCTGGGATTACAGGTGTGAGCCACCACGCCCGGTCAAACCAGTTTAAAATTTTATAAAAATTTTTGTTCCATGTCTTGTGAGACTTACACTAAATAGGGGTTTCAAAATAACATGGCCTGCCATATGGTCAAGCCAGATTTAAAAATTGAGAATATCTATTACCAATCCACTAATGCTAAAGCCAAAGTCACAGACAGTAAGAATGTAATCCAATTTAGAGACCAACATGAGCCAAATCTTTCGGGCAGAGAAAAACAACGACAAAACTATAATAAATGCCAACACTGCACTTCTAAAATAATACCAATGTTATTCATTAAAGTATTAGCTACAAAAAGTCAACTGATGGTAGATGAAGTCTAGAGATGCCCTGAAGACCTTTTTCATCCTTTTATCAAAGCTGTTTTTAGCTACAAAGCTACAACTTTTCCAGTGGACCAACACACACATAAAATAAACCAAAAGACCCAGAAATTTTTAGCAAAGCAAAGGGAAGAGAACAAAGCTCTGGTACTTTTGCAGGATAGTACAACATCTCCTTTGAGAAATAAATTAACTTTTCAAATTCTGTTTCTCAAGTGATCAACATAAATCTACCTAGATGATACTAGCTTTGAAATCAAAGTCATTGGGCATCAAAAGGATTTACAGAGGTTTTTACTCTTTTGAGACACAGTCTCACTCTGTCGCCCAGTGGCACAATCTCGGCTCACCGCAACCCCTGCCTCCCGGGTTCAAGCGATTCCCGTGCCTAAACCTCCCGAGTAGCTGGGATTACAGGCGCCCACCACCACGCCGGCTAATTTTAATATTTTTAGTAGATACGAGGTTTCGCTATGTTGGCCAGACTGGTCTCAAACTCCCAGCCTCATGTGATCCGCCCGCCTCCACCTCCCAAAGTGCTGGGATTACAGGCGTGAGCCACCACACCCAGTGGGTTTTACTCTTAAAAACAAACAATAAAAAAACCACACACTATTCTGCAGTCTCTTGAATCTTCTAAGATTAAAATTAAATCTGAGAAAATTTACTTCAACTTTCCCACCCACCAAAAAAACAGAATTAACTGAAGATATCAAAGAAAAAACAATATTTTAAAGGTATCACTGAAGAGCACTGTCAGTACTTGTCTGATGAGATAACTATGGTTCTGTCATAAATTCAGATTACGCGAGAGAAATAGCTTTTGGCCAGTGGATGTGCTCTTTTGAGAAAGTCAATTCTGAGCTGAAATTTCATGTTGGAACAGTTTCCTCTATAAGACTCATCTTGAAAGGTTCCCGCAGAAGATAAAATGTCATCCTCACACTGGGCCTGGGCAGTGCGCACTTAACTGGGAGGGGGCACAGGCACCTCAGAACTTAACTGGTTTTCCAAACTCTCAATCTCAAAAAAAAAAAAAAAGGCGGGCGGGGGGAGCACTTTCAGTGTTGATGAAACCAAATGCTCGTAACCTGGGACCACCGCCCAACACCTGCAGTCCAGCCTTCCCCCAGGGTTGACAGCATCAGCCTCTGGACCCTGCAGTTGCAGTTCATTTCTGCGCAGCTCTAATCGTTAGAAAGTTCTGCCTTACCGGCTGGGCGCGGTGGCTCACGCTCGTAATCCCAGCACTTTGGCAGATCAAGGCGGGTGAATCACCTGAGGTCTGGAGTTGGAGACCAGCTTGGCCAACATGGTGAAACCCTATCTCTACTAAAAATACAAAAAATTAGCCGGGTGTGGTGGTGGTAGCTGTAATCCCAGCTACTCGGGAGGCTGAGGCAAGAGAATCACTTGAACCCGGGGGCGCGGAGGTTGCAATGAGCCGAGATCGCGCCACTGCACTCCAGCCTGGGCAACAAGAGCGAAACTCCATCTCAAAAAGTAAAGAAAGTTCTGCCTTAGCATAAACCAAGACAAAACCCACCATTCAGTCCTACCCTGGGGAGGCTCTCAGACCTGTCTCCATGTCAGTGGCACCACCTCCATCCCCAGCCTCGAACCCAGCGTTAGCAAAGAAGGAACCGCCTATCCACTTTCTTGATATACATACCTTCCCAAAGAATCCAGAATAGACTATGCATGTCAATAGCATGAAAATTAAAACCTTACTTTCAATAAAGAGCTCCTCCCTCTCCCAAAAGACTATCACTTCAGATTAGAAAATAACTTATGCAAAAACCTTATCAATAACAATGCTTGCTCCAAAGACCTTATTCAGTATGCAGTTCACTGAAACTTTCCACAAAACTAATACGTCCATTTGCTAATCATGAAAAATAATCTTCATATTTTCTTAATTAATAATCTCACCAGCAACTGCTTAATCACCTAATACTATTTGAGACTAATGTTATCAGATAGATAGCAACATGAAAATACAATGAACCAATGCTCCCCAAAAGAAAACCATAGGTTACCATTTCTACACTATTTACCCATAAGTCCAGTACTGTACACCCTAACTGTAAATGTACACCAACTCCCTTTTCAAAACACAAATTTTAACATCGGCGTTTTCCTTCAGGAGCCCATTTCACAATCTTAAGAAAAAGCTTCCATGAAGACAGGCTGGGCACGGTGGCTAAGGCCGCTAATCCCAGCACTTTGGGAGGCTGAGGCGGGAGGATCGCTTGAGCCCCAGAGTTCGAGACCAGCCTGGTTAACAGGATCTCTTTTACAAAGAGATCCCATCTCTTAAAAAAAAAAAAAAAAAAGGCTTCCATGAAGATGAATTAAGCAAACAAAAGCTGATACTGCTTCTGCATGCTAACCATGTAATTTAACGGACACAAGAAATGTTAAAATATCATTTGAATCAACTATCGATTCACAAGAAAAAATATAGCAGGTTCTTAAAAGTCAAAAGCCTCAGCCGACAGCCCTGTGGAATTTTCAACAGATCTCCCCACTCCCCACCCCCACCCCGCTTCCAGCCGAAAAGCCGATCCAGGCAAGAGGAAGACACCCAGCCTTTGTGCTATTTCCTGTCCTCTCCCCCACCTTCGGGCCTTCGGAATATCGCAAACCGGGCCCCGAAACTCGGCGCGGCGGCGGCCGCCCCACAAAGGCAGCGGTGGGAGCGCCATCTTGGCGCGGCCACCGGGCCCATTCATTCGCGGGGCCGGGCCGGGGTCCGCGCAACCCTCGAGTCGACACGCGCGGGGCGCCAGCGCCGGACAGACCCGGGCCTCGGCAGGAGAAGGGCGAGGCCACAGCGCGACTGCCTCAGCGGCTCGACACAGCGAAAAGGGCCGAAACCGTTATTTTCCCATTTCCCGACGCCGCGCCCGGCTTCCGCTTTAAATCCCTACTCCGACCGCGGCGCGCGGCCCGGCTTCCCCATTTCATTGTTCCCCTTCCCCACGCTCGCGCCCCGCGGCCGCCCGGCCCTCAAAGTCACCCCGATAGGCGGCCCGCGCGGGGGCTCCGGCCGCCGACACCGCCCCGCCTGCAGGCCCGCCCGGCCTTTGTTCTCGCGCCGCGGGCCCGAGAGCCACGTCCGGCTCCCCACGCAGGGCCCGGCCCCGCCCGACCCGCGCCCCCGGGGCCCCGGCCGCCGCCACGGGAAGCGCCCGCGGCGCACACAACCCCGCACCCCGGTGCCGAAACTCGGCCCCCAGCCTTGGGCCTGGGACCCCGGCTCCTCTCCCTAGACCCCGCCCTCGACCCCGACCCTGCACCCCGAACCTCGGACCCCAGCCCCCGGCCCCCCCTTCGGACGCCGCCCGCCGCACCCGGGCGGGGCAGGAAGACGCGGCCCCGACCGGCGGGTGGGGTGGGGGCGGGGCGGGCGCCCCCAGGGCGGGCGGGTGGACGAACAGGACCCGGGTCCGGGGCTGGGGGCTGCCGCGCTCACCTCAGCGCCCTCGTCGCGGCCTGACGCGCCCACACCGCCGCCTCGGCCGCCGCTCGGCAGGTCGTCGCGCTCGGGCCGCGCTGCGCGCTCCGCGGGCGCTGCGGGCAGGTGCGCGCCGGCGAGGCTCGGTCCAGTCCCGCCGCGGCGGCTGCTCCACTCCCGGCCCCGCTCCCCACTCGCCGCCCGCTCCCGCTCCCGCCGCCGCCGCCGCCGCCTCCGTCCGCCCCTCAGACGCCTCCAGCCATCGGGATGGGCGCGGCGGGCCCCTGCCCGCAGCCTCGGAAAACCCCACGCGCTCGCGTCACCACGCACGCCGCGCGTCGCGCGCGCTCGCCAGGCCCGACGGGCACGCGCACGCCTGTGCGCGTCCAAACCGCATCGGGCCCCGAGCGCGTGTCCGAGCGGCTTAAAGGGGCCGTGCTGCTGCCTTCGGGTACCGCTGCCCCGGGAGACCCCCGGCGGCCCGGCCCTGCGGGGACCGGGCGGGATGGGGACCGGGGCAGTGGACCCTCGGAGTTGGGATGGGGCGGGGGGAACGCGGGCGTGGAGCCCTCCGGGGACAGGGTAAGGTTGGGTAACCGTGGGCGGGGGCTCCTCCAGGGGCGGGGGTGGGGTAACGGCGGGCGGGGGGCACTCAAGCGACAGGGCAGGGGCGGGAAGGCCGCGGGCGGGGGCGGTCCCTCCGGGGACGGGGCGGGTGGGGGCACCGCGGGCGAGATCGCTTCCTGCAGAGGAGGCAACAGGCCCCGCTAGCAGGTCAGGGTCCCGGGCAGGCGCAGGTGCCCCCCGGCCTCTCAAGCAGGGACTGCGGCGAGCTCAGACGCGGCTGACGGGCAGAGACTCGCGCTTGGGCTCAGTGCGTGTGAAGTGGGCCTCGGGCTGCGGAGGAGGGCAGCACCCCGTGGCTCCTCGCGCTGCTGCGAGCAGGGCCGCCTGGCAGGGGCGGGGGCCGGTGGGCGGGAGTGTCGGGGTAAGGCCGCGGACTCCTCCCATGCCGCTGAGCAGTGGACAGCGGGGACTGGAGACCTCCAGGTGAGGAAGGGGAACGAAGTCAAGAAGGCCACATGTCCTGGCTTCCAGGCTTGGTGTCCTCAGAAGCCTCCAGAACGTCCATGGAACCCGCCCCTGCGCCCACCGCCTCCTGCTGTCTTTCCAGCTGAGTTCCGGCTGCCCCTCACCCTCGGCTTCTTCACTCTGCCTCTCCCCAGCCAGCGCCCTGCTCCCCGGTCCTCAACCACCACCTTCCACCTGCCTGGGCCTTCATCGCCTCCGAGCTCCCCTTCCACACCAAACCTGGCGTCCGTTTTCCTCCAGGCCTGCACCAGCACAGCTGAAGGGGAGAGAGACCCAACCTCATCCACTGGGCCTCCCCTCAACCAGGGCCACAACCTCAAGGGGCCATGCCACCTCCAACACCTATTTCCCACCTTCTACTCTCTCCACACCCTGGGACACCACCCGCCTCTCTCAGCTGACGTTTTCCTTCTTGTTTTGTGTGCATGGTGCTTGTGTGAGAAAGTGGACACACAGTAAGTGCGGCTTCCAGATGCGTCCGCCACCTGCCCTCCGTGCCACGCGCTTCCCCCTACCTAGGGGAGCCTCCACCAGACAGGGAACCCACGCCTTGCCACCCTTCTCTCTCCCTCCCACTTCACCTGTCCGCATCATTTCTGGAGCCCTTTCTTTCTGGCACGAGATGCTCCAGGGCCCTGTTGTATTCTCCCTGCCCCAGCCTGAACCCAGCTATTTCTGCTGCAGCCTGGTTCATTGTGGGAGAATGTCATGCAGAGCCCGGGATCTGGCTCCGGATGTGCTCATTGCTACTGGGGTGTCATTGCAGCTGGCGGAGCAAGGGAACACATCTATGTACATGCCCACACGCATATGTATACACACAGTTTCATGGGCGTGTTTGTCTGTTTTTCTTGGGCACCACGTGTTTACTCTGATGCCAGGCCAACACTACAGGGCTCAACCTGTTCGGAATGAGGGGCCTCCTGCTTTGGGAGTGAGGAACCTGGCTCTGATTATCTCCTGTGTAACCAGTCTCTCATCCTTGCTTCCACCCCACCATATGCTACCCGCTCCTCACCCTGCGTGGCCTCTGACCTCCGCTGGACCACCGAGGCCCCGCCCCCACAGGGGCGCCTGCCTGCCTAGCACAGTTGAGCAAGGAGTGAATTCCCAGTGAAATTTTTTTAATTTTTATTTTATTTATTTATTTTGGGTTTTTTTTTCTTTCTTTCTTTCTTTTTGAGATGGGGGTCTCCCTGTGTTGCCCAGGCTGGTCTCAAACTCCTGGGCTCCAGCGATCCTCCCACCTCAGCCTCCCAAAGTGCTGAGATCACAGGCAGGAGCCACTGCGGACACAGCCTGAATTGTCAATCATATCACTCCTGTGCCTGAAACCATTGACAGTTCCCATCACCCGCCCTCTCCCCAGTGTCCAGGCCCCTCCTCCCCTCCCCACTATCAAGACACTGGCTCCTGATGCTCCCCGACACCACCGAATTCCATCCTCCAGGCTTTGGCCCAGTGGCTCCATCTGCCTGGGACGGTCTCCCCATAACCTCGTGTAGTTCAGGCCTTTGCGGGTGTCACGTCCATGGAGATGTCTCCCCAGCCCTAACCATCCCTCCCAGGTGCCTCTCTGCCTGCTCCGGGCCCTCCCCCTGTTGCAGTGTGAGCACTGTGAAGCCCACTCTTAACCGCTGCTCCACCAGCCCAGCGTGGCACCAGGCACACGGGGTCATCGGAGAACAGCTGGTGTGGCTGATAGGCTCTGAGTTCTGAGTGAGGAAGATGCAACCCAGCACAGGGACCAGTGCCCAGAGCAAGGGATCAGGAGGGACAGAACCATCACCTGGGCCAGAACAAGGGCAGGGTGCGAGGAACCTGAGTGGTTGGACTTCAGGAGAGCCGGGTTTCCGCAGGAAGGCTTCTCTGCTCGGACACTCGAGGGGCAGGGTGGAGCATGGGGCACATCCAGGGCTGAGGGACGATGCAGAGTCGGGGGACAGTGTTCTGCACGTTGGCAGGTGAGGGGTCAGAGGTGGCCCTCAGAATCTGGCAGGCCTAATGCCAGCCTTCAATGACCACCTGAATTAAAAGTGGAAATGAGTAGCAGGGAGAGGAGGCTGAGGCAGCAGCAGGGAAGCCCAAAGTGGGCAGTGGCCGTTTGTCACCAGAGACCTTCCAGCAGCTGTGGGATGGGAGAGGCCCCAGAAGGTCCCTGCAAGCCTGGCCCAGGGCCATGGAGGAGCCTCAAGAGGAGTGGGCACCACACTGCGGGCCAGACTGGGCAGTGGCAGGGCTGTACCCCAGGGCTCTCTTGTCCCACAGGCCACCATCAGCCTGGTCAGCCCATCTCAGTACAGCCAGGGCCATGAAGGAAGGCCACACAGGAGGACCCCAGGCCAGTGCCCGCCCTGGCCATATCCAAGGGGCAGGGTGCAGCCCCAGCACCTCCAGCTTATCTGTAGGTCCTCTAGGTAAGGCAGGGCTGTCCCTGGAACTTGCCCCATGGCCCAGGCAGAAATCCTATTTGATGGTTTATGGAGGGCAAAGTTGAGAGGAAGGAGGGAGGGAAGGAGCAGGGGCCCCGGGTGCTTACTCCCAGGTCTTCACTGCAGCCTGGGGCTGCCCTCTGAAGTACACAGTCCCTGGGAGGCAGAGACCTCTGCCCTGAGGACGATGTGAATCCAAAGGTGCTTCTCACCTCCAGCCAGGGCCCATCCCTGGAGATAAGAGACACTCAGAGCCCTTGGTGGCCCAGGGGGGTCTAGAGCCGGCCTCAGACCTGCCCTCCCTGCCCCGCCTCCATTCCCTTCAGCCCAGGCCTCTTGTATCTTTTGGCCCTCACCTACCACCCCGCCCTCTCCCTGGCAGAGCAAACGCTTCCCAGTAACACTCCCTTCTCTGCAAGGATCTCAGAGATCAGCCTGTGTCCCTGAGTCCAGAGCCACACCCGGTCAGCTCTGGGTCCCTGAGTCCAGAGCCATACCCGGTCAGCTGTGCCCAACCCCGGGCAAGACTGAGCTGGGCCCTGGGGTGGAGGCGGCTGCACCGATACTGGCTCCACACCAGGCCTTCTCTAAAACCCCACGGGAGCGGGAGATACAATTCAGATGCCCCACCCCCACCTGCTTCTCAGCAGGAAATGGTCTAATGTGAAAGTAGGTCTTTTAAATCCGAATTATTCAATCTGTGCATGTGACAGGACCCACAGCTCCATCTCTGTGCGCGCCCTGGGCGCCGCGCTCCAGCCAGGCTTTGAAGGGTCTCAGAGCTGCAGGGGACGTTTCTAGATTTCCAGCTCTGGCAGGAGAGGTCCCTTTGTCTTTCCCTGGGCTCTGGGCTCCTGCAGGGCGTCTGTCCTCCTCCTACCAGCACTGTGAGGTTCTCCACCACACGGCCCTCTGCTGTCGTCTTCACTTGCAGTGAGATCCAGGCCCCAAAGGACAGAGAATAAGGAGGGAGGGAGAGAGGAGAGCATCGTGATGGTGCCCAGGGGGTGCAGAATGTAGGTGATCAAGAAGAAAGCCCTAATTAGCTCCTGCAGCTTTCAAAGGAAGGGGCTGGTGGAGGAATGGGACCATGGCACCTCTCCAACCCTCAGCACACACCTGCTGAGGCCCACTGGGTGCCAGGGTGGGTTTAGCACCAGGCTCTGGCCCTGAGGCCAAAGCAGGGCAGCTCTGCTCAGGGGGTTGAGTAGGGGCCTGGTTCCCAGCTTCATGGGGAGCGGCCAGTGAGGAGGTGTCACCGCAGCAGAGCCAGGCACAAAGTGAGGGCAGGCTGCTGTGGCTGGTGAATGAGTGGCTGGCAGAGCTGGGAGGGTCACTGCCCTACAAGGTCACAGACATCATGGCCCAGGAGGCTGGTGTGGCAGGCAGAGCGAATGCCGGGCCTTGGGGGCCTCTGAGAGGAGGCTGACTGTGGCCCCCTGGACCCCGTCTTGCAGGTGCGGGGAGTTGGCCTCTGTCCCCCACCAGGACTCATCCCTTGTTCCGAAGCTCCCCACCATGCTTCTCACCCCCGACCCTCCTGGCCACCAACCCGTGGTCATGAATCATGAATTGCACATCCTTCTTGGGCACACCCGTGCTTGCACACCCAAGCTGGGTACACACATGCATGTGCACAAACACACATGAGCTGGGTATGTACACATGTGCACACACAGTGGGGAATCGGTGTCTGCTGGGGGGTGGAGGAGGTGATGGTGTAAGTGAGCAGATGCATTGTGGGGGCATGTTTCCTCTCCCTGCTAGAGTTGGACCAGAATCCCCAGAGAAAACTCACGTGGCCTCTTGTCACTCTGGTGAGCAGACCCAGGTGGGCTGACACTCGCAGAGGGAGGTGCGTAGCTTAGACCACCAGCTCCAGTAAAGACCTGACAACACCCAGCCCCTGCCTCCCTTGCAGGCCAATGGAAGAATCCACCTTCTTCCTTAGAGTCCTTTATCACAGGCTCATCTGGCCTCACTGTAGAATCCCAAAACTGCATGCACAGAGATAGAAATCCTGACTATGTCCAGTGGCCCTAAGTACCACAGATGAACCTAAAGGAAGGGCTTTTTTTTTTTTTTGAGACAGAGTCTCACTCCGTTGCCCAGGCTGGAGTGCAGTGGCACGATCTCGGCTCACTGCAACCTCTGCCTCCCGAGTTCAAGCAATTCTCCTGCCTCAGCCTCCTGAGGAGCTGGGACTACAGGGGCGCACCACCATGCCTGGCTAATTTTTGTATTTTTAGTAGAGACGGGGTTTCACCGTGTTGGCCAGGCTGGTCTCAAACTCCTGACCTCATGATCTGCACACCTCGGCCTCCCAGAGTGCTAGGATTACAGGTGTTAGCCACAGCACCCAGCCAACGCGGGGCTTTTCTTTCTTTCTTTCTTTTTTTTTTTTTTTTTTGAGATGGAGTCTCGCTGCGTTGCCCAGGCTGGAATGCAGTGGCGCAATCTCAGCTCACTGCAACCTCTGCCTCCTGGTTCAACCGATTCTCCTGCCTCAGCCTCCTGAGTAGCTGGAATTACAGGCACCTGCCACCACACTCAGCTAATTTTCGCTTTTTGTTTTTTGTTTTTTTGAGACGGAGTGTTGCTGTGTCACCCAGACTGGAGTGCAGTGGCGCGATCTCAGCTCACTGCAAGCCCCGCCTCCCGGGTTCACGCTATTCTCCTGCCTCAGCCTCCTGAGTAGCTGGGACTACAGTCGCCCGCCACCATGCCCGGCTAATTTTTTTTATTTTTAGTAGAGACAGGGTTTCACCATGTTAGCCAGGATGGTCTCGATCTCCTGACCTCATGATCTGCCCACCTCAGCCTCCCAAAGTGCTGGGATTACAGGCATGAGCCACCATGCCCGGCTTTTTTTTTTTTTTTTTTAGTAGAGATGGAGTTTCACCTGTTGGTCAGACTATTCTCGAACTCCTGACCTTGTGATCCAACCCCCCCGCCGCCACCAGCCTCCCAAAGTGCCGAGATTACAGGCATGACTCACCGTGCCTGGCCAAGGAGCATTTCAATGTCATCCCCCATTCAAGGAGTGACAGACCTTTGGTTTAAAATACAAACCTTGGCCAGGCGCGGTGGTTCACAGCTGCAGTCTCAGCACTCTGGGAGGCCAAGGTGGGCGGATCATCTGAGGTGGAGAGTTTGAGACCAGCCTGATTAACATGGAGAAACCCCGTCTCTACTAAAAATACAAAATTAGCTGGGCGTGGTGGTGCATGCCTGTAATCCCAGCTACTCGAGAGGCTGAGGCAGGAGAATCGCTTGAACCCGGGAGGCAGAGGTTGCGGTGAGCTGACATTGCGCTATTGCACTCCAGCCTGGGCAACAAGAGTGAAACTCCGTCTCAAAAAAAAAAAACAACAAAAAACACCTCTTGGCTGGGTGCCATGGTTCACGCCTACAATTCCAGCTCTTTAGGAGGCTGAGGCTGGAGCATTACTTCAGACCAGGAGTTTGAGACTAACATAGTGAGTGAGACCCCATCTCTGCTAAATATAAAAAAATTAGCCAGGCATGATGTCTCGTGCCTCAGGTACCCGCTACTCAGGAAGCTGAGGTGGGAGGATCGCTTGGGCAGGGGAGGTTGAGGCTGCAGTGAGCCATCATCGCGCCACTGCACTCAAACCTGGGTGACAGAGTGAGACCTTCTCTCAAAAACAAACAAAAACCCCACAAACCTCCCTAACAGTGAAAGATGCAAAACCATGAATGGAAAGAGCATCGTCCCCTGCCTGTAGACCCAGAAGCCGTGCACAGACAGGTACGTGTGCATGTGCACATACATTCACAATCTGAGTATATATGCATGTGCGTACATGGGAGCTGGTGATATGCACATGTGCATGCACACCCAAGCTGGGTATATGTGCATGTGAACAAACACACATAAGCTGTGTATATACACATGTGCACACACAAGCTGGATATACACACATGTATGTACATGAGCTGGGTGTATACACACACCCAAGCTAGGTATACATGCATGTGGACAAACACGAGCTGGATATACATGCATGTACATGCACACCCAGCGTGGGTATGTACACATGTGCATGCACACATGAGCTGGGTATACATGCATGTACATGCTCATCAGCTGGTGTACATGCACGTGTACACACAAGGGCTGGGTATACCCACATGTACATGCACACATGGATTGGGCATGTGAACACACGCAAACTGGGTATACATGCATGTATATGCACAGCAGATGGTATGCATGCATGTGTGCAAACACACTGGAGCTGGTAAATGTGCATGTGCACACACATGAGTTGGATGTGCACACACATAAGTTGGATATGCACACACATAAGTTGGATATACACACATAAGTTGGATATACACACATGTACATGCATACCCAAACGGTACACTCACATGTACATGCACAGCAGATGGTATATATGCATGTGTACAGACACATTCAAGCTGGGTATACATGCATGTATGCACACACATGAGCTGGGTATGCATGTACACCCAAACTGGGTATACACACGTGCACACACTCAAACTGGGTATATATGCATATGTGCAAACACACAGGGGCTGGGTATACACACATTTGCATGCACACCAGCTAGTATATGGGCATGTGCACACACATGAGCTTGGTATACACACATGTGCACACACATGCAAGCTGGGTCAGTCAGGAGTCACTGTAGCAAGCAGTAGAAGCTTAAGCCAGCTTGCATGAAAAGAGGTAACTGACTGGCTCAGTGAATAGGAGTCATGAGCAGACAGCTGAGCCTCAAGCCTATCTGGATCCAGATGAGCCCGTCGGGCTCTCCCCCGGCCCACCCACCCATGGCTCTGTGTCCCCATGTGGCGCCTCCTCCTTTCTCTGCTGGGTAGAGCCCCACTGCCCCGTCACCCCCACCTCAGCAGTCAGACTGCTCAGAAGACGGCTATCCGGATGTTGACCCCAGGAGGACTCTGAAAGGCTTCACTCAGATTTTGTGTGGCTCCAACGGTAGTTAGTGGCTCTCAACACAAAGGCAGGGCTGTCGCCAGGGGGAGCAGAGGCTGCTGGGCATGGGGAAAATGCATAGGTGTCCCCACCTACCTCGTGGCTAAAAACTAGCAGCTGAGCAACAGCTAGGCTACTTATACCCAAAGCCTCTGTTGGTTGGTGAGGTCAAGGACATCGGATGGTTGGTTTCACCCATGGTGAGGTCAAGGACGAAGGATGGCTGGCTGCCCCTCGCTGAGGTCAGGCTGCCTCACCCTTGGCCTGACCCAGCCTGAACCCGGAGGCTGCGGACAGAGCCCACGGGGGTGGAGCAGGCTCAGGCCTCTGCTCTCCCCCTGCCCCCATGGCGTGCTGCAGGGCATCTTCTGGGGTGGGGTCATCGTGGGAGCCCCACGCCACCATCTGCAAGTCCTCTGCAGGGACAGTTGGAGCTCCCAACCACCCAGCCCCCAGCCCCATTTCCTGCCATGGCTGGGTGGCCCCTTGGCAGGAAGGCTACAGCTGTTCTCTGGGGCCCCCTCGGCCTCCCACAGGCCACCAGCATCCTCAGGCTGAGAGTGTGGCTGGCACAATGCCCTGCACACATCCTGGTGAGACGAAGGGAGAAGCTGGCACAGTGACCCAGAGAGACGGACAGTCAGAGCGGCCCACACCCACCCCCCAACACCTCCACACAGACAAGAGAGCAAGGTGGCCTAGGTAGGCACCGGAGACATGAGCAGACCGAAACGGGGACGCAAGACCCTCAGTGCCCAGAAAGTGGGGGTCTGAGAGAGGGAGCTCAGTGGGCAGGGCCTGGGGGGTGAGAAGGACTGTCTCGGAGGCAGCCACCCCAGCTGGGCCTTGGGGCTCTGAACCCTCAAGATCCCTTCTGGGGGCGCGGTGGCTCACACCTGTTATCCCAGTACCTTGGGAGACAGAGGCAGGCAGATCGCTTGAGCCCAGGAGTTTGAAACCGGCCTGGGCAATATAGTGAAACTCCATCTCTACAAAACATGAAAAAATACATTTTTTTTTTTGAGACTGAGTTTCACTCTTGTTGCCCAGGCTGGAGTGCAGTGGCGCGATCTCAGCTCATTGCAACCTTCACCTCCCAGGTTCAAGCGATTCTCCTGCCGCAGCCTCCTGAGTAGCTGGTACTACAGGCACGCGCCACTATGCCTGGCTAATTTTTGTATTTTTATTTTTATTTATTTATTTTTTGAGACGGAGTCTCGCTCTGTCGCCCAGCCTGGAGTGCAGTGGCGTGATCTCAGCTCACTGCAAGCTCCGCCTCCCGGGTTCACGCCATTCTCCTGCCTCAGCCTTCCGAGTAGCTGAGATTACAGGCGCCCGCCACCAGGCCGGCTAATTTTTTGTATTTTTAGTAGAGACAAGGTTTCACCATGTTAGCCAGGATGGTCTCGATCTCCTGACCTCGTGATCCGCCTGCCTCGGCCTCCCAAAGTCCTGGGAGTACAGGCATGAGCCACCACGCCTGGCCAAATGTTTGTATTTTTAGTAGAGACGGGGTTTCACCACATTGGCCAAGCTGGTCTCAAACTCCTGACCTCAAGTAATCCACCCACCTCGGCCTCCCAAAGTGCTGGGATTATAGGTGTGAGCTAGCATGCCCCGCAAAAAAAATAAAAATTACCTGGGCATGGTGGCATGTGCCTGTAGTCCTAGCTACTCAGGAGGCTGAGGTGGGAGGATCGCTTGAGCCTGGGAAGTTGACGAGGCTGCAGTGAGCTGTGGTTGAGCCACTGCACTCCAGCCTGGATGACAGAGCCAGATCCTGTCTCAAGAAAGAAAGAAGGAAAGAAGGAAAGAAGGAAAGAAGGAAAGAAAGAAAGGAAGAAAGGAAGAAAGGAAGAAAGGAAGAAAGGAAAGAAAGGAAAGAAAGGAAAGAAAGAAAGAAAAGAAAGAAAGAGAGAAAGAAAGAAAGAAAGACTCTTTCTCGGTCCCTCAACATCCTCCTCCCAGGCCTGGCCAAGCTTCCTGGCCTGAGGTGTCACCCGCCTGCCTAGATGTGCTTGGGGTGGGGTCCCTGAGGCTGGAGAGTGGGGAGACAGCACAGCTGGGCCACACTGGCCAGTGCAGGATGACGGAGGCTCCCACCCCATTCCAGTGCCCAGAGTGAGAGCAGAGGTGACTGGGTGGGAACCCAGGGGTCCAGGGAATGCGGGGGTGGCTGGACCAGCCCTGGCCTCCAGCTCCCTTCGCCTCCCCTGCCAGGGCCCTGCTTGAGGAAGAAGCTCAGGCAGCTCAGGAGATTCATCTTCCCAGGGGCGGCACCCCGGACGGGGCTCCTCCTACACCTGTCGGGGAAACAGTTCGCACCTGTGGCCTCAGCTGGTGGGTGGCTGGTCCAGCCACCAAGGTTTTCCTGACTGCGAGGCCCCTAGAGGTGCCCAGCTAAGGGGCTGCGGAGGGCAGAGCCTTCCCGAGCCCCCTGCCCACTGCCCTCTTGGGCCCTGCCAGGTAAGGGGCAGCCCAGAGATGGACCCAGAGTCCAACCTGCCTGCCCTGGAGCTGCCCTTCTGTCCCAAAGAAGCAGCTGGAGGTCACTGACAGGC
Source organism: Homo sapiens (assembly GCF_000001405.40). NCBI lineage: Eukaryota > Metazoa > Chordata > Mammalia > Primates > Hominidae > Homo > Homo sapiens. The sequence goes on from NC_000001.11 coordinate 1,901,880, forward strand.
AGATGCCAGCAGGGCCCTTTCCAGCAGTGGGTGGCCATGAGTAGCCTTCCCTGGAAGCAGGGGACCTGGTCAAGGCTCTCTCAGGATAGAGAGGCACCTAGAGGGGAAGGGCCAGGGGTCCTCCCAGGCTGGAGCTGCACTCCCACAGTGCAGCTGCTCACTGGGCGGAGCTCTTCGCCACGCCACACCGGGCTGCACGGGTCACAACAGTGCCTCGGGGGGCCGTCCTCTCCAACAGAAGACCCCACCACACTGCCCCGCCCTGTGAAGAGGTCAGGGACTCTATCTTTCTCTCTGGGTGCCAGGGTCCCACCTGCTGTCCCCACCCCCCACCCAGCTCAGGGCCCAGAGGTCTCCACAAGGGACTTCCTCCACACGCCCCACGCCCTTGGTGACTTGCTGGCTCCCCTTTGTTGGGTTCTGCCTCATGAGCTACTGTAAAAAAAAAAAAAAAGTGGTAAAGCCTGGGGGCGGTGGCTCACGCCTGTAATCCCAGCACTTTGGAAGGCCGAGGCGGCCAGATCACAAGGTCAGGAGATCGAGACCATCCTGCCTAACACGGTGAAACCCTGTCTCTACTAAAAATACAAAAAAATTAGCCGGGCATGGTGGCGGGCACCTGTAGTCCCAGCTGCTTGGGAGGCTGAGGCAGGAGAATGGCGTGAACCCGGGAGACGGAGCTTGCAGTGAGCTGAGATCACGCCACTGCACTCTAGCTTGGGCGACAGAGCGAGACTCTGTCTCAAAAAAAAAAAAAAGTGATAAAATACACATAAAATTTATCATTTTAACTATTTTTTATTTTTATTTATTTATTTTTAAATTTTTATTTTTTTGAGATGGCGTCTTGCTCTGTCGCCCAGGCTGGAGTGCAATGGCGTGATCTCGGCTCACTGCAACCTCTGCCTCCCGGGTTCAAGCGATTCTTCTGCCTCAGCCTCCCAAGTAGCTGGGACTACAGGCGCCTGCCACCATACCCAGCTAATTTTTATGCTTTTAATAGAGATGGGGTTTCACCATGTTGGCCAGGATGGTCTCAATCTCTTGACCTTGTGATCCGCCCGCCTTGGCCTCCCAAAGTGCTGGGATTACAGGCGTGAGCCACCATGCTCGGCCTATTTTTTTTCTTTTCTTGGTATGGGGGATCTCACTACGTTGCCCATGCTGGACTCAAACTCCTGGGCCTCCCTAGCAGCTCCGACTACAGGTGCACGCCACTGCACCGGGTGTGCTGTAACCATTTTCGAGTGTACAATGTGTGGCATTTAGCACATTCCCAGTGCTGCGTAGCCGTCAGCACCCCTGCATCAGAACACTTCACTGCCTCCAAGAAAACCCCATGCCCATTAAACAGCCACACCACCCTCCTCCACCCCCCTGGTCCTGGTAACCTCGGTTCCACCTTCTTTTGTGAATCTGGCTGTCGTAGATGCCTCCTGCCAGTGGAACACACAGCCTGTGACCCTTCATGTCTGGCTTCTTCCACCAAGCATAGGTCTCCAGGTTCATCTGCATCACAGCATGTCTCCGTACTTCCTTCCTCTTTACGGCTGAATAATATTCCACTTTATGGATATACCACATTTTACCCATACATTCATGAATGGATATTTGGGTTGTTTCCACCTTTTGGCTTTTTTTTTTTTTTTTTTTTTGAGCCAGAGTCTCGCGCTGTCGCCCAGCCTGGAGTGCAGTGGCGCGATCTTGGTTCACTGCAAGCTTCGCCTCCCGGGTTCACGCCATTCTCCTGCCTCAGCCTCCTGAGTAGCTGGGACTACAGGCGCCCGCCATCATGCCTGGCTAATTTTTTTGTATTTCTTAGTAGAGACAGGGTTTCACCGTGTTAGCCAGGATGGTCTTGATCTCCTGACCTTGTGATCTGCCTGCCTCAGCCTCCCAAAGTGCTGGGATTACAGGTGTGAGCCACTGTGCCTGACCGGCTTTTTTTTTTTTTTTTCTTAAATAGAGACAGAGGCCAAGCACAGGGGCTCAATAGTTGTAATCCCAGCACTTTGGGAGGCCGAGGCGGGTGGATCACCTGAGGTCAGGAGTTTGAGACCAGCCTGGCCAACATGGCGAAACCCTGCCTCTACTAAAAATACAAAAATGGGGGCCAGGTGCGGTGACTCACGCCTGTAATCCCAGCACTTTGGGAGGCCGAGGCGGACAGATCCCCTGAAGTCAGGAATTCAAGACCAGCCTGGCCAACATGGCAGAACCCTGCCTCTACTGAAAATACAAATATTAGCCGGGCATGGTGGCACGCGCCTGTAATCCCAGCTACTCGGGAGGCTGAGGCAGGAGAATCACTCAAACCTGGGAGGCGGAGGTTACAGTGAGCTGAGACTGCGCCACTGCACTGCAGCCTGACGACAGAGCTACAAACACAAAAAATTAGCCACGCATGGTGGCACACACCTATAATCCCAGCTACTTAGGAGGCTGACACAACAGAATCACTTGAACCTAGGAGGCAGAAGTTGCAGTGAGCTGAGACCGCGCCATTACACTCCAGCCTGGGCAACAAGAATGAAACCCGGTCTCAAAATAAATAAATAAATAAATAAATAATATAAAATAAATAAATAATTAGAGACAGGGTCTCGCTCTGTGGTGGGGTTGGAGTGCAGTGATGCAATCATGGCTTGCTGCAGCCTCAACCTCCTTGGCTCAAGTGATCCTCCTGCCTTGGCCTCCCAAGTAGCTGGGAATAGAGGTGCCTGCCACCATGCCTGGCTAATTAAAACAAATTTTTTTTGTAGAGATGGGGTCCCATCCTATTGCCCAGGGTGGTCCTTTAGCTATTATAAACAATGCTGTTATACACATTCCTTTTTTTCCCAAGACAGAGTCTCACTCCATCGCCCAGGCTGGAGTGCAGTGGTGTGATATTGGCTCACTGCAACCTCCGCCTTCCGGGTTCAAGCGATTCTCCTGCCTCAGCCTCCTGAGTAGTTGGGAATACAGGCGTGCCCACCATGCCTGGCTAATTTTTGCACTTTTAGTAGAGATGGGGTTTCACCATGTTGGCCAGGCTGGTCTTGAACTCCTGACCTCAGGTGATCTGCCCCCCCTCAGCGTCCCAAAATGCTGGGATTGCAGGCGTGAGCCACTGTGCTTGGCCACACACATTCTTTTGTTTGAACATCTGTTTTAAATTCTTTGGGACATATACCTAGGACCAGAGTTGCTGGGTAATATGGTAACTTTTTTTGATTTTTTTGAGACAGAGTCTTGCTTTGTTGCCCAGGTTGGAGTGCAGTGACATGATACTAGCTCACTGCAACCTCCGCCTCCCAGGTTCAAGCAATTCTCCTGTCCCAGCCTCCCGAATAGTTGGGATTACAGGTGTGCACCACCACATGCGCATAATTTTTATTTTTAGTAGAGATGGGGTTTCGCCATGTTGGCCAAGCTGGTCTCAAACTCCTGACCTCAGGTGATCTACCCGTCTCAGCCTCCCAAAGCGCTGCTATTATAGGCAGAAGCCACTGCATCCGGCCTTTATTTTTATTTTTTGAGACAGGGTCTCACTCTGTCACTCAGGCTGGGGTGCAATGGCACCATCACGGCTCAGTGCAGCTTCTACCTCCCAGGCCCAAGTAAACTCCCAAGTAGCTGGGATCACAGGCAGGTGCCACCATGCCCGGCTAATTTTTTTTTTTTTTTTGAGACAGAGTCTCGCTCTGTCACCCAGGCTGGAGTGCAGTGGCATGATCTCAGCTCACTGCATGCTCCAACTCCCAGGTTCACGCCATCCTCCTGCCTCAGCCTCCCCAGTAGCTGGGACTACAGGCGCCCGCCACCACGCCTGGCTATTTTTTTTTTTTTTTTTGAGACAGAGTCTCACTCTGTTACCCAGGCTGGAGTGCAATGGCACGATCTCGGCTCACTGCAAACTCCGCCTCCCAGGTTCACGCTATTCTCCTGCCTCAGCCTCCCGAGTAGCTGGGACTACAGGCGTCTGCCACCATGCCTGCCTAATTTTTTTTGTATTTTTTAGTAGAGACAGGGTTTCACAGTGTTAGCCAGGATGGTCTCGATCTCCTGACGTCGTGATCTGCCCGCCTCGGCCTCCCAAAGTGCTGGGATTACAGGCATGAGCCACTGCGCCCGGCCATGCCCAGCTAATTTTTTTTTAATGTTTTGTTTGTAGACAGAGGGTATCCCTATGGTGCCCAGGCTGGTCTCGAACTCCTGGGCTCAAGAGATCCTCCCACTTCAACCTCTCACTGTGGTGGGATGACAAGAGTGATCCACCGTGCCTGGCCTTGTTCTTTGTTTTCAAGATTGTTCTGATTATTCAGGGCCCTTGCAATTCCACATGAATTTGAGGATCAGCTTTTCCATTCTTGCCAAAAAGGCCATTAGCATTCATCACCTGTTTTCTGAAAAAAGATAAATTCTGAGCACAGGCCACAGTGTGGTGTCTTAGTCCTTCCAGCCTAACACGCTGACCAGTGGGGTCAGCTCACCAAGGGCAGGCGACAGCGTGATGGGAAGCAGCGGGGCTCTGAGCAGGGACATGACCCCCTCTGGCGGCTGAGAGGAGAACGTCCCGTAGGGCCAGGGTGACCAGAGAGGAGTGCAGATGGGCTGTGAAGGTTGGGCAGGGCTGAGTATTCCTGAGTGACAGATTTGCTGGTGGCACAGGGTCGAGGGCAGTGGGGGAGTCGAGGCTGACACCTGGGTGTTGTAAGCAACGGGGCAGCAGAGCCGTTACAGCGGAGGTGGGAGAGCATGGGCTGCTTTTTGGACCTTTTTAGCATGAGATGCTTCTAAATGTTTGGGTGGAGAAGCAGGCATGGGGAGGGTGTCTCAGGGGCCTGCAGAGCCACAGGCTGGCAGGGCACATGGTGGGGACATGTGTAGCTGAGGACTGTCCTGGAGCTGCCAATATCCCTGCAGGAGGGACTCCTGGGAGTGCTGGCCTGGGCGTGGGGAAGATGGGCAGTGTCCACCCAGGCCAGCTTGGCCAGCCCTTGGGAGTGGCTGAAGCTCTCTGGGGGTAGGCGTGAGAGGCAGGCCTGCCCCTCTCAGACTGGGTGTTGCCCCCAGGCCTGGGCTCCACTAGTTCCCATCTTCAAGGCTTGGAGATAACAGGCCTTGGCCTCAGGGAGTCCAGAATGTACAATGTCAGCCCAGCCCATCAGGGCAGTGGAGTCCCTGGGACTCATGACTGGGACCCAAGTGCAGCCCCGACATCTTCTGAAGTGGAGGCAGGCACCACAGCACATGCCCTGGGGCAGGAGGGGGCAGCTGTGGCCCTTCAGCAGGGCCATCCAGGCCCAGGGCTCCATGCAGAACCCCCAGGGTCTCAGCCCCTTGACTCCTAGGCAGGACTCACCCCAAAGCCACGGCCTTCTCCTGGGACTGCCCCTGGGGCCTGAGGCTGTTTGTCTAGAATGCTGTCCTGAGGCTCCAGCATGCTCCAGCGTGTGTCTCCTGGGAGCTGATGCAAGGTTTGCTTGGAGGAGGCAATAAGGGGTGGGGTACGGCATGGGGACCAGTGAGGTCCTGGAGGGGGCACAGGCCAAGGTGGTGGTCTGGGAGGCCTGAGGGCATGGGGGCTGCCCAGGGGTGGAAGAGGACCCCAAGCAGCAGGGATTTGGGTGGAACCAGGAGTCCTCAAGCAGGGGTGCTGCCCCTCCTGGGGAGGCTGGGCCTGCAGGTGCTGGGTGTTTTGGAAACCAGCAGGTGTGGCCAGGCACGTGGCCCCTGGAGCCTGTGGCTGACGCACATCTGAGACTGGCTGGGCGCTGCTGCACGCCTCCTGGAGCTCTGCCCAGGCTTGCCCTGGGGTCCCCTGGGGGTAGGCCCAGCCTGTCCACCAGACTTTTTTTTGTTTTTTGAGACGGAGTCTTGCCCTGTCGCCCAGGCTGGAGTGCAGTGGCGCGATCTCGGCTCACTCCAAGCTCCGCCTCCCGGGTTCACGCCATTCTCCCGCCTCAGCCTCCCGAGTAGCTGGGACTGCAGGCACCCGCCACTATGCCCGGCTAATTTTTTTGTATTTTTAGTAGAGACGGGGTTTCACCATTCACAGGATGGTCTCGATGTCCTGACCTCATGATCCGCCCACCTTGGCCTCCCAAAGTGCTGGGATTACAGGCGTGAGCCACCGCGCCCGGCCTTTTTTTTGAGATGGTCTCCCTATGTTGCTCAGGCTAGAGTGCAGTGGCGAGCGCGACATGGGCTCACTGCAACCTCGCCTCTCAATCACAAGCAATTCTCCTTCCTCAGTTTCCCAAGTTACTGGGATTACAGGCATGTGCCACCACGCCCGGCTAATTTTTGTATTTTTTTGTAGAGTTGTGGGTGGGGAGTTCGCCATGTTGGCCAGGCTGGTCTTAAACTCCTGACCTCAAGTGATCCGCCTGCCTCTGCCTCCCAAAATGTTGGGATTACATGTGTGAGCTACCTAGGGCCCGGCCCCCATCATACTTCTAAGGGTCTGTCTCTCCTGCCCTGCGGCCTCTCCAGCAGCCCCTGGGGACCACGGGGTCAGGCCTTGATTGGGCACCGAGCTGGGACCTCTGGGAGTGACCATGGGGAGGAAGCCCCCCATCACTGCAGAGGGTGGCAGGAGTGAGGGGCTGAGTCAACCTGACTCCTGGGGCCCTGCTGAGGCCAGATCCATGCCCGCCCGAGCCCAGGGCCTGCCCGTCTCAGGCTGGGTGTTGCCCCAGGCCCGGACTCCGGCAGTCCCCATCTGCGGTCCCTTTTGGGAGCTGGAAGGAGGCGGGACAGGACGGCTGCGGGGGTGCAGGGGCTCCTGGGCCACCGGGCGCGCTGGGGCACGCGCTGCAGGGAGGATCTGGGGCTCCTGGTACGTTTGGACAACATGACCCAGCTGCTGTCACATTCGAACGAGGCTGAAGAGGACGCGGACGGAGGAGCCCCGGAACCTGGCTGCCACTGCGCCCCGAGGTGGAGCAGGGAGTCGGGCCGAGCCCTCCGCGGCGCGGGCGGCTGCTGGCGAGGGGCCTCTCGGGAGCCGCGGTCGGGGCACCCTGCGGGGCCGCAGCCGGCGCCTCCGTTCGTTCCCGGCGACGGTGGGAGTCCGGAAGGGAAACTCACAGGGCCGTGTGTGACCGAGGACGGAGGGCGGCGCGGACGGCGCCGTGTTCGCAGTGCTCGAAATCCCCACGACCGGCCTCGGACGGCGACCCCGGCCGGCCCAGCTCCCACTCCAAGCGGGGTGACGCCAGACGCCCAGGCCCCGGGACCGCCCCGAGTCCGCGCGGCCTGCGAGCGCCGTCTGGTGGGAAAGCGCGGAGCTTCCGACGCGGGGCGGGGCTTCCAGGTGGGGCGGGGCCGAGACAGGGTGGGGCGGGCGTCAAGGCGGGCCGTGGGGGGGGGGGGGGAAGTGACGGGGCGTGGCCGGATGACGGGGCGTGGCCGGGTGACGGGGCGGGGCCGGGTGATCCGGGCTCCCCCGCCTTTCCCCGCCGCCGCTAGGACGCACGGCGGTGGCGAGCACCGGCTCCCACAGGCTGTGCCACGTGAACGTCAAGCAAGAAGCGAGAGACGGCCGCGCGCGGTGGCTCACGCCTGTAATCCCAGCACTTTGGGAGGCCGAGGCGGGCGGATCACCTGAGGTCAGGAGTTGGAGACCAGCCTGGCCAACATGGCGAAACCCCGTCTCTACCGAAAGTACAAAAATTAGCCGGGCGTGGTGGCGGGCGCCTGTAATCCCAGCTACTCGGGAGGCTGAGGCAGGAGAATCGCTTGAACTCGGGAGGCGGAGGTTGCCGTGAGCTGAGATCGCGCCACTGCACTCCAGCCTGGGCGACAGGGCAAGACTCTGTCTCGAAAAAAAAAAAAAAAGGGCGAGAAGCCTCTAGTGCAGCGCTAGGCCCCACCTCAGGGCGCGCTGGGCTTCGCTCCTCCTCCCCCACTTCGCAGAGGGAAGCTGAGGCACAGCCCGGCTTTATGGAACCCAGCTGAGGACTGCGGATGGCGGGAGAAGCCCTGGGGCCGCTCTCGCTGCTGGTCCGGGGCTGCTGGCAGCTCTGCGCGCTGGTCCCGGAAGGCTTTGTTCCAAGACAAGCCTGCATTTCCCAAAATAATCCATGGTTTTTAGGGCTGGTAACCTGCAGCCCCTCCGCCGGCCTGCCCTTTCTCAGAAACAACCACTTTCAACTATTTGAGCTCTTTCCTCTGTTTTGTTTGTTTGTTTTTGTTTGTTTTATTGTTGTTTGTTTTTGAGACAGGGTCTGGCTCTGTCACCCAGGTCGGAGTCCAGTGGCACAATCCCAGTTCACTGCAGCCTCAACCTCCCTGGCTCAAGCGATCCTCTCACCTCAGGCTCTTGAGCAGCTGGGACCACTGACCACTCCCGGCTGATTTTTTTTTTTGTATTTTTGTAGGGACAGGGTTTCACTATGTTGCCCAGGCTGGTCTCAGACTCCTGGCTCAAGCCATCTTCCCACGTCAGCCTCCCACAGTGCTGGGATTATATGTGAGAGCCACCACGCCTGGCCCTGAATGTACTTTTATAATGTGACTTTCTGCTTTCTATTTATGCTTCTTTCTCCCCTCCTGTGTTCTGTTAGATTTATTACATTTTCGTCATTATTTTTTCCTCCACAGGTGTGGAGGTTATACAAGCAGTTTCAGTCATTTTAGTGGCCACCTTAGAGGTTTCACGTTGCGTTTTAGGCCCAGGGCATTGTCTCTAGCTATCTCCTGTGCGGTGCTGGGAGTGCAGGGCCCTGTGGCTCACATCCCCTCGTCCTTGTGGGGTCTGCGGGTCTGGAGTTCGGGCTTCACTTTGTTTTTTCACCCTTGTCCAGGCCGGGCTCCCGTAAGCAGATACTGAGACGAGGACTCAAAGGGACAGTTTTTTTGGGGGAATTCCAGGAAGCCACCGTGGGGCAGCTGGAGGTGATGAGGGTGGGAAGGGGCCAGCCCAGGGCTGAGCAGATGACACTGTGTGCAAGGGGCCATGGCTCCGGTGTTCACCCCATCACTGTTGCTTGCCCTGGGCTCTGCTGAGGAGGCCTCAGGCAGAAGCTGCACAAGGAAGGGAACGGCAGGAGAAGCCGGGAGCCGTGAAGTCCTTTTCCTACTGAGCCCGTGCTCCAGGCCCAAGGGAGCCCTGTGGGTCCAGACCCCGTAGATGCCGCAGCAGCACCGGGTCCACTCGACCGCAGCGAGGTTCCGGCTGCAGCTCCACCCTCAGAGCCAACCTCATGCTACCAGGGCAGGTGGGGCTCGGGGGAACCAGTGTTGCCTCTGGTTTGGGTCCTTCCAGCATTGGGGGTGGGAGTGTCAGCTCTTCCTATGGAGTGGTGAGCAAACCTGCAGACGCGGAAGCTTCAGAGCTACCTGGGGATCAAACTCCAGGGGACACCCACCTGGATGTCCCCACCAGGGCCCTGCCGGCTCTGATTTAAGTCCTGGGCTTGGTCCTCCGAATCGCTGCCCTCCCACTGCAGAGTGGAGAGCAGAGATGCTGCCTGAACCACAGAGGGCCCCCGACGCTCACACTTGGGCTCACCCCTGGCTTTCAAGTGCCCCTTTCTCTCCTTCTACCATTTGTAGCCTCGATTGGTGGCAGTTACCTGGTCCATCCCTCTGCCCTTCCAACACACCACCAGTGAGTGTAACAGGTGACTGTGCAGGGGCTTGTGTCTTCGTCCCGCACTGGTGCCTGGTTGCAGCTTGGCAGCGGGGGGTCCACCGCCAACATCCATCATGTCACAGCTGGGGCTCCCCAGAAGCTGACCCTGAGATGGAGTTTGGGATAGGAGCTCCCTGTTAGGGGTCAGCCCCTGTGACAGGAAGGGGGAAGCAGAACCAGACAGAAGGGGTCCTAGACCACCTGCAGGGACCATCAGAGTCCTGCCTGTGGACACAATGACCACCTTGTGTCATGTGGCTCAGGTGGGGTGGGTTTGCAGCTGAGGCTGCTGCCCTGGAGTGGGGCGGGGTCTCTCAGTGTCTTCTCACTGGAGACCCTCAGTGGCAGTGGTGATGTCTGCGGTGACCCTCTGTGGTAGAAGCAGGGGGATGTGTATATGTGTGTATGTCTGTATATATACGTCTGTCATATACACAGACGAGAGAGATTTTGAGGAATTGGCCCGTGTGATTGCACTGTAGGCAACCTCCAGGGAAGAGCTGATGTTGCAGCCGTCTGGAGGCAGAATTCCTTCTTCCTTGGGGGACCTCAGTCTTTTCTCTTAAGGTCCTCAACTAACTGGATGCGGCCCCCCCCTACATTATGGAGGGTCATGTGCTTTACCCAAAGTCTACTGATTTAAATACTTTTTCTTTTTTTTTTTGAGGTGGAGTCTCGCTCTGTCTCTCAGGCTGGAGTGCAGTGGCACGATCTCGGCTCACTGCAAGCTCTGCCTCCTTGGGGTTCACGCCATTCTCCTGCCTCAGTCTCCCAAGTAGCTGGGACTACAGGCGCGCACCACCATGCCCAGCTAATTTTTTTATTTTTATTTTTAGTAGAGACGGCATTTCACCATGTTAGCCAGGATGGTCTCGATCTCCTGACCTTGTGATCTCCCTGCCTCGGTCCCCCAAAGTGCTGGGATTACAGGCATGAGCCACCATGCCCGGCCTACTGATTTAAATACTAATCACATCTATGAAACACCTTCATGCCCGCCCATATTCATTGCAGCAGCAGTTCCAACAGCCAAGAGGTGGGAGCACCTAAGTGTTCATCAGCAGATGGTGGATAAACCGAGTGTGGTCCATCCCGAGAATAACATTTTACTCAGCCTTAAAAAAGACGCCTATTCCAGGCCGAGTGCGGTGGCTCATGCCTGTAATCTCAGCACTTTGTGAGGCCCAGGTGGGCGGATCACAAGGTAAGGAGATCGAGACGATCCTGGCTAACACGGTGAAACCCCGTCTCTAGTAAAAGTATAAAAAATTAGCCGGACTTGGTGGTGGGTGCCTGTAGTCCCAGCTACTCGGGAGGCTGAGGCAAGAGAATTGCTTGACCTGGGAGGCAGAGGTTGCAGTGAGCTGAGATCGCGCCACTGCACTCCAGCCTGGAGATAGAGCGGGACTCTGCCTCAAAAAAAAAAAAAAAAAAAAAGTCGAATTCTTTTTTTTTTTTTTGGAGATGGAGTCTCACTCTGTCACCCGGGCTGGGGTGCAGTGGCGCAATCTCGGCTCACTGCATCCTCCACCTCCCAGGTTCAAGCAATTCTCTGCCTCAGCCTCCTGAGTAGCTGGGATTACAGGCACCTGCCACCACGCCCGGCTAATTTTTTTATTTTTTTATTTTTTTTAGTAGAAACAGGGTGTAACCATCTTGGCCAGGCTGGTCTTGAACTCCTGACCTTGTGATCCACCCACCTCGGCCTCCCAAAGTGCTGGGATTACAGGCGTGAGCCACCACACCCGGCCCCCGGAGTCGAATTCTTAAAAACAGAAAGTAGAATAGTGATTGCCATAGGCTGGGGGGCGGGGGGTGGTGGAAGAGGGCAGATGCTGTTTAATGGGGGCGGGGGTCCGTTTTGCAAGGTGAAAGGTTCTAGAGATCTGCTGCATAACTGGGTACGGCCATGAACACAACTGCACTTGCACCTGAACGTGGCTGAGGCAGCATTCTAATTGTTACAGGGTTTTTCTCTTTTTCTGTTTTCTTTTCTTTTCTTTTTTTTTTTTGAGATGGAGTCTCGCTCTGTTGCCCAGGCTGGAGTGCAGTGGCGCGATCTCGCCTCACTGCAAGGTCTGCCTCCTGGGTTCACGCCATTCTCCTGCCTCAGCCTCCGGAGAAGCTGGGACTACAGGTGTCTACCACCACGCCTGGCTAATTTTTTTGTATTTTTTTTAGTACAGTCGGGGTTTCACTGTGTTAGCCAGGATGGTCTCGATCTCCTGACCTCGTGATCTGCCCGCCTCAGCCTCCCAAAGTGCTGGGATTACAGGCGTGAGCCACCGTGCCCAGCCTCTTTTTCTGTTTTCTTATGGAGAATAGCCCTTCGGTGATCAGAAGAGACACAAGAAGGAAAATAAAGATTGGATGAGTCTCAGGTCCTAGAGATACGGGGTATGTCCGAAGGCCACACAGAGGCTGGTCAGCATGAGGAGAGAGGGTTAGAGGGCGAGGACCTGTTCTGCTGCTTGTACTGGGTCTTGGATATGGGTAGAAGCCTAGATGGAGAGGAGAGAGGTTGATGGTGGTTGTGGCCATGTTGCCCCTTCCTACGGGCGGGGCGGGGGGTGTGCCCTCTGCTTTAAGTTGGGCTCCAGGGGTCACAGCTTTGAGTTTCACTCGTAAGCCCATCAGGATGTCTGGAACCTTCAGGGCTGTGGCCCAGGAATGTCAGACGCTGGAAGCCTGGGAACGGAGGAGGCAGAGCCTGCTGTCCACTGGCTGTGAGAGTTGTTGGGGTGGGGACTTGTCCAGGGCCACGAGGCCAGTGCAGTTCTCTGTGTCTCTGTACCCAGCTGGCCTGTACCTGGAGACCCTGAGCCAGAACCCAGGATGGGCCCTGGCCTGGGTGCTGCGGCTCCCTCCATTCTATGCCCCTGGGGGAAGGTGCTCAGTGCGTGAATTGTTCCCTGCCCCAGCCCAGGGGAAAGCTGAGGCCAGGGAGCAGCCAGGATGAAGGTCAGGGCCTCCCTTGGCCCCACCAGACCCAGGGCCGCTTCCCTCCAGCCCCGGCTCCCGTTTGGCTGGAGGTGCCCTGGGCCATTGGCCTGCCCTCGTCAGCGTCAATCTTGCAGTCTCAGCAGCTGGCCTGGGTTTCAGCGGGAGCCATCCTGTAGCTGCAGGTTTGCTGGCAGGCAGAGGGTTGGGCTGGCGGGGGACACTGAGTGCCCCACCTGCTCAGACTCTTCATGCCATCAAGGGGCCAGTCGGGGGGCAGGTGTGAGTGTGACCCTGAGGGCCCTGACCTGCCACTGCAATCCTCACACTCTTGCCTGGGTGGGGCAGGGAGGAGCTGGACCCTGGCTTTGGGAGTCTGGTGGGTAATTAGACCCAGACAGGGAGGGCTCAGTGCGGGTCTGAGGAGGGAACACACGTGTGCAGGCGTGTGCTCCACGGTGGCATGTTGATACGGACCAGCCTGGGCACCAGGCCCCCTCGGGAGCCAGCTTTGCTGTTCTGAGTGGAAGGGAGATCAGGTTTCCCTGAGAAACCCCAAAATAGCCCCCAACTGTGCCTGGCTTCCAGCGGGCAGCCCAGCCCCCAGGCCCTGTTTTGCTCCCTTTCCCCCTTCACCCCCAGCCCATGTCCTGCTGTCTCCTCCCTGAATGGTGGACCCTCAGCCCCTCCTGTACAAGATGGTCAAGCGGTGCCTCATGCATTTGTTCATTCGACCTGTCCTGAGAGTTTGTGACATGCTGGCACGGGGCCAATGTTGAGTCCACCAGGATGGGAGGGTGGCCAGGCTCTGAGCCACTGAGCACCAGCTGGCCAGGATGGGTCTTCAACAAGAAATCTCACTGGTAAGTGATGACAGCATGGGACCAGGGTCCCATGAAGACCTGCTGGAGGGCCGCACCTCTGGGAAGGTAGACTTGGAGCTTGGTCCAGTGAAGAGGGAACAGCACGGGGAACAGCGTGTGTGAGGGTCCCGCCATGTCTCAGCCCTTTCCTGGCCCCCGCACTTAGCCTTCGGTGCCCATCTTCAGGGTCAGGGGAAGCCCAGGCCAAAGCGGGCCGGGAAGGGGCCCTGTGGATAAGGCCGAGAGCCTGTCCCAAAATAGGGCCGGCAGGATTTCCCACCCATAAAAGGCTCTTGGAATCTGGACCCCGGGGACCCCAGGCAGCCAGGCCCAGCTAAAACTCAGCTGCCACCACTGCCCCAGCACTCTGCCCACAGCAGCCCTGGTGTCACCACCCTGCAGAATCCTGTCAGACAACCACCGACATGGTAAGGCTGCTCTCTGTGCCCGATGGAGTCTCTGGTGGGCTGGCTGGGTAGGTTGAGCTGGAACCTGGAGGTGCAATGACCTGCCACGGAGCCTGGGCAGGAAGGGGCTGAGGTAGAAGAGGGGGCCAAGCCCTGCTGCCACCAACACAGCCCTTGTTCCGGGGCCAGGGTGGAGCAGCCCTTTCTGAAAGCTGGCTCCCAGATGGGCAGCAGCAGTGGTGGCAGGCAGGTGTGGCCCGGTGCTGGACTCTCCCTCCGGAATGCCACACAGGCTGGAGCCCAGGGTTCTGCTTCCTGGGCTGTATCCCAATCCTGGGCTGGAAGCCTTTCCCGGGCCAGGGCTGGGCTCCTCCCCACCCTGCTCTCGGCTTCCTTCACCTGCCTCACCTGGTGTCCATTGCCAGGCTCCAGGGCCGCTGCCTGGCCCGCCTGGCCCTGCAGCTGCTGCTGTTCCCTCGCACGCTGGCTCCTGCCTGTCTGGCCCTTGCCCCTGTTAGCTGCCTGGCAGAGCCCTGCTGGCCCTGCAAACCCCTGGCGTGTGACCCCTTGTCCTGGAAGCCTGCTCTCCGCTGGGGGCCTCCTCTCTTACCACTCACCTTGAAAGGCTGCCAATGGAGGAATGGGTGCAGGGGGTACCTCTGACCCTTCCCTGGACACAGGGGCAGAAGGGGCTCCTGGTCAGGCCGGTGCGGGTGTCCCCTGCAGACAGAGCGCCTGTCGGCTGAGCAGATCAAGGAGTACAAGGGAGTCTTTGAGATGTTCGACGAAGAGGGCAACGGGGAGGTGAAGACGGGGGAGCTGGAGTGGCTCATGAGCCTGCTGGGTATCAACCCCACCAAGAGTGAGCTGGCCTCAATGGCCAAGGATGTGGACAGAGACAGTGAGCTCATGGCTGGAGTGGGGTGGGCAGCCTCGGGGGGGCCCTGGGTCAGGTGTCAGTGCCTACGGGGGGAAGAGGCAAAGCCCATGGGGAGTGCTGTGCCCCATCCCTTGAGCCCCAGCTGTGCCCCTTGCAGACAAAGGGTTCTTCAACTGCGATGGTTTCCTGGCACTAATGGGAGTTTACCATGAGAAGGCCCAGAACCAGGAGAGCGAGCTGAGGGCGGCATTCCGTGTCTTTGACAAAGAGGGCAAGGGCTACATTGACTGGAACACACTCAAGTAGGGCCCGGGTTGGGGGCGGGTGGTGGGCGGGCACGGGCAGGGCCGATGGAGTGGCTCAGCGCCAGGCCCCGTAGGTACGTGCTAATGAACGCAGGGGAGCCCCTCAACGAGGTGGAGGCGGAGCAGATGATGAAGGAGGCCGACAAGGATGGGGACAGGACCATCGACTATGAGGGTGAGTGGCCTGGAGCCCTGGGAGCCGTTGGCTGGGCCGGGGCAAGCTGCTGACCTGCCCCTCTGTTCCCAGAGTTTGTGGCCATGATGACGGGGGAGTCCTTCAAGCTGATCCAGTAGGTGCAGCTGCCGCAGCCGGGGGAGGCCTGCCCGGGAAGGCTGCTGCCCCTGCCCCCTGGCCCCCACTCCCCCGGCTCCGTGTAAAATAAATGTTCCAGCCCAACCTGTGTGTGCCTCACTGTCCCAGCCTGGGTTGGGGGGCAACAGGCAAAGGCGTGGGGCTGGAGAAGGAAAAGAGTTTTCCTGGCCCAGTCACAGAAACAGCCCCAGTCATTTCTGCCACGACACCTGACACCACCCATTGCCCAGCTCAGGGCTAGGAATGCCAGCCTGAAACCTGGACTGGGTACAGGCCGGGGACCACACGCTCGCCCTTCCTGCTTGCACTGGGGGTTGGCTGCCCAAGGGTTCCTCCCAGAGCCCTGGAGTCCCAGAGTCCTTCCCACATAGGCAGAGACCACTTAAATACAAACTTTATTCTCTCTCCAAGAAGATGCAGACGTCACAGGTGGCCCTGAGCTCCCACCCGAGGCTTAGGCCCAAGGGGCCTCTTCCAGGCTGAGGGCCTGCTGGGGCTGGGCCAGGGGCTGAGGCTGAAAGCAGCAGCCTGCCTAGTGGGTGACGCCAGGGGCCGGTGTAACATGGCACCGAGGTTGGGGCCACAGCAATGTGTGGGACGGTGGGGTGGGCTGGGGCCCTTGGCTCCAAGCATTAGTTCTCCAAGCTCTGGTCCGTTCTCCTACCTCCTTCAAGGGGCACCAGGGCTACAAGGTGGTAGTTGAGTATTGGGGCCCGACTCCTGGGGCACTGGAGTGGTCTCTAGGCCCGAGGCCCCAAGGAGAGGGCTGGGTTTCTGGGAGAGTGCTGGTCCTTCCTCTCTGGGCTTGGCCATCTTGACAGCTTCATCGTAGGAGGGTGGAGGCTCCGGGGTGTACAGGCTGTAGGCAGGAGGAGCCATGGAGTCCAGGTCCAGCTCCCCAAAGGGCAGGGGCAACCGCATGCCCAGTGGGTACTGCACGGAGCTGTAGGCTGCAGGGAACCAGAGTGGGTTCGTGGAGGCGGGCTTGGCATTTACCCCCGCCATCTCCACCCTCAACTGGCGGGCCCCTAGGCACTCACAGGTCACAGTGCTGTGTACAGGGCTGTCACTGTCCATAGGGATGACTGCCACGTCGCAGGGCTGCCGTGCTGGTGGCAGATGTGGCTGGGCCTGTGCCTGCTTCCGGAGGCAGCAGAACCGGACACAACCAGCTGTGACACCACACAGCAGAAGCAGGAGGACCGCCAGCAGGATGAGCCTAGGAGAGCAAGGCTCTACCACTGGACTGACCCTCGGCCACCGGGCACCTGCACCCTGGGGAATGTCGTGGCACAACCACCGAAGACAGGTTAACAGGATAAAAAGCAGACAATGTCTCTCCATGTCGGAGACCGCCGTGGCCAGAGCCTGGCCTCGGGCTGCTGGGCCTGCCCTGGCTATCTCTCCTGGGCTGGCCAGGGGTGGCCTTGGGCTCACTCCCAGGACTCGCTGTCCTCAGCGAGTGCCCCACTGCTGAGCGGGATCGTAGGGGACTCCCGCGGAGGCCAGGCGGGAGAGGTGGGAGGGAAGGTCCTGCTTGCTCCAGGTCAGTTCCCGCCAGCGGCCGGGACTGGGCGACAGCGGAGGCGGCCTGGTGAGGTAAGGGCCTGGCGGGCCTGGCCCCGGTGACCCCCGCCCCAGAACCGTCGGACGCACGGCTCCGCCGCGGCCTCCACTTACCCCACGTGCCACAGGCTGCTCCAGCGGGCCTGGGGCGGGCACCTGTGGGGACGGCGGCACCTGGAGCAGGCGGGGCATGGGACGGCCGACCTCGCCACCCGTGCCTCCCCATAGGGCGGGGCCAGGCCCCGGCTCCCTCCCCCCCGACTTACTGGTCCGAGGGGTCGCAGCTGCCGTCCGCGAAGCCCAGCGCCACCTGTGGGGACAAGGGTGAGCCCGGGAGGGGCGTGGTCCGAGCAGGGACCCGCCCCGCGGTGGCCGAACCGAGAGAGAACGCCGCCCGACCCACCTGCGGCAGCGGCAGGAGCGGCAGGAGCGGCAGGAGCGGCAGCAGCAGCCGCAGTCCGCGGGCGGCCAGCGGCCCCCGGGCCATGCTCTGAGGAGGTTGGAGCAAAGCCCGGCGGCGCGGCTTTATGGGGCCCCGCCCACCACAGGACACACCCACCACATGACACGCCCACAGAACGCCCGCTCAGAGTAAACCCCGCCCACCGGGCCCCGCTGGCCGCAGGCCCCGCCCACAGGCGCACACGCCTACTGGACGCCCCACGCAGGGTAAACCCCGCCCTCCGGGCACCGCCCAGAGCAAACCGCGTTCGTCGCAGGCCTCGCCCACAGGACGCCTCACGCAGCATAAACCCCGCCCACTGGGCCCCGCCCAGTGCAAGCCTTGTTCGCCGCAGGCCCCGCCCACAGGAGCCCTCGCCCACGAGACGCCCCCATTCGCTGGGCCTCCACTCAATGCAAACCCCGCCCACTGGCCCCATGCCCAACGTAAGCCTCGCCCACCATACCCCGCTCAGCGCAATCCCCTCCCACTGGGCCACGCCCAACGTGTTCAGAGGGCTTGTCCGCCACAAGCCCTACCCCGCAGCTCCACCTGGCCCAGACTCGTGAGGCGACGGTGGGTCTCGTCCTCAGCCCGGGCACGGCGCCTTAACCTCGGCCGAGCGTGGCCTGCTCTGCTGCTGGTCTGGGCGTGGCCCGGGGACCCTCGGGAGCTGGCCTGGAAAGTCGTGGCTGCCTTGGGTGTGGTCCCTCGGGTCCAGTCTCGCAGGCGGGCTCCAGGTGGACTGTAGGGTAACGCCACCAAGATGCTGGGCATCCCGAACTTGGTGTTTGGACACTTGATTGTGGACCTGCGCTGCAGGCGCTGTCTGGGGGCTGGCCCAGGGGGCTGGAGCCTGGCCCTGGCTCTGGGCTGTTGAGGCGCTGGGTGCAGACCACTTTCCCAAAGCACTTGGCCTTGGGGGCCATGCCCCACCTGGGGAATGTGACCTCCATTCCCGAGGGCCACAGGGAGCCCAGTGCCCTTCCCTCAGCCTGCAATGTCTGCTGCTCCCTGTGCAGGGGCAGGCCTGGGGCCATTTCTTCCAGGGGGACCCCAGACCCTTATCCCTCTGCCACCAGGCCAGGGGCCCTGTTAGGCTCTTGGTGCCCTCTGCTCCCCGTGGGACCAACAGCACACCGTCTCTCTGGTGGTCAGGCTAAGGGAGGTGGTCAGCACAGCAAGGGGCAGGGTCCATCTTACTGCAGGAGGGGCATGCACCCCTTGCTCAGAACTGTTCCACATGTGGGCGCTGCTCAGTGTCCCCCACCCCTACCACAAGGGCAGTGACCCTGGAGGGCAGGGCCTCCTCTGCGTGGCTCTTCTGCCCATACCTGCCCCTTCACTGCATCACTCCTTCCACTGTTGGGCTCTGCCTGAAGTTGCCTTTCACCTCCCAAGGCCTGTGCCACGGTCCTCAAGGGCCCTTCCTGCCTGCCCAGCTCCCCCAGCCCCTGGCCCTTCTTCCTGCCACATTGACTGCACTGGTCGTGGAGGCCCAGCACGGGAGTGGGAATGGGAGTGCATGTGCACAGCACAGCCTGAGGCCACAGCCCCGAGTTCCGGAAGGTGTGGGCACGGCCCCCACGCAGGAGCTGGGCGGGCCTCGCCACTCAGTACCAGAGGCCTGCCAGCAGGAGAGTCGGGTCAGGGTTTAGAAGAGAGGGGCCTATTCAGGAAACATTGCCATCCAGTAGCACCTCCTCCTGCGGCCGGGGCCTGGCCTGGACCTGGCGGAACCTGCCTTCCCCTCCCATCTGGTGTGGCGCAAGCTTGAGCCATGGTGGGTCGGCCGCAGGAAGGGCAGCAAGGGACCCATTGGACAGAAATCCTGCAAAACGCCACTGCGGGGTCAATGTCACTGGCTTGAAGTTTGGGGCAATGGCAAGTTCCTAGGCACTGTGGGCCCTGGGGGGCTGGGGGTGAGGGCAGGCAGCTCAAGACCGGCGTCCCTGAGGCCTGTGCCCAGGAAAGCTCCCAGAAGCACCATCTGCTCCCCCGACCCGGCCAGGGAAGGCTGCGTACAGTCTGCTGGTGGCTGCTGGTTGGGGTGGCACAGTGGGTGTGCTGCACTGACAGGAGGGCCAGGCTGGGTGGGCTCTGTGGGGACAGCGTCCAACAAGCCAGACTCCAGAGGGCAGGGTTGGGGTGCAGGCACCACTCTGAGCTTCAGGAGCATCTCACGGGCTGCGAGGGGTCTTCTCTGTTGAAGGGTGGGTCAGAGCCCAGAAAGCCGAGCCCAGACTTATCTCAGACAAATAGAGACTTCAGTGCAGGAGCTGGGCCTCACCTGGCCCCTGCTGGGTGGAGGGGAGGGCATGAGTAGGCTGGGGGGTCCCCACCGTCTGCTCACCTTTGCTTGGGGTCATCCGGGGTCCTGGAACTTGGGAAAAGTCTGGAGGTTCCCGGGGCCTGCCCTGGGCTTTGCAGCCCTGCCCTCCCCACCACCCAGGCCCCTCGGTTCTGGGTCAGCCTCAGCTCTAGCTGTACCCCGGCCCTCTGGGCTGCCTGCTGCTGCTCAGGGTGCCAGGCTTGGGGGCTCTCCTTGAATTTGGGTCAGGGTGGCCTCCCCACAGGTGTCCTGCAGGATGGCCCCACTCTAGGAGGCCCTTGCCAGGCAAAGCGGGTGTCATGGCTGTGAGGGGAGGGGCTGCTTCCCCAGGGCTCTGTCCCCACCTCCCATTCTGTGCTCACCCCAGGGAATAACCTGCTGTCACCCACACTGCAGGCTGCATGTGTTGGCCTACAAAAAATTTATTGACAGGCTGTGGAGGGCTCTCCTGGGGGCTGGGGGCTCTGAGGGGGTCTGGCTAGGATGGCTGAGGGCTGGCCTGGCCTTCTCGCTGCTTCTGAGTCTGGGGTCTCAGGAGGGGTGCTCTTGGATGTCCCTGGGCTTGCGGGGTCCAGGGCAGCAGGAAGTGGCCGTGGCGCCATGTGGAGGGCGGCCTATTGGAATCTGGCAGAGGATGGCCAGGTCCCAGGCTCTAGGGTAGTATGACCTGGCCCTCAGCCTGGGGAGGGCTTTGAGGGTGGACAGGAGGGCCCGAGGGTGCTCTGTGCAGAGGCTTAGGGGCCAGTCAACACCTGGGCTACAAAGATGACCTTGTAGGTCTCCTTCACATCCCCCCTTAGCTGCAGCAGGGCCGACACCATGAGTGGGTGGTCTGGCTGGAACAGGAGGGGAGGGGAGAAGAGGCCTTCAGTCAGTGGGCACCCAGAGGAGATCTGCTGTCTTCCCACTGCCCTGCCCACCTGACTCCCTTGGGTCCTCCACGGCCACCTCCTCCCCTGGGACTGGGCAGGGGTGTCAGCCCACCCAGCCTTTGGCGTTCCCAGGGCTCCCTGGCCTGGAGCCCAAAGGCACCTACATCAAAGTCCGCAGGTGGCACCCAGGAGATGCTGATGGTCTTCGTCTGGCCGCGCTCCACGGAGCCCCTGGAGGGCTCAATAGAGAAACCCTTGTGCTGCAGGGATGCGACGCTGTCTATGCTGAACTCAACGGTCTGTGGGGTATGGGGCTCCTGTAGGCTGGCGACCAGGCACCGCTCCCAGAAGCAGTGGGACTAGGGGTGAGGGTGCCCAGCTCCACTCACCCTCCCAGCTCTGACCAGGCTGCCCACCCCACAGCTGCCACAGGAAGTCCGAGAAAAGCCCGGCTGTCAGGACAAGCCCAGTGAGGGGCAAGGCCAGGAGGGTCAGGGCTGCCCAGGGCAGGGGAGGCCGAGGGGGCTGCCTGGTGTCCCCAGGGGCAGTGCTGTGGGCACCTTCTTTGGAGATGGCTGGGTGGTCCGGATACAGCCCACCTGCAGCTCTCGGGTGGCAGGTGGGGCTGGCGTGTCTGTGTCAAACTGGATGTAGTCCAGGGTCACCAGGATGGGCCTCAGCTCCTCAGCTTCTGGAGAGAGAGGGCCTGGCCGGGAGCTGGCTGGAGGGGTGTGGCCAGGGGAGCTGTTCAGGGTCAGGCTGAGGCATGGGGTGAGGCTGCAGCTGGACTCCTGAACTCTGGTTAGCAGTGGCTGTCCTGCTTGGCTCTGGGGTAGAAGGCTGGGAATCCCTGCCCTGCTCCGCTGGGTCTCGGGGCCCCCATCCACGGGACAGGGGCACCGGGAGGCCCCGTGTCTGTTCCCTCCCTGGGGAGGGGCTCACCCTCTCTGTGCCTGGGGTCAAATACAGGGATCGCTGTCAGAGACTCCACGGGCACGTCCAGGGGGTCGCCGCCCTCCACGAACATCATGTGCTGACAGGCGGCACCCTTCAGCAGGATCTGGTGGGAGATTTTCTGGGGACAAGAAGTGGAGTGGCCTTGTCCCCGAAGCTCGGCGGCAGGGGTCCTGCTGGTGAGAGCTGGGCTGGCTCAGGGAAGGAAGCAGGGACGGCCTGGGGGCCCCGTGGGGCCCTGGACTCTGGTCTTTCCACTGACGGCCCTCAGTGTGGTGCTGAGTCCCCCAGCCATGGTACCCTCAGGGCCTCCAAAGTGGAGCAGTGCAGCCAAAGGCAAGGCCCTGCGTGGGGCCAGGGCCGGGCCGGGCTGAGCTTGCAGAGCCAGAGCCGCACCTTTTCAAAGAGCACCACCTGGAGCTTGTCGGAGAAGTAGAGGCTTTCGTGGTCGGGGCTGAAGGTGACAGTGAAGTCTTGTGTCTTCCCGGGGTCCATGACGCCCTTGACGGGGGCCACGCTGAACACGCTCTGACCGTTGAGATTCTGCGTCCCTGCGGGTAGGGTGGGGTGCAGTTTGGCCTTCTCCACCTGCAATCACTGTCTGCCCTCCAAGCCTTGCTGCATAGAGCTCTACACCCTGCCCGCCCCCCTGCAGAGCCCCTGTCCTGCCCGGTCCCCCCAATGGCCTTGCGCCCCCCACTCCTCCCATGGATCCAAGCGCCCACCCCCCCCATCTCACCAACCGCCCCCTCCAGCTCACTGCCCACCCCCCCAGCTCACCGCCCACCCCCCACCTCACCAACTGCCCCCCACCCAGCTCACCGCCCGTGCCCGCCAGCTCACCGACCACCCCCCTCCAGCTCACCACCCGCCCCTGCCAGTTCACCGCCCGCAGCCCATCTCATTGCCCAGCCCCCTATCTCACCAACTGTCCCCCTCCAGGCCACTGCCTACTCCCCCAGCTCACCGCCCACCCCCGCAGCTCACCACCCACCCCCCACCCCCCGCTCACCGACCACCTCCGTCCTCTGGGAGGGCGAGCTGAGGAACTGCGGCAGCTGCTGCTGGCCCCGGCCCCGGGTGCTGGAGAGGCTGTCCAGGTGCATGGAGAACTTGATGGGGAGCAGAGAGTTGTTCTGCAGCTGCAGAGAGCAGGCCGCGGTCACTGCCCGCCAGCCCCTGCCTGGCTGCCCCCTTCCTGTCGTCGGTGCCCAGGACTTGGCTGGTGCTATGAGGCCACACCCAAGTGGGGACCCGGGTGGCCTGATGACGCCAGCACACGTGGCGGTTTATTGAGCTGTGTGCCAACATCCCTTCTTCCAGCCTCTCATCAGCCTTTGCTAGGCCGGGGCTCGGCTTCCCTGCCTAGGGTGCGTGGACAGCTCTGGGGTGTCACCTGTCCTCCAGGGCGCCTGAGTCTCGCTCAGGCCCAGCTTAGCTGAACCCACGTCCCCACCTGTGTCCTCCCTGCCCTCACCCCCTCTCCTTAGAGCACCCTTTCTCCATGCAACGCCCGTCTCGGGCTCTGCCTCCAGGACCCGCCCTGAGCCAGGCGGAGAAGCAGGTGTCCCTCCCGGACCCACACTCGTGCGAAGGCATGAGGGCACACGCTGGTGCGAAGGCATGAGGGCACACGCTGGTGTGAAGGCATGAGGGCACACACTGGTCCAAAGGCATGAGGGCACACACTGGTGCGGAGGCATGAGGGCACACACTGGTGCGAAGGCATGAGGGCACACGCTGGTGCGAAGGCATGAGGGCACGCAGGGCAGGGCGAAGGCATGAGGGCACGCAGGGCAGGGCGAAGGCATGAGGGCACATGGGGCAGCGTGAAGGCATGAGGGCACACGCTGGTGTGAAGGCATGAGGGCACACAGGGCAGCGCGAAGGCACGAGGGCACACGCTGGTGCAAAGGCATGAGGGCACACGCTGGTGTGAAGGCATGAGGGCACACGCTGGTGTGAAGGCATGAGAGCACACAGGGCAGTGCGAGGCATGAGAGCACGCAGGGCAGTGCGGCTCACTGCAGAGGGCTGCAAACCCTTGCCCCCGGTGGCTGAGCTGAGCTCCAAAGGAGTGAGTTCAAGCAGCAGGGCAGGGGGTGGGTGGTGGGTGGGGGAGCTCTGTGCAGGGGCTGAGGAGGAGGGACAAAGAGCGCCAAGGAGGACAGGGAGGTGGGGAGGACTAGGGGACATCTGCAGCCTCCCCAGAAACAGGCCCCGGGTTCCCTGCAGGAGAGGGCGGCAGAGGCGGCAGCTGTGTAGAGGAGGGGTAGAGGGGGCCACCTGTGTCCCCACGGGCTCTCCGACCCACGGGTCACTTTTGACAGCTGGCCTGAGTCCTGCCTGGTGGAAACCCCTCCTGGGAGGCTGGAGCCAGCACCAGGGCCCACGTGTGCTTCACCTTGAAGCCTGAGGACACAGACTCTCCGGCAATCACATAGCCCATGTTGAGGACGCTGCCTTCAATGGAGCACGTGATCATGGACGCCACGCCAGTGCCCATGAGGGTGAGGGTGAGCGTGCCTCTCTTGGTGATGATGTCCAGTGTTTCTTGAGCCTAAAGAGACCACATCGCTCAGCCAGGAACCGATGTCTGCTGGAGCCACGAGGGGAGCTCTGCCTCAGGGGCAGTGGGTTCTCAACGCTGGAGTTGAGACAGCTCTGGGGGGGCTCTGTCAGCTCCGCTCACTTGGCGGCTGGTGTGAGGGCCTGGGGGCCAGGCTGCTCGCAGACCCAGGCTTAGTCCCAGGCCTGAGCACAGGTGATGCCCGCCCCGGCCAGTGCCTTTGTTCTGCAGTGTGGGGAGCCTTGGGCCGCAGTGTGGCCAGGGTGGGCCTGGGACTCACCAGGATGCTCTCGTGGGGAGAGAAGGAAAGCACCAGGACCTGGGTCCCACCTGCACGCAGCAGGCTGGAGTGGTTCAGCAGGACAAAGGGGCCGTTGGGGTTCAGCAGGGAGAAGTCCAGCTGAGGGTCCACGTCAAGGAGGGGATACAGGTGTCTGCAGGCTCTACCACGCCCTCCCCGGTCCCCGCTCCCACCCCGCAGGCCGCCTGAGCTGGGTGGACAAGGACACGGCCAGATCCTCGGGAGAGACGTTCTGGATGGAGATCTTCTTGATACTGCGGTGCCCTGAAATGGGGCAGGGAGCGTCAGGCCCCAGCCCCAGGCCCCAGGGAGCGTCTCTGCCAGGGGTGGGCCGTGGGGCTGGGGGAGGCGTGGGTGTGCCTGGGCACCGGGGTGGAGGTGTGGGCGGGGCTTAGCGTCTCACCCACAGCGACGTCGCCGAAGTTAAAGATGGTCTTGCCTTTATGGGACGTCACCACAACAGATGGTGCCACCGTCGGGCACCACAGCTCCAGGTACAGGGTGTTGTGGGGGCTGGGATAGGAAGGGCATGCTGAGGGCAGGGTGGGCGGCCCCCTGCCCGCCCAGGCCCCAGAGTTGGGCAGTAGCAGAGGGACAGCGCGTTTGCGGCTGACCACACCCTGTTCTGGCCAGAGCACCCCGCACCTGAAGCTCAGGGGTTCTGACCCCTTCCTGTCTTTGATGTCGCCACTGGCAACAACACAGGGAACTACAAATGTGTCAAACTTCGCCTGGAACGCTCTGAGCAGGGTGGCTCGGGCGGCCTGGTACTCGTCGGAACTAGAAGGAAGTCAGAGGCTTGCGCTCCCGCCTTGCCCCCACCCACCATCGGCCCAGGCCGGACCCCTGCGGCTCTGCCTCAGGGTCCCAGGGTCCCAGGGTCCCAAGCTGTGGCTGTCCCAGTTGTGTCTGACAAACTGGCTTTTCCACCCTTCTCTGGCTCCTGTGGGGGTCTCATCACTCACTTCAGGTCCTCGTCAGCTGGTGGCTGGAGGCTAGGGGTTGGGGCAGGTGCCTTTGGCCCCTGGCTAGAGAGCCATGTTCCTTCCCGGGGCCACAGGCACCCATTAGAGCTTTCCCAGGGCTCATTCTGCACCCGGGGGGCTGGGTGGGGGGTGGTGGCTTTGCTCCCCACCCGTGGATTGAGGCTGTGTGCAGGGGTGTCAGGCCTGGGGAAATGGGGTGGGTAGGTCCCAGGAAGGCAGCACCTGGATCCAGCTGTGTCTGAAGGCATCAGTCCTTCCAGCCACATGGGTCATTCCGGGCAATCTGTAGGGAGGGGACTCTACAGGGGCCACAGTGGGTCCCACCAGAGGGGCCTGGAGGGAAGCAGGTGGGGCAGCCCCTCCTGGACCCACCTGGGCCTCAGCTCCCGCTTCCGCATCTCCAGGACGTGGGGGACAGAGACTTTGAACAGCTTGTCGCGGTTCTGTGCTCGAAGAACGGAGAATGACAGTCCATGCAGGTCCTTCCTCTGGGGGGCCATATTCTTTCGGAACTGTGGGGGGAGCGACTGGCTGTGGGGCTGTGCAGGGCCCTAAACACAGCCAGCTGTGCCCCGTGGCTCCTCTGCGGCCAGTGCGGGAACCGCGGGAGCCGCAGTTGGGATTGAATGTGGGGACGCAAAAGCCGACCGGCGCCCGAGGAAGACAGTAGCCAGTGCGGAGGGGCACACAGACCCCCACAGAGCTGCTCACAGACTGTGGCGTCTGCTTCACCAGAGGATAAACCGAGGCACGGAGTGAGGAGGCGGCCAGAACCGGGGTCCCCACCCTGGTGCCTTCCCCTATCTTCACCGCGGAAGGCCGAAGGCAAGTGCTTCCCCTCGAGTGCACGCCCAGGAGGAACCCAGGCCGGGAAAGGCAAACCCTTGGGAGGAAGCCAGGCCGGGAAGGGCAAACCCTTGGGAGGAAGCCAGGCCGGGAAGGGCAAACCCTTGGGAGGAAGCCAGGCCGGGAAGGGCAAACCCTTGGGAGGAAGCCAGGCCGGGAAGGGCAAACCCTTGGGAGGAAGCCAGGCCGGGAAGGGCAAACCCTTGGGAGGAAGCCAGGCCGGGAAGGGCAAACCCTTGGGAGGAAGCCAGGCCGGGAAGGGCAAACCCGTGGGAGGAAGCCAGGCTGGGAAGGGTGCATCTGGAGTGTGGCAGGAGCCTCGAGGCCACCTCCAGGGCCGGCACTTGTGGGGCAGATTCTGCAGGACACTCCGTGTTTCAGGTGCGCCTCCCGGGGCCTCCAGGTTGTTGGAGGGGCCCTTCATTGCATCCGCTGCACCCCTGGGTCACAGCCCCTACTGCCCCCACCTCCAGAGCCCACCCTTCCCTGCTCCCGCCTGGCAGTGCCTTCCAGAGAGAAGGGAGGGTCTTGGTGAGCAAGCTTTTTAACCTCAGATACAGCTCGACACGTGCATTGCTTGGGAAAGGTCTACCCTGTGCTCCCGGCACGTGGCCGGAGCCCCCCAGGACTCGAAGGCGGTGGAGTTTGTTCCTGCAACAGGCCCTTCCCCGACCTACGCCCCTCCTTCCCGGGCCCCACGCACAGATTTGGTCTCCATTTCTTTGTTCAGGAGTGGGAGGGCTTCCTGGCGGATCAGCTTCTCGGGCAGCACTGGCCGGAAGGCCACCTGGACCAGGCACCTCTGAGGAGAGACCAGCGTGGGCACAGGGGTTGCCACTTCCCTCCACCTCCCCGGAGCCCCTGCGGGCACTCTACCGTCCTCTGCCCGTGGACTCCCCTCAAGGTCACCTCCCCCTTGAGATTTCAGGCTGCGTGCCCCTTCAGGAAGCCCCTCCCTGACCTCTGTCCCCCAGGAGGCTGGGCGGGCTGCAGGCGGGAGCACCAAACCCTCTGGCCATGCAGGGGGCAGTCCTGTGATTGGAGGTGCTGAGAATAGAGTCCTGGACAGGCCGGGACTGGGTCCCCTGTCCTCGGGGCAGCAGTGACAGCTGAGCCTGCCCTTGCCTTGAGTTTGACGGGCGAGTCCCACACCCTAACCTGGTCCCTGCACACACCAGCCTTTCCAAGGAGCCTCCATCTTGGAAATGGCTTCCCACAGAAGGGTCCCTCCATGACAGAGCCCACAGGCAGTGTGCAGTATGGGGTTGGGGGTGACATGGTGCGGGAGGGGGAGAGGGTGGGGGGAGGGTAGGGGAGGGAGGGAGTGAGGGTAGGGAGGGAGCGAGGGGAGAGGGTAGGGGAGGGAGAGGAGAGCTGCATCTGCAGTAATGTGTGTGGGGGTGAGAACCATCACCGAGTGGCTTTCGCTAAGTTGAATGAAATCCATTTTGAATCACTGCATTCATTGAAATCCCATGTGAGCCAACTGTCCCTTACATGCCCTTCCTCACTTAGGCCTTCGGCAGCCCTCAGGGTCACCCGAAGGCCCTGCCAGGCCCAGAGCTTTCTGCTCTGCAGGAAAGGTAGAGTGCTGGGTGGGAGTGGCCGACACCTTGTCCTCCCAGTCGGCCTGCGAGGTCCACAGGTGCAAGGGACTACACAGCCTTCCCCAGTCTCAACCTGGGAGCCCTGGATGGGTTCCGGCCAGGCCAGCAGCCTGGGGAGCTCCTGCCTCTCGGGGTCAGGCTGGACCAAGGGCACTGTGACCCCCCCCGATGGGGGTGGCCTTGGGCCCCCATGCACATTGGCCATGGATCCTTCCTCGGCCCTGCTCGGGTCTGAGGGTCAGGTTCACTCCCGCCCCTGTTCTCCGGGTTGAAACCCTGTGGTTAAGGGTGGGCAGAGCCAGACACCCCAGGGGTAAATGCAGGTGGCGTGGAGCTCCTGCTTCCCAGCCTGCATGTGGGGCCCACACCCACCTTTCCTGGCCACACGGTCCCCACTGAGGGCGAGATGGTGATAGGCGAGTCTGGGGGCAGCAGGAACTCGAAAGACGTGGGCCCCATGGGAGAGGCGTCCTCTGAGCCAATGCGGGGCTTGGAGTGGGTCGGTGAGCTCATGCTCAGGTGAGAGTTGATGACGTACACTGTAGCCACGGAGGTGTCGTATAGGGCCGTGGCGGCAAACTTGATCTGGTAGTGGGACAGCTCCAGGGGTGGGTGGACGCCTACAGCCCGGCAAGACAGCTTGAAGCACCTGCAAGCAGCAGCATGGGAGGCCCTCAGCCGTGCAGGGCGTCCGTGTCCCTCTGCGGCAGGCGCGGGGGCCACTGGGTGGAGGACAAGCCCCGGGGGGGGCTCACAGGGACATGCACGTTCCTGCTGCCCAGGGGGTCACTGCGCCGCTGACAAGTTTCGAAAATACAGCGTATCCTTGTGCACATTTGAGGTGGGTGGCTAAAAATTTTAAACCGTATTTATTCATTTATAAATAGAGATGGAGTCTCGCTCTGTTGCCCTAGGCTGGAGTGCAGTGGCACTACGACAGCTCACTGTAGCCTCGAACTCCTGGTTCAAGAGGTCCTCCTGCCTCAGCCTCCCGAGTAGCTGGGACTACAGATGAGTGCCACTGTGTCCTGGGTAGCTAAAAATTTAATCACAAGTTTAGATAGTTGCAAAGGAAGTTGCAAAGGAAATTTCTAGCTTATTTTGTTAAATATTTATTGACGTTTTAAAAACGGATCTTTTTCTCTAAATGGAAGCACAGGTGTCTACGAGGCCTATTATGAGCAAGTTGATTCCTGCCACCATCTATTAAAAAGAGGCCGGGACCTGGTTATTTTAACCATTGGAAACTTCACATTTCATATTTTCCTCAAATGCCTATTTCCACTGTATTTTCCCCATTGATTTTTGTCCTAATTGTATATATTTTATGCTGTAAAGGACAATACTCCTATCACATTTGTCGGTAACAGAAAGTGTTCATTCATATGTTGTAATATTCAAATGCGTATTTTTATGTCCTGTGACCACAGGCTCTAAATGCTTTAAAAAATTCTTTAAAAAGGCTGGCATGGTGGCTCACACCTGTAATCCCAGCACTTTGGGAGGCCGAGGAGGGCGGATCACGAGGTCAGGAGATCGAGACCATCCCGGCTAACACGGTGAAACCCCGTCTCTACTAAAAATACAAAAAAATTAGCCAGGCATGGTGGTGGGCACCTGTAGTCCCAGCTACTTTGGAGGCTGAGGCAGGAGAATGGCGTGAATCCTGGAGACGGAGCTTGCAGTGAGCTGAGATCGCACCACTGCACTCTAGCCTGGGTGACAGAGCAAGACCCCATCTCAATAAAAAAAAAAAAAAAAAAAAAAGTTCGGGCACAGTGGCTCACGCCTGTAATCCCAACACTTTAGGAGTCCGAGGCGGGCGGATCACAAGGTCAGGAGATCGAGACCATCCTGGCTAACACGGCGAAACCCCGTCGCTACTAAAAATACAAAAAAATTAGCTGGGTGTGCTGGCGGGCGCCTGTAGTCCCAGCTATTTGGGAGGCTGAGGCAGAAGAATGGCGTGAACCCAGGAGGCGGAGCTTGCAGCGAGCCGAGATTGTGCCACTGCACTCCAGCCTGGGTGACAGAGCAAAGACTCTGTCTCTGTCTCAAAAAAAAAAAAAAAAAAAAAAATTCTTAAAAAAATTGGCTGGGCGCGGTGACTCACGCCTATAATCCCAGCACTTTGGGAGACCGAGGCGGGTGGATTACCTGAGGTCAGGAGTTCAAGACCAGCCTGGCCAACACGGTGAAACCCAATCTCTACTGAAAAAAATGCAAAAGTTAGCTGGGCGTGGTGGCCGGTGCCTGTAATCCCAGCTACTCGGGAGGCTGAGGCAGGAGAATTGCTTGAACCTAGGAGGTAGAGGTTGCGGTGAGCTGAGATCGCCCCACTGCACTCCAGTCTGGGTGACAGAGTGAGACTCTCGCCTCAAAAAAAAAAAAACAAAAAACAAAAAACAAAAAACTTAGAAAAATGTAGGCCGGGCGCGGTGGCTCACGCCTGTAATCCCAGCACTTTGGGAGGCTGAGGCGGGCAGATCACGAGGTCAGGAGATCGAGACCATCCTGGCTAACATGGTGAAACCCCGTCTCTACTAAAAATACACAAAAATTAGCCAGGCGTGGTGGTGGGCACCTGTAGTCCCAGCTATTTGGGAGGCTGAGGCAGGAGAATGGCGTGAACCCAGGAGGCGGAGCTTGCAGTGAGCCGAGATCGCGCCACCGCACTCCAGCCTGGGTGATAGAGCGAGACTCTGTCTCAAAAAAAAAAAAAAAGAAAAGAAAAATGTAGTGATGGGGTGTTGCCCAGGCTGGTCTCAAATTCCTGGACTCAAGTGATCCTCCTGTTTCAGCTTCCCAAAGTGCTGGGATTACAGCCGTGGCGCCCAGCACTCACTAAAATTATTTTTGAGTGGAGATATTATTGATTATTATTAGTAGTCAATTTTTTTCTTTCTTTTTTTCTTTTTTTTTTTGAGACAGAATCTCGCTCTGTTGCCCAGGCTGGAGAGCAGTGGCATGATCTCGGCTCACTGCAACCTCCGCCTCCCGGGTTCAATGATTCTCCTGCCTCAGTCTCCCAAGTAGCTGGGACTACAGGCACCCACCACCACACCTGGCTAATTTTTTGTATTTTTAGTAGCGATGGTGTTTCACTGTGTTAGCCAGGATGGTCTCGATCTCCTGACCTCGTGATCTGCCCGCCTCGGCCTCCTCAAGTGTTGGGATTACAGGTGTGAGACACTGTGCCCGACCTTTTTTTTTTTTGAGATGGGGTCTTGCTCTGTCACCCAGGCTGGAGTGCAGTGGTGCGATCTCGGCTCACTGCAAGCTCCATCTCCAGGGTTCACGCCATTCTCCTGCCTCAGCCTCCCGAGTAGCTGGGACTATAGGCGCCCGCCACCATGCCCGGCTAATTTTTTTGTATTTTTAGTAGAGACGGGGTTTCAACGTGTTAGGCAGGATGGTCTTGATCTCCTGACCTCGTGATCTGCGCACCTCGGCCTCCCAAAGTGCTGGGATTACATGCGGGAGCCACCGTGCCTGACCTTTTTTTTTTTTTTTTTGAAATGGAGTCTCGCTCTGTCGCCCAGGCTTAGTGCAGTGGTGCAATCTCGGCTCACTGCAAGCTCTGCCTCCTGGGTTCAAGCGACTCTCCTGCTTCAGGAGAGTAGCTGGGATTACAGGTGTGCAGCACCTTACCTGGCTAATTTTTGCATTTTTAGTAGAGACAGGGTTTCACCATGTTGGCCAGGCTGGTCTCAAACTCCTGACCTCAGGTGATCCGCCCGCCTCGGCCTCCCAAAGTGCTGGGATTACAGGCGTGAGCCACCGCACCCGGCCCAACTATTCAGGTATTTCTATATTTTTCCTGTGTCCATTGTGTATTTTGAGGAATTTGTCCATTTCCTCAAAATTGTCAGGTTCCCTGGTGTAAAGATGTTCATCATGTTCTCTTCTTATCGCTTTGATATTTGTTAGGGTCTGTGGTGATGTTCCCTTTCGCTCCTGATATTGATGGTTTGTGTTTTCTCTTTTTATCCTCATTGGTCTTGCTGGGGGTAATGAATTTTATTAAATTGTACAAGAAAGACTTTTAGTTTGT
The DNA here is from genome assembly GCF_000001405.40 of Homo sapiens. Taxonomy (NCBI): domain Eukaryota; kingdom Metazoa; phylum Chordata; class Mammalia; order Primates; family Hominidae; genus Homo; species Homo sapiens. The sequence continues at coordinate 1,933,742 of NC_000001.11, forward strand.
TGTTTTTCTCTGTTGAATATTGCATTTCTATTTCGTTGACTTCCACTTTTACCTTTTTTATGTCTTTCTTCTACTCTCTTTGGGTTTAATTTACTGTGTTCTTTTCCTAATTCTTGAAAAGGAAGCTTAGATGGTTGATTTTCACACCCTCTTTTCTAATATCTGCGTTTAGAACTAGAAGCTTCCCACGAGGTGCTGCTCTGACAGCCCGCAGGCCTCAAACCTGATGGGTCCAACATGGAGCCTTTGGTGGTGCCCATGAGGATCAGTCACAAAAATACCCAGGCTGAGGGGAGACAAGCAAAATCCAGACCAGCAGCAGGGGTCTGAGGCCACCGGCATGAGGTCCCGGTCTGCATGGGGCTCTCCAAGTTTCAGCACTCAAAGTCCTGCGGCCTGAGAAGCCCCTCAGTACTGGGTACAGCAGCATGGTGGTCACCCTACATCTGTGCAAGTGTAGAAGTGTGTGTATGTGTGAGTGTTAGGGTATAGGTACACACGTGTGTACGTGTGTTAGGCTGTAGGTACACAGGTGTATACGTGGGTGTTAGGTTGTAGGTACACAGGTGTACACGTGGGTGTTAGGTTGTAGGTACACAGGTGTATACGTGGGTGTTAGGTTGTAGGTACACACATGTGTACGTGTGTGTTAGGTTGTAGGTACACACGTGTGTACATGTGTGTTGTAGGTACACATGTGTGTATTAGGTTGTAGGTACACAGGTGTGTATGTGTGTTAGGTTGTAGGTACACAGGTGTATACGTGGGTGTTAGGTTGTAGGTACACAGGTGTATACGTGGGTGTTAGGTTGTAGGTACACACGTGTGTACGTGGGTGTTAGGTTATAGGTACACGTGTGTATGTGTGTGTGTTAGGTTGTAGGTACACACGTGTGTACGTGGGTGTTAGGCTGTAGGTACACACGTGTGTACGTGGGTGTTAGGCTGTAGGTACACAGGTGTGTACGTGGGTGTTAGGCTGTAGGTACACACGTGTGTACGTGGGTGTTAGGTTGTAGGTACACACGTGTGTACGTGGGTGTTAGGTTGTAGGTACACACGTGTGTATGTGGGTGTTACGTTGTAGGTACGTGTGTACGTGGGTGTTAGGTTGTAGGTACACACGTGTGTGCGTGGGTGTTAGGTTGTAGGTACACACGTGTGTACGTGGGTGTTAGGTTGTAGGTACACAGGTGTGTACGTGGGTGTTAGGTTGTAGGTACACGTGTGTACGTGGGTGTTAGGTTGTAGGTACACACGTGTGTATGTGTGTTGCTGTGGGTACACACGTGTGTACGTGGGTGTTAGGCTGTGGGTACACACGTGTGTACGTGGGTGTTAGGTTGTGGGTACACAGGTGTGTACGTGGGTGTTAGGTTGTAGGTACACACGTGTGTACGTGGGTGTTAGGTTGTAGGTACACACGTGTGTACGTGGGTGTTAGGTTGTGGGTACACACGTGTACGTGGGTGTTGTAGGTACACACGTGTGTACGTGGGTGTTAGGCTGTAAGTACACACGTGTGTATGTGGGTGTTAGGTTGTAGGTACACAGGTGTATACGTGGGTGTTAGGTTGTAGGTACACAGGTGTGTACGTGGGTGTTAGGTTGTAGGTACACACGTGTGTATGTGGGTGTTAGGTTATAGGTACACACGTCTGTATGTGTGGGTGTTAGGTTGTAGGTACACACGTGTGTACGTGGGTGTTAGGTTGTAGGTACACAGGTGTGTGCGCGCTAGGTTGTAGGTACACATGTGTGCACGTGGGTTAGGTTGTAGGTACACACGTGTGTACCTGTTAGGTTGTAGGTATACACGTGTGTACGTGTGTGTGTTAGGTTATAGGTACACAGGTATGTAATGAAAGTGTGACCCCTGGCATTCCTGACAGTGACGGGCTCTGGGGAGGGAGGGAGAACAAAGCCAGCTCCGACTTGAGGGAGAATGTTTGTTTCTGTAACAACAAAGAGAAATCAGAGGCAAGTAGGATAAAAGTCTAAGATCTGTATTTTGGGTGGAGGGTACATGATGTTGGCTGAGTTTGTGGGTTATCTGAAAATGGAAGGGAAGAAGAGAGCAGAGGACGCAGAGCTAAGAAAGTTGGGACCTTTTTTTTTTCAGCACTACACACACACACACACACACGAACTGCAGGGGGCTCTGGAGCCATGGAGTTAGAAAAGCTCTCTGAGAGGTCAGGTGTAGTGGCTCATGCCTGTAATCCCAGCACTTTGGGAGGCTGAGGCGGGCAGATCACCTGAGGTCAGGAGTTTGAAACCAGCCTGACCAACGTGGAGAAACCCTGTCACTACTAAAAATACAAAATTATCTGGGCGTGGTGGCGTATGCCTGTAATCCCAGCTACTCAGGAGGCTGAGGCAGGAGAATCGCTTGAACCTGGGAGGCAGAGGTTGTGGTGAGCCGAGATTGCGCCATTGCACTCCAGCCTGGGCAACAAGAGCGATGCTCCGTCTCAAAAAAAAAAAAAAGAAAAAAAGAAAAGAAAAGCTCTCTGATCTGCGGCCGGGTGCGGTGGCTCACATCTGTAATCCCAGCACTTTGGGAGGCTGAGGCGGGTGGACCACAAGGTCAAGAGATCGAGACCATCCTGTCTAACATGGTGAAACCCTGTCTCTACTAAAAATACAAAAATTAGCTGGGCGTGGTGGTGCACACCTATAGTCCCAGCTACTCGGGAGGCTGAGGCAGGAGAATTGCTTGAACCCGGGAAGCGAAGGTTGCAGTGAGCCGAGATCATGCCACTGCACTCCAGCCTGGCGAGAGAGCGAGAGTCCATCTCAAGAAAAATAACAAAAAAAGAAAAAAAAGAAAAAAGAAAAGCTCTCTGAACTGGGCTCCCTTCTGAGAGTGAGGAGGAGAGCCGCGCACAGTGGCTCACGCCTGTCATCCCAGCACGTTGGGAGGCTGAAGCGGGAGGATCGCTTGAGGCTATGAATTCAAGACCAGCTTGGGCAACATAGTGAGACCCCATCTCTACAAAAAATATAAAAGTTAGCCAGGCATGGTGGCGTGTTCCTGTAGTCCTAGCCACACTCAGGAGGCTGAGGTGGGAGGATTGCTTGAACCCGGGAGGTGGAGGCTGCAGTGAGCCGTGATTGCACCCCTTGCATTCAAGCCTGGGTGACAGAGCAAGACCCTGTCTCAAAAAAAAAAAAAAAATTAAAATGTAAAAGTTCAGAAACAAATAATTGCACTTGAAAATGAGCAGTAGAAAATGGTCGAATCACAGGTGACATTGTTATGAGACGAGAGAGAATGAGGAGTGGAATTTGTGTAAACGGCGAAGCAAACTGGGAAGCGTGTTAGGAAGGAATCAAAGGCAGCAGCCTAAGGACTCCACGTGTGCCTCAGAGAGTTCAGAAAGTGATACAGGGTTGGAAACTGCAACATGGCCGTGATTACGGATGGAACGTGCAAAGCACTGGGCACCAAAGGCGGCTGAGGGAGAGGCGACGGGGCGTTAGCGCCCTGGGGAAGGAGCCAGCGTGGCTTTTGAAGTGGTCTGGCTGTCTGACTAGCCCAGAGGTGCTGCTGCCCATGAACCCACAACACAGAACAGAGGAACATGTGAACTGACACCACGGGACAGCATCGCACCTGTGGCAATTCCACAGGACAAACGCACCTGGCGTCTTCAATAAATACATTTCAAGGACCACAGAGATGGAGGGAGGCCCCAGTGGCCCAGGTCAGTAGGACCCAAATGTGGGCGATTGTTTGATGAAGGCACAGAGGAATTCAGGGCAGAATGGAATCTTCTCAACAACGAGGCTGGAATAATTGGAAGCCTCTGCAAAAAAATGAACCTCAACTCGGCTCACATCGGAAACAAAAGCGACCAAAACGGACCACAGACCCGGCTGTGACTGCCCCCCAGTGTCTTGGCCTCTGCCCCAGAACACATCCCTGGAGACTGACGGTCCCAGCAGCAACAAGAACCCACGCAGGACCACCAGCCACCGCCTGGGGTCCAGTTTCATCTCTCCCTCTCCACCACTTCCTTATCCCGCCCTCAGGCTCAGGGAGGTGCAGAGACTGGCTGGTCGCACAAGACCTCAGAGCACGCAGGGATTTACAACACCAGGTCCACCTCTGGACACAGGTCCACCCACCTGTGTCCAGAGGGGTGCCCTGCACAGCATGCGTGTATACACACATGCACACACACAGTCTCACATAAACGCACTCATACACATGTACACACATGCACTCACGCATGGTCGCACACTCAAGCACTCACACATACAAGCACTCACATTCAGTCACATGCTCACACATACATGCACTCACACTCAACCTTACACACCCAACACACACGCACTCACACTCAACCTTACACACCCACATACATGCACTCACATTCAGTCACATGCTCACACATACATGCACTCACACTCAACCTTACACACCCACATACAAGCACTCACATTCAGTCACATGCTCACACATACATGCACTCACAGTCACATGCTCACACATACAAGCACTCACACTCAACCTTACACACCCACATACATGCACTCACACTCAACCTTACACACCCACATACATGCACTCACACACAAGGCACTCACACACACACGCTCACTCACATGCAAGCTCACACACCCACCTACGTGTACTCACATAGGCACTCACCCCCATACACTCACATACCTGCACTCACACTCCTGCAGGCTCACACACACACTCCCACAGGCTCACACACACACAGGCTCACACTGACAAACGCACTCACACACCCCCATATGCACTCACACCTGCTCCTACAGTGATACGTCTGCGCACACACGTTCACACACACACACAGGCACACTCGCCTGTCCTCACACACATGCTCATATACATACACACCCACGACACACACAAACACACACGTCTGAGTGGGCCCAGAACTCAAGGCTGCCTGGGTCCCAGGCCTCTCTGCACCCAGGTTTGAGGTTCCTGCTGGCCGGCAGTGCTGCCCAGCCCAGCCCTGTGGTCAGCCAGGCAGATGGGGTCAGGGGCGGGGATGTGGTGGAGCTGGGAAGGGGGGCCCCTCCTGAGCGGGCACTCCAGGCCCCCTGCGTCCCCTCTCCCTGGCAGGCTCACCGGTTGATCTCAGACTTGCAGGTCAGTTGGAATCTGTGTTCCTCGGCCTTGGTGGGCTGGAAGATCACACAGAACTGCAGCGTTTCCAGGGGCAGGATCGTCCCAAACCCATCGTTGGGTTGGACGTCCACAAACTGGAAATAGAAGAGTGCTCTGAGGGCATGTCACGGGGAGACCATGTGGACACACGTGCGGCAGGGCCGTGAGTGTGAGAGTAAGAGATGAGTGTGATCGTGTGTGAGCGAATGTGAGGGTGAGAGTGTCGCTGTCAACGAGTGTGTGTCAGCAAGTGTGTGAGTGTGAGCACATGTGTATGAGTGCATGAGCAATTGTGAGCATGTGCATGTGTGTGCACGCATATGTGTGTGTGTGCTGGGGGGAGAGAGAGGGAGGATGGCGGTGTTGGCGGCGGGGCAGCCCAGGGAAAGGTGAGGGGTGCCCAGGCTTGGGCCTCGTCCCAGCTACCTTGTGTGGCCCCAGCAGGGGAAAGTTTCAGAAGAAAGAGCGGGGAGAGGGATCTGGAGCGCAGGAGGTGCACAGGACCGAGGCAGAAGTTGGGCTGCACGCCCAGGGCTGGTGTGCAGGGTGGGGAGGCCCAGGTGTGGAGGGGTGCAGCTGAGAGGCGGAAGTTGGGCCACATGCCCACGCGTGGGGGACCCTGGAGCAGTGGCCGCTGCATCCTGTCCCCAGGACTTCCCAGCCTCACCCCTCTTACCCCAGGCCTGGCTGCAGGAGGTACCTTGGGAAGCCTGACGAACCCGAACTCCTGGGGCAGGAGCGAGTGGTTGTGGAGGCTGATTTCCGTCCTGATGGCCTCATAGATGGTGCAGTAGCCAAAATCCACCTCCGAGGGACTGAGCTCCAGGTCCGAGGTGGTGACAATGGCATGCACGGTGAATCCCACTGGCTTGTTCTGAGACATAAAGGGCACAGGCGCCCTCGCAGCCACTCGGAGACTTACCAAGTGCTCCCCAAACTCTGAGGCGCAACCACTGCTGCTGCCTTGTGGCCATGGCCCACTGTTTCCAGGACACGACGAGGCCGTCTCTTCATAAAACCCACTTCCCTGTGACTGCTCCCTGACATGGCGGGAGGAGCTGCGGGTGGGTGGCAGCTGAGAGCCTGCTGCAGGTGGAGTGGGGTGCATGTGTCTCTGTGTGCGGCACACATGGGCGCATAGACGTGTGCAGCTGAGTGTGTGGGGCACCCCTCATGTGTGCACATGCAGGTGCAGGTGCCTGGGACACAGCCCTGCTGGCCTGGATGGGCCTCGGAGGCCTCTCTCTGGCCCATGAGCACCCTCCCAGCAGGCAAGCCCCTCTGGCCGCTAGACGCCTCCTGGAAGGCAAGTGAGGATGAGCCCTTTTGGGGGCCCTCGCCCGGGTGCTGGGCCTGGCCTCCCAGGAAAGCCCCTGCTACCCAGGAGCGCCCAGCATCCCTGGGAAGTGCCCCAACACAGACCTGGTCGGCAACCCATATGGTCATCGGGGCCTCCAGGACTCGGGTCTCCTTGTCAAAATACCTCCCTGCGTCCTCCGGGAGGGAGTGTCTGAAAGAGGCAGACAAGGCGAATGTGCTTTCCTCTTTCCATTTTGTGAAATGACAATAAGACCCACTGTCACTGGTGCTTCTACATCCCGTGAGAGCTACGGCGTCTCTGGAACATCAGCGCTGGGAGACGCATCGCGCCGCCCTCCTGCTCTCGCACAGAACCCACGAGCACGTGGCCCCTGTGGCCCCGTGAGGGCTCTGGCGTGTCTAAGTAGCCAGTCACTCCCGGGAGCAACACAAGTGACTGTGGCTCAAAAGCTGTGTTTAAATAAACAGGAATAAATTCAATAGCCATGTTTCAAATTAATATGGAGTTTGCATCGTAAAGGAATCCTAAAAAGCCCTTTAAAAATGCATTTTCACTTTAATCAGAGCTTGATCTCTGATTACATAAGTTAACGTTGTTAAAGAACTATCAGGAAAAGGGCCGGGCACGGTGGCTCACGCCTGTAATCCCAGCACTTTGGGAGGCTGAGGCGCGCGGATCACGAGGTCAGGAGATGGAGACCATCCTGCCTAACACGGTGAAACCCCATCTCTACTAAAAAATACAAAAAATTAGCCGGGCGTGGTGGCGGGCGCCTGTAGTCCCAGCTACTCGGGAGGCTGAGGCAGGAGAATGGCGTGAACCCGGGAGGCAGAGCTTGCAGTGAGCCGAGATAGTGCCACTGCACTCCAGCCTGGGCGACAGAGCGAGACTCTGTCTCAAAAAAGAAAGAAAGAAAGAAAGAAATATCAGGAGAAGTAAAATAAGAAAGAAAAACATCAGCCTCCCTGTGACAGGCGGCCGGCGGGGGCAAGTCCAGGAAGCAGCCGATTTTAAGCTCAGCTCCGCCCTGTTCCCCTCCTAGTCCCACCAGGCCCGTGCCTGCTGCGCCCACCTCCCCCACCAAGCTCCACTGAGCATCATTTGTCTGGACCTTGGTCCCGGCCCGGATGCTGAGGGCAGCTCTGGGGGGCTGGGATCGGACACAGGACGTCCAGTCTCCAAAGCACAACAAATGTTCAAGCGCAGAAATCAAAGTTCACCTGGCAAAAGCAGAGACCAGGGGATGCAGCCAGCAGGCCTGGGAAGAGCCTTGGATTAGACGAGGGACAGCTGGGTGACAGGGACACCCTCAAGACACAGGTAAAGGAGCAAATGTCAGGTGTGCACTGAGCTTGAAACAGAACCCCAGGGAGTTACTGGGAAAGGGATGAAGACAGGGAAGACAGCGGGGGAGTGCACGGACCGCAGGGTACCCGTAGCAAGCCAGAGCCTTATCCTGGGCCACCTTATCCCGGCAGGTAGCAGACCCTCAGTGGCCATGAGAGCCACCGGCCATGCATGGGAGACACGCAGCCTCCCAGTCTTTTCAACAACGAGGCTGGAATAATTGGAAACCTCTGTACAAAAAAATGAACTTCAACTCGGCTCACATCTTAAACAAAAGCAACCAAAACGGACCACAGACCCAGCTGTGACTGCCCCCCAGCGTCATGGCCTCTGCCCCAGAACACATCCCTGGAGGCTGATGATCCCGGCAGCAATGAGAACAGAGGAGTGGCCAGTGGCGAGGAGCGCCTCGGAGCCCACAACCTCCCACGTCCTCCTGTCCCGGCCTTGGCGTCCTGGCACCTACCGCGGCAGGAACTTGAGCTGCACGGAGTAGGACGACTGTGCCTGGATATAGCCTGTCTTGGGCAGGAGCTCCAGGTGGGCCCTCAGCTCCTTGCACACCTCGAACTTCAGGCGCAGGGCAGCTTTCGACCTGTGGGCGTGTCGCAGGGCACTGGGTCAGGTGCCACAGTCGTGATTCTGTGTGCGCTCAATGCCTGGAGTTATTAAAACATTTCTGGCACCCAAGCCCCCGAGAGGTGCTCAGAGCCCACCCACTCCAAGCCATGCACGTGCACCTCGACAATCGGAGTCCTCAAAGCCCTGCTTTGTAAGGGCTGTTTTTTCTGAAATGAAATCTGATGAAGAATTCTTAAAAATAACCACATCGAAACGGAAGCACGGTCCTAATGGGCTCTCGGGAACCAGATGCTTTCCGGGAAGAGCACCTGCCAGGCAGCCCCTGGGTGCGGGGCCCTGGAGGGGACATGAGGGGTGGAACCCCTCCCTCCAGGGCTCTGCCCGCCTCCTGCCCAGGGCATCCCCACATCCTGCAGCTCAAGCACAGGGCACGTGGGGGGCCTGGGACGGCCACAGGCCTCGGTTATGACAGCAGCCTCCAACCCAAGACGAGCCTGAGAGAGCCAAGGTACCCGCCAGTCACCTGGGAGGCCATGCGTCTGTCCGGTCCCTACCTCCGGCTCCCTTAAGCCAACGGCCTCCTCAGGACCACCTGGAGCCTCCCTGTTCCCACAGTGAAGCCTCCCTCCCCTCCCCCGTCTTGGAGCCTCTGCTAAACAGTGTTGTGGCCGCCCCGCCACAGCTGCCCCGGGCAATCCACGAGGGGGGACCCAGAGGGTGTGGCAGTGAGAAATCTCCTCCCTCCTGTGCTTCCATGCGACAGTCACCCATGCTGTGGCAGCCTCATCTCCGTCCATCACAGACCTGCCTCTGACCTCTGACCACTACCCAGAGGCCACCCACAGTGCGTCTGGGCACGCCAGCCTCTGCACCCCTACTGCTGGGCCCCATGGGAGGCGGGCGCCCGGGTGCTCAGAGACCGCGCCCTCCCCGTCAGGCAGACGCTGCTCTGCCTTCCGGTTCCCTTATGGGGCCAGAGTCTATACAAATGAGCACACAGCTACACTGAGGTACACACAACCACAGCCGGAGACCATCCACAGAGCTGGGCCCCACTCAGCCCTCAATGCCCGACAGACACGCCTGGGCCCTTTCTGTCAAGTTTCCAAGGCCACTGAGAGGCTGTAGTAGGACGATGCCGGAGGCGAGCAGACTCCACCGCAGACACGCCAACACACGCAGCTGGCTCCCGGGTCACCGCAGGCTGCACATTCCCGGCCCATGCCGGGCCCACAGGAGTCCGACAGCAGGAGGACAGGCGCCGCGGGAGCTGTTCCTACCCAGGTCACCGGGGAGAGGTGGCTGTGCCTGGGGCCGGTGCCCGGGGCCTCTGTGTCCGCACACCCTGCTCCTTGGTGCTGGTGGCACAGGGGCTCCGTCATGGAAACCCCGCAGGCCCAGCCTCGCCGTCCCTCTGCGCTTTCCCACCGGCGTGGCTGTTCAGGGCAGGCTGCTTGCTCTGATGTCTGGAGCCCTTGCCAAACCCTGCAAGTGGAGGCTTCCTCCTCCAGGCTCACCCTGCCTGTGTCCACGAGGGGCTGAGGACTCTGGCCGGGCCCAGGCGGGCAGTGCGTTTCCTGTGGCTGCTGAAAGGATTTGCCCCAAGCTTAGGGGCCCCACAACACAGAGGCACATTCATTCTCTCCACGTCCTGGAGGTCAGAAGCCAAGACGGAGCTAAGGCCAAGGTGCGGGCAGGGCCGTGCCCTTGTGGCTCTACGGGACAGGTTTCTCCTCTCCTTTCACAGCCTCTAGAAGCTGCAGTGTCCCCGGGCTCGGGGCCCTTCCTCCATCTTGGAAGCCGACAGTGCAGTGTCTTCAAATCGGCCTGACTCTGACCCTCCTGCCTCCCTGTGACGCCTCCCGTGATGACACTGGCGCCTCCCAGATGATCCTGGATCACCCCCCACCAAGGTCCCTCTCCCCAACCATGTCTGCTAAGCCCCCTGCTTGCCACACAGGATGCCGTTCAGGGCCTGGACAGCAGCCGTGGCAGCCCCAGGTGCCATGTCCCCGCTGGCCACTGGGGGGCTCACCGCGTGTGCACAGGCAGGCAGCGGCTCACCCCGTGTGCGTGGGTCACCCCGTGTGCGTGGACAGGAGGGGGCTCACCGCGTGTGCACAGGCAGGCAGCGGCTCACCCCGTGTGCGTGGGTCACCCCGTGTGCATGGACAGGAGGGGGCTCACCGCGTGTGCACGAGCACAGAGTCCTGGTAGAGCCGGTCATACATGCAGATCTTCAGGTCCACGCTGGGCTTCGGCACCCAGACCGGCACATCGATGGCCACGCCCACGACCCTGAAATGCAGCTGCATATGGACACAGGAGCTCAGCAACAGGAGTTCCTTGGGCACAGCAGGCATTGTTGGTGAGCACTGACACAGCTCCCAGGAGGAACGTTTCATGGGCTTGAGTTTTCTAACTCTTTGGGACGGCTGTGGCACTTTTCATATCATATCATTCAAAATATTCTTTTTTTTTGAGACGGAGTCTCGCTCTGTCGCCCAGGCTGGAGTGCAATGGTGCGATCTCGGCTCACTGCAATGTCTGCCTCCCGCGTTCAAGCAATTCTCCTGCCTTGGCCTCCCAAGTAGCTGGGATTACAGGCGCCCGCCACCATGCCAGGCTAATTTTTGTATTTTTAGTAGAGATGGGGTTTTGCCACGTTGGCCAGGATGGTCTTGAACTCCTGACCTCAGGGATCCACCCACCTCGGCCTCCCAAAGTGCAGGGATTACAGGCGTGAGCCACTGCGCCCGGCCAAATATTCTTTTTATTTTCGAAATGTTCAACTACTACTAGAACAGAATACTGGATCACCAAGTACCTACCAGTCAGCTTCATACTCATTAACATTTAGGTGTTTAAAAAAACCTTTCTATGGCCGAGCACAGTGGTTCACACTTGTAATTCCAGCACTTTGGAGGCCCAGGTGGGAGGATGCTTGAGCCCAGGAGTTTGAGACCAGCCTGGGCAGTGTGGTGAGACCCCCGTCTCTACAAAAAATACAAAACTTAGCCAGGCATGGTGGTGTGTGCCTGTGGTCCCAGCTACGTGGGAGGCTGAGGTGGGAGAATCGCTTGAACCCGGGAGGCAGAGGTTGCAGTGAGCCAAGACAGTGAGATCTGCTTCTCCCCAAGCACTGACTCCTGGGGCCTCAGGAGGTTAGAGAGTATGAGTGAGGTTTTGGGAGGGCCAGCAAGCCCCGGGCTGGGGAAGTGCAGCAGCCCAGCACGAAGCCGCCTAGGCAGTGGTACTGTCCTGGTGCTGTGAGGTGAGCCGAGGACTCTGAACACTGTCGAGGATGCCAGGAGCCTCAACCTGGGACAGGCAACCGCCCCAGCCCATGCGGGTGCATAGGGGGTGCAGAGAAATGTTTAAACATAGAAAGTTGTCACTTGGGGCTGGGCACGGTGGCTCACTCCTGTAATCCCAGCACTTTGGGAGGCCGAGGCGGGCGGATCACTTGAGGTCAGGAGTTCGAGACCAGCCTGGCCAACACAGTGAAACCCCATCTCTACGAAAAATACAAAAGTTAGCCAGGTGTGGTGGCACGCACCTGTAATCCCAGCTACTCGAGAGGTTGAGGCAGGAGGATCACTTGAGCCCAGGGGTTAGAGGCTGAAGTGAGCTGTGGTCCTGCCACTGCATTCCATCCTGGGTGACAGAACGAGACCCTAACTCAAAAAAAAAAAAAAAAAAGAACAAAGGCTCTGCGTGTGTGCACGTGTGTGTGTGGGCTCTGCGTGTGTGCATGTGTGTGCATGTGTGTGAGGACTCTGCATGTGTGCACGTGTGTGTGGGGGCTCTGTGTATGTGCGTTTGTGCGTGTGGGGGGGGCTCTGCATGTGTGCATGTGTGCGGGACTGCGTGTGTGCGTGTGTACGTGTGTGTGGGCTCTGCGTGTGTGCATGTGTGCATGTGTATACATGCATGTTTTTGCATGGGCATGCGTGTATGTGCTCACAGCATGCCTGCCTGTGTATGCCAGTGTGCGTGTGTGCACACTCGTGTGCGTGCGTGTGTTGTAAACTGTGGTGCCAACCATCCGTGCCACCAACTGGCCATCCCTGCGTGGGCAAATGGCGACCTTGTGGCCAAGGGCAGCTGCCACATGAGGCTGTGGAGGCAGGGGCCAGGGTGTGTGCGTGGCGTGGCAGCAGGAATACTCACCGTGGGGCACTGGGGGTTCTTAAACGTGACTTTGAACCTGGCTTGGACGTCGCCTGGGACGACCGGAGTGAAGACGATGGGCACCTTGATGGAGCTGAAGGGGCCAATTTCCCCTTCTGTTACCTGCACAGGAAGAGATGCCATGGGGTCTGCCAGGCTTCATGGCTTTTAAGATCCCTTCCCAACCCTCACAATGGCATGTTGCTGCAAGGATGGAAGGTGGCAGGACCCGTGTCCCTGGGTGGCCACTTGGCCACAGATGTCCTGGGCCTGGCCCAGCCCTTGGAGGACTTACTGTCGTGGGATCCCAGCCAGCGGAGTTGGAGGCAGCCTGAACTCCTCCACATCCTCCCCCTGCTCATGAGCTCATGGCCGTGTCCCAGCCAGGGAGGCCGCGGCCAGCATCCACCCCAAGTTTCACCCAGTGCCCCACACCCGGGAAACAATCTGTGGCTTGCGTCCTGCACAGCCGGAGGCGGTGGCCCCATGCCAGCTGAGATTACAAGAGGCCTGGAGGCTGCAAGTCCCTGGTGGACAAAGTCTGGCCTGTCTCTGGTCAAACGCAAGGGCCACCTAGCAGTGAGGGCCAGTGGGTTGGGGTGCAGCTGGGGCTGGGGGAAGGTGGGCGGTGTCTTGGATCGTGGCAGCTATTTTAGGGCCTGAGCTGGCTGACCTCCCCCAGCGTGATCTCCGTCTGCTCTTCGCTGGGAGGTATCACTGTGGTTAATCTCTCTGGTTCTGGAAGAGAAGGGGGATCCAGAGGTGAGGGTTGGCAGGGTGGAGGCAGTGTGGCCCAGGCCCCCTTGGGACGTGGTCACCACCTCCAAACCCATATCCTGGGCTCTGTTCTTTCTGAACATAGTGGAGCCATCCGTGTGGCCCCTTGGGGCACCCAGGCCCAGAGAGGGTGCAGCCAGTCCCCACCGTGCCCGGAGGGCTTTGGAAGCCCTTTCCCAAAGACCCCCATTTTCTCACGACCTGTTGGCCCAGGGCGAGGGTATTAGAGGCTGGAGTGGGAAGGACAGCTAAGTCCAGAAAATTCTAAAACAGTGTCATCTTTTGGGGATGTTTCTTCTCTTACCATCATATCTGGTAACCTAACTTCCCATAGCTGTAGCGTACTGTTCCCTACGGGTACCTGCTACTGGCGTGTTTGAGTCATCACTTCCCTGTGGCAGGCTCCTGGTTTCCATCTGCCACTGGGTTCTGGGGGCACCAGCCGGCAGCTGGTCAGCAGCAAGGCCCCGGGTAGCAGAGCTGTTTCCTTGCAAGTCTGAGCAGGACTTTTTGTTGACTTTGCACCTGAACAGAGGCAATTCGAGAGGCCACGCGCAGGTTGGCATTCTCCTTTGGCCTCTGTCGTGCTGCCCGGTCGGGTCAGAGCAGCTGGGCCACCAGCCAGGCCAGGTCACTGTGGAGAGCCCCCACGGGCTTGCCAGAGCCTGCCCCGGGCTCAGCGTCTGGACGGCAGAGCTCTTCAGGAGCCAGGTGGCGACTTTGAAGCACCATGCACATCATTTCTGGGGTCTGGAGTTGTAAAGGCCGCAGGGACCCCTGTTCTTTTTTTTTTCTTTTAGACGGAGTCTCGGTCTGTCATCCAGGCTGGAGTACAATGGTGTGATCTTGACTCACTGCAACTTCTGCCTCCCGGGTTCAAGTAATTCTCCTGCCTCAGCCTTCCGAGTAGCTGGGATTACACGCACCTGCCATCATGCCTGGCTAATTTTTGTATTTTTAGTAGAGACGGGGTTTCACCATATCGGCCAGACTGGTCTCGAACTCCTGACCTTGTGATCTGCCCACCTTGGCCTCCCAAAGTGCTGGGATTACAGGCGTGAGCCACTGTGCCCGGCCAAGGGTCCCCGGTTCTGAAAGTGGAAGGGGTGCGGCTGCCTCAGGAGTCACCACGGCAACAAGAACCTGGACCTGAGCGCAGGTGGTCAGATTCTGGGGCCAGCAGCTTTTTGGTTTTTAGAGACGAGGTCTCACTCTGTTGCCCAGGCTGGAGTGCAGTGGTGCGATCACTGCACCCTGCAGCCTCGGCCTCCTGGTTTCAAGTGACCACAGATGCATGCAGCCATGCTTGGCATATATAAATATATATATATATATTTATGTGTATATTGGTAGAGACATGGTCTTGTTATATTGCCCAGGCTGATCGCAAACATCTGCTTAAGCGATCCTCCTGCGTTGGCCCTCTAAAGTATTGGGATTATAGGCATGAGCTACCATGGCCTGGCCTCCTTATTCTAGTCTTTTCTTTCCTTTCTTCTTGTTTTTTTTTTTTTTGGCAGGGTCTCACTCTGTCACCCAGGCTGCAGTGCAGTGGTGTGATCACAGCTCACTGCAGCCTCAACTTCCCAGGCTCAAGCGATCCTCCCGGCTCAGCATCCTGAGTAGCTGGGACTACAGATGCATGTCACCACGCCTGGCTAAATTTTCTTCTTTGTAGATATGGGGTCTCACCATGTAGTACTTTTCAATGTATTAAGCATCCTTATTTGATATTTGATGCCTGATAATACCCATGTCTGAACCATGCAAGATTGCTGCAATTCCTTCCTTCCTTCCCTCCCTCCTTCCCTTCCTTCCTTCCCTTTCCTTCCTTCCTCTTTCCTCCCTTCCTTTCCCTCCCTTACTCCCTTCCTTCCTCCTTCCCTCCCTCCTTTCCTTCATTCCCTTCCTTCCCCTTCCCCTTCCTTCCTTCTCTCCCTCCCTCCTTCCTTCCCTCCTTTCCTTCCTTCCTTCCTTTCCTTTCCCTCCTTCCTCCCTCCCTCCTTTCCTTCCTTCCTTTCCTTTCTTCCCTTCCCTCCCTCCCTCCCTCCCTTCCTTCCCCTCCCTCCCTCCTTTCCTTCTTTCGACAGAGTCTTGCTCCTTCACCCAGGCTGGAGTGCAATGGCATGATCTCGGCTCACCACAACCTCTGCCTCCCGGGTTCAAGTGATTCAAGTGCCTCAGCCTCTCAAGTAGCTGAGATTACAGGTGCGTGCCACGATGTCTGGCAAATTTTTTGTATTTTTAGTAGAGATGGGGTTTTGCCATGTTGCCCAGGCTGGTCTTGAACTCCTGACCTCAAGTGATCCGCTTGGCCTCCCAAAGTGCTGGGATTACAAGTGTAAGCCACTGTGCCCGGCCAACCGCAGTACTTTCTGTTGTTTCTGTGTGAGTGATTTTTTTTTTATTTTTTATTTTTTTAAGGAATAAGTTGCATATAGTAAAATGGACTCTTCTTAGTGGAACTTTCTTAAGTTTTGACAGATTCATGTGGTTGTACACTCATCACAGCAATCAAGACACTGAATGGCCCCACCGTGCCCACGTCGCCCATGCCCCTTTCTAGTCAACCCTTTCCCCTGCCCCAGCAACCAGTGATCTATTTTGTCTCTACAGTTTTGCCTTTTTTTAGCCAAAATATTCTTTTTCTAGAATGTCACAAAAATGGAGTCACAGAGCTTACAGTCTTTTGCGTCTGAGTTCTTTCCCTTAGCATGATGCATTTGAGACTGGTCCACGGCACTGCCTCTATCAAAGGTTCATGTCTGTTTGCTGCTCGGCAGTGCTGTGTGGCAGGGACCCCACGGTTTCTCTATCCACTCCCCACGCGTGGGACATTAGAGTTGTTGGTTTTTGCCAATTGCAAATAAGCTCTCTACAAACATTCACATACAGGTTTTTGCGGGAATTTAAGTTTTCGCTTCTCTTGGTGGATACCTAGGAGTGGCCTTGGTGGGTGTCTGGCTTTGCTGCTGAGCGTTTCGCTGGTGGCCATGCCATTCTGCATCCCCAGGGGCAGCATTAGAATTCCAGCTGCTCCTCACCGGCACTTGCTATTGTTAAACTTGTTGTTCTTTGTTTATAATTTAGCTGTTCTTATAGGTGTGTAGTGGTGTCCCATTGTGGTTTTAATTTACATTTTCTTCATCTCATGTTTAATGATGTTGAGCGTCTTTTCATGTGCGAATTTCTCATCCACGTACGTATCTTCTCTGGTGAAGCATCTGTTCAGTCTTTTGCCCATTTTTTTTTTTTTTTTGAGATGGAGTTTCATTCACTCTCATTGCCCAGGCTGGAGTGCAATGGTGCAGTCTCAGCTCACTGCAAACTCCGCCTCCCAGGTTCAAGTGATTCTCCTGCCTCAGCCTCCCGAGTAGCTGGGATTACAGGTGTCTGCCGCCATGCCCAGCTAAGTTTTGTATTTTTAGTAGAGACGGGGTTTTGCCATGTTGGCCAGGCTGGTCTCAAACTCCTGACCTCAGGTGATCTGCTCACCTCGGCCGCCCAAAGTGCTGGGATTACAGGTGTGAGCCACCGCGCCTAGGCTTTTGCCCATTTTTTGACTGGGTTATTTTCCAATTGAGATTTGAAAATTACATATTTTGGACACAAATTTTTTATCGGATTTGTGATTTGCTAATGCTTTCCGCCAGTCTGTGGCTTATCTCTGCAGTCTCTTAACAGCGTCTTTCAAAAAGCAGATGTTCTTGGTTTTGGCGAAGTCCAGTTTACAATTTTTAAACCAGGGGCCATAATTTCAATGTTATGTCTAAGAAAAACCTTTGCCTCACCTAGGGCCACACATTCTCTCCTGTGTTTTTTTCGGGGGGGAATTTTATATTTTTAGGCTTAACTTTTAGGTACATCATCTATTTTGAGTAACTTTTGTTTACAGTGTGAGGAACGAATTAAAGTTAAACTGGAGGGGGGTGTATTAGTCTGTTTCACCCTGCTATAAAGAACTGCCCGAGACTGGGTAATTTATAAAGGAAAGAGGTTTAATTGACTCACAGTTCCACCTGGCTGACAAGGCCTCAGGAAACTTACAGTCATGGTTGGAAGGGGAAGCAGGCACGTCTCACACAGCGGCAGGAGAGAGAGAGGTGAGAGCATGTTTATAACATCATCAGATCTCATGAGAATTCACTCACTATTATGAGAACAGCATGGGGAAAACCTCTCCCATAATTCAATCACTTTCCTCTCTCCACACGTGGGGATTACAATTTGAGACAAAACCTGGGTGGGGACACAGAGCCAGACTATATCAGGGGGCTTATGTTTATCCAATTGTTATGGCCTCACTTGTTGAAAAGACTGTTCTTTCTCCAAGCAATTACTTTTGCACCTCTGTTCAAAACCAGTTGACTATAATTGTGTGTCTATTTTTGGATTCTCTTGTTCCGTTGGGTCTCTATCTCTGTTCACCACCACACTGTCTTGTTACTGTACTTCATAGTAATCTTGAAATCAGGTAGTGTAAGTCCTTGAAATTTGTTTTTTCAAAATTGTTTTGGTCACTCTAGGTCCTCTGGTTTTCCATATAAACGTTATAATCACCTTGTCAATTTCCATTAAAAAATCTTCCTGGAATTTTGGTTGGAATTGCATTGATCCATAGTTAGTTCTGGGATATTCACATTTTAGTGAAGTGTTCCAATGGTTAGTTCCTACAGTATAGAAAATCTGCTTGATGGCCAGGTGCAGTGGCTCACGCCTGTAATCTTAGCACTTTGGGAGGCTGAGATGAGTGGATCACTTGAGGTCAGGAGTTTGAGGCCAGCCTGTGTGATGCAAACCGCCTCATGCAGACTGCAGAGAATACCATTCAGGCTGAAAGAGCATCGGTGAGCGGCCAACGCACAGGCAGCCTCCCTCAGAAGAGCACAGCTTTGGCTCAGCACGCAGGGAATTCCACGAGAAGCATAGCTCACTGCAACCTCCACCTCCCCGCTTCAAGAGATTCTCCTGTCTCAGCCTCCGGAGTAGCTGAGACTACAGGCGCCTGCCACCATTCCTGGCTCATTTTTTGTATTTTCAGTAGAGATGGGGTTTCACCTTGTTGCCCTGGGTGGTCTCAAACTCCTGACCTCAGGTGATCCACCCGCCTCGGCCTCCCAAAGTGCTGGGATTACAGGCGTGAGCCACTGGGCCCGACCAAGGTGTTTCCAGTTCTGAGGCCAATTTAAAGGCCAGGGGTCATTGTAATGAGTAGAGAAGAAAATAAAGGAAGAGGATAAAAGGCTAGAGTATAAAATTAAAAAAAAAAAAGAAAAGAAACAAAAAAGCAAGACCAATGTAAAGCACAAAATAAGATGGTAGAAACGAATCCAAATATATCAATCATCACAACACATTTAAATAGATTAAATGTTCTAAGAAAGTCAAAGACTGTCAGACTGGATAAACAGACCAAAACTGTATAACACATTGATGAGCAAGAAAGAAAGAAAAAAGGAAGGAAGGAAGGGAGGGAAAGAGAGAAAGAAGCAAAGAAAAAGAAAGAAAGAAAGAAAGAAAGACAGACCTAGTTAAATGAGGAGATAATGGTTATGAATTACAAGACTCAATTTTTTTTTTTTAAGAGACAGGGTCTCTGTCGCCCAGGCTGAATGCAGTGGTGCAATCACAGCTCACTGCAGCCTTGACCTCCTGGGCTCAAGCCATCTTCCTGCCTTTGTCCCCCAAGTAGCTGGGACTACAGAGGCACATCACCACACCTGGCTAATTAAAAAAAAACTTTTAGTAGAGATGGAGTCTCCCTATGTTTCCCAGGCTGGTCTCAAACTCCTGAGCTCAAGCGATCTTCCTGCCTTGGCCTCCCGAAGTGCTGGTATTACAGGTGTGAGCTGCTGCACCCAGCCTCAATACTGTTAAGATGTCAGTTCTCCCCAAATTGATCTATAGATTCAATGCTATGCCAATCAGATTCATGCTATGCTTTTTTGGTAGAAATAAAAAAGCTGATTCTACAGTTTATGTGGAAATGTAAAGGACCTAAACTATCCTGAGGCCCTAATGCAAATATTGTGGAAAAAAAAGAACAAAGTTGGGTGACTTACACTACCTGGCTTCAAGGCTTTGTCTGAGTCCATGATAACCAAGACAATGGCTCTGGCATAAGAATAATTAAATGGATCAATTAATCAGAAAAAAGAGGCGAGAACTATATAAGCTCATGCTTATATGGTCAATTGACTTGCTTTTTTTTTTTTTTTTGAGACAGTATTTTACTCTTATAGGCCAGGCTGGAGTGCAATGGCGCGATCTCAGCTCACTGCAACCTCCGCCTCCCGGGTTCAAGCAATTCTCTTGCCTCAGCCACCCAAGTAGCTGGGATTACAGGCGCCCGCCACCACGCCTGGCTAATTTTTTGTATTTTTAGTAGAAATGGGGTTTCACCATGTTGGCCAGGCTGGTCTCAAACTCTTGACCTCAAGTGATCCTCCTGCCTCGGCCTCCCAAAGTTCTGGGATTACAGGCATGAGCCACTGTGCCTGGATGGTCAATTGATTTTTGACACGGACAACGAATGGATCGAATGGGATAGCAGAGTCCACTTGTGCCGTGGAATACACAAACACGCACCAGGGGAAATGAGCCTCAGCCCTGACTTCCACCACAAGCAGGAGTGAATTTGAGGTGGATCATACACCTCAACACAAAAGCGATGTCCTATGTCTTTATGACCCTGGAGGAGAAAAAAATTGCCTAAAAATCATAAAAAACAAATTCCAATAGAAATGACTGGTAAATATGCAAAGACTGGACTGAAGAACTTTGATTTGAGAAAAGACGTCATAAAGGGAGAGGAAGGCCCAGCCACAGACTCGGAGGCAGCACCTGCAACATTCCTCAGGGAGGAGGGCTGGAATCTGGGTGCATGAAGAGCTCCTATGAATGAATGAGAAGAAGACAGACAATCCCACAGAAGAACAAGGGATAGCCTTAAACAGAGATGTCACACCAAAGAAGATACAACTTGTAAATGGGCCCAGGGAAAGACACGCAATCTCACTGGTGATCTGGGAAACCAAAAAGCAACATCTCAACAGCAGACCGTGGTGCAGGCCCCCCAGACAAGCAGCCCCGGGCCGTGTGACCTCGTGCTCCTGCGGATGTGAAGCAAGGCCCTCAAGCCCAGTGTGGCCCCGTAGGACCCTCTGTGACCAGGCAGAGCTGGGCTTCTGGGCTGTCCAGTAGGGCAGCCGTTGCCCACAGGTCGCTATGGAGCATGTGAAATGTGGCCCTTGTGGAGGAGGACCTGAATTTTCACTATTATTTAATTTGGATCAATTTAAGTTTAAATAGCCAGATGTGGCAGTGACAGCCACGCTGGACAGCACAGTCTTGTACACTGTTGGTGGGAGTGTAAACTTGCACAACCACTTTGAAAAAGAACTCGGTGGGCTAGGCGAGGTGGCTCATGCCTGTAATCCAGCACCTTGGGAGGCTGAGGTGGGCAGACAGCCTGAGTTCAGGAGTTCCACACCAGCCTGGGAAACATGGCGAAACCCTGTGTCTACAAAAAAATACAAAAACTAGCCAGGTGCGGTGGTGCGTGCCTGTAGTTCCAGCTACTCAGGAGCTGAGGCAGGAGGATTGCTTGAGCCCGGGAGGTCGAGGCTGCAGTGAGCTGTGACTGCACCACTGCACTCCAGCCTAGGCGACAGAGACCCTGTCTCAACATAAAAAGAACTCACTTTGGTATTAGCTGATGCCAGTGAGGCTGGCTATGCCCTGTGATGCAGGCATGAGCCCCAGCCAGGTGCCCTGTGGGAACTCACACACAGGCCAAGGGGCAGTGCAGAACGGCCTTCGCAACAGTGTGTACCACGAACGCTCCCAAGTGTGCACTGGCAGAAGGACGGATCTAGAACCCGAGGCTCTCTCAGGAAAGGAAACGCCACGCAGTGGTGAGGACAGGAAGTGCGGCTCACACCGGAAGTGCGGCTCACACCGGAAGTGCGGCTCACACCGGAAGTGCGGCTCACACAGGCTGTGGAGAACCGGCCCAGCTCCGCGCTGAGCTGCAGGGCGTGCGGAACGCGCACCACGCGAAGACAGACAGGAGGAGGACGGAGGTTTCTGGATCTCGATGCGTATGTGGGAAAACGATCAAGAGAAGCAAGGAGGAGACGCAAGCGATTCCCGATGGCGGCGGGCTGCAGGGCAGGAGGCATGGGGAGGGCAGGGCCCGCCCGTTTCTCGGCACCTCTCCCCGCTGGTGCGCGTCTAACAACAGCCACAGCTGCAGAGCTAGACAGAAGCCCCCCGCAGCCCGGCCCCTCCAGGGGGCACCGCAGAGCCTCTTCCCCGCCCTGTGCGGCTCCGCCCGTGCTGGGCCTGCTGGGCCAATGCTGGAGGTGCCTTCAAGTCTTCGGTTAGCGTCAACGTGAATGTACATTTTCGTCCACTCCAAAAACAACACTTAGTGGCACATAAGAATATTTTCTTGCTTAACCGTCACTTAACATCGAAGGCCTAGGAAAATTCTCTACTTTCCAGCCCTCCCCTGGGCCCCTCAGCCCCCTGGAATGCTGCCCTGAGGCCCTCACCGCCCGCCCACCCTGGCTTGGCCTGGCAGCCTGGCTCACCTGCGGGCTGCTCCTCCTCCTGCTCCTTGTCCAGCTTCTCCAGCTCCTTCCGGCTCTGCATGTCCGCCTGGGAGGACTCCGTGCCCTCTAGCTGCTGCTCAGAGAAGCTGGTGGCGGCTTTGTCATACAAGCTTTTATCTTCGTAGGTCAGGAGACTGCTCTAGAGAGGAGAATCAACATCCTGGCTTGGGAGGTTTCCCACCTCCTTTTCCCAGTCAGCTGCCGGAACTCCCATGAGGACAGGCCGTGTTGGGGGCTGGACCCTGGCTCCAGCGTGGCCCCTCAGCTGCCTCCTCGGCTGCCTGCTCTCGTCTCACCCATCCTGGTTGTGGGATCACAGCAGCAGCTCACCCAGAGACTCAGAGTCACCCCTCAGCCTCCCTCACTCCAGGCCGGGTGGGCATGGCTGTGCTGCCCCAGCCTGGGAGTGTGAGCCACATCTTCCTCTTGGTCCAACCCTCCTTCCTCCTTGGCTGGCTAGAGGCTGAGGCTTCTCTCCACCTGAGCCTTGGGACACCCATACCCGTGACAGGACAAGACGCGCTCACACTTGGAACAGGTGCAGCTGTGGCCATGGAGTGCACCTGTCCAGTCCTCCCACCCCCACACCTGGGGCTTCAGAGATGCGTCGGGGGAGGCTGGGTCTCCTGGGGCCCTCGGGCCTGGAGCTGCTGGCCAGCACCCCTGCTGCTACGTGCCTGAGAAAGGGAGTGTCCTGCTGCTGCTGCCCCTGAGGCCAGGTGACTGCAGGTGTCCTACAGAAGAAGCTGGTCTCTTCTGCTTAGGCTGATTTGAGGAGGCCCCCACACTGCCCTCCTTCTCCCAGGCCCACTGTTGATACCCTCATGTTGTCACCTCTGTTCACCCACATGGGACTGGATTTGGGGGGCAGGTCCCCACACTCCCCCATGGCTGAGTGGCACACTCACTAATTTCAGGGCAGACTGGGAGTCGTCCATCTCACAGGGCTCTGAAGCTGGCAGGAACT
Organism: Homo sapiens; assembly: GCF_000001405.40. Classification (NCBI taxonomy): domain Eukaryota; kingdom Metazoa; phylum Chordata; class Mammalia; order Primates; family Hominidae; genus Homo; species Homo sapiens. The sequence continues at coordinate 1,956,679 of NC_000001.11, forward strand.
TGAAAGTCGTGCCCAAGCCCCCAACGTTGGTCAGCGTGATGGTCCGAGACGTGGTCTCTCCTACCACGTAGCTGCCGAAGTCAATGAGCTCCTTGTCGAGGGACAGCTGCCAGAGGACATGGAGTGAACTCAGGGCCACCGTGCCAGGCCCACAGGGTGCCCAGCGTGAGGCCTGCACGTGGCTCCAGGCAGGGCTGCCCTGAGCATTTGTGCGCGTTGTGCACTGCACAAGCAGGTACACGATTCAACCCAGAAATCAGGTGTGTATTGCTCATGACAAGGTGTGGCACGCGAGTCTGGTTTTAAGAACATCAAGGCAGGAGCCCCCTCGCCACGGAGTAACAAGGGTTCAGTGAGAGGACGCAGGGCCCGGATGCAGGGCCTAAACAAGGAGCCTGGACACGGGGCTTTGGAGGTCCTGAGGATGGATGGTGTCATTCCTGGGTGAGGTCAGCTGGACTCTGGATACAGGGACCCAGGGAGCATCCTTCCAGAACGGGAGCACGCCCTCCATGGGGGTGCCTCACCATGCCCGCTGTGGGCCACAGGCCACAGAAGCTCTGGTGCTGGCTAAGGATGCAGGCCCGGGCCATACCTCGGCTCTGCCCAATGGCCCCTCCTCGGGAGGCTTTTCTGGGCTCTGAGTTTGGAGGCCCAGGGGCTCCCCACTCTGTGCTCCTGCTCCAGGGGCAGGACCAGGGGCCACCGACGCAAATGGACGTGGTTCGCAGAGGGCGGTCGGGGTCCAGCCAAGGGAGGCCGCCTCCTTCCCGCCTGCACCGCCTGGGTCCTGTTCTCCCCTTGTTCAGATGGGGTTTTACTGTTTTTACAGTCCCCAGCCTGGACGCTCCCCTGGGAGAAGCAAGCCCCTGCTCAGGGGAGCCGAGGGTCTCGGTGCTCCTGTCACAGAGGAGCACTTGACACTGCAAAGACCAAATGCGGGAGAGGCCGGGGCAGCTCTGGCCAGGACACCTGGGGCCTCGCCGGGCACGTGCTCCATGATGCTGATCCGGAGTGGAGCAGGCCAGTACCAGACTCCTGCCGGGCTCCCAGGCTGAGCAGGAGGGAGCCGGAGCCTGGCTGTCTGCGGGGGGGCGGGGGACTTCCTGCTGCCCCTGGCCCTGGTGCTCGGTGTCCTGGGCCTGAGTCTTGGCTCACCAAGAGCCCGCACAGCCGAGTGCCGGCCCAACCGTGACCGCTCTGAGGAGAAGGCGGCAGCCACAGGGCAAGGAGCTGCTCGGGTGCCCTAGGACGGCAGTGGTCCCTGCATGAACCCAAGCGGGGCCACTTGAGTGCCAAGAGGAAGGGAGACTAAAGTGACTGGAACACACCAAATACTCAAACACTGGTGAGCCTATGAAGAAACTGAGAGGAAAACACTTCTCTCTCTGCCACCATCGGTGACTCTCATCCCAACCCCTCTCCACGGCGACACGCGGTGAAGGAGGAAGCACGCGACAGAGAAAGTTACACAGGTGCTCATCAAAGGTGGCTTGGGGCCAGCGTGGCCTGGATCACGGGTGACCATGAGGGCGTCTGCTGATCTTCCTGGGGTGGGGGACATAGCGCGCCTCTGCCCTTCGCCTGCCCCGGCTTGTTCCTCCTCTAGTGTAAGAATGGGCCTCTTCCTGCCCCGCTGACGCAGGCTCAGGCTGTGAGACTTGCCTTGACCTGAGAATTCTTAGGAGATAATGACGTCCCCACTGTCCTCTGGGAGATGCTCGTGCTGCCGTAGCTGCCACTCTGGAGTCCAGCCTGGACGGGGCTGGCCGCAGAGGGCTTCACACTCGCGGCTGAGCCAGGAGCCGTTTGCTGTGTGGCAGGTGCGGTGCGAGCTGACCAATTACTCGGCGGGGGCCGGGGGGACAATGATGTGTGGGTTCCTGGTTTACTGGAGATGCATGCTGAAGTTTCTGAGGGTGGAGTGTTGACATTTTACTAATGTACTTTGAAATGGATCAGCAACAACAGATATAGCAGTTGATGGACCAAGCAAAGGTGTCCGAGGCCGACAATGTGGAGTCTGGGAGGATGCGGGGTCCGGGTTGCAGCGCGTGGAGCCTTGTTCTGCTGTTCTGTTTTCCTCTATGCTTGAAATTTTTCTTAGTTAAAAAGAATCAGGCGGGATCCCCCCAAGAGCTGCAGATGAATGTTAAGTTTTCCTGAGCCACAGGCCCTGCAGTCTGGGCTCCACACAGAGCAGGGTTTGTCTCATTTTTCCAGCACTGGTCCGAGTGCCCCACGTTCGAGACCCCACCTAAGGTTCGGCTCAGGCCCACCTGAGCTGCTGTTGGAAGAAGGGGCTCAGCCCCTGGTGAAGATTGGAGCTTCCACCTGGTCCCCCCGCCAACCTGCACCCCCTCCCAGGAGATGCCGTCCCCCACTGGGGTTCCCAGCCAGCATGCCCCGAGAAATGCTGGCTCGGACACCTTTGAACTCACCGAACATTTCTTTGTTGAACATTTCAGTGGAACTGAAAACTCGCCCGTCTGAGCCAAAAATGAGATATTTCCTTCTAGATCCTTGTTTATCTAAAACATAAAACAACCCCCACCACAATACACTTCTGCAACTTTTGTGTGTTTTGTTTTTTTTTTGGACAGGGTCTGGCTCTGTTGGCCAGGCTGGGGTGCAGTGGCACCTGCTCGATTCACTGCAACCCCCCTCCACCCACCCCCACCTGGGGTCCAAGCGATCCTCCCACCTCAGCCTCTCCACTAGCTGGGATTACAGGCATGCGCCACCATATCTGGCTAATTGTATTTTTTGTAGAGACGGGGTCTCGCCATGTTGCCCAGGCTGGTCTTGAACTTCTGGGCTCAAGCGACCCTCCTGCCTTGGCCTCCCAAAGTGCTGGGATTACAGGCATAAGCCACCACACCCCTCCCTCCTGTAACTTTAGCCTGTTACATGTGCCGTGGCTACCTGGGCCAGGGCCGCCTGCCACCTGCCCAGCTCGGGTGACCCCAGGGGAAAGAGTCAGTAGAGGGCATCTCAGGAGGGCTGGACACTAGCTTCCTGGAACATCCCAGCCCTCCCGACTTAGACCCGAGAGTGCACGCCCTCGGCCACTAACCCAGAGGAGCTGCGCCGCGGTTCTGCCCAGCATTCAGGAATATGTTGAGTGTATTTTTGGAAGTAAAATAGCAAAACAGGGGCCTGCGTGATCCTCACTGAGAGGCCAAGTGCATCCTTCCCCCATCATGTTCTGCGCCACCATGCCCGATCACAGGCTCCACCCACCACCACCTCCCCTTCGAGAGAGAACGGGCCCCTCTGACTCACCATCGGCTTGAAGGTGACAAGCACTTCACAGGACATTCCGGCTGACAGGGGGCCAGGGGGGTCAAAGCTGCAGGACGTGACCCATAGCACACGGGGGTTAGTGCTGCGGAGGGCAGACGCTCGCCTCACCACCCAGAGCACAGTCAGGCTGGGCCTCCTGGCCTCCTCCCCATCCCGGGCCTGGCCCCCTGCCCAGCCGCCTTCACCCCGGGGAGTGCTGGATCTGCTGCATTCCCTGCTGCCGCCAGTACCTGGCAGGCAGGGGGCGCTCCAGTGTGTGCGAACGTTTGTGGAGTGAGGGAGTTAATCACTGAAGGCGTGAGGCAAGTCCCCAGGCCAACTGCCAGGAAATGGGACCCCATGGGTCGGAGAGGGCCACAGTTCCCCTGGGCACAGGTGCCAGGCCTGGGACCGGGGCTCTAGGGCTTTGATACCAATATGGGACCAGGGGGCTGTGGGCAGGAGCCAGGAAGAGAGCTGGAACTGGGAGTCCTGAGACAGCTGGGACCCTCGGGACCCTCTCAGCCCCTTTCAGGGAAAGAACCACAAAAATAGCCCCTACTGCACAGGCCACTTGAGGGAGCTGGTCTGTCTTGGCCCAGATCAGGGTGAGGGAGCATCTCCCCAAGGAATTCCTGACGCCAGGCTGATTTCACAAGGTTGGATTTTACCTAATGTGCTTGGTTTAGAAATGCACAAGCTAAAATTTTAATGTAAAATGTGTCCCTGGCTGGCAACATTCCCACGGCACCAGCAGAAGCAAACCCAAAGCTCCTCCAATTGGGAGGGAAATGCTTTGGTGCCGACTGCACAGAGCCCGGGATGGAGCTGCCGGGGAGAGGAGCAGAATCCGAGAGGGTGGACGTGCGTGCCTCACATAAACCAGCAGCAGAGTGCAGGGCCGAGCTCCAAACCCTTCAGATGACAGAAGCGTGGAGTGGGGATGTTAGAGGACGTATAGATAAAATGGTTAGAGACAGAAATAGAGAATTCCAGACGTGAGAAAAGAACAAGACACTGTCAAGAAATGCAGACTCATCCAAAACAGAACTTGGCATTTTTAGAAATGAGAGACAGGGCAGCTGAGTAAGAAACTTACTGAGCAATTTCAACCGTTGATTAGCAGCACTAAGGGGACAAGTGGTGAACCGAGCAGCACCTAGAGCACCACCCAATGCGAAAAAGAGACAAGAAATTTCCAACCCGACGGGGAGGTTTCAAAAGGAGGAGCAGGAGGGCAGAGCCGGAGAATGAATGGGGGAGGGGCGATGCCTGGGGAGCTGGGGCTGAGAAGTTCCCAAAATTGTTCAAAGATCTGAATCTTCAGATTCAACAGCACAGTGAGGTCTAAGAAAAATCAGCCCACACCAGACGCACAGCAGAGCTGCGGGACATTAAGGATGAGAGAATCTCAGAGCAAGCAGGCGGAAAGCCAGGTATCCTCCAAAAAAACCAGCACCTGGACCGAGGCCACCTCCCACTCCAGCAACAAGAGGCAGAGGGCAGGAGAGTGGTGGCCTCAACCTGTTGAGAGAAAATAACCGTCCATGAGAAGTTCTCATCCCAGCGTGGGGAGGAATGCCTCGGTGGCTGAGAGCACAGCGACCACCTAAACCCACCTCTGCACGCGCCCTCCAGAAACCACATGGATCAATGAGAGAAACAGGCGGGCTGCAGAAATCCCATGCCTTCAGCATGACTAGAGGACACAGAACCCTCCAGACTTAAAATTAACCATAAGGTGAAAAGTAAACACCAACCTCCAGCATGCATTCTCCATGCCCGCCTTCACAGAGAGCTACGAAGGTCTGAAAAACTGCAGGGAAGAGAGGAAGGAGACGGGAACAAAGACCCTAAGACTGACCTAAAATCAGCTCCCCAAAGAGAACATCACAGCCTCCACAAGAAAATACCAAGTCCCAGTGAGTCAGTGCTGATCTCAGGGAGGGGCCATCAGAGCCCACGCGCCCCTGGGGGCAGCCTCAGGAAGATGCCTCGTGGGAGAAGAGGAGGCCCCTCTGGAGCCTGGGCAGCAAGGGGGGAATGAGGATCCTGCCCTTGCTGACCCTCTTTTGAGAAGCTGCACTTCACAACGCTCGCGGGAGTGGAAACTCCTGAACTGGGAATCCGAAAGCCATCCTGGACCTACAAACCTGTCCACAAAGAGAAAACTGGCAGGAAGCAGGAAGTAGAAGAGAAAGAACTTTCTTAAAAATAAAGTAAGTTAGGCTGGGTGCTGTGGCTCACGCCTGTAATCCTAGCATTTTGGGAGGCCGAGGTGGGCCTCGGATCACCTGAGGTCAGGAGTTCATGACCAGCCTGGCCAACATGGTGAAACCCCGTCTCTACTAAAATACAAAAAATTAACCGGACGTGGTGGCAGGCGCCTGTTATCCGAGCTACTCAGGAGGCTGAGGCAGAAGAATCGCTTGAACCCAGGAGGCAGAGGTTGCAGGGAGCCGAGATTGTGCCACTATACTCCAGCCTGGGCAACAAGAGTGAAACTCCATCTCAAAAAAAAAAAAAAAAAAGTAAGTTACTAAGGAGCAGAAGAAAAGAGAAACATTGCAGAAAACATGGAAAAGGCCGTCAGAGGGAAAAATGAAGAAAAATAAAATAAAAGAGAAAAGAAGAAAATGGGCCAGGCACAGGGGCTCACACCTGTAATCCCAGCACTTGGGGAGGCTGAGGCAGGTGGATCACTTGAGCTCAGGAGTTTGAGACCAGCCTGGGAAACACAGTGAAACCCTGTCTCTACAAAAAATAGAAAAATTAGCCGGGCTTGGTGGCACACAGCTGTGGTCCCAGTTACTCAGGAGGCTGATTGAGGCAGGAGGATTGCTGGAGCCTGGGAAATTGAGGCTGCAGTGAACTGAGATCGTGCCACTGCACTCCAGTCTGGGTGACAGAGCAAGACCCTGTCAAAAACAAAACAAAGAAAAGGAAAGCAGAAAGCATTAAAGGCAACCAGAAGGAAAACATCAGACACCAAAGACCAGCAAGGAGGATCCAAAACACAGGTAAGTGGAGTCTGCAAGGAAGCAAATGGAAACATTGTTACAGAGTGAAAGCACGGCCTTAATTCAGGGAGGCAGTGCTGAAATGAAGACAGCTTTCACCTTGACACTGAAAACACTGGCTAATTGCCAGGGAAAACTTATCAGAATGGTCAACATCAAAACATAACAATACAAAAGGAAACTCTGACAAGGTGTGGTGGCTCATGCCTGTAATACCAGTACTTTGGGAAGCCAAGGCAGGTGGACCGCCTGAGGTCAGGAGTTCGAGACCAGCCTGGGCAACATGGTAAAACCCGGTCTCTACTAAAAATATAAAAATTAGCCAGGCGTAGTGGCAGGTGCCTGTAATCCCAGCTACTGGGGAGGCTGAGGCAGGAGAATCTCTTGAATCCAGGAGGTAGAGGTTGCAGTGAGCTGAGACCGCGCCATCGCACTTGCACTCCAGCCTGGGCGACAGAGCAAGACTCCATCTCAAAAAAAAAAAAAAAAAAAAAAAAAAAGGCAGCAAAACAAAACGAAGAAAAACAAAAGGAAACTTGGGCAGCCAGGCAAAGTTCCAGCCATTCGTGAAGGGAAATGGGCTCGGTCTCGGACGACTTTGACACAAGAAGACAGAGGAGCCCCCTCTACAAAATCTTCGTGAAAATCGGACCTGAGGGCTTATGCCCATATAGAGCCTGTTCCAGCCGTTCTGAACATGAAGGGACCTATGAACCTCCTGCTGTCCCTGCACCGCGTCCCTCCCTGTCTGAGCCGTCCTCTTACTCAACGTGGATGAAGTCCCGGAGGTGCTCCTCCACGCCCACCAGCTTGCAGTAGTTGATCGTGTAGGTGGTGTTTACCAACGTGATCTTTTTCTTGTACACTTTGCCAATATCAAAGTCCTGGGAAAGGCCGAGGTAGCAGCTTCAGAGCGGGTCACAGGGGGCTGTGCTGTGAGCACCGAGGCAGCTTTGCCTCAAGGTAACCGCTGGTGAGCATTTGCCAACTAGGGAGAGGTTCCCAGGGAACAATTTCCAAGGTTTCTCCCAGAATCGAGAAGGCCCCTGGGGTGCATGAAGGACAGGTCTGGGGGTGGAACCTGTCACATAAGAGCCTTCGCCACTTGAGGCAGGACAGGGCCTTGCTGGGGCCCGCAGGTGGGAGTAAGAGAAAAGGCTCAGACACTGTGGGTTCCAAGGTGGGTCCCTGACTCCATGGATGGACTTGAGCTGGGGTCAAATACAGGAGCCCACAGCCTGCTCTGTCTTGCAGAGTTTGGCAGAGGCGTCCAGGCACCAACCTCAGCCTCACATGTTCCCACCCTGTCCCTGCTACATCCCTGTCCCGAGGTTCAGGGGACCCCCACTGCCCCAAGTGGCACAGGGCTTTCGGGGCCACGGCACCCCCATTGCTCAGACTGGCGTCCAGCCCTCCATGGGGATGGGGCCCTCTCCCTCCACCTCCTGGAAGAGAAGGTCCACACTTGGGCCTGTGCCTCCTGAGGAAGCCCCCGGGTTTTCCAGCGTTAAAAAGCGAAAGGCAGGCCAGGCGCAGTGGCTCATGCCTGCAATCCCAGCACTTTGGGAGGCTGAGGCGGGCAGATCGCCTGAGGTCAGGAGTTCGAGACCAGCCTGGCCTACATGGTGAAACCCCGTCTCTACTAAAAATACAAAAATTAGCCAGGCGTGGTGGCAGGCGCCTGTAATCCCTGCTACTCGGGAGGCTGAGGCAGGAGAATCGCTTGAACCCAGGAGGCGGAGGTTGCAGTGACCTGAGATTATGCCGTTGCACTCCAGCCTGGGCGACAGAGTGAGACTCCATCTCAAAAAAAAGCAAAAGGTGTCAGGGGTTGGGCTGCGGCAGGGCTCCCCTGCTGTCCTGTGCTGCTGCCCGTCCCGTTCCTGGCCCAGCTGCGGGCTCACCTGGAAGTGGAGGAGCTCCGGTTTGCTGTTGAAGGGGCGTCCTTGGAACTCACGCCCCCACACCACCTGCTTGTGGACCACCCTGCTCCGCAGCCGCTCCACCGTGCGCTCCAGGATGTCCTTGTCCATCTTTGTCCCGCCCACGGGCTTTCGGTCCACGTCCTCCTTGGGCACCTGGGGGTCACAGAGACAGAGGCTGGGGCTGTTAGCGGCTCCACCTGGGCGGCGCCGGTGGCAGCTCGGAGGCGAGGGTAGCGGTTAGCAGAGCACGGACAGCCCAGCCCCACCGGCTGCCACCAGCGCTGGAGCTGGGAAGAGCCCCATGGCCCGGGGAGTTGCTCTGAGTTGCTCAGAAAGGCCCTGGGGACCGACTGACTTTCTGCTCCATTGACAAGGCAGGGACCCCTCACTTCCAAAAAAGAGGAAACCAGGAAACAAGAGCAGACAGCTCCAGATTCAGGTGGATTTCTGGGAAATGATGTGGAGGGGGAACTTTCCAGATTGTTAAATCAGGACAAGAGGAAGGTTTTGAAAGGTTCTGCAGGAAGCAGTTTTCTCGAGCGGGCAGTGTCAGCACACACTGGGCTTTCTCAGATGAAAAGCCGCTTCCCTGGCCAACACCAGCAACCAGGAAGATCAGAACTGGAGTCCTGAACTGTCCCTTCAGAAGCTGCTTGGACTCTGCGTGGGTCCTGGCTCTGGGCTGTGGGCTGTCCCTGCTGGTGCCCATGCCCGGCAGCCGGGCAGCCTCCTCCCTGGCTTCCCGGGGTGGGGGGGGCACTTGGCACCCTCCTCTTGTCCAGAGGCAGCCTTCTCCCTTGGGTGTCCCCAGTGGGCAGGTGGTGGCTCTGCCTGGCCTGTCTTGTTCACCACCCTGGTCAGCCCGGCATCCCCAGAACCAGCAGAACCAGGTGGCTTTTGCCCTGACAGTAGAGGTGGCCAATGCTTACAGAAACCGGGCGGCGGGCATTGCCCTCCCACGTGGGACAGGGCCACAGCCTGAGCCACACTGCTGCAGAGACCGTGTCTTGCTGTAACTGCTCTTTCAGAGGCAGAAGGACCCCAGCGCCAGATGGGGCATGTTTCTTACAAAAGGCCGTCAAAGAAAGTTTGCACGCTTCTTCTAGAAAGATGCTTCTCCAATAGTACACGGAGTAGCTCAGAGTCATTCCCTCAGCCTTTCAGCTTTGGAGCCCCACCGTCCCTCCCCGTTACACCATGGTGACCGAGCTGTCTGTCAGGGGGAGCTTGGGGTCGTCGAGCACGCGTGGTGCCCTCCAGGCTCCGCGAAGAGGGAAAGGCATGAGTGTGGAGAGGGAGGCGGGGGGCGTCCACACACAGGAGAGGGTGGCGGGAGATGGCAGGCACAGCCAGGAGAAGCCTCAGAGCAGCTGGTGTGGCCGGGGCAGGCGTGGGAGGTGGCGAGCCGGCGACAGAGGGCCGGGGTCCGTCTGCAAGCGTCTAAAGGAGCAGGAGCTGATACCTGGTATGGCTTGTAGTCTTCATTCCAAAGCCCAGAGATCTCGGGCTCAGCTAACGTTTCCTCCTCTGAGCTGGCCCCGGGGTCCCCCTGGATAAGCTCACTGGAAACGACTTCCAGCAACCGAGAGGGCCCGGGGCCTGCAGCAGCCTCGTAGTCCTGCAGTCGGGGAGAGGAACATCGCAAAGACACGCTCATGACAGAGAACAGGGAAGAGAAACTCGGCCCAGCCCCCGCCGGTATGGCCCGCTGCCTGCCCCCGTTCTTCTGCCTCACGTACTCTGCATGGAGATAGCGGTGCACACGGTTTTGTAACTTTTTCTACTTGAAATATAAGTATTTTAATACATTATTAAATATTTTTCTACAATGCTCAGAAGAGTCTGCAAAATATTTCCTTTGATAGGAAAATGTTCTAATTCACGGACTGGCATCCTTGGCGCCGATCCTCAGGCACTCATCTGTTCTCATTTTTTTTTTTTTTTTTGAGACGCAGTCTTGCACTGTCACCTGGGCTAGAGTGTAGCAGCGCGATCTCAGCTCACTGCAACTTCTATCTCCCGGGTTCACATGATTCTCCTGCCTCAGCCTCCCGAGTAGCTGGGATTGCAGGCGCCCGCCACCACACCCAGCTAATTTTTTGTATTTTTAGTAGAGATGGGGTTTCACTATGTTGGCCAGGCTGGTCTCGAACTCTTGATCTCATGATCCACTCACCCTAGCCTCCCAAAGTACTGGGATTACAGGTGTGAGCCACCGCGCCTGGCGCAGTTCTCATTTCTGTGGATATAAGCCATGCCCGGGAAAAGCCCCAGGCTGACCCCAGGAGGATGGCTGTGGTGGTTTCCTCAGAATGAGTTTGGGGACGGAGCCTTGCCTATCTGCTCTGGCTCTGTCCCAGGCCTGCTGGAGAAGGGGGAACTGGGCCGGGTAGACAGGGTTCTTCTTCCTGGGGACCGTCCTATGGAGCGACAGACAGGAAGTCTGGACGGGGCCAGCGCATTGCTGTTACTGTGACCTGTATAGTGCCACAGGTGGTGCCACAGAAAATCGCAGGGAGCAGCTCACGGGTGGGGGTGGGGGCAGGGGAGGCTTCTCTGGAGCAAGGAGGCGCAGCAGGGTGCTCCTGGCGGAGGGATCGGCGGGTGCAAAGGCCCCGGCGTGAGACGGGCAGTGAGGGGTGGATGGGGCAAAGGCTCAGCCCAGGCACTGGGAGCCTGGGTAGCAGGAAAGGACCTTCTCTGGTGCCCTGAAGGGCACCGCAGAGACCCTGTGGAGGCCAAAGCTGAGGCAGCCCAAGGCTTTCTCTTTCCCAGCAGGGCATCGGTTGCAGCAGTGACCTTGACCTTCAGGTTTTGGGGTACACAAGGGCAGAGACTGCAGCACTGTGCCAGACTCAGGAGAGGACCATCGTCCCTACCCCACACCTTTAGGGAAAGGTAAACTAGAAATACATTCCCCCAACTGAAGCCAGTTGCCTGCAGCAGCAGTGGACACCAAGCAGGCCCTGGATGTGAGTGAGTGAGTGAATGAGTAAGTGAGTGAATAAGTGAATGTGTGAGTGAATGAATGAATGAGTGAATCAGTGAGTGAGTGAATGAGTGAATGAGTAAAGAATGAATGAGTGAATGAGTGAGCGAATGAGTGAATGAATGAGTGAATGAGTGAATGAATAAGTGTATCAGTGAGTGAGTGAATGAATGAGTGAATGAGTAAAGAGTGAATGAGTGAATGAATGAGTGAATGAATGAAGAATGAGTGAGTGAATGAATGAAGAAAGAATGAGTGAGTGAACGAATAAAGGATGAGTGAGTGAATGAATGAGTGATAGGAAAGCTGTCCTCTAGGTGCTATCAGGAGTGCTTTGTAGCAGGGTGATCCCAGGCATGTGGTCTGAACGGCTGTGCACATCTCCCTGGCAGGCGGCTGACCCAGCTCTACAGGGCCAGGCAAGGTGGTCCCAGCCTGGTGGGCAGCAACACTGCTGGGGGTGACGCAGGGTCTGGTGGGCACACCGAGACCAGGAGGACACTGGACCCTTGCTGGGGATGCTGCGGCCATGGGCCTCTCTCATGTGGTGGGTCCGTAGTGTGTCTTGTCCCCTTGTCCTTGAGCTGAGTGGCGGCCACTCAGCGGGCTCAGCAACCCCCTGCAGGTGGCCATGGTGCTGAGGTCCTCAGAGGATGTCTCACCACACCTGAGCCCTGAGGCCCCACCTGCCCTCCACAGGTGTGCGGCTTCTGTCTACAGGAAGGCGTTTTGCTCACCAGTGTGTACGTGTTGGTTGGGACTGTGGTCTTCTTGCAAAAGTCAGAAATGTAGTTCCAGGTCTTGTCCCTCAGGGTCAGCCGGTGCCTGGCACTGGTGGGGGGATGCTGTTTCTTCCTCTTTTCCTCCTCAGCCTCCTCTTTCAGAATCCGACTGATGATCTCCTGCTTTCTGAGCTTCTGCTCCTCCTCAAAGGCCCTGCGTGGAGTCGCTTCTCAGATGAGTGCAAGAGGTCCCCTGCCTCCACCTTGCCCCAGATGAGACAGTGCCCGGCGGCCCCTCCCTAGCGCCCTCCTGGGGGCTCCGGTCCTGCCCAGCAGCCCCAGGTGAGACAGCGCCTGGCGGCCCCTCCCTAGCTCCCTCCTGGGGACTCCATCCTACCCAGCAGGGCTCTTGGGGTGGGAACTTCCTGGTCCTGGAGCTAAACGCAAGCTCCAGTGGGAAGCAGATGGGCAGAGGCCAAGCCAGAGGTTCCAGGCTTAAACCCCAGCCCTGCCCTGCCCAGTCCATCCCTGCCAAGCCCAGTCCTGCTCAGTCCTGCCCAGCCCTGCCCAGCCCTGCCCAGCCCAGCCTAGCCCTGCCCAGCCCTGCCCTGCCCAACCCAGCCCTGCCCAGCCCTGCCCAACCCAGCCCTGCCCTGCCCTGCCCAGCCCAGGCCTTCCCAGCCCAGCCCTGCACTGCCCAGCCCTGCCTTGCCCAGCCCTGCCCTGCCCAGCCCAGCCCAGACCTTCCCAGTCCAGCCCTGCCAAGCCCAGCCTTGCCCAGCTTAGCCCTGCCCTGCCCAGCCCAGCCCATCCCTTCCAAGTCCAGTCCTGCCCAGCCCTGCCCAGCCCAGCCCTGCCCGGCCCAGCCCTGCCCACTTCGCAGCCCAGTCCCCCAGCAGCCTTGGCTGCCCGGAGGGCTTCTTCCAAGCCCTTATTTCTAGGCTGGCGTGGGGCTGCCACTGAGAGTAGCACCAGGGCTAAAGATGTTCATCCACTCACTGCAGCTGCACTTCCCGGGTGCCTCCTACATGCCAGGCCTGCGCCAGGCTAAGGGATGTATAGGCGGTGGAGCTGCTGCCAGGACCCCCCCGCCCAGGTGGGCAGGCTGATGGGTGGTGGAGAACTCTGATCGTGACTCAGGGGGGTGGGGAGGACGCACTCAGGGCTCTGTGGCACCCAGAGGAGGATGCCTTGCCCAGTGAGAGGGCCAGGAGCCCCCGCCCAGGCAGATCCTAAGCAGTGATTGGCCAGGGCCGTGGACAGGGAGACTGGGATGGGGAGAAAGGGCCAGGCTCCCGGGATGAGGGCAGCTTCGGGCAAAACCCAGGACAGGGTGGTTTGCGTGGAGGTCACTGGGGAGCGTTACGGGCAGGGCTGGGAAAGGCGAGACTGAGCGGGAGAGAGGGGCCTTGTAGGAACCTGGCCCCGAGGTCTGGATCTCAGGAAGCCCAGTGGGGCCCGTGGGTGGGGGGTCCGAGAGGGCAACATGGGCCCCCGTTTGGAGAAGAACAGAGAGTGAAGCCAGAAGCAACGTGTTCACCACGGACCCAAGCTGGCAGGAGGTGGTCTGAGGGGCCAGGAGGGCCCCAAGGCCGTGGCAGCAGGAAGCCAGGTGGACGGCCCTGGACAGGGAGTGAGCAAGGGCAGGCCCAGCAGCACCAGGTTCCCTGGAGGGGCCTGGTGCTCCCTGGAGACTTCTGGGTGGGCCAGGAAAGAGCCCGCCAGTCCCTCCTTGTGAGAAGTCAGGACAGGAGCCGGAGGCTCTCGACAGGGGCCGGGGTTTCAGCGTCTGGGAGGGGAGAAGGGGCCGAGGGTTGGGCGTGGACTGGAGTAGGGGCAGGGCTGGGCAGGCTGAGTCAGGCCCAGGCAGGGCAAGGGTAGCAGCCTGGAGCCCCTGTTCCCGTGCCCCACAGCCGCCTGAGTGGGCGCCCTGGGAGAGAGAGCAGCTTTGCTCAATGTGAAGCCGAACCCCCTTGGCTCTCCCTGCACCCACTGACTGGGCGGGTGCCTCCCGGTGGCACCTCTGCCACCACCCTCACCTCTTCTGGGCCTCCAGCTCCTGGCGCCGGCGCTGGTGGACAAGGTGCCTGAATGCATCCCTGCCCTGGGCCAGAATCGCCTTCTTCTCAGCCTGGACCCTCTGCTCCGCCAGCTCTGCCTTGGCACGGTCCCATGCTTGGAACTTCCGCAGTGTGTCCTTGGAAACAGAGAGCACTGAGATGACAGCAGCAGCACCCACGGGCACATGCACACGCTCACACCTGCACATGTGCACACACAGGTTCATACATGCACACGTGCACACACGTGCACACACACATGCACACCTGCACATGCACACATCACACATGCACACCTGCACACACGTGCACACACACACGCACACCTGCACATGCACACATCACACATGCACACCTGCACACACGTGCACACACATGCTCACACACGCACACCTGCACACACTCATACATGCACACCTGCACACGTGTGCACACACATGCTCACACGTGCACACACATGCTCGCACATGCACACCTGGACACACATGCACACCTGCACACACGTGCACAGACGTGCTTACATGCACACCTGCACACATACGCGTGCACGCCTGCACACACATGCACACACTCACGCATGCACACACATGCAAACCTGCACACACGTGCACATACACGCTCACACATGCACACCTGCAGACACTTGCACACCTGCACACACGTGCACACACATGCACACCTGCACACACACGGTCACACATGCACACACGTGCACACACGGTCACACATGCACACATGCACACACACATGCAAACGTGCACACACACATGCTCACACACTGGGCCGTTGAACAGATGTCCTTAAACCAATGTTGACGCCTGCAGATCCTGTGAGAGACCACTGGCAAACTGTCCGCACATCCCAAGCGTGGGGCTGGGTGTCCCTGCACGTCACCTGCCCGCCTCTGCTCCTCACCTCTGAGCCTTTGCAGATGCTGTTCCCACTCTTCCCTCCATTTTCCCAGCCTGAATCCCCAGCCTTGGCCCCAGGGCATGGCCTCGAGGCACCCAGGCCCTCCATGTGTCTCATGAGGACGCCACTGCTTCCCCAACAAGACCAGGCCCCATGGGAGCAGGGCTGGGGTGCCTGCTCCTGCCTGACTCCAGTGCCTGGCCCTGACCCACACGGAACCCGTGGGCAAATCTGTGGCACAGGCTCGGGAAGCCTCCAGGGGTCACCAAGTGCGCGGGTCAGCCCTGGACGCCAGAGGACACGGGCCTGGCTCCCAAGGAGCAGGGGCCCAGGGACGGACCCCGGCAGGGCGCCAAGGGAGAGGCTGGGTGGGGCTGCGGGGGCCTACCCGGTTCGCGGAGATGCTGCCCTTCAGCGCCACCACCGCATCCATGCGTCGCCTCATGTACTCGTGGCACTCCATCTCCTCCTTCTTCTCTTGCTCTCGGATTCTGAGGAAGGACATTTAAACATTTTTGAGGCTCTGTCGCCCAGGCTGGTGTGCAGTGGTGCGATCACAGCTCTCTGCAGCCTCGACCTCCCAGGCTCAAGTGATCCTCCTGTCTCAGCCTCCCAAAGCGCTGGGATCACAGGCATGCACCACCACAAACGGCCACATTTTTAACCGAGGAAGTGACACAGCGATGCCGTGTGGGGTGTTAATTACAGGAGCCTCGGTGCTATCATTTCCACCAGGAATGTGATTAATGGTGAGAACACAAGAGGTGGGATGGGCAAAAGGTGCTGGCGCAGAGGCCGGGCCATGACGACATGGTGGGAACATGCCCTGGAGGGCCAGGCCACGAGGACATGGCGGGAACACGCCCAGCGCATCTCAAGGGCCTCTTCTGAAAAGAAACAGTACCTCAGCACTAAAAATACACACTTATTGGTTTTTGATGATAAGGTGGTGATTCAATAATAAAATCAGGAGGCTGGGTGCAGTGGCTCACGCCTGTAATCCCGGCACTTTGGGAGGCTGAGGCGGGCAGATCACCTGAGGTCAGGAGTTCAAGACCAGCCTGGTCAACATGGTGAAACCCCATCTCTACTAAAAATACAAAAATTAGCCGGGCATGGTGGCGCGTGCCTGTAATCCCAGCTACTCAGGAGGCTCAGGCAGGAGAATCGCTTGAACCCGGGAGGCGGAGCAGTGAGCCGAGATCGCGCCACGGCACCCCAGCCTGGGCGACAGAGCAAGGCTCCATCTTAAATAAATAAATAATAAAATCAGGGCATTTCAAGACAAAAGCAAGTGACCCGTATTCTTGGGTTTCTCCTTAAGGACGTCGAAGGGAGGCCCTACCTTCCCAGGGAGGCCTTCAGGAACCGCACGGCAACCTTGTGGTTCTTCCGGGCGTCCTCCAGCAGCTTCTGGTGCCTGAGCCCGAGCTCCTTCTGGGTGTTCAGGGACTTCCTGTGGGGATATGGGGCCGTCAGAGGGAAACTCGGCATCACACGTCCCATCTGCCCCCAAGCCCTGCACGGCTGGAGCTCGTGTCCCAGAGACGCCGTGGGCCCTTTCGCTCAGCTCTGTCCCGCACAGCCTCCCTTGGGGAGGAGCGAGGGTCCCTGGAGAGCTGATGCCGTGGGCCACACAGATGTCAAACTCTCCACGCTACTGGGGCTCCAGTGCCAGGGAGCCACCAAAGGCAAGGTTTGATCCCAGCTGGGCAGGGGTCTGGGAAGAGGACGGTGCAGGCACAGCAGTGCTGTGGGGAGGGAGGAGGCAGGGGCTGGGGACCTTGTGTCTGCAGCCAGGGCCTGGATTCCACAGGGGTTTGTGGCCTGGGCAGCTGAAGGGAAGGAATGAGATGGGGGAGGGGATGGAGGCCAGAAGGGGGTCCCGAGGAGAGAGGCTCACGGCAGGTTGGGACAGCTGGCCTGATGGCCTGTGGAGCACTTGGGGACTGGCCTAGTAGGTGGCCGGGCCCTGGCTGAGCAGGAGACTCATGACAGAAGACGTGTGGGGAATGGGCCTGAGTGCTCCACAGCCACGCAGGTGGGGGCCGTGGGAGGGGTGCAAAGGAGCAGCCAGAGGTGGGGATGGAGCCCAGAGAATGGCCTGGCTGGGAAGAGGAAGGGGCTGCCGGAGGGAAAGGGGAGGGGCAGTCTTGCTGGAGCGTGGCTTTAGTAGCCAGCTTTAGCGGCTGTATGGTGGCTGCGGCATCTTGGGAGGGCTGGGGCTCTGGGCAGGTGCAGGGGAGTGCCTGACACTTGGGAAGGACTCAAGGGCCCGGTGGAGGAGCAAGCTGGGAGGAGGCAGGGAGGGGTGGAGGTGGATCTGGACAGATGTGGAGGGCGAGGCTGAATCTGGAGACCCCTGGGGGAGAGGGCGGAGGGGCTGGCAGAAGCTGCTGGGAAGGGATGGAGGTGGGCCTGGGTGTCGCCTACCTGATCCTCAGCAGTCGGTTCCGCTCCACCTTCCCCAGGGCCTCCTGCTCTCTGCAGAGCTGCTCGGCTGCGCGCACCTGGAGCCGCCGCCCCGTGGCCTCCACCTCCTCACGGTCAGCTGTCCGGAAGGCCTCGAGTCGCCCCTCCTGGATCTCGATGTGCCACATGGTGTTCCTTCAAACAAGAGGCAAAGCAGCTGGAGACGGGCCCCACAGTCATCCTGGGGTGGGGGTTTCGGCATTGAGTTCTGACAAATCCTCCAGGCAGATGTTGAACACCCCAGATGGGTTAGCTCCCTCCTCTAGGGGCCATCTCCGCTCTGAGTCACCCAGACACTGAGGCCCGCCCTGCCTGCCTCCAACCTCAGGAAAATCACTATGGGTTCAATCCAGCCCGGCTAGAGCCTGGCCTGCACTCCCGCGTGCCACCTGCCGGCCTGAGGCTGTGTCCGTTGGCTGCGGTGGGCCTGGGGCAGGCCCTGCCCAGCCTGAGGAAGGCCTTCAGGAAGGGACAGCCGTGACTCTTTGGCTGGGCTGGAGGATCCCTGGTGCAAATTGACCGGCACCCAAGACCACCCCTCAGTCTTCAAATGTGCCTGGGGTGGGGGCTATGGAGCGTGGAGTCAGCCAGCCCTGCCCGGGGCCACATGTCCTGGATGACAGGGGACCTGCCTGACCCCTGGTCTTGGGCGAATTTGTCCTCGACTGTGAGTGTGGCGTCTGTGGTGGCCCCAGATGACACAGTGCCCCTTGGTTCTTGGCACAACTCAGGGAAATTTCCGGTGAATCTTTAGTTGGAGGAGTGCGTGTGCTGTGGAGGCTCAGGCTGGGAAAGTTCCTTCTGAGGATGTGGACAGTGTCCTTCTAACAGCGGCCAGGTGAGAGCCGCTGGAGAGGCGGCCTGGAAAGAGACACCTGGTGGAGGGATGCAAGGAGCCGCTCCTGGAGACTGCGAACGGTTCCACCCAGAGATGCGGCTCAGGCCGGGGCTGGCCACGCGAGGATCAGAACCCTGGACAAGGTCAGACGCAGGCGTTGAGCCGGCATCCTCACTGCATTGCTGACATTCCACGTGACGTGTGCCACAGCTCTGTCCTAGACACCCGCGATCATGTTCATTTCCACTTCGTCTTTCGTTAAAAGCTTTTCCTGTGGAGCCGAGTCCAGTCTCTCTCCCCACTGCAACACCCGGGGCAGGGGTCCCACCGCCTTGGCCCTCCGTGAATAAAGTCTGCTTTACATCTTTTTGAAAAAATCATGAACATATGTTGAATTGAGATACTCAATGGTTTTCTCTTTTAACGTGTTAATGTCAAGGATTTCTAACGTTGAGCCTTTTTCGGGGCTCCTAGGATATAAACTCCAACTTGGCAAGGGAGGTGTGTCTGCGTGTCTCACACGTGGCTGGATTTCAATGTTGAATGTTTGATTTGGGGTTTTCTGATTTGCCTCCTGAGATCGGGTTCTACTTTCCCTCTCTCGTACGCCCACTTGGTTTTGGCATCGAGGTTGTGTCACTGCATTTTAGAAACTGGGCATACCATGTTCTTTGTTGGGGTAATTTTAAACAGAGGGCTCCTTTCCAGGGAGCATGGGTCACTTCGGATCTCTGGCTGGTGTCCTGTCATGCAGCACGTTCATTGCTCCCCAAGTCTGGGGGACTCCGCGGAGCTTCCACGGGCGGGTTATTTCTATTCCTCCCTCGCGTGACTCATGAAATTCTTTAATCTGAGGATTCATGCTCCCATCAATTCTGGAAAACGCTCAGTCATTGTTCTGCTGGCTGTCACTTCCCCTGCCCGGTGATCAGTGCTCCAGTGGCCGTGGGAGCTAACAGCCTGCAGGGTCTCTTAGTAAAGAGGCAAGACGCTGTCCCAGATGCTGTCGTCGCCCATTCCTGCTGCTGTAGGAAAACACCCACGACCGGGTCTTCGCAAACAACAGAATTTCATTCCTCAGTTCTGGAGGCCGGGAAGTCCAAGGTCAAGGTGCCAGCAGCTTCGATGGCCTATGAAAGCCTGTTCCTCAAAGGCAGTGCCTGTCTGTGTCCTCACGTGGCAGAGGGACAGAAAGGCTCCCTCAAGCCCTTTTACGAGGCACTAATCGCCCCCACGAGGGCAGGGCCCCCATGGCCGAATCTCCCAGAGACCCCACCTCTTCCTGCCGTCACCTCCAGGGCGGATTTGGTTTGGACGCGTGTCCCCCGCAGGTCTCGTGTTGAACCGGAGCCCCCAGTGTTGGAGGTGGGCCTGGTGGGAGGTGTTGGGGTCGTGGGGCGGCTCCCTCATGAACGGGTGGGCCGTCTCCTTGGTGACGAGTGAGTTCACGGAAGATCTGGATCTTTGAAAATGTGTGGCACCTCCACCCTCTTGCTTCCCCTCTCACCATGGGAGACACGGCTCCTTCCCCTTCCACTGTGATTGGAGGCTTCCAGAGGCTTCCCGAGGCGCCCCGAGAAGCAGATGCCATCACGTTCCCTGTACAGCCTGCAGAACCCTGACCAATCAAACCTCTTTTCTTCTTATTTTTATTTCTTTTAAAATGAGTCTTGCTCTCTCCGCCAGTCTGGAGTGCAGCGGCATGATTTCAGCTCACTGCAAACTCCACCTCCCGGGTTCAAGCAATTCTCCCGCCTCAGCCTCTTGAATAGCTGGGATTACAGGCATGCACCACCACGCCCAGCTAGTTTTTGTATTTTTAGTAGAGACGGGGTTTCACCATGTTGGCCGGGCTGGTCTCAAACTCCTGACCTCAGGTGATCTGCCCACCTTGGCCTCCCAAAGTGCTGGGATTACAGGTGTGAGTCACTGTGTCTGGCCCAAACCTCTTTTCTTTTTTTTTTGAGACAGTCTCGCTCTGTTGCCCAGGCTGGAGTACAGTGGTGCGGTCTCAGCTCACTGCAAGCTCCGCCTCCCGAGTTCACGCCATTCTCCTGCCTCAGCTTCCTGAGTAGCTGGGACTACAGGTGCCTGCCACCATGCCCGGCTAATTTTTTGTATTTTTTTTAGTAGAGACGGGGTTTCACCGTGTTAGCCAGGATGGTCTCAATCTCCTGACCTCATGATCCACCCACCTTGGCTTCCCAAGGTGCTGGGATTACAGATGTGAGCCACCTCGCCCAGCCACCTCTTTTCTTTATATGACCCAGTGTCAGGCATTTCTTTATAGTGACACAAAGACTGACGAACAATAGCGTTGAGTTCCAGCAGACCAATTTCAGGGGCACTGGCCTTCAGACCACAGCAGAGGCTGATTGGGAAAGATTGGGATTTTGAGAATGGGAGGGAGGACATTTGAGGGTATCTGCACACATCTGAGCGAGTGCCCCAAACCGCCAAGCCCCTCTGCATATCCGTCCACAGGGAAGCAGCCTTCCCCTCCCTCGAAGGCAGGCTCTGCTGCCTGGGGGCCCCGTAACACCTCCCTGAGGGGCTGCCAGAGCTCCTCATGACCCCCTTGCCATCCTCTCTGGCCCAGATGCTCCCAGGGGCAAGAACAAAGTCTGAACTGAACTGAGAGGAGAAGGATCCCAGAGGAGAAGAATGTAGCCAATCTACACAGCAGGACGTGGGGGAAGGTGTGTGGGAATGAATTCCAACCCTGCCAGACCGCAGAGGGAAGAGCCTGTCCGAGGCTGGCCTGGGCATCTGATGTGGACATGCCACCAGCTCACCCACCCACTGCAGGCGGCTCCCATCACAAACTCAGCTGATCGAGGAAACCTGGACCCAAGAGAGACCTACACTGCAGAAAGCTAGATGCCAGAAAGTCATGCAGAAGGAATCCAAATGTTTGGAGAGACAACCCGTTGGAAAGTTTGTTGTTGCTGTTGTTGAGATGGTGTCTCGCTCTGTGGCCCAGGCTGGAGTGCAGTGGCGCAGTCTCAGCTCACTGCATCCTTGACCTCCTGGGCTTGCTTAATCAATCCTCCCACCTCAGCCTGTAATCTTGAGTAGCTGGGATTACAGGTGCACGCCACCACACCCAGCTAAGTTTGGTATTTTTTGTACAGATGGGGTTTCACCATGTTCCCAGGCTGATCTCAAACTCCGGGGCTCAAGCGATCTGCCCACCTTGGCCTCCCAAAGTGTTGGGATTACAGGCGTGAGCCACTGCATCCAGCTGTTGGTGAGTGTGACAGTGAGTGTGACCACATATAGAAGACATGTTCTTCATTATGGCTCCAGTGAGGAGAGTCCTGTGCCCTTTGAAAGCACCGAGGGGCACTCCGGACTGCGCGGGGGCCTGGCAGGGATGTTGCCTTTGAGGGGCTCCCTGTTGCCTTGGGGCGATGCTGGACCTGGGAGGGGTGGTGGAGCCCTGGGGTGCTGCTAGGCCTGGGAGGGAGCCGGGCTGGTTCCTCGGTGGGCAGCAGGGCAGCGTGTCTCAGCGGGGATGGGTGGAAGGGGTTTGGGGCGGTGGTTAATTGATTTTGGGGTCCCTAGGGCTGAAGTAGATGGGGACCCCACTCAAGTCCAGTTTATCTGAAGAGCCAGTGTGGTCAGTCGCAGAGGTGATGATGAAGGTTGGAGGCTGGACAGATGGGACCTGGCTGGTTTTGAAGATGGAGGAGGAACGCAGGCAGCTTTGGAGCTGGAAAAGGCGAGGACATGGATTCTCCTCGGAGGCTTCCGTGGGGAACCAGCCCTGCCCACACCTTGACTTTAGCCCAGTGGGACCCGTGTTGGGCCAATGACCTCTAGAACTGCAAGCTCATAAATCCGCGTCCTGCTGAGCTGTTAGGTTTGTGGATTTGTCACTGCAGCGATGGGATACGGGTGCAGTCAGGGAAGCCTCAGAGCAGGCCGGGACACAGCACCAGCGCCCTGCCGTGGGTCCCATGTGGCCAAGCGGGGTGCACACAAAGCCTCTTCTTCGTGCTGAGCTGGGCGTGGGAAGGCATCATGTGACGAGGCTGCACAGAACACGTGTGTCGTGCTGAGCTGGGCGTGGGAAGGCGTCACGTGACGAGGCTGCACAGAACACGTGTGTCGTGCTGAGCTGGGCGTGGGAAGGCGTCATGTGACGAGGCTGCACAGAACATGCGTGTGGTACTGAGCTGGGCGTGGGAAGGTGTCACGTGACAAGGCTGCACAGAACATGTGTGTGGTACTGAGCTGGGCGTGGGAAGGCATCATGTGACAAGGCTGCACAGAACACGTGTGTCGTGCTGAGCTGGGCGTGGGAAGGCGTCATGTGACGAGGCTGCACAGAACACGTGTGTCGTGCTGAGCTGGGCGTGGGAAGGCGTCATGTGACGAGGCTGCACAGAACACGTGTGTCGTGCTGAGCTGGGCGTGGGAAGGCATCATGTGACAAGGCTGCACAGAACATGCGTGTGGTACTGAGCTGGGCGTGGGAAGGCGTCACGTGACAAGGCTGTGCAGAACACGCGTGTGGTACTGAGCTGGGCGTGGGAAGGCGTCACGTGATGAAGCTGCACAGAACACGCGTGTGGTACTGAGCTGGGCGTGGGAAGGCGTCACGTGACGAAGCTGCGCAGAACACGCGTGTGGTACTGAGCTGGGCGTGGGAAGGTGTCACGTGACGAGGCTGCGCAGAACATGCGTGTGGTACTGAGCTGGGTGTGGGAAGGCATCACGTGACGAGGCTGCGCAGAACACGTGTGTCGTGCTGAGCTGGGCGTGGGAAGGTGTCGCGTGACGAGGCTGCGCAGAACACGCATGTCATGCTGAGCTGGGTGTGGGAAGGCGTCACGTGACGAGGCTGTGCAGAACACGCGTGTGGTACTGACCTGGGTGTGGGAAGGCGTCACATGACGAAGCTGCGCAGAACACGCGTGTGGTACTGACCTGGGTGTGGGAAGGCGTCACATGACGAAGCTGCGCAGAACACACGTGTCGTGCTGAGCTGGGCATGGGAAGGTGTCACGTGACGAGGCTGCGCAGAACACGCGTGTGATCGCTCACGGCCTGCCTCCCACCACCGAAGCAGCCTCCACCAGGCAGGGCTCTGCTGCTTCATTCATGGGAGAGGCCCAAAGGCTTCGGACGGCGTCTGGCACGCAGTGGGCACCCTCTTACCGCGTGGGGAGGACGGGTGAACGAGAGTGTATCTAAGCCACCGGCACAGATCGCAGTGGGCGCCCTCTTACCGCGTGGGGAGGACGGGTGAACGAGAGACTGTATCTAAGCCACCGGCACAGATCGCAGTGGGCGCCCTCTTACCGCGTGGGGAGGACGGGTGAACGAGAGACTGTATCTAAGCCACCGGCACAGATCGCAGTGGGCGCCCTCTTACCGCGTGGGGAGGACGGGTGAACGAGAGACTGTATCTAAGCCACCGGCACAGATCGCAGTGGGCGCCCTCTTACCGCGTGGGGAGGACGGGTGAACGAGAGACTGTATCTAAGCCACCGGCACAGATCGCAGTGGGCGCCCTCTTACCGTGTGGGGAGGACGGGTGAACGAGAGACTGTATCTAAGCCACCGGCACAGATCGCAGTGGGCGCCTCACAGCAGCCCCCGGGCACAGGGATGGGACCTGCGCAGGCGCTGAGGACCGGGAGGTGGTGTGAGCGGGCAGGGTCGTCTCTAGGGCCTTCTTTGGGGGTTCCTGGGACCTGCTGGCCAGGAAATGCCCGTGAGTCCACAGACGCTTCTGCCAGCCCATGGCCCCTTGCGTGCAGAGATGCTGGTCCTGGGAGAGCTGCGGGTGAGACACATGCAGCATCCCGTCTC
Source organism: Homo sapiens (assembly GCF_000001405.40). NCBI lineage: Eukaryota > Metazoa > Chordata > Mammalia > Primates > Hominidae > Homo > Homo sapiens. Next base: position 1,980,725 of record NC_000001.11, read on the forward strand.
CAAGATGATTCCAAGGACCCTCGGCTGTTCATGCCTGAAGCCCCTCCACGGGGTCTCTCTCGGGCTGGCCTGAACACCCCAAGCCCAACCCCCTGCCCAGACCACGACCCTCAGAAACCGAGACCCTCAGAAACCGAGACCATCACGCCTGCTGCCTTAGGCGGCTAAGGGCTGGGGCGGCCTGTTCTGTGGCTGCGGATGACGCGCATGGTGTGGCAGCAGGGACACGTGCTGGGGAAGGTTCAGGTGCTGTTTCCAGAACGCGGTTTGGGTCCCGAAGCAGCGGCCAGCCTCGTGGCCGCCACCTGTCCCAGAGCCACAACGGAGGCCTCCCGGGACCGACGCTGGAAGCGGGGACCACGCTCTCCAAGCTGCCCCTCGCACACACCCGTGCTATTTCGTTTCTGTGCTCTCTCCGTTGGGCTCTACCGCTGGAAGCCCCCGTTCCAGAGGGAGGAGGCCTTGCAGAGACCCTGCAACAATCCCACTGAGTGGAAGCTGAAGCTGCACCCAGCCGTCCAGTGCCCCTGTGCCCGCAGTGCCCAGAGACGACAAAAGGAGTCACCACATTGGCCACGGAGACCTTGACTGCGAGAGGGAGGGGGCGCTGCCTCCAACGGGACCCAGCGGGAAAGCGCCTGGAACCCGGGGACCCTCGGGGGCTGGCACAGCCAGCCGCGGACAGACACGGGGGCACGCAGGACACCCAGCCGCGGACAGACACGGGGGCACGCAGGACACCCAGCCGCGGTCACACGCGGGGGCACGCAGGACACCCAACCACGGACAGACATGGGGGCACGCAGGACACACAGCCGCGGACAGACACGGGGGGCACACAGGACACCCAGCCGTGGACAGACACGGGGACACGCAGGACACACAGCCGCGGACAGACACGGGGGCACGCAGGACACACAGCCGCGGACAGACACAGGGGCACGCAGGACACCCAGCCGCGGACAGACACGGGGGCACGCAGGACACCCAGCCGCGGACAGACACGGGGGCACGCAGGACACCCAGCCGCGGTCACACGCGGGGGCACGCAGGACACCCAGCCGCGGTCACACGCGGGGGCACGCAGGACACCCAACCGCGGACAGACACGGGGGCACGCAGGACACCCAGCCGCGGACAGACACGGGGGCACGCAGGACACACAGCCGCGGACAGACACGGGGGCACGCAGGACACACAGCCGCGGACAGACACGGGGGCACGCAGGACACACAGCCGCGGACAGACACGGGGGGCACGCAGGACACCCAGCCGTGGACAGACACGGGGACACGCAGGACACCCAGCCGTGGTCACATGCGGGGACACGCAGGACACCCAGCCGTGGTCACATGCGGGGACACGCAGGACACCCAGCCACGGACAGACACGGTGACACACAGGACACCCAGCCACGGACAGACACGGGGACACACAGGACACCCAGCCACGGACAGACACGGGGACACGCAGGACACCCAGCCGTGGTCACACGCGGGGACACGCAGGACACCCAGCCGTGGTCACACGCGGGGACACGCAGGACACCCAGCCGTGGTCACACGCGGGGACACGCAGGACACCCAGCCGTGGTCACACGCGGGGACACGCAGGACACCCAGCCGTGGTCACACGCGGGGACATGCAGGAGTCCCAGCTGTGGTCACACGCAGGGACATGCAGGACACCCCGCCAGGGACAGACACGGGGACACGCATATGCATGAGCCCCATGCCTCAGGCTGTGCCCAGGAGCTCCATCGGAGCACCCTGCAAACATCTGCTGGAGTGAAGTCCTAGAAAATTTAACACTGGGTGGAGAGCAGACCAGAGGTTGCCTGGTGGGGTGGGGCTACCCACTGAAGATATGCAGGGAACGTTCCAGATGCTTTGTACTGCATGCAAATTAGACCCAGATAAAGCTGACTTAAAGGAAAGTCCACGGGCAGTCCGGCAGCAGCCGGGCCCACAGGAGGAGGGCGGCAGGTGGGCTCCGGGCGCTCGGGGCCGCCTGCGGGTAGGGATGGGGCAACTACCTGCCCGAAATGAGGGTGGTGGGAGGCAGGGTTCACACCATCAGAGAAGGGGGTGAAATAGACCTGTGGCTTTGGTTGCAATTGGAATTACAGATGTGAACGGGTGGTTTTCAATACAGGCAGGCAGAGCTGCGTGCGTTTCCCACCTCTGTCTACTGACGGTTAAGGGTCTGGGTCCAGGCAAGGGCAGGGAAGAAGAAGGGAACCTGAGCCTCTCACTGTGCCCGAAAACGCCCACAGAGCGGCAGACACGAACGCAGGATGCGGAAGGATGCCACCGCCAAACGCAAGGCGGCTGGAGCACCCAGACCAATCCTGATGGGCCGGATCATACCCGCAGGGACACAGCACCCCCAGCCTACACGGAGAGCGATCACGGAGGGGGAACGCTCCCCTAACGGTGGAAAGCCAACTAATAGGAAGGGATGGTGCAACTGGAAACTCACCCCTTAGAAGCCATCACAGCAGGAATGAATTCTGGCAAGAAACACGGAGGGATGCCAGCGCTCGTGTGAAAGGGGACACGGAGCGGGATTTCCCAGCCTCAAAGCTTCTGCCCACAAGCTACGCATCAGTTTCCAAGGGAACGGTGTCGCTGCACTGAAGAAGCCAGCGGCCCCACAGTGGGGCTGGCAGCCATCACGTGTCCCATGAGAGGACACCCGAGGGACTGGTCATCACCCCCAGGGGCATCGAGCACGGGCGCTGTGCGGGACAGCCCCTGGCCTGCAATCCTCAGAACCGCAACGTCCGCCTGTCACAGAAGAACCGAGGCTCCTTCTGACTGGGGGAGGCGAGGGGCCACCCTCGACACAACGCCACATGGGCTTCAGGCACGGCTCTGGGATGCGGGGCCGAGGGGCACAGGGGGTCTTGCTGCCATTCTGCAGCTCTTCTGTAAGTTCGGAATTGTTTCAAAATAAAACTTTATTTATTTATTTATTTTTGAGACGGAGTCTCGCTCTGTCGCCCAGGCTGGAGTGCAGTGACGCAATCTTGGCTCACTGCAAGCTCCGCCTCCCGGGCTCACGCCATTCTCCTGCCTCAGCCTTCCGAGTAGCTGGGACTACAGGCGCCTGCCAGCACGCCCGGCTAATTTTTTGTATTTTTAGTAGAGATGGGGGTTTCACCGTGTTAGCCAGGATGGTCTCGATCTCCTGACCTTGTGATCCACCCGCCTCGGCCTCCCAAAGTGCTGGGATGACAGGCGTGAGCCACCGCGCCCAGCCATTTTTTTTTTTTTTAAAAGACAGAGTCTTGCTCACTCTGTCGCCCAGGCTGGAGTGTGGCAGTGGCGCAATCTTGGCTCACTGCAACCTCTACCTCTGGGCTCCAGCGATTCTCCTGCCTCAGCCTCCCGAGTAGCTGGGATTACAGGCATGCACCACCACGCCCAGTTAATTTTTGTATTTTTAGTAGAGACAGGGTTTCGCTATGTTGCCTGGGCTGGTCTTGAACTCCTGACCTCAGGTGATCCACCAGCCTGGGCCTCCCAAAGTGTTGGGATTATAGGCATGAGCCACTGGGCCCAGCCCAAAAACTTTTTTTTTTTTTTTTTTTAAAGAAGTGGACAATCACATCAACCTAGTAAAGTGAGGCCTTCTGGGGTTCATTAGCCCTGTGAAGCCCCTCACCCTGGCGCAGGTGCTGCTGAGCAGTGAGAGGGGCATGACAGAGCCAGTTGTCAAAGGAGTGTCGCAGGGGACAGTGTTCTCCACGCTCAGCCACAGCTGGGTTCAGCGTCCTGTCCTCCCCTGCACCCCTCCCACTGCCCACACAGGTGGGGCCACAGTGCAGGGCACTGGACACCAGCTTGGGTCGTGACTGTATCACAGCGAGCGTGGGTCAGAGACTGGGCCAGAAACTACGTCACAGCAAGTGTGGGTCAGAGACTGGGTCGTGACTACATCACAGTGAGTGCAGGTCAGAGACTGGGTCAAAGCTCAGTGGTGTCTTCAGTGGAGTGAGGCTGAGATGTTAGGTTGCATGAGGGCTGGCGGCATGGGCACTCTTAGGGGTGGGGTGGCCTGAGGCCTGCACTCAGCCCTCTCTGTGCCTCCTGCCCTGCCCAGGCTGGAAAGCTTAGGTCATCCCGGGCACGTGCAGGGTCAGTGCTGTGGATGTCATGGACCTGGCTGCAGCTCCCGGGGCTGGGGGCTGTGTGGTTCGGGAGTCCTACTTGAGGTCAGCTCAGGGTCCCCTCAGTCGCCCTGAGAAATTCGTGCACCTTCCCAAACCCCTTCTTGCCAAACTCGCCGAAGGCAACTCGACGCATCCAACCCAACTCCACAGGAAAGCATTTAGGACGAGGCAGCTGTCTCTCTCCTGGGCTTTGAAAACCCAGCTCGCTGTTCTGTGGAAGCACAAAGCATGAGAAACGAGGAAAGAGGAAAAAGAACCTGATTTTGGAGTTCCTAGGAACATAAACAAACCCAGAGAAACTGAAAAAGGCAACGTGAAGACTAACCCTTCCAACCACTGCATTCACCGAGTCCCCTTTCCACTTCCCCGCAGTTTGCCGGTCAGGTGCAAAACCCCCCAGATCTTGCTCTCTGCCCCCAGATGGGAAGGACTCGCACCGTTCTGGGGCCTGCCTGCTGCCAGTCCCGGCTGCACACCGACTCACTCGCTCTCCTTCAGCACGGCCTCAGTCCTCGACTGCAGGTCTCTCTCGTTCTCCAGCTCTGCAAACAGGCGTCTGGACACGGCCTGGAGGCGGCCCACAGCGGCCCTGCAGTGGTGAACGGACAGGCCGGGCGTGTGTCAGGCCTCAGTCATCCAGGGGCCATCCAGGTTCACCTGGCACTCCCTGGCCTCCTCTCGCTCAGGAGGGAAATCTCGGCACTGGGCCACCTAGCCAATGGAGCGTGGGGCTGGCGGGAGGCTCTCCACATGCCCCTTTCCGCTGGGCAGGCAGTGCCCACATGGCACAGCCCCAGGGGGAGTGAGGGCTTGGGGAGCCTGCCCTGGACCCTCAGTGGCCCCTGCATGAAGCCCCTGGGGGCAGCAGCCATCCAGGCCTGTGACCCGGGAAGGACCCAGCACGTGCGACAAGCCCCAAGCCCTCGCGTCAGGGCGCCCTGGGTCCCCTCCCTCCCTCCTGTTCCCCTCCTGGGCATCATCCACCCCAGCACACATCCAGTGCCAGCCCAGCCACGTTCCTAGAGACCACTTCCCGGGCGGTGGGCGGTTGCCCACGAGAGCGGCACAGTGTGATGCTGGCCAGAGGTCCCGGCCATGTGGACACGGGTGGTGGGCTTTGAGCAGCTGGCCGGGTATGGCAGTCACCCCTAGATCCTGGGTGCCACAGTCCAGGAATGAGGCAGGTCAAAACCCTGCAGAGGGCTGGGTGCGGTGGCTCACGCCTGTAATTCCAGCAATTTGGGAGGCCGAGGCGGGTGGATCACAAGGTCAGGAGTTCAAGACCAGCCTGGCCAAGATGGTGAAACCCTGTCTCTACTAAAAATACAAAAAAAAATTAGCCAGGTGTGGTGGCACATGCCTGTAATCCCAGCTACTCCGGAGGCTGCAGCAGAGAATTGCTTAAACCTGGAGGGGCAGAGGTTGCAGTGGCCCGAAGCCCCTCACCCCCCAGGGCCGGGAGGACCTGCTGGTTCCCTTGCCCCTGGCTGCTGGCCCTCTGCTCCCCATGGCTGCACTAGCCCCTCCAGGTCGGGCACCCTGCTGGGGCCTTCCAGGGCTGGGCTGAACTCGGCAGGCCCTGCAGGCACCTGGTGCCCCCAGAGGGTGAGGCGAGGCCAGAGCTGCAGCCGTGGAGCCATCCAGGCTCCCGGAGCAATGCCTGTTGGTGAGTGTTGGCGTTTCCAGCGTCCCCCAGGCCCCTCCCACCTGGGAGTGTGGGACGCATGCAGGCCTCTCACCTCTCACCTCGCCCTCAGCTGCCTCACCCTGCTGCTCCAGGCAAGAGTGGCCCAAGAGGCCTTCCCCTGACTGCTGACCCACTCGGCCTTGCCTCCCAGAGATCCAGCCCCAGTGCCCTCCAGGCCCCAGCAGTGCCGACCTCACATGCTTCTGCATGTTCGTGTTGTGGCCTCACACTGGGGCTCCTCATTGGCCTGAACACAGCAGGTGCTTCACGCCTCACTTTGGGTGAACCAGTGAACCTCCGGCCCTGACCTCATGCCCGGTTCCCTGCCCCCTGGCGAGGGCCACCTACATGTTGCCCGCCTCTTCCTCTGTGGCGATCTCGGCTGCCACAGCCTCCTGCTGCTTGTCGATCAGGTCCCGCCTCTGCCGACAGGCGCGCAGCTCCCCTCTGGAACAGGGAAACAAAGGTCAGATGATGGTTCCCTGAAACTCCAGCCTCCAAAGTGACAGTGGGCGTGGCAATGGGGCCAGGTGAGGCAGAGCCAGACCCCCAGAGCCCCCCTCACCCGGGCCAGGGGTCTCTCTAACACCTTCAAGCCACACAAGCAGGGTCTTGTCGTCCATTTTTGGAAAACTGCCCAGGGGCAGCTGTGTGGCCCCCACCCGAAGGTGACATGCTCCCCAGGGCCGAGGACGGTGCAGGAGCGGGAGGGAACCTGGGTCTGCATAAACAAGCGCACTCCTGCGTGTGAAGGGCACGTGGTGGGAGGTCTGGGGCCCACGGGAGGGGAGGAGCTGGAGCTCCTCCACCATCTTCCAGAGAGCGGGCCAGGCAGGCCCAGGTCACCAGTGGGGCATGGGCCGGGACAGAATCCAGTTCACATGGTAGCTCCTGGGGGCGACTCAGGCCTCAGGTACAAACAACGGAGCAAAGCCCAGAGCATGAACTCTGGAGGTCGCTTTTTTTTTTCCCGAGACAGAGCCTCGCTTGTCACCCAGGCTGGAGTGCAGTGGCGCGATCTCGGCTCACTGCAACCTCCGCCCCCCAGGTTCAAGCGATTCTGCTGTCTCAGCCTCCCAAGTGGCTGGGACTACAGGCGCCCACCACCACGCACAGCTAATTTTTGTATTTTTAGTAGAGACGGGGTTTCACCATATTGGCCAGGCTGGTCTCAAACTCCTGACCTCGTGATCCACCCACCTTGGCCTCCCAAAGTGCTGGGATTACAGGTGTGAGCCACCGCGCCCGGCCATGACGGTCACTTGGAAAACACACGGGCGCTGCCGGAGCCGAGGAGGGAAATCGTAGTTTCCCCGGGTGAAGTACCCAAGTTAGGTGCCCGAGTTATGGGCAAGAAGTTATGCAGAAGAACATTTGTCTTTCAGTTTTTTATTTTTAGAGACAGGGTCTTGCTCTGTCACCCAGGCTTGCTGCAGCCTTGACCTCCTGGGCTCAAGCCATCCTCTGGCCTCAGCCTCCCAAGTCACTGGGACCACAGGCGTGCGCCACCACTCTCCGCTGAATGTTTTTAGTTTTTAGGAGACGCTGAAATATTTAGGAGTGACGTATCATGTCTGTGATTTGCTTTAACATAATTTAGCACAAAATCCCATAGATATAAAATACAAACACACACAAACACAGAAAGAAGCTACAACGAAAGCTTGACAGGTGGCAACTCTGGGTGGCGCTGGGGGCAGCGGGGCCACTTGTTTCCGCCTTTTCTGTGGGAAGGGGGCTGGGAGCGCTGGGCACTAGCTCCCGGGTGGGGCTTGCAGAACTGCTCCTCCATGGAGACCCTGTGCGACCCTCCCTTGCAGGCCCTCAGGGTGACGACAGGTACAGGACCACCCCTGCTGCACCCATGTCACGGCCTGGGGGGCATCAAGAGGTGCAGGTGCAGCGGCCTCAGCCCCAGCTCACCTCATCTTCTCAGTGAAAAGCTCTTGCTCCTCATGCATCTTATCCAGGGCGCTCAGGTTCTGCCGCAGGTGAAATGCCTGCGTTCTGTCCTCAGCTGTTTTCTTCTTCAATTTATCAGCATCAGTATCTAGTTCTTTCACTGAGCTTAGGATGAAAAGGACGTCAGCTGCCACCACCCCAGCTGCAGGCTCAGAACTCATTCCTCGGTGTGGCTGCCGGGGTAGGTGCCTGACAGTTCTGCTTCAGGGCGGGAGCTGCGGGAGCTACAGCCTGTGGGAGGGAGGAAGCAGCCGCCCCGCTCCCTTCACCCACCCCCCCACCCCCACCCCCACCCCCACCCCCCCACACCCACCTCCACCCCCGATCCTCCGAGTTACCTGCTGTGTCCCGGGTCCACGTCATCCTCAGCTTCCTGTAGAAGACATTTGATGTCAAACTCCGGATCCTCTAATTCATCTCTTTCTAGAAATCAAGGCAAGAGTTTAAAAAAAAAAAAAAGCAGATCAAACATTTGCATCTGAAGTTTTAGGATAAATCTTTTTCTTTTTTTGGGACAGGGTGTAAGGAACCTGCTGCACTGCAGCCACACAAGCACAGGCAGAGGTAAACAGCCTGGGTGACTCAGTGGGACTGGGGCGCTGGCGCCTTGAGAGAGAGAGAGAGAGTCAGGGACATCCGTCTTTGCAGACGGACAGCGGGGAGCAAGGGCACAGCACCGCTTGGCTGGTGTCCAGAGAAAGAGTTAAGCTGCTGACCCTGAAGTCAAGGGAGAGCCGGCCACGCAGCTGTGTGTGTGGGAGCCGCCGGACTAACCAGCCAGGACAGGGCGGACGGTGTGAGACAAAGCCGTTGGGGAGAGCTGCTGCTGAATAAAATCCTTTTTCACCTGCCTACGGCCCCCGAGCGTTCCTTCTGCTCATCCACCCACTCCCTTTGGACCTCAACATGACGTTCGGCGTAGTCATGAACCTGACGTGGAGTCTCTGTTGCCCAGGCTGGAGTGCGGTGGCGTGATCTTGGCTCTCTGCCACCTTCGCCTCCCAGGTTCAAGGGATCCTCCCACCTCAGCCTCCCGAGTAGCTGAGGCTACAGATGTGTCCTACCATGCCCAGCTAATTTTTATATTTTTAGTAGAGAGAGGGTTTCCCTATGATGACCAGGCTGGTCTTGGACTCCTGACCTCAAGTGAGCCACCCGTCTCGGCCTCCCCAAGTGCTGGGATGACAGGCGTGGGCCACCACACCCGGCCCGTGTTAGGATAAATCTTGACACGCACTAACTTGGTGGTACCACACCCGGCCAGTGTTAGGATAAATCTTGACAAGTCTAACTTGATGGTTCTCAAAGCAAAATCCGAGGAACCCTGAGGGTCCCTTAGTGTCCTTCAGGGCCTGTGAGGTGAAAACTGTCTTCATGATCACACTCGCACGCCATTTGTCTCCTCACTCTCTTCCCATGAGAGGACAGTGGCGTTTTCCAGAGGCTGCATGACAGGTGACGTCACAACAGACAGCTCTAAGACTCCAGCTGTCTTCCATTAAACCCAACTCTTAACGTTACTGCCAATAGGTTCGTTATTGCTATTTTAAGTGGCTACGTATTAAAATGTTTCCAGCTTTAATTTTTGATACAGTAAGTATGGAAAGATACAGGCAACATAAACAAATGTTCTCTGTGTCTTCAATAATTTTTAAGAATGTAAAGGGGTTCTCAGACAAAAGAGGCTGAAGGTCACTATCTCAGAAGATTACAGCGGACTTCCGGCAAAACACGGCAAAGGGAACACAGTTTTTCTTCCCTTCATTAAATCTCAGTAAAAATGATGGAAAAGGCAGAAAGCCACAGTCACAAGGGGGGCGGGAGAGGGAGACAGTGGCGGGGGGCAGGGGGGAGAAGGCCACACAGCGCCAGGAGCTGACTCAGCACACAACAGAACCCAAAACGGGGTGGGGAGTGGGGTGGGGGTGGGAAGGAAATGCGTTCCCAGATTGCGATGGCCTGCCTGTGCCCAGAACTAGAACCAAATCAAGGCACGTCTCAGTAACATTTCAGATCATCAGAGATTTTTTAAAAACAGCTTCCAGGAAAAGAAAACAAAAATAGGTCACATTCAAAGGATTGGGATAAAAATGGCATCAGATTTCTCAATACTGATGTTGGAAACTAGAAAACTATGGTCTGCCGCCTTCAACATCTCAGCCACAATTTATCTTTCTTTCAAATAAAGACAATAATATAAGCTCCCTCTTTGAGAGAAAAATATGAGTGTAAAAGATACCCTCTCCCAGAAATAAAGGGAATTAAAGGGCTACTATGAAGCATGTCATTTGTTTGTCTTTTTGCTGAAACTTCCGTTACTGTGAAAGAAGCTTTATTACCATCTTCCAAAAGAAGGGCATCGGCCAAAAGCTCGTCCTCAGGGAGCAGGCTGCCGTCATCCTCCATGCTGGGAGATAGAAATTAGCTGCAAAAGATGATCGCAAAATATAGATCAATAAAATCATAGATTTAAAAGACGGTGAATTAACCATTTCTCTTAAAGAAGGCATTAAGAAAACAAACGACAGATTAGGAAAAAATATTTGCAGCACACACATATCTGACACAAGTCTTACATCTGGAACACATGAAGAGCTCCTATCAACCACATGAAGTCCAAACTCCAGTTTAAAAGGTCAAAGAGGCCGGGCGCGGTGGCTCATGCCTGTAATCCCAGCACTTTGGGAGGCCGAGGCAGGTGGATCACCTGAGGTCAGGAGTTCCAGACCAGCCTGGCCAACGTGGTGAGGCTACAGTGAGCTGTGATGGCACCACTGCACTCCAGCCTGGGCAACAGAGTGAGACCCTGTCACAAAAGAAAAAAGAAACTGCCCAACAGTATCCTCGAGTATCACTTTACACTCCCACCAGCAAATACCAAATTAAAATAATGAAATACAACATTAGCTGGGTGTGGTGGCGCATGCCTATAATCCCAGCTACTCAGGAGGCTGAGGCAGGAGAATTGCTTGAACCCGGGAGGCAGAGGTTGCAGTGAGCCGAGATAGTGCCACTGCACTCCAGCCTGGGGACAAGAGCGAGACTCCATCTCAAGAAAAAAATGTCAAAAGATTTGGAATTCCATAAGAAAAGAGATATACAAATGGCCAATATGCATGTGAAACTGTGTAACATCAGTATCTTTAAGGAAATATGAATCAAGCCATAATGAGATACTATTATATACTGAGTAGAATGCCTGAGATTGGCTGGGCGTGGTGGCTCACACCTGTAATCCCAGCACTTTGGGAGGCCAAGGTGGGCGGATCACGAGGTCAGGAGATCGAGACTATCCTGGCTAGCACAGTGAAACCCCATCTCTACTAAAAAACAGAAAAAATTAGCCGGGCATGGTGGCAGGCGCCTGCGGTCCCAGCTACTCGGGAGGCTGAGGCAGGAGAATGGTGTGAACCCAGGAGGCGGAGCTTGCAGTGAGCCGAGATCGCGCCACTGCACTCCAGCCTGGGTGACAGAGCGAGACTCCGTCTCAAAAAAAAAAAAATGCCTGAGATCAAAACGCTGCCAACAGTGAGCACTGGCAAGGCTATGGAAGGGCTGGCATCGTCACGCGTTGCTGGTGGGAGTGTAAAGGGATACTCTGGAACACTGTTGGGCAATTTCTGTTTTCTTTTGTGACAGGGTCTCACTCTGTTGCCCAGGCTGGAGTGCAGTGACACAATCACAGTTTACTACAGCCTCAAACTTCTGGGCTCAAGCAATCTTCCCGCCTCAGCTTCACAAGTGCTAAGACTACACGCACATGCCGCCATGCCCAGGTAATTTTCAAATTATTGGTTGAGATGGTGGGTCTCTCTTTGTTGCCCAGGCTAGTCTTGAACTCCTGGTCTCAGCCAGGATTCACCCACCTCAACCTCCCAAAGTGCTGGGATTACAAGCTTGAGCCACTACATCTGGCACCAAAAACAATTTTTTTTTTTTTGGAGATGAAGTCTCGCTCAGTCTCCCAGGCTGGAGTGCAGTGGCGGGATCTTGGCTCACTGCAAGCTCTGCCTCCTGGGTTCACGCCCCTCTCCTGTCTCAGCCTCCCGAGTAGCTGGGACTACAGGCGCCCACCACTACGCCCAGCTAATTTTTTTGTATTTTTATTAGAGATGGGGTTTCACTGTGTTAGCCAGGATGGTCTCGATCTCCTGACCTCGTGACCCACCTGTCTCGGCCTCCCAAAGTGCTGGGATTACAGGCGTGAGCCACCACGCCTGGCCCAAAAACAATTCTTAAATAATTTCAAAATTATCATTACACTTTGCTTATCATTTTGGGAATGTTAGGAGCTTGCTCGTGTGGAACTCTTGGTACCGAATCTTCTGTGTCCAGATGTTGGAACTAAATAATTTCACTTAAGAAACAGGCCGGGCACAGTGGCTCGCGCTTATAATCCCAGCACTTTGGGAGGCCAAGGTGGGCAGATCACTTGAGGTCAGGAATTTGAGACCAGCCTGGCCAGCATGGTGAAACCCCATCTCTACTAAAAATACAAAAACTAGCCAGGTATGGTGGCAGGCACCTGTAGTCCCAGCTACTTGGGAGGCTGAGGCCCGAGAATTGCTTGAGCCCAGGAGGCGGAGGTTGCAGTGAGCCGAGATCACGCCACTGCATTCTAGCCTGGGCGACAGGGGAAGACTGTCTCAAAAAAAAAAAAAAAAAAAAGAAACAATGTTAAAATCACAAACTCTTTACTTATTTTTTTCTGGTGAGAATTAAATTTAATGGCTAACTTTCTTTTATTTTTTTGAGACAGGGTTTGACTCTGTCACCCAGGCTGGAGTGCAGTGGTGCGATCACAGCTCACTGCAGCCTCCAACTCCTGGGCTCAATTGATCCTCCTGCTTCAGCCTCCCAAAGGAGCTGGGACTACAGGCACGCACCACCACACCCAACTGATTTTTGTATTTTCTGTAGAGACAGGGTTTTGCCATGTTGCCCAGGCTGGTCTCAAACTTTTGGGATCAAGTGATCCACCTGCCTTGGCCTTCCCAAGTGTTAGAACTAGAGGCGTGAGCCACCGTGCCCGGCCGGTGGCTGTTTTCTATTAGACCTTAAATATGTGATTGGTTTTAACGCCTATTAATCACATTGTGCTTGTACCATGATTAATATACAAAACAGCTGATGTCAAATGCTTATAAATCAGCAGGGCACAGTGGCTCACGCCTGCAATCCCAGCACTTTGGGAGGCCGAGGCAGGTGGATCACGAGGTCAGGAGATCGAGACCATCCTGGCTAACACAATGAAACCCCACCTCTACTAAAAATACAAAAAATTAGCCGGGCGTGGTGGCGGGCGCCTATAGTCCCAGCTACTCGGGAGGCTGAGGCAGGAGAATGGCGTGAACCCGGGAGGCGGAGCTTGCAGTGAGCCGAGATCACACCACTGCACTCCAGCCTGGGCGACAGAGCAAGACTCCGTCTCAAAAAAAATAAAAATAAAATAAAAATAAAAAAATGTAGCCAGGCGTGGTGGTGGGCACCTGTAGTCCCACCTATTCAGGAGGCTGCGGTGGGAGGATCACTTGAGCCCAGGAGGTCGAGGCTGCCGTGAGCTGTGATTGTGCCACTGCAGGCCAGCCTGGGTGACAGAGCAAGACCCTGACTCTAAAAGGGTTAAAAAAAAAAAAAAAAAAAGCTTTAAGTCAATGTACCTAGTATAGAGACAGACATTTAACATTGGGAATTAGCACTACCATTTTGCATTGAAATAATGAGTAATTCCGGGTGAAATGTACATAAATGTTGACATTATGTATGAGATGCTAAAACTGTAAAATTGTAGAGGACTGTGTTTCATTGCTTAACTTAGCAATCGCTTCAGAATAATTCACTAAAAATATTTTCAGTGCCTAGCAATGTTTCTTGGATAAATTATTAATGTATCAATGCCAGTAATTTTTTAAACTTACAAAGAAACAATTGCATTTTAAAGTCCTGGGAGGCAGAATTTTAAGGCATCTTGTAAAATTCCAACAATATTTTTTCCACTTGAAAGAACTGATTAAGCTGCTAGTCTTTGAATGGCAGGATTTTCAGAAACTATTTAGAAAATGGCCAAACCTATTCAGCTCTGTGCTTGTGAATTCCATGCGGCCTCCGCGACGTCATTTTGCTGGACACCCCGTGGATGTCAGTCTTCTAAAAGGTGTCATTGCACACACACAGTTCCTCTGAAGATGATCACACTAAACCATATACACTGAGCATCCGGTTAAAGACGGCACTTCCAACAGGCAGCCACCTCTGATCTCTCCTGAGTCCTCACTAACAACAGGGGGTAGATTTATTGTTTTCAGTACATGAATCTACCAGGGCAAGGGTCATTGGGAGAAACAGGAGCAAAGAGAAGCGGGAGGTGGAGGGATGAGGGTAGCTGTCCCTGCAGACAGAGGCGCTGGCTGACCCTCTGCAGGAGAAGCTGAGAACAAACCCGACGTCGCCACACAGCTGTGAAAGGTTCAGGACTGGGCAGCTTCAGGTGGTCCTCCAGTGGGAGCAGTGGGATTGGGAACTGAGAGACCCAGGAAAGCGTGCTGAAGAAGCAGTGGAAGTTCCACTGTGGTGACATGGCTAGCCAGTGTGCTGGCATCACACTGAAAATCATCAGAAATGCCGGATAGGACTGTACTTTAATTCTCGTAAAAATGTTGAAGAACAAACCAGGTGAGGTGGCTCACACCTGTAATCCCAGCACTTTGGGAAGCCGAGGTGGGCGGATCACTTAAGGTTTGAGACCAGCCTGGCCAACATAGTGAAACCCCGTCTCTACTAAAAATACAAAAATTAGCCGGGCGTGATGGCGCATCCCTGTAATCCCAGCTACTTAGGAGGCTGAGACAGGAGAATCGTTTGAACCCGGGAGGCGGAGGTTGCAGTGAGCTGAGATCATACCACTGCACTCCAGCCTGGGCGACAGAATGAGACTCAGTCTCAAAAAAAAGAAAAAAAAAAACAGTTGAAGAACGGACAAAATAAGAAACTTTCAGGTTAAAACCTAAGTAAAAATATAGATTAAATAAGCAAGCTAAAGGGAAGTATATTATCGAGTTGCATTAAAAACTAAGAACAGGCCGGGCTCGGTGGCTCACGCCTGTAATCCCAGCATTTTGGGAGGCAGAGGTGGGTGGATCACGAGGTCAGGAGATCGAGACCATCCTGGCTAACACGGTGAAACCCCGTCTCTACTAAAAATACAAAATTTAGCCGGGTGTGGTGGCGGGCACCTGTAGTCCCAGCTACTCAGGAGGCTGAGGCAGGAGAATGGCATGAACCCGGGAGGCGGAACTTGCAGTGAGCCGAGATTGCACCACTGCACTCCAGCCTGGGCGACAGAGCGAGACTCCGTCTCAAACAAACAAACAAAATGAAAACAACAACAACAACAAACCCAAGAACAACCAAAAAAAATCAAACTAACTTTTTTTGTTTTTGTTTTTGTTTTTTGAGGCAGAGTCTCACTCTGTCGCCCACGCTGGAGTGCAGAGGTACGATCTCGGCTCACTGCAACCTCTGCCTCCCGGAGTCAAGCAATTCTTGTACCCCAGCCTCCTGGGCAGCTGGGATTACAGGCACAGGCCACCACGCCTGGCTAATTTTTGTATTTTTAATAGAGACGGAGTTTCATCATGTTGGCCAGGCTGGTTTCAAACTCAAGACCTCGGGTAATCCGCCCGCCTCAGCCTTCCGAAGTGCTGGGATTACAGGTGTGAACCACTGTGCCTGCCCAAACTCTCTACAGTTTAAGAGAGAGACGTCTAAAACACAAGCTTAAGAAGCATTGCGTCAGAAAGAAAGGCAGGAAGCATAAACAGGAAGTTAGTGGAGTTGTCTAGAAACAGACAAAAAACTTAGGCAAAAAGCAGGAACGGCAGTGGGGACACATTCTAACCGCATGTTCAATTCACCAGGAAGACTCAGCAGCTTCAATTCTGCACTTCACGTTGATTGATCAGATTATTCACTATGGGAGCTACTTTAAACATACGAAAAAATAGAGAAAAAATCAGATTAAGTGTGTGTAATCTCATGTGGGCTTCTAAGTGGACTGGCAGTAACAGAAAGAAGGTCTCCTGAAATACTGGCCGGGTGCGGGCGCTCATGTCTGTGATCTCAGCACTTTTGGAGGCCGAGGCGGGTGGATCACTTGAGGTCCGGAGTTTGAGACCAGCCTGACCAACATGGTGAAACCCCGTCTCTACTAAAAATACAAAAATTAGCTGGGTGTGGTGGCAGGCACCTGTCATCCCAGCTACTCAGGAGGCTGAGGCAGGAGAATCGCTTAAACTCAGGAGGTGGAGGTTGCAGTGAGCCAAGATCATGCCACTGCACTCCAGCCTGGGTGACAGAGCAAGACTCTGTCTCAAAAAAAAAAAAAAAGAAAAAAAAAAAGAAGAAGAAGAAATGAACATCTGTAATGTGATAGAGTATATATATACCAAAAATTACCACAGCAAACGTCACACTTAAACATTAAAAACATTCCCTTAAGACCGAGAACAAAACAGGGACGCTCTCTAAAACCACTTCTCAGTATTCATCACGTCCCCAGCCAGAACAATCAGATGTAAAAGAAATAAAAGGCGGCCGGGCGCGGTGGCGCACGCCTGTAATCCCAGCACTTTGGG